>NC_000013.11:17418662-18051248 GCF_000001405.40 Homo sapiens | reverse complement strand
TCTGTCTAGTTTTTATGGGAAGACATTCCCTTTTTCACCAAAGGCATCAAAGCGCTCCAAATGTCCACTTCCAGACACTACAAAAAGAGTGTTTCCAACGTGCTCTAAGAAAGCGAATGTTCAACTCTGTGACTTGAATGCAGATATCACAAAGTAGTTTCTGAGAGGGCTTCTGTCTAGATTTTAGATGATGATATTCCCGTTTCCAACGAAATCATTAGAGCTATCCAAATATCCACTTACAGTTTCTACAAAAAGAGTGTTTCCAAACTGCTGCATCAAAAGAGAGGTTCCACTCTGTTAGCTGAGTACACACATCTCAAACTTGTTTCTCAGAATCCTTCTGTCTCGTTTTTATGGGAAGATATTTACTTTTTCACCGTAGGCATCAAAGCGCTCCAAATGTCCACATCCAGATACTCCGGAAAGAGTGTTTCAAACCTGCTCTATGAAAGGGAATCTTCAACTCTATGAGTTGAATGCAGACATCAGAAAGAAATTTCTGAGAATGCTGCTGTCTACCTTTTATTTGAATTCCCGCTTCCAACGAAATCCTCCAAGCTATCCAAATATCCACCTGCATTTTCCACAAAAAGAGAGTTTCAAAACTGCTCTATCAATAGAAATGTTCAACTCCTTTGGCTGGGTACACACAGCACAAACAAGTTTCTGAGAATGCTTCTGTCTATTTTTTATAGGAAGATATTTCCTTTTTCACGGTAGGCCTCAAGGCGATCGAAATGTCCACTTCTACAATCTAAAAAAAGAGTGTTTCAAACCTGCTCTATGAAAGGCCATGTTCATCTCTATGAGTTGAATGGAAATATCCGAAAGAAATTTCTGGGAATGCTGCTGTCTAGTGTTTATACGAATTCCCGCTTCCAACGAAATCCTCAAAGCAATCCAAATATCCACTTGCAGAATCCACAAAAAGAGTGTTTCAAAACTGCTCTATCAATAGAAAGGTTCAACTCTTTTAGTTGAGTACACACATCACAAACAAGTTTCTGAGAATGCTTCTGTCTGGCTTTTATTGGAAGACGTTTCCTTTTCACCAAAGGCATCAAAGCGCTCCAAATGTCCACTTCCAGATTCTTCCAAAAGAGTGTTTCAAACGTGCTCGAAGTAAGGGAATCTTCTACTCTGTGACTTGAATGCAGATATCACCAAGTAGTTTCTAATAGTTCTTCTGTCTAGATTTTAGATGATTATATTCCCGTTTCCAACGAAATCGTTAGAGCTATCCAAATATCCAGTTACAGTTTCTACCAAAAGGGTGTTTCCAAATTGCTGCATCAAAAGAAAGGTTCAACTCTGTTAGTTGAGGACACACATCACAAAGAAGTTTGTGAGAATGCTTCTGTCTAGATTTTGTATGACCATATTCCCTTTTCCAACGATATCGTTAAAGCAATCTAAATATCAATTTGCAGAATCCACAAAAATAGAGTTTCAAAGCTGCTCTGTAAAAAGAAAGGTTCCACTCTGTTAGCTGAGTACACACATCACAAACTTGTTTACTGAGAATCCTTTCTGTCTCGTTTTTATGGGAAGATATTTACTTTTCCACCGTAGGCATCAAAGCGCTCCAAATGTCCACATCCAGATACTCCAGAACGAGTGTTTCAAACCTGCTCTATGAAAGGGAATCTTCAACTCTATGAGTTGAATGCAGACATCAGAAAGAAATTTCTGAGAATGCTGCTGTCTACCTTTTATTTGAATTCCCGCTTCCAACGAAATCCTCCAAGCTATCCAAATATCCACCTGCATTTTCCACAACAAGAGTGTTTCAAAACTGCTCTATCAATAGAAATGTTCAAATCCTTTGGCTGGGTACACACATCACAAACAAGTTTCTGAGAATGCTTCTGTCTAGTTTTTATGGGTAGACATTCCCTTTTTCACCAAAGGCATCAAAGCGCTCCAAATGTCCACTTCCAGACACTACAAAAAGAGTGTTTCAAACGTGCTCTAAGAAAGCGAATGTTCAACTCTGTGACTTGAATGCAGATATCACAAAGTAGTTTCTGAGAGTGCTTCTGTCTAGATTTTAGATGATGATATTCCCGTTTCCAACGAAATCATTACAGCTATCCAAATATCCACTTACAGTTTCTACAAAAAGAGTGTTTCCAAACTGCTGCATCAAAAGAGAGGTTCCACTCTGTTAGCTGAGTACACACATCACAAACTTGTTTCTCAGAATCCGTCTGTCTAGTTTTTATGGGAAGATATTTACTTTTTCACCGTAGGCATCAAAGCGTTCCAAATGTCCACATCCAGATAGTACAGAAAGAGTGTTTCAAACCTGCTCTATGAAAGGGAATGTTCAACTCTATGAGTTGAATGCAAACATCACAAAGAAATTTCTGAGAATGCTGCTGTCTACCTTTTATTTGAATTCCTGCTTCCAACGAAATCCTCCAAGCTATCCAAATATCCACTTGCAGATTCCACAAAAAGAGTGTTTCAAAACTGCTCTCTATCAATGGCAAAGTTCAACTCTATTAGTTGAGGACACATATCACCAACAAGTTTCTGAGAATGCTTCTGTCTATTTTTTATGGGAAGATATTTCCTTTTTCACCGTAGGCGTCAAGGCGATCGAAATGTCCACTTCCACAAACTACAAAAAGAGTGTTTCAAACCTGCTCTATGAAAGGCCATGATCATCTCTATGAGTTGAATGGAAATATCCGAAAGAAATTTCTGGGAATGCTGCTGTCTAGTTTTTATACGAATTCCCGCTTCCTACGAAATCCTCAAAGCAATCCAAATATCCACTTGCAGAATCCACAAAAAGAGTGTTTCAAAACTGCTCTATCAATAGAAAGGTTCAACCCTTTTAGTTGAGTACACACATCACGAACAAGTTTCTGAGAATGCTTCTGTCTGGCTTTTATTGGAAGACGTTTCCTTTTCACCAAAGGCATCAAAGCGCTCCAAATGTCCACTTCCAGATTCTTCCAAAAGAGTGTTTCAAACGTGCTCAAAGTAAGGGAATGTTCAACTCTGTGACTTGAATGCAGATATCACCAAGTAGTTTCTAATAGTGCTTCTGTCTAGATTTTAGATGATGATATTCCCGTTTCCAACGAAATCGTTAGAGCTATCCAAATATCCAGTTACAGTTTCTACCAAAAGGGTGTTTCCAAATTGCTGCATCAAAAGAAAGGTTCAACTCTGTTAGTTGAGGACACACATCACAAACAAGTTTGTGAGAATGCTTCTGTCTATATTTTGTATGACCATATTCCCTTTTCCAGCGATATCATTAAAGCAATCTAAATATCCATTTGCAGAATCCACAAAAATAGAGTTTCAAAGCTGCTCTGTAAAAAGAAAGGTTCCACTCTGTTAGCTGAGTACACACATCACAAACTTGTTTCTCAGAATCCTTCTGTCTCGTTTTTATGGGAAGATATTTACTTTTCCACCGTAGGCATCAAAGCGCTCCAAATGTCCACATCCAGATACTCCAGAACGAGTGTTTCAAACCTGCTCTATGAAAGGGAATCTTCAACTCTATGAGTTGAATGCAGACATCAGAAAGAAATTTCTGAGAATGCTGCTGTCTACCTTTTATTTGAATTCCCGCTTCCAACGAAATCCTCCAAGCTAACCAAATATCCACCTGCATTTTCCACAACAAGAGTGTTTCAAAACTGCTCTATCAATAGAAATGTTCAACTCTTTGGCTGGGTACACACATCACAAACAAGTTTCTGAGAATGCTTCTGTCTAGTTTTTATGGGTAGACATTCCCTTTTTCACCAAAGGAATCAAAGCGCTCCAAAAGTCCACTTCCAGACACTACAAAAAGAGTGTTTCAAACGTGCTCTAAGAAAGCGAATGTTCAACTCTGTGACTTGAATGCAGATATCACACAGTAGTTTCTGAGAGTGCTTCTGTCTAGATTTTAGATGATGATATTCCCGTTTCCAACGAAATCATTAGAGCTATCCAAATATCCACTTACAGTTTCTACAAAAAGAGTGTTTCCAAACTGCTGCATCAAAAGAGAGGTTCCACTCTGTTAGCTGAGTACACACATCACAAACTTGTTTCTCAGAATCCTTCTGTCTCGCTTTTATGGGAAGATATTTACTTTTTCACCGTAGGCATCAAAGCGCTCCAAATGTCCACATCCAGATACTCCAGAAAGAGTGTTTCAAACCTGCTCTATGAAAGGGAATGTTCAACTCTATGAGTTGAATGCAGACATCAGAAAGAAATTTCTGAGAATGCTGCTGTCTACCTTTTATTTGAATTCCCGCTTCCAACGAAATCCTCCAAGCTATCCAAATATCCACTTGCAGATTCCAGAAAAAGAGTGTTTCAAAACTGCTCTCTATCAATGGCAAAGTTCAACTCTGTTAGTTGAGGACACATATCACCAACAAGTTTCTGAGAATGCTTCTGTCTATTTTTTATGGGAAGATATTTCCTTTTTCAGCGTAGGCGTCAAGGCGATCGAAATGTCCACTTCCACAAACTACAAAAAGAGTGTTTCAAACCTGCTCTATGAAAGGCCATGTTCATCTCTATGAGTTGAATGGAAATATCCGAAAGAAATTTGCTGGGAATGCTGCTGTCTAGTTTTTATATGAATTCCCGCTTCCAACGAAATCCTCAAAGCAATCCAAATATCCACTTGCAGAATCCACAAAAAGAGTGTTTCAAAACTGCTCTATCAATAGAAAGGTTCAACTCTTTTAGTTGAGTACACACATCACAAACAAGTTTCTGAGAATGCTTCTGTCTGGCTTTTATTGGAAGACGTTTCCTTTTCACCAAAGGCATCAAAGCGCTCCAAATGTCCACTTCCAGATTCTTCCAAAAGAGTGTTTCAAACGTGCTCAAAGTAAGGGAATGTTCAACTCTGAGACTTGAATGCAGATATCACCAAGTAGTTTCTAATAGTGCTTCTGTCTACATTTTAGATGATGATATTCCCGTTTCCAATGAAATCGTTAGAGCTATCCAAATATCCAGTTACAGTTTCTACCAAAAGGGTGTTTCCAAATTGCTGCATCAAAAGAAAGGTTCAACTCTGTTAGTTGAGGACACACATCACAAAGAAGTTTGTGAGAATGCTTCTGTCTAGACTTTAGATGATGATATTCCCGTTTCCAACGAAATCATTAGAGCTATCCAAATATCCACTTACAGTTTCTACAAAAAGAGTGTTTCCAAACTGCTGCATCAAAAGAGAGGTTCCACTCTGTTAGCTGAGTACACACATCACAAACTTGTTTCTGAGAATCCTTCTGTCTCGTTTTTATGGGAAGATATTTACTTTTCCACCGTAGGCATCAAAGCGCTCCAAAATGTCCACATCCAGATACTCCAGAACGAGTGTTTCAAACCTGCTCTATGAAAGGGAATCTTCAACTCTATGAGTTGAATGCAGACATCAGAAAGAAATTTCTGAGAATGCTGCTGTCTAGCTTTTATGTGAATTCCCGCTTCCAACGAAAAACTCCAAGCTATCCAAATATCCACTTGCAGATTCCACAAAAAGAGTGTTTCAAAACTGCTCTATCAATAGAAATGTTCAACTCCTTTCGCTGGGTACACAGATCACAAACAAGTTTCTGAGAATGCTTCTGTCTAGTTTTTATGGGAAGACATTTCCTTTTTCACCAAAGGCATCAAAGAGCTCCAAATGTCCACTTCCAGATATACAAAAAGAGTGTTTCAAAAGTGCTCTAAGAAAGCGAATGTTCAACTCTGTGACTTGAATGCAGATATCACAAAGTAGTTTCTGAGAGTGCTTCTGTCTAGATTTTAGATGATGGTATTCCCATTTCCAACGAAATCATTAGAGCTATCCAAATATCCACTTACAGTTTCTACAAAAAGTGTGTTTCCAAACTGCTGCATGAGAAGAGAGGTTCCACTCTGTTATCTGAGTACACACATCACAAACTTGTTTCTGAGAATCCTTCTGTCTCGTTTTTATGGGAAGATATTTACTTTTTCACCGTAGGTATCAAAGCGCTCCAAATGTCCACGTCCAGATACTCCAGAAAGCGTGTTTCAAACCTCCACTATGAAAGGGAATCTTCAACTCTATGAGTTGAATGCAGACATCAGAAAGAAATTTCTGAGAATGCTGCTGTCTACCTTTTATTTGAATTCCCGCTTCCAACGAAATCCTCCAAGCTATCCAAATATCCACTTGCAGATTCCACAAAAAGAGTGTTTCAAAACTGCTCTCTATCAATGGCAAAGTTCAACTCTGTTAGTTGAGGACACATATCACCAACAAGTTTCTGAGAATGCTTCTGTCTATTTTTTATGGGAAGATATTTCCTTTTTCACCGTAGGCGTCAAGGCGATCGAAATGTCCACTTCCACAAACTACAAAAAGAGTGTTTCAAACCTGCTCTATGAAAGGCCATGTTCATCTCTATGAGTTGAATGGAAATATCCGAAAGAAATTTCTGCGAATGCTGCTGTCTAGTGTTTATACGAATTCCCGCTTCCAACGAAATCCTCAAAGCAATCCAAATATCCACTTGCAGAATCCACAAAAAGAGTGTTTCAAAACTGCTCTATCAATAGAAAGGTTCAACTCTTTTAGTTGAGTACACACATCACGAACAAGTTTCTCAGAATGCTTCTGTCTGGCTTTTATTGGAAGACGTTTCCTTTTCACCAAAGGCATCAAAGCGCTCCAAATGTCCACTTCCAGATTCTTCCAAAAGAGTGTTTGAAACGTGCTCAAAGTAAGGGAATGTTCAACTCTGTGACTTGAATGCAGATATCACCAAGTAGTTTCTAATAGTGCTTCTGTCTAGATTTTAGATGATGATATTCCCGTTTCCAACGAAATCGTTAGAGCTATCCAAATATCCACTTACAGTTGCTACAAAAACAGTGTTTCCAAACTGCTGCATCAAAAGAAAGGTTCAACTCTGTTAGTTGAGGACACACATCACAAAGAAGTTTGTGAGAATGCTTATCTGTCTAGAATTTTGTATGACCATATTCCCTTTTCCAGCGATATCATTAAAGCAATCTAAATATCCATTTGCAGAATCCACAAAAATAGAGTTTCAAAGCTGCTCTGTAAAAAGAAAGGTTCCACTCTGTTAGCTGAGTACACACATCACAAACTTGTTTCTCAGAATCCTTCTGTCTCGTTTTTATGGGAAGATATTTACTTTTCCACCGTAGGCATCAAAGCGCTCCAAATGTCCACATCCAGATACTCCAGAACGAGTGTTTCAAACCTGCTCTATGAAAGGGAATCTTCAACTCTATGAGTTGAATGCAGACATCAGAAAGAAATTTCTGAGAATGCTGCTGTCTACCTTTTATTTGAATTCCCGCTTCCAACGAAATCCTCCAAGCTATCCAAATATCCACCTGCATTTTCCACAAAAAGAGTGTTTCAAAACTGCTCTATCAATAGAAATGTTCAACTCCTTTGGCTGGGTACACACATCACAAACAAGTTTCTGAGAATACTTCTGTCTAGTTTTTATGGGAAGACGTTCCCTTTTTCACCAAAGGCATCAAAGCGCTCCAAATGTCCACTTCCAGACACTACAAAAAGAGTGTTTCAAACGTGCTCTAAGAAAGCGAATGTTCAACTCTGTGACTTGAATGCAGATATCACAAAGTAGTTTCTGAGAGGGCTTCTGTCTAGATTTTAGATGATGATATTCCCGTTTCCAACGAAATCATTAGAGCTATCCAAATATCCACTTACAGTTTCTACAAAAAGTGTGTTTCCAAACTACTGCATCAAAAGAGAGGTTCCACTCTGTTAGCTGAGTACACACATCACAAACTTGTTTCTGAGAATCCTGCTGTCTACCTTTAATTTGAATTCCCGCTTCCAACGAAATCCTCCAAGCTATCCAAATATCCACTTGCAGATTCCACAAAAAGAGTGTTTCAAAACTGCTCTCTATCAATGGCAAAGTTCAACTCTGTTAGTTGAGGACACATATCACCAACAAGTTTCTGAGAATGCTTCTGTCTATTTTTTATGGGAAGATATTTCCTTTTTCACCGTAGGCGTCAAGGCGATCGAAATGTCCACTTCCACAAACTACAAAAAGAGTGTTTCACACCTGCTCTATGAAAGGCCATGTTCATCTCTATGAGTTGAATGGAAATATCCGAAAGAAATTTCTGGGAATGCTGCTGTCTAGTTTTTATACGAATTCCCAGCTTCCAACGAAATCCTCAAAGCAATCCAAATATCCACTTGCAGAATCCACAAAAAGAGTGTTTCAAAACTGCTCTATCAATAGAAAGGTTCAACTCTTTTAGTTGAGTACACACATCACAAACAAGTTTCTGAGAATGCTTCTGTCTGGCTTTTATTGGAAGACGTTTCCTTTTCACCAAAGGCATCAAAGCGCTCCAAATGTCCACTTCCAGATTCTTCCAAAAGAGTGTTTCAAACGTGCTCGAAGTAAGGGAATGTTCTACTCTGTGACTTGAATGCAGATATCACCAAGTAGTTTCTAATAGTGCTTCTGTCTAGATTTTAGATGATGATATTCCCGTTTCCAACGAAATCGTTAGAGCTATCCAAATATCCACTTACAGTTGCTACAAAAACAGTGTTTCCAAACTGCTGCATCAAAAGAAAGGTTCAACTCTGTTAGTTGAGGTCACACGTCACAAAGAAGTTTGTGAGAATGCTTCTGTCTAGTATTTTGTATGACCATATTCCCTTTTCCAGCGATATCATTAAAGCAATCTAAATATCCATTTGCAGAATCCACAAAAATAGAGTTTCAAAGCTGCTCTGTAAAAAGAAAGGTTCCACTCTGTTAGCTGAGTACACACATCACAAACTTGTTTCTGAGAATCCTCTGTCTCGTTTTTATGGGAAGATATTTACTTTTCCACCGTAGGCATCAAAGCGCTCCAAATGTCCACATCCAGATACTCCAGAACGAGTGTTTCAAACCTGCTCTATGAAAGGGAATCTTCAACTCTATGAGTTGAATGCAGACATCAGAAAGAAATTTCTGAGAATGCTGCTGTCTACCTTTTATTTGAATTCCCGCTTCCAACGAAATCCTCCAAGCTATCCAAATATCCACCTGCATTTTCCACAACAAGAGTGTTTCAAAACTGCTCTATCAATAGAAATGTTCAACTCCTTTGGCTGGGTACACACATCACAAACAAGTTTCTGAGAATGCTTCTGTCTAGTTTTTATGGGAAGACATTCCCTTTTTCACCAAAGGCATCAAAGCGCTCCAAATGTCCACTTCCAGACACTACAAAAAGAGTGTTTCAAACGTGCTCTAAGAAACCCAATGTTCAACTCTCTGACTTGAATGCAGATATCACAAAGTAGTTTCTGAGAGGGCTTCTGTCTAGATTTTAGATGATGATATTCCCGTTTCCAACGAAATCATTAGAGCTATCCAAATATCCACTTACAGTTTCTACAAAAAGAGTGTTTCCAAACTGCTGCATCAAAAGAGAGGTTCCACTCTGTTAGCTGAGTTCACACATCACAAACTTGTTTCTCAGAATCCTTCTGTGTCGTTTTTATGGCAAGATATTTACTTTTTCACCGTAGGCATCAAAGCGCTCCAAATGTCCACATCCAGATACTCCAGAAAGAGTGTTTCAAACCTGCTCTATGAAAGGGAATCTTCAACTCTATGAGTTGAATGCAGACATCAGAAAGAAATTTACTGAGAATGCTGCTGTCTACCTTTTATTTGAATTCCCGCTTCCAACGAAATCCTCCAAACTATCCAAATATCCACTTGCAGATTCCACACAAAGAGTGTTTCAAAACTGCTCTCTATCAATGGCAAAGTTCAACTCTGTTAGTTCAGGACACATATCACCAACAAGTTTCTGAGAATGCTTCTGTCTATTTTTTATGGGAAGATATTTCCTTTTTCACCGTAGGCGTCAAGGCGATCGAAATGTCCACTTCCACAAACTACAAAAAGAGTGTTTCAAACCTGCTCTATGAAAGGCCATGTTCATCTCTATGAGTTGAATGGAAATATCCGAAAGAAATTTCTGGGAATGCTGCTGTCTAGTGTTTATACGAATTCCCGCTTCCAACGAAATCCTCAAAACAATCCAAATATCCACTTGCAGAATCCACAAAAAGAGTGTTTCAAAACTGCTCTATCAATAGAAAGGTTCAACTCTTTTAGTTGAGTACACACATCACGAACAAGTTTCTGAGAATGCTTCTGTCTGGCTTTTATTGGAAGACGTTTCCTTTTCACCAAAGGCATCAAAGCGCTCCAAATGTCCACTTCCAGATTCTTCCAAAAGAGTGTTTCAAACGTGCTCAAAGTAAGGGAATGTTCAACTCTATGAGTTGAATGCAGACATCAGAAAGAAATTTCTGAGAATGCTTCTGTCTAGATTTTAGCATGATGATATTCCCGTTTCCAACGAAATCGTTAGAGCTATCCAAATATCCACTTACAGTTGCTACAAAAACAGTGTTTCCAAACTGCTGCATCAAAAGAAAGGTTCAACTCTGTTAGTTGAGGACACACGTCACAAAGAAGTTTGTGAGAATGCTTCTGTCTAGATTTTGTATGACCATATTCCCTTTTCCAGCGATATCATTAAAGCAATCTAAATATCCATTTGCAGAATCCACAAAATTAGAGTTTCAAAGCTGCTCTGTAAAAAGAAAGGTTCCACTCTGTTAGCTGAGTACACACATCACAAACTTGTTTCTCAGAATCCTCCTGTCTACCTTTTATTTGAATTCCCGCTTCCAACGAAATCCTCCAAGCTATCCAAATATCCACTTGCATTTTCCACAAAAAGAGTGTTTCAAAACTGCTCTATCAATGGAAATGTTCAACTCCTTTAGCTGGGTACACACATCACAAACAAGTTTCTGAGAATGCTTCTGTCTAGTTTTTATGGGAAGACATTCCCTTTTTCACCAAAGGCATCAAAGCGCTCCAAATGTCCACTTCCGGACACTACAAAAAGAGTGTTTCCAACGTGCTCTAAGAAAGCGAATGTTCAACTCTGTGACTTGAATGCAGATATCACAAAGTAGTTTCTGAGAGGGCTTCTGTCTAGCATTTTAGATGATGATATTCCCGTTTCCAACGAAATCATTAGAGCTATCCAAATATCCACTTACAGTTTCTACAAAAAGAGTGTTTCCAAACTGCTGCATCAAAAGAGAGGTTCCACTCTGTTAGCTGAGTACACACATCACAAACTTGTTTCTCAGAATCCTTCTGTCTCGTTTTTATGGGAAGATATTTACTTTTTCACCGTAGGCATCAAAGCGCTCCAAATGTCCACATCCAGATACTCCAGAAAGAGTGTTTCAAACCTGCTCTATGAAAGGGAATGTTCAACTCTATGAGTTGAATGCAGACATCAGAAAGAAATTTCTGAGAATGCTGCTGTCTACCTTTTATTTGAATTCCCGCTTCCAACGAAATCCTCCAAGCTATCAAAATATCCACTTGCAGATTCCACAAAAAGAGTGTTTCAAAACTGCTCTCTATCAATGGCAAAGTTCAACTCTGTTAGTTGAGGGCACATATCACCAACAAGTTTCTGAGAATGCTTCTGTCTATTTTTTATGGGAAGATATTTCCTTTTTCACCGCAGGCGTCAAGGCGATCGAAATGTCCACTTCCACAAACTACAAAAAGAGTGTTTCAATATGAAAGGCCATGTTCATCTCTATGAGTTGAATGGAAATATCCGAAAGAAATTTCTGGGAATGCTGCTGTCTAGTGTTTATACGAATTCCCGCTTCCAACGAAATCCTCAAAGCAATCCAAATATCCACTTGCAGAATCCACAAAAAGAGTGTTTCAAAACTGCTCTATCAATAGAAAGGTTCAACTCTTTTAGTTGAGTACACACATCACGAACAAGTTTCTGAGAATGCTTCTCTCTGGCTTTTATTGGAAGACGTTTCCTTTTCACCAAAGGCATCAAAGCGCTCCAAATGTCCACTTCCAGATTCTTCCAAAAGAGTGTTTCAAACGTGCTCAAAGTAAGGGAATGTTCAACTCTGTGACTTGAATGCAGATATCACCAAGTAGTTTCTAATAGTGCTTCTGTCTAGGTTTTAGATGATGATATTCCCGTTTCCAACGAAATCGTTTGAGCTATCCAAATATCCAGTTACAGTTTCTACCAAAAGGGTGTTTCCAAATTGTTGCATCAAAAGAAAGGTTCAACTCTGTTAGTTGAGGACACACATCACAAAGAAGTTTGTGAGAATGCTTCTGTCTAGATTTTGTATGACGATATTCCCTTTTCCAACGATATCGTTAAAGCAATCTAAATATCCATTTGCAGAATCCACAAAAATAGAGTTTCAAAGCTGCTCTGTAAAAAGAAAGGTTCCACTCTGTTAGCTGAGTACACACATCACAAACTTGTTTCTCAGAATCCTTCTGTCTCGTTTTTATGGGAAGATATTTACTTTTCCACCGTAGGCATCAAAGCGCTCCAAATGTCCACATCCGGATACTCCAGAACGAGTGTTTCAAACCTGCTCTATGAAAGGGAATCTTCAACTCTATGAGTTGAATGCAGACATCAGAAAGAAATTTCTGAGAATGCTGCTGTCTACCTTTTATTTGAATTCCCGCTTCCAACGAAATCCTCCAAGCTATCCAAATATCCACCTGCATTTTCCACAAAAAGAGCGTTTCAAAACTGCTCTATCAATAGAAATGTTCAACTCCTTTGGCTGGGTACACACATCACAAACAAGTTTCTGAGAATGCTTCTGTCTAGTTTTTATGGGAAGACATTCCCTTTTTCACCAAAGGCATCAAAGCGCTCCAAATGTCCACTTCCAGACACTACAAAAAGAGTGTTTCCAACGTGCTCTAAGAAAGCGAATGTTCAACTCTGTGACTTGAAAGCAGATATCACAAAGTAGTTTCTGAGAGGGCTTCTGTCCAGATTTTAGATGATGATATTCCCGTTTCCAACGAAATCATTAGAGCTATCCAAATATCCACTTACAGTTTCTACAAAAAGAGTGTTTCCAAACTGCTGCATCAAAAGAGAGGTTCCACTCTGTTAGCTGAGTACACACATCACAAACTTGTTTCTCAGAATCCTGCTGTCTACCTTTTATTTGAATTCCCGCTTCCAACGAAATCCTCCAAGCTATCCAGATATCCACTTGCAGATTCCACAAAAAGAGTGTTTCAAAACTGCTCTCTATCAATGGCAAAGTTCAACTCTGTTAGTTGAGGACACATATCACCAACAAGTTTCTGAGAATGCTTCTGTCTATTTTTTATGGGAAGATATTTCCTTTTTCACCGTAGGCGTCAAGGCGATCGAAATGTCCACTTCCACAAACTACAAAAAGCGTGTTTCAATATGAAAGGCCATGTTCATCTCTATGAGTTGAATGGAAATATCCGAAAGAAATTTCTGGGAATGCTGCTGTCTAGTTTTTATACGAATTCCCGCTTCCAACGAAATCCTCAAAGCAATCCAAATATCCACTTGCAGAATCCACAAAAAGAGTGTTTCAAAACTGCTCTATCAATAGAAAGGTTCAACTCTTTTAGTTGAGTACACACATCACAAACAAGTTTCTGAGAATGCTTCTGTCTGGCTTTTATTGGAAGACGTTTCCTTTTCACCAAAGGCATCAAAGCGCTCCAAATGTCCACTTCCAGATTCTTCCAAAAGAGTGTTTCAAACGTGCTCGAAGTAAGGGAATGTTCTACTCTGTGACTTGAATGCAGATATCACCAAGTAGTTTCTAATAGTGCTTCTGTCTACATTTTAGATGATGATATTCCCGTTTCCAACGAAATCGCTAGAGCTATCCAAATATCCAGTTACAGTTTCTACCAAAAGGGTGTTTCCAAATTGCTGCATCAAAAGAAAGGTTCAACTCTGTTAGTTGAGGACACACATCACAAAGAAGTTTGTGAGAATGCTTCTGTCTACATTTTGTATGACGATATTCCCTTTTCCAACGATATCGTTAAAGCAATCTAAATATCAATTTGCAGAATCCACAAAAATAGAGTTTCAAAGCTGCTCTGTAAAAAGAAAGGTTCCACTCTGTTAGCTGAGTACACACATCACAAACTTGTTTCTGAGAATCCTTCTGTCTCGTTTTTATGGGAAGATATTTACTTTTCCACCGTAGGCATCAAAGCGCTCCAAATGTCCACATCCAGATACTCCAGAACGAGTGTTTCAAACCTGCTCTATGAAAGGGAATCTTCAACTCTATGAGTTGAATGCAGACATCAGAAAGAAATTTCTGAGAATGCTGCTGTCTACCTTTTATTTGAATTCCCGCTTCCAACGAAATCCTCAAAGCTATCCAAATATCCACCTGCATTTTCCACAAAAAGAGTGTTTCAAAACTGCTCTATCAATAGAAATGTTCAACTCCTTTGGCTGGGTACACACATCACAAACAAGTTTCTGAGAATGCTTCTGTCTAGTTTTTATGGGTGGACATTCCCTTTTTCACCAAAGGAATCAAAGCGCTCCAAATGTCCACTTCCAGACACTACAAAAAGAGTGTTTCAAACGTGCTCTAAGAAAGCGAATGTTCAACTCTGTGACTTGAATGCAGATATCACAAAGTAGTTTCTGAGAGTGCTTCTGTCTAGATTTTAGATGATGATATTCCCGTTTCCAACGAAATCATTAGAGCTATCCAAATATCCACTTACAGTTTCTACAAAAAGAGTGTTTCCAAACTGCTGCATCAAAAGAGAGGTTCCACTCTGTTAGCTGAGTACACACATCACAAACTTGTTTCTCAGAATCCTTCTGTCTCGTTTTTATGGGAAGATATTTACTTTTTCACCGTAGGCATCAAAGCGCTCCAAATGTCCACATCCAGATACTCCAGAAAGAGTGTTTCAAACCTGCTCTATGAAATGGAATCTTCAACTCTATGAGTTGAATGCAGACATCAGAAAGAAATTTCTGAGAATGCTGCTGTCTACCTTTTATTTGAATTCCCGCTTCCAACGAAATCCTCCAAGCTATCCAAATATCCACTTGCAGATTCCACAAAAAGAGTGTTTCAAAACTGCTCTCTATCAATGGCAAAGTTCAACTCTGTTAGTTGAGGACACATATCACCAACAAGTTTCTGAGAATGCTTCTGTCTATTTTTTATGGGAAGATATTTCCTTTTTCACCGTAGGCGTCAAGGCGATCGAAATGTCCACTTCCACAAACTACAAAAAGAGTGTTTCAAACCTGCTCTATGAAAGGCCATGTTCATCTCTATGAGTCGAATGGAAATACCCGAAAGAAATTTCTGGGAATGCTGCTGTCTAGTTTTTATACGAATTCCCGCTTCCAACGAAATCCTCAAAGCAATCCAAATATCCACTTGCAGAATCCACAAAAAGAGTGTTTCAAAACTGCTCTATCAATAGAAAGGTTCAACTCTTTTAGTTGAGTACACACATCACAAACAAGTTTCTGAGAATGCTTCTGTCTGGCTTTTATTGGAAGACGTTTCCTTTTCACCAAAGGCATCAAAGCACTCCAAATGTCCACTTCCAGATTCTTCCAAAAGAGTGTTTCAAACGTGCTCAAAGTAAGGGAATGTTCAACTCTGTGACTTGAATGCAGATATCACCAAGTAGTTTCTAATAGTGCTTCTGTCTACATTTTGATGATGATATTCCCGTTTCCAACGAAATCGTTAGAGCTATCCAAATATCCAGTTACAGTTTCTACCAAAAGGGTGTTTCCAAATTGCTGCATCAAAAGAAAGGTTCAACTCTGTTAGTTGAGGACACACATCACAAAGAAGTTTGTGAGAATGCTTCTGTCTAGATTTTGTATGACCATATTCCCTTGTCCAACGATATCGTTAAAGCAATCTAAATATCAATTTGCAGAATCCACAAAAATAGAGTTTCAAAGCTGCTCTGTAAAAAGAAAGGTTCCACTCTGTTAGCTGAGTACACACATCACAAACTTGTTTCTCAGAATCCTTCTGTCTCGTTTTTATGGGAAGATATTTACTTTTTCACCGTAGGCATCAAAGCGCTCCAAATGTCCACATCCAGATACTCCAGAAAGAGTGTTTCAAACCTGCTCTATGAAAGGGAATCTTCAACTCTATGAGTTGAATGCAGACATCAGAAAGAAATTTCTGAGAATGCTGCTGTCTACCTTTTATTTGAACTCCCGCTTCCAACGAAATCCTCCAAGCTATCCAAATATCCACCTGCATTTTCCACAAAAAGAGCGTTTCAAAACTGCTCTATCAATAGAAATGTTCAACTCCTTTGGCTGGGTACACACATCACAAACAAGTTTCTGAGAATGCTTCTGTCTAGTTTTTATGGGAAGACATTCCCTTTTTCACCAAAGGCATCAAAGCGCGCCAAATGTCCACTTCCAGACACTACAAAAAGAGTGTTTCAAACGTGCTCTAAGAAAGCGAATGTTCAACTCTGTGACTTGAATGCAGATATCACAAAGTAGTTTCTGAGAGGGCTTCTGTCTAGATTTTAGATGATGATATTCCCGTTTCCAACGAAATCATTAGAGCTATCCAAATATCCACTTACAGTTTCTACAAAAAGAGTGTTTCCAAACTGCTGCATCAGAAGAGAGGTTCCACTCTGTTAGCTGAGTACACACATCACAAACTTGTTTCTGAGAATCCTTCTGTGTCGTTTTTATGGGAAGATATTTACTTTTTCACCGTAGGCATCAAAGCGCTCCAAATGTCCACATCCAGATACTCCAGAAAGAGTGTTTCAAACCTGCTGCTATGAAAGGGAATCTTCAACTCTATGAGTTGAATGCAGACATCAGAAAGAAATTTCTGAGAATGCTGCTGTCTACCTTTTATTTGAATTCCCGCTTCCAACGAAATCCTCCAAGCTATCCAAATATCCACTTGCAGATTCCACAAAAAGAGTGTTTCAAAACTGCTCTCTATCAATGGCAAAGTTCAACTCTGTTAGTTGAGGACACATATCACCAACAAGTTTCTGAGAATGCTTCTGTCTATTTTTTATGGGAAGATATTTCCTTTTTCAGCGTAGGCGTCAAGGCGATCGAAATGTCCACTTCCACAAACTACAAAAAGAGTGTTTCAAACCTGCTCTATGAAAGGCCATGTTCATCTCTATGAGTTGAATGGAAATATCCGAAAGAAATTTCTGGGAATGCTGCTGTCTAGTGTTTATACGAATTCCTGCTTCCAACGAAATCCTCAAAGCAATCCAAATATCCACTTGCAGAATCCACAAAAAGAGTGTTTCAAAACTGCTCTATCAATAGAAAGGTTCAACTCTTTTAGTTGAGTACACACATCACGAACAAGTTTCTGAGAATGCTTCTGTCTGGCTTTTATTGGAAGACGTTTCCTTTTCACCAAAGGCATCAAAGCGCTCCAAATGTCCACTTCCAGATTCTTCCAAAAGAGTGTTTGAAACGTGCTCAAAGTAAGGGAATGTTCAACTCTGTGACTTGAATGCAGATATCACCAAGTAGTTTCTAATAGTGCTTCTGTCTAGATTTTAGATGATGATATTCCCGTTTCCAACGAAATCGTTAGATCTATCCAAATATCCACTTACAGTTTCTACCAAAAGGGTGTTTCCAAACTGCTGCATCAAAAGAAAGGTTCAACTGTGTTATTTGAGGACACACATCACAAAGAAGTTTGTGAGAATGCTTCTGTCTAGATTTTGTATGACCATATTCCCTTTTCCAACGATATCGTTAAAGCAATCTAAATATCAATTTGCAGAATCCACAAAAATAGAGTTTCAAAGCTGCTCTGTAAAAAGAAAGGTTCCACTCTGTTAGCTGAGTACACACATCACAAACTTGTTTCTGAGAATCCTGCTGTCTACCTTTTATTTGAATTCCCGCTTCCAACGAAATCCTCCAAGCTATCCAAATATCCACCTGCATTTTCCACAAAAAGAGTGTTTCAAAACTGCTCTATCAATAGAAATGTTCAACTCCTTTGGCTGGGTACACACATCACAAACAAGTTTGCTGAGAATGCTTTCTGTCTAGTTTTTATGGGAAGACATTCCCTTTTTCACCAAAGGCATCAAAGCGCTCCAAATGTCCACTTCCAGACACTACAAAAAGAGTGTTTCCAACGTGCTCTAAGAAAGCGAATGTTCAACTGCTGTGACTTGAATGCAGATATCACAAAGTAGTTTCTGAGAGGGCTTCTGTCTAGATTTTAGATGATGATATTCCCGTTTCCAAAGAAATCATTAGAGCTATCCAAATATCCACTTACAGTTTCTACAAAAAGAGTGTTTCCAAACTGCTGCATCAAAAGAGAGGTTCCACTCTGTTAGCTGAGTACACACATCACAAACTTGTTTCTCAGAATCCTTCTGTCTCGTTTTTATGGGAAGATATTTACTTTTTCACCGTAGGCATCAAAGCGCTCCAAATGTCCACATCCAGATACTACAGAAAGAGTATTTCAAACCTGCTCTATGAAAGGGAATCTTCAACTCTATGAGTTGAATGCAGACATCAGAAAGAAATTTCTGAGAATGCTGCTGTCTATCTTTTATTTGAATTCCCGTTTCCAACGAAATCCTCCAAGCTATCCAAATATCCACTTGCAGATTCCACAGAAAGAGTGTTTCAAAACTGCTCTCTATCAATGGCAAAGTTCAACTCTGTCAGTTGAGGACACATATCTCCAACAAGTTTCTGAGAATGCTTCTGTCTATTTTTTATGGGAAGATATTTCCTTTTTCAGCGTAGGCGTCAAGGCGATCGAAATGTCCACTTCCAGAAACTACAAAAAGAGTGTTTCAAACCTGCTCTATGAAAGGCCATGTTCATCTCTATGAGTTGAATGGAAATATCCGAAAGAAATTTCTGGGAATGCTGCTGTCTAGTTTTTATATGAATTCCCGCTTCCAACGAAATCCTCAAAGCAATCCAAATATCCACTTGCAGAATCCACAAAAAGAGTGTTTCAAAACTGCGCTATCAATAGAAAGGTTCAACTCTTTTAGTTGAGTACACACATCACGAACAAGTTTCTGAGAATGCTTCTGTCTGGCTTTCATTGGAAGACGTTTCCTTTTCACCAAAGGCATCAAAGCGCTCCAAATGTCCACTTCCAGATTCTTCCAAAAGAGTGTTTCAAACGTGCTCAAAGTAAGGGAATGTTCAACTCTGTGACTTGAATGCAGATATCACCAAGTAGTTTCTAATAGTGCTTCTGTCTAGATTTTAGATGATGATATTCCCGTTTCCAACGAAATCGTTAGAGCTATCCAAATATCCAGTTACAGTTTCTACCAAAAGGGTGTTTCCAAATTGCTGCATCAAAAGAAAGGTTTAACTCTGTTAGTTGAGGACACACATCACAAAGAAGTTTGTGAGAATGCTTCTGTCCAGCATTTTGTATGACGATATTCCCTTTTCCAACGATATCGTTAAAGCAATCTAAATATCAATTTCCAGAATCCACAAAAATAGAGTTTCAAAGCTGCTCTGTAAAAAGAAAGGTTCCACTCTGTTAGCTGAGTACACACATCACAAACTTGTTTCTGAGAATCCTTCTGTCTCGTTTTTATGGGAAGATATTTACTTTTCCACCGTAGGCATCAAAGCGCTCCAAATGTCCACATCCAGATACTCCAGAACGAGTGTTTCAAACCTGCTCTATGAAAGGGAATCTTCAACTCTATGAGTTGAATGCAGACATCAGAAAGAAATTTCTGAGAATGCTGCTGTCTACCTTTTATTTGAATTCCCGCTTCCAACGAAATCCTCCAAGCTATCCAAATATCCACCTGCATTTTCCACAACAAGAGTGTTTCAAAACTGCTCTATCAATAGAAATGTTCAACTCCTTTGGCTGGGTACACACATCACAAACAAGTTTCTGAGAATGCTTCTGTCTAGTTTTTATGGGAAGACGTTCCCTTTTTCACCAAAGTCATCAAAGCGCTCCAAATGTCCACTTCCAGACACTACAAAAAGAGTGTTTCCAACGTGCTCTAAGAAAGCGAATGTTCAACTCTGTGACTTGAATGCAGATATCACAAAGTAGTTTCTGAGAGGGCTTCTGTCTAGATTTTAGATGATGATATTCCCGTTTCCAACGAAATCATTAGAGCTATCCAAATATCCACTTACAGTTTCTACAAAAAGAGTGTTTCCAAACTGCTGCATCAAAAGAGAGGTTCCACTCTGTTAGCTGAGTACACACATCACAAACTTGTTTCTCAGAATCCGGCTGTCTACCTTTTATTTGAATTCCCGCTTCCAACGAAATCCTCCAAGCTATCCAAATATCCACTTGCAGATTCCACAAAAAGAGTGTTTCAAAACTGCTCTCTATCAATGGCAAAGTTCAACTCTGTTAGTTGAGGACACATATCACCAACAAGTTTCTGAGAATGCTTCTGTCTATTTTTTATGGGAAGATATTTCCTTTTTCACCGTAGGCGTCAAGGCGATCGAAATGTCCACTTCCACAAACTACAAAAAGAGTGTTTCAAACCTGCTCTATGAAAGGCCATGTTCACCTCTATGAGTTGAATGGAAATATCCGAAAGAAATTTCTGGGAATGCTGCTGTCTAGTGTTTATACGAATTCCCGCTTCCAACGAAATCCTCAAAGCAATCCAAATATCCACTTGCAGAATCCACAAAAAGAGTGTTTCAAAACTGCTCTATCAATAGAAAGGTTCAACTCTTTTAGATGAGTACACACATCACGAACAAGTTTCTGAGAATGCTTCTGTCTGGCTTTTATTGGAAGACGTTTCCTTTTCACCAAAGGCATCAAAGCGCTCCAAATGTCCACTTCCAGATTCTTCCAAAAGAGTGTTTCAAACGTGCTCAAAGTAAGGGAATGTTCAACTCTGTGACTTGAATGCAGATATCACCAAGTAGTTTCTAATAGTGCTTCTGTCTACATTTTAGATGATGATATTCCCGTTTCCAACGAAATCGTTAGAGGTATCCAAATATCCAGTTACAGTTTCTACCAAAAGGGTGTTTCCAAATTGCTGCATCAAAAGAAAGGTTCAACTCTGTTAGTTGAGGACACACATCACAAAGAAGTTTGTGAGAATGCTTCTGTCTAGATTTTGTATGACGATATTCCCTTTTCCAACGATATCGTTAAAGCAATCTAAATATCAATTTGCAGAATCCACAAAAATAGAGTTTCAAAGCTGCTCTGTAAAAAGAAAGGTTCCACTCTGTTAGCTGAGTACACACATCACAAACTTGTTTCTGAGAATCCTGCTGTCTACCTTTTATTTGAATTCCCGCTTCCAACGAAATCCTCCAAGCTATCCAAATATCCACCTGCATTTTCCACAAAAAGAGCGTTTCAAAACTGCTCTATCAATAGAAATGTTCAACTCCTTTGGCTGGGTACACACATCACAAACAAGTTTCTGAGAATGCTTCTGTCTAGTTTTTATGGGTAGACATTCCCTTTTTCACCAAAGGAATCAAAGCGCTCCAAATGTCCACTTCCAGCCACTACAAAAAGAGTGTTTCAAACGTGCTCTAAGAAAGCGAATGTTCAACTCTGTGACTTGAATGCAGATATCACACAGTAGTTTCTGAGAGTGCTTCTGTCTAGATTTTAGATGATGATATTCCCGTTTCCAACGAAATCATTAGAGCTATCCAAATATCCACTTACAGTTTCTACAAAAAGAGTGTTTCCAAACTGCTGCATCAAAAGAGAGGTTCCACTCTGTTAGCTGAGTACACACATCACAAACTTGTTTCTCAGAATCCTTCTGTCTCGTTTTTATGGGAAGATATTTACTTTTTCACCGTAGGCATCAAAGCGCTCCAAATGTCCACATCCAGATACTACAGAAAGAGTGTTTCAAACCTGCTCTATGAAAGGGAATCTTCAACTCTATGAGTTGAATGCAGACATCAGAAAGAAATTTCTGAGAATGCTGCTGTCTACCTTTTATTTGAATTCCCGCTTCCAACGAAATCCTCCAAGCTATCCAAATATCCACTTGCAGATTCCACAAAAAGAGTGTTTCAAAACTGCTCTCTATCAATGGCAAAGTTCAACTCTGTTAGTTGAGGACACATATCACCAACAAGTTTCTGAGAATGCTTCTGTCTATTTTTTAAGGGAAGATATTCCCTTTTTCACCGTAGGCGTCAAGGCGATCGAAATGTCCACTTTCACAAACTACAAAAAGAGTGTTTCAAACCTGCTCTATGAAAGGCCATGTTCATCTCTATGAGTTGAATGGATATATCCGAAAGAAATTTCTGGGAATGCTGCTGTCTAGTTTTTATACGAATTCCCGCTTCCAACGAAATCCTCAAAGCAATCCAAATATCCACTTGCAGAATCCACAAAAAGAGTGTTTCAAAACTGCTCTATCAATAGAAAGGTTCAACTCTTTTAGTTGAGTACACACATCACAAACAAGTTTCTGAGAATGCTTCTGTCTGGCTTTTATTGGAAGACGTTTCCTTTTCACCAAAGGCATCAAAGCGCTCCAAATGTCCACTTCCAGATTCTTCCAAAAGAGTGTTTGAAACGTGCTCAAAGTAAGGGAATGTTCAACTCTGTGACTTGAATGCAGATATCACCAAGTAGTTTCTAATAGTGATTCTGTCTCATTTTAGATGATGATATTCCCGTTTCCAAAGAAATCGTTAGAGCTATCCAAATATCCAGTTACAGTTTCTACCAAAAGGGTGTTTCCAAATTGCTGCATCAAAAGAAAGGTTCAACTCTGTTAGTTGAGGACACACATCACAAAGAAGTTTGTGAGAATGCTTCTGTCTAGATTTTGTATGACGATATTCCCTTTTCCAACGATATCGTTAAAGCAATCTAAATATCAATTTGCAGAATCCACAAAAATAGAGTTTCAAAGCTGCTCTGTAAAAAGAAAGGTTCCACTCTGTTAGCTGAGTACACACATCACAAACTTGTTTCTGAGAATCCTTCTGTCTCGTTTTTATGGGAAGATATTTACTTTTTCACCGCAGGCATCAAAGCGCTCCAAATGTCCACATCCAGATACTCCAGAAAGAGTGTTTCAAACCTGCTCTATGAAAGGGAATCTTCAACTCTATGAGTTGAATGCAGACATCAGAAGGAAATTTCTGAGAATGCTTGCTGTCTACCTTTTATTTGAATTCCCGCTTCCAACGAAATCCTCCAAGCTATCCAAATATCCACTTGCATTTTCCACAAAAAGAGTGTTTCAAAACTGCTCTATCAATAGAAATGTTCAACTCCTTTGGCTGGGTACACACATCACAAACAAGTTTCTGAGAATGCTTCTGTCTAGTTTTTATGGGAAGACGTTCCCTTTTTCACCAAAGGCATCAAAGCGCTCCAAATGTCCACTTCAAGACACTACAAAAAGAGTGTTTCCAACGTGCTCTAAGAAAGCGAATGTTCAACTCTGTGACTTGAATGCAGATATCACAAAGTAGTTTCTGAGAGGGCTTCTGTCTAGATTTTAGATGATGATATTCCCGTTTCCAACGAAATCATTAGAGCTATCCAAATATCCACTTACAGTTTCTACAAAAAGAGTGTTTCCAAACTGCTGCATCAAAAGAGACGTTCCACTCTGTTAGCTGAGTACACACATCACAAACTTGTTTCTCAGAATCCTTCTGTCTCGTTTTTATGGGAAGATTATACTTTTTCACCGTAGGCATCAAAGCGCTCCAAATGTCCACATCCAGATACTACAGAAAGAGTGTTTCAAACCTGCTCTATGAAAGGGAATCTTCAACTCTATGAGTTGAATGCAGACATCAGAAAGAAATTTCTGAGAATGCTGCTGTCTACCTTTTATTTGAATTCCCGCTTCCAACGAAATCCTCCAAGCTATCCAAATATCCACTTGCAGATTCCACAAAAAGAGTGTTTCAAAACTGCTCTCTATCAATGGCAAAGTTCAACTCTGTTAGTTGAGGACACATATCACCAACAAGTTTCTGAGAATGCTTCTGTCTATTTTTTATGAGAAGATATTTCCTTTTTCACCGTAGGCGTCAAGGCGATCGAAATGTCCACTTCCACAAACTACAAAAAGAGTGTTTCAAACCTGCTCTATGAAAGGCGATGTTCATCTCTATGAGTTGAATGGAAATATCCGAAAGAAATTTCTGGGAATGCTGCTGTCTAGTGTTTATACGAATTCCCACTTCCAACGAAATCCTCAAAGCAATCCAAATATCCACTTGCAGAATCCACAAAAAGAGTGTTTCAAAACTGCTCTATCAATAGAAAGGTTCAACTCTTTTAGTTGAGTACACACATCACGAACAAGTTTCTGAGAATGCTTCTGTCTGGCTTTTATTGGAAGACGTTTCCTTTTCACCAAAGGCATCAAAGCGCTCCAAATGTCCACTTCCAGATTCTTCCAAAAGAGTGTTTGAAACGTGCTCAAAGTAAGGGAATGTTCAACTCTGTGACTTGAATGCAGATATCACCAAGTAGTTTCTAATAGTGCTTCTGTCTAGATTTTAGATGATGATATTCCCGTTTCCAACGAAATCGTTAGAGCTATCCAAATATCCACTTACAGTTTCTACAAAAAGAGTGTTTCCAAACTGCTGCATCAAAAGAAAGGTTCAACTCTGTTAGTTGAGGACACACATCACAAAGAAGTTTGTGATAATGCTTCTGTCTAGATTTTGTATGACGATATTCCCTTTTCCAACGATATCGTTAAAGCAATCTAAATATCAATTTGCAGAATCCACAAAAATAGAGTTTCAAAGCTGCTCTGTAAAAAGAAAGGTTCCACTGCTGTTAGCTGAGTACACACATCACAAACTTGTTTCTGAGAATCCTGCTGTCTACCTTTTATTTGAGTTCCCGCTTCCAACGAAATCCTCCAAGCTATCCAAATATCCACCTGCATTTTCAACAAAAAGAGTGTTTCAAAACTGCTCTATCAATAGAAATGTTCAACTCCTTTGGCTGGGTACACACATCACAAACAAGTTTCTGAGAATGCTTCTGTCTAGTTTTTATGGGAAGACGTTCCCTTTTTCACCAAAGGCATCAAAGCGCTCCAAATGTCCACTTCCAGACACTACAAAAAGAGTGTTTCAAACGTGCTCTAAGAAAGCGAATGTTCAACTCTGTGAGTTGAATGCAGATATCACAAAGTAGTTTCTGAGAGGGCTTCTGTCCAGATTTTGTATGACGATACTCCCTTTTCCAACGATATCGTTAAAGCAATCTAAATATCCATTTGCAGAATCCACAAAAATAGAGTTTCAAAGCTGCTCTGTAAAAAGAAAGGTTCCACTCTGTTAGCTGAGTACACACATCACAAACTTGTTTCTGAGAATCCTGCTGTCTACCTTTTATTTGAATTCCCGCTTCCAACGAAATCCTCCAAGCTATCCAAATATCCACTTGCAGATTCCACAAAAAGAGTGTTTCAAAACTGCTCTCTATCAATGGCAAAGTTCAACTCTGTTAGTTGAGGACACATATCACCAACAAGTTTCTGAGAATGCTTCTGTCTATTTTTTATGGGAAGATATTTCCTTTTTCACCGTAGGCATCAAGGCGATCGAAATGTCCACTTCCACAAACTACAAAAAGAGTGTTTCAAACCTGCTCTATGAAAGGCGATGTTCATCTCTATAAGTTGAATGGAAATATCCGAAAGAAATTTCTGGGAATGCTGCTGTCTAGTTTTTATACGAATTCCCGCTTCCAACGAAATCCTCAAAGCAATCCAAATATCCACTTGCAGAATCCACAAAAAGAGTGTTTCAAAACTGCTCTATCAATAGAAAGGTTCAAATCTTTTAGTTGAGTACACACATCACGAACAAGTTTCTGAGAATGCTTCTGTCTGGCTTTTATTGGAAGACGTTTCCTTTTCACCAAAGGCATCAAAGCGCTCCAAATGTCCACTTCCAGATTCTTCCAAAAGAGTGTTTCAAACGTGCTCAAAATAAGGGAATGTTCAATTCTGTGACTTGAATGCAGATATCACCAAGTAGTTTCTAATAGTGCTTCTGTCTAGATTTTAGATGATGATATTCCCGTTTCCAACGAAATCGTTAGAGCTATCCAAATATCCACTTACAGTTTCTACCAAAAGGGTGTTTCCAAACTGCTGCATCAAAAGAAAGGTTCAACTCTGTTAGTTGAGGACACACATCACAAAGGAAGTTTGTGAGAATGCTTCTGTCTAGATTTTGTATGACGATATTCCCTTTTCCAACGATATCGTTAAAGCAATCTAAATATCCATTTGCAGAATCCACAAAAATAGAGTTTCAAAGCTGCTCTGTAAAAAGAAAGGTTCCACTCTGTTAGCTGAGTACACACATCACAAACTTGTTTCTCAGAATCCTTCTGTCTCGTTTTTCTGGGAAGATATTTACTTTTTCACCGTAGGCATCAAAGCGCTCCAAATGTCCACATCCAGTTTCAAACCTGCTCTATGAAAGGGAATCTTCAACTCTATGAGTTGAATGCAGACATCAGAAAGAAATTTCTGAGAATGCTGCTGTCTAACTTTTATTTGAATTCCCGCTTCCAACGAAATCCTCCAAGCTATCCAAATATCCACCTGCATTTTCCACAAAAAGAGTGTTTCAAAACTGCTCTATCAATAGAAATGTTCAATTCCTTTGGCTGGGTACACACATCACAAACAAGTTTCTGAGAATGCTTCTGTCTAGTTTTTATGGGAAGACATTCCCTTTTTCACCAAAGGCATCAAAGCGCTCCAAATGTCCACTTCCAGACACTACAAAAAGAGTGTTTCAAACGTGCTCTAAGAAAGCGAATGTTCAACTCTGTGACTTGAATGCAGATATCACAAAGTAGTTTCTGAGAGGGCTTCTGTCTAGATTTTAGATGATGATATTCCCGTTTCCAACGAAATCATTAGAGCTATCCAAATATCCACTTACAGTTTCTACAAAAAGAGTGTTTCCAAACTGCTGCATCAAAAGAGAGGTTCCACTCTGTTAGCTGAGTACACACATCACAAACTTGTTTCTGAGAATCCGTCTGTCTCGTTTTTATGGGAAGATATTTACTTTTTCACCGTAGGCATCAAAGCGCTCCAAATGTCCACATCCAGATACTCCAGAAAGAGTGTTTCAAACCTGCTCTATGAAAGGGAATCTTCAACTCTATGAGTTGAATGCAGACATCAGAAAGAAATTTACTGAGAATGCTGCTGTCTACCTTTAATTTGAATTCCCGCTTCCAACGAAATCCTCCAAGCTATCCAAATATCCACTTGCACATTCCACAAAAAGAGTGTTTCAAAACTGCTCTCTATCAATGGCAAAGTTCAACTCTGTTAGTTGAGGACACATATCACCAACAAGTTTCTGAGAATGCTTCTGTCTATTTTTTATGGGAAGATATTTCCTTTTTCACCGTAGGCGTCAAGGCGATCGAAATGTCCACTTCCACAAACTACAAAAAGAGTGTTTCAAACCTGCTCTATGAAAGGCCATGTTCATCTCTATGAGTTGAATGGAAATATCCGAAAGAAATTTCTGGGAATGCTGCTGTCTAGTGTTTATACGAATTCCCGCTTCCAACGAAATCCTCAAAGCAATCCAAATATCCACTTGCAGAATCCACAAAAAGAGTGTTTCAAAACTGCTCTATCAATAGAAAGGTTCAACTCTTTTAGTTGAGGTACACACATCACGAACAAGTTTCTGAGAATGCTTCTGTCTGGCTTTTATTGGAAGACGTTTCCTTTTCACCAAAGGCATCAAAGCGCTCCAAATGTCCACTTCCAGATTCTTCCAAAAGAGTGTTTGAAACGTGCTCAAAGTAAGGGAATGTTCAACTCTGTGACTTGAATGCAGATATCACCAAGTAGTTTCTAATAGTGCTTCTGTCTAGATTTTAGATGATGATATTCCCGTTTCCAACGAAATCGTTAGAGCTATCCAAATATCCACTTACAGTTTCTACAAAAAGAGTGTTTCCAAACTGCTGCATCAAAAGAAAGGTTCAACTCTGTTAGTTGAGGACACACATCACAAAGAAGTTTGTGAGAATGCTTCTGTCCAGATTTTGTATGACGATATTCCCTTTTCCAACGATATCGTTAAAGCAATCTAAATATCCATTTGCAGAATCCACAAAAATAGAGTTTCAAAGCTGCTCTGTAAAAAGAAAGGTTCCACTCTGTTAGCTGAGTACACACATCACAAACTTGTCTCTCAGAATCCTTTCTGTCTCGTTTTTATGGGAAGACATTTACTTTTTCACCGTAGGCATCAAAGCGCTCCAAATGTCCACATCCAGATACTCCAGAAACAGTGTTTCAAACCTGCTCTATGAAAGGGAATCTTCAACTCTATGAGTTGAATGCAGACATCAGAAAGAAATTTCTGAGAATGCTGCTGTCTACCTTTTATTTGAATTCCCGCTTCCAACGAAATCCTCCAAGCTATCCAAATATCCACTTGCATTTTCCACAAAAAGAATGTTTCAAAACTGCTCTATCAATAGAAATGTTCAACTCCTTTGGCTGGGTACACACATCACAAACAAGTTTCTGAGAATGCTTCTGTCTAGTTTTTATGGGTAGACATTCCCTTTTTCACCAAAGGAATCAAAGCGCTCCAAATGTCCACTTCCAGACACTACAAAAAGAGTGTTTCAAACGTGCTCTAAGAAAGCGAATGTTCAACTCTGTGACTTGAATGCAGATATCACAAAGTAGTTTCTGAGAGGGCTTCTGTCTAGATTTTAGATGATGATATTCCCGTTTCCAACGAAATCATTAGAGCTATCCAAATATCCACTTACAGTTTCTACAAAAAGAGTGTTTCCAAACTGCTGCATCAAAAGAGAGGTTCCACTCTGTTAGCTGAGTACACACATCACAAACTTGTTTCTCAGAATCCTTCTGTCTCGTTTTTATGGGAAGATATTTACTTTTTCACCGTAGGCATCAAAGCGCTCCAAATGTCCACAATCAGATACTCCAGAAAGAGTGTTTCAAACCTGCTCTATGAAAGGGAATCTTCAACTCTATGAGTTGAATGCAGACATCAGAAAGAAATTTCTGAGAATGCTGCTGTCTACCTTTTATTTGAATTCCCGCTTCCAACAAAATCCTCCAAGCTATCCAAATATCCACTTGCAGATTCCACAAAAAGAGTGTTTCAAAACTGCTCTCTATCAATGGCAAAGTTCAACTCTGTTAGTTGAGGACACATATCACCAACAAGTTTCTGAGAATGCTTTCTGTCTATTTTTTATGGGAAGATATTTCCTTTTTCAGCGTAGGCGTCAAGGCGATCCGAAATGTCCACTTCCACAAACTACAAAAAGAGTGTTTCAAACCTGCTCTATGAAAGGCCATGTTCATCTCTATGAGTTGAATGGAAATATCCGAAAGAAATTTCTGGGAATGCTGCTGTCTAGTGTTTATACGAATTCCCGCTTCCAACGAAATCCTCAAAGCAATCCAAATATCCACTTGCAGAATCCACAAAAAGAGTGTTTCAAAACTGCTCTATCAATAGAAAGGTTCAACTCTTTTAGTTGAGTACACACATCACGAACAAGTTTCTGAGAATGCTTCTGTCTGGCTTTTATTGGAAGACGTTTCCTTTTCACCAAAGGCATCAAAGTGCTCCAAATGTCCACTTCCAGATTCTACCAAAAGAGTGTTTCAAACGTGCTCATAGTAAGGGAATGTTCAACTCTGTGACTTGAATGCAGATATCACCAAGTAGTTTCTAATAGTGCTTCTGTCTAGATTTTAGATGATGATATTCCCGTTTCCAACGAAATCGCTAGAGCTATCCAAATATCCAGTTACAGTTTCTACCAAAAGGGTGTTTCCAAATTGCTGCATCAAAAGAAAGGTTCAACTCTGTTAGTTGAGGACACACGTCACAAAGAAGTTTGTGAGAATGCTTCTGTCTAGATTTTGTATGACGATATTCCCTTTTCCAACGATATCGTTAAAGCAATCTAAATATCAATTTGCAGAATCCACAAAAATAGAGTTTCAAAGCTGCTCTGCAAAAAAGAAAGGTTCCACTCTGTTAGCTGAGTACACACATCACAAACTTGTTTCTGAGAATCCTTCTGTCTCGTTTTTATGGGAAGATATTTACTTTTTCACCGTAGGCATCAAAGCGCTCCAAATGTCCACATCCAGATACTCCAGAAAGAGTGTTTCAAACCTGCTCTATGAAAGGGAATCTTCAACTCTATGAGTTGAATGCAGACATCAGAAAGAAATTTCTGAGAATGCTGCTGTCTACCTTTTATTTGAACTCCCGCTTCCAACGAAATCCTCCAAGCTATCCAAATATCCACTTGCATTTTCCACAAAAAGAGTGCTTCAAAACTGCTCTATCAATAGAAATGTTCAACTCCTTTAGCTGGGTGCACACATCACAAACAAGTTTCTGAGAATGCTTCTGTCTAGTTTTTGTGGGAAGACATTCCCTTTTTCACCAAAGGCATCAAAGCGCTCCAAATGTCCACTTCCAGACACTACAAAAAGAGTGTTTCAAACGTGCTCTAAGAAAGCGAATGTTCAACTCTGTGACTTGAATGCAGATATCACCAAGTAGTTTCTGAGAGGGCTTCTGTCTAGATTTTAGATGATGATATTCCCGTTTCCAACGAAATCATTAGAGCTATCCAAATATCCACTTACAGTTTCTACAAAAAGAGTGTTTCCAAACTGCTGCATCAAAAGAGAGGTTCCACTCTGTTAGCTGAGTACACACATCACAAACTTGTTTCTCAGAATCCTTCTGTCTAGTTTTCATGGGAAGATATTTACTTTTTCACCGTAGGTATCAAAGCGCTCCAAATGACCACATCCAGATACTACAGAAAGAGTGTTTCAAACCTGCTCTATGAAAGGGAATCTTCAACTCAATGAGTTGAATGCAGACATCAGAAAGTAATTTCTGAGAATGCTGCTGTCTACCTTTTATTTGAATTCCCGCTTCCAACGAAATCCTCCAAGCTATCCAAATATCCACTTGCAGATTCCACAAAAAGAGTGTTTCAAAACTGCTCTCTATCAATGGCAAAGTTCAACTCTGTTAGTTGAGGACACATATCAGCAACAAGTTTCTGAGGATGCTTCTGTCTATTTTTTATGGGAAGATATTTCCTTTTTCACCGTAGGCGTCAAGGCGATCGAAATGTCCACTTCCACAAACTACAAAAAGAGTGTTTGAAACCTGCTCTATGAAAGGCCATGTTCATCTCTATGAGTTGAATGGAAATATCCGAAAGAAATTTCTGGGAATGCTGCTGTCTAGTGTTTATACGAATTCCCGCTTCCAACGAAATCCTCAAAGCAATCCAAATATCCACTTGCAGAATCCACAAAAAGAGTGTTTCAAAACTGCTCTATCAATAGAAAGGTTCAACTCTTTTAGTTGAGTACACACATCACCAACAAGTTTCTGAGAATGCTTCTGTCTGGCTTTTATTGGAAGACGTTTCCTTTTCACCAAAGGCATCAAAGCGCTCCAAATGTCCACTTCCAGATTCTTCCAAAAGAGTGTTTGAAACGTGCTCAAAGTAAGGGAATGTTCAACTCTGTGACTTGAATGCAGATATCACCAAGTAGTTTCTAATAGTGCTTCTGTCTAGATTTTAGATGATGATATTCCCGTTTCCAACGAAATCGTTAGAGCTATCCAAATATCCACTTACAGTTTCTACCAAAAGGGTGTTTCCAAACTGCTGCATCAAAAGAAAGGTTCAACTCTGTTAGTTGAGGACACACGTCACAAAGCTGTTTGTGAGAATGCTTCTGTCCAGATTTTGTATGACGATATTCCCTTTTCCAACGATATCGTTAAAGCAATCTAAATATCAATTTGCAGAATCCACAAAAATAGAGTTTCAAAGCTGCTCTGTAAAAAGAAAGGTTCCACTCTGTTAGCTGAGTACACACATCACAAACTTGTTTCTGAGAATCCTTCTGTCTCGTTTTTATGGGAAGATATTTACTTTTTCACTGTAGGCATCAAAGCGCTCCACATGTCCACATCCAGATACTACAGAAAGAGTATTTCAAACCTGTCCTATGAAAGGGAATGTTCAACTCTATGAGTTGAATGCAGACATCAGAAAGAAATTTCTGAGAATGCTGCTGTCTACCTTTTATTTGAATTCCCGCTTCCAACGAAATCCTCCAAGCTATCCAAATATCCACTTGCATTTTCCACAAAAAGAGTGTTTCAAAACTGCTCTATCAATAGAAATGTTCAACTCCTTTAGCTGGGTACACACATCACAAACAAGTTTCTGAGAATGCTTCTGTCTAGTTTTTATGGGAAGACATTCCCTTTTTCACCAAAGGCATCAAAGCGCTCCAAATGTCCACTTCCAGACACTACAAAAAGAGTGTTTCAAACGTGCTCTAAGAAAGCGAATGTTCAACTCTGTGAGTTGAATGCAGATATCACAAAGTAGTTTCTGAGAGGGCTTCTGTCTAGATTTTAGATGATGATATTCCCGTTTCCAACGAAATCATTAGAGCTATCCAAATATCCACTTACAGTTTCTACAAAAAGAGAGTTTCCAAACTGCTGCATCAAAAGAGAGGTTCCACTCTGTTAGCTGAGTACACACATCACAAACTTGTTTCTCAGAATCCTTCTGTCTCGTTTTTTATGGGAAGATATTTACTTTTCCACCGTAGGCATCAAAGCGCTCCAAATGTCCACATCCAGATACTCCAGAACGAGTGTTTCAAACCTGCTCTATGAAAGGGAATCTTCAACTCTATGAGTTGAATGCAGACATCAGAAAGAAATTTCTGAGAATGCTGCTGTCTACCTTTTATTTGAATTCCCGCTTCCAACGAAATCCTCCAAGCTATCCAAATATCCACTTGCAGATTCCACAAAAAGAGTGTTTCAAAACTGCTCTCTATCAATGGCAAAGTTCAACTCTGTTAGTTGAGGACACATATCACCAACAAAGGTTTGTCTGAGAATGCTTCTGTCTATTTTTTATGGGAAGATATTTCCTTTTTCACCGTAGGCGTCAAGGCGATCGAAATGTCCACTTCCACAAACTACAAAAGGAGTGCTTCAAACCTGCTCTATGAAAGGCCATGTTCATCTCTATGAGTTGAATGGAAATATCCGAAAGAAATTTCTGGGAATGCTGCTGTCTAGTTTTTATACGAATTCCCGCTTCCAACGAAATCCTCAAAGCAATCCAAATATCCACTTGCAGAATCCACAAAAAGAGTGTTTCAAAACTGCTCTATCAATAGAAAGGTTCAACTCTTTTAGTTGAGTTCACACATCACAAACAAGTTTCTGAGAATGCTTCTGTCTGGCTTTTATTGGAAGACGTTTCCTTTTCACCAAAGGCATCAAAGCGCTCCAAATGTCCACTTCCAGATTCTTCCAAAAGAGTGATTCAAACGTGCTCAAAGTAAGGGAATTTCAACTCTGTGACTTGAATGCAGATATCACCAAGTAGTTTCTAATAGTGCTTCTGTCTACATTTTAGATGATGATATTCCCGTTTCCAACGAAATCGCTAGAGCTATCCAAATATCCAGTTACAGTTTCTACCAAAAGGGTGTTTCCAAATTGCTGCATCAAAAGAAAAGTTCAACTCTGTTAGTTGAGGACACACATCACAAAGAAGTTTGTGAGAATGCTTCTGTCTAGATTTTGTATGACGATATTCCCTTTTCCAACGATATCGTTAAAGCAATCTAAATATCCATTTGCAGAATCCACAAAAATAGAGTTTCAAAGCTGCTCTGTAAAAAGAAAGGTTCCACTCTGTTAGCTGAGTACACACATCACAAACTTGTTTCTGAGAATCCTTCTGTCTCGTTTTTATGGGAAGATATTTACTTTTTCACTGTAGGCATCAAAGCGCTCCAAATGTCCACATCCAGATACTCCAGAAAGAGTGTTTCAAACCTGCTCTATGAAAGGGAATCTTCAACTCTATGAGTTGAATGCAGACATCAGAAAGAAATTTCTGAGAATGCTGCTGTCTACCTTTTATTAGAATTCCCGCTTCCAACGAAATCCTCCAAGCTATCCAAATATCCACCTGCATTTTCCACAAAAAGAGTGTTTCAAAACTGCTCTATCAATAGAAATGTTCAACTCCTTTGGCTGGGTACACACATCACAAACAAGTTTCTGAGAATGCTTCTGTCTAGTTTTTATGGGAAGACGTTCCCTTTTTCACCAAAGCCATCAAAGCGCTCCAAATGTCCACTTCCAGACACTACAAAAAGAGTGTTTCAAACGTGCTCTAAGAAAGCGAATGTTCAACTCTGTGACTTGAATGCAGATATCACAAAGTAGTTTCTGAGAGTGCTTCTGTCTAGATTTTAGATGATGATATTCCCGTTTCCAACGAAATCATTAGAGCTATACAAATATCCACTTACAGTTTCTACAAAAAGAGTGTTTCCAAACTGCTGCATCAAAAGAGAGGTTCCACTCTGTTAGCTGAGTACACACATCACAAACTAGTTTCTCAGAATCCTTCTGTCTCGTTTTTATGGGAAGATATTTACTTTCTCACCGTAGGCATCAAAGCGCTCCAAATGTCCACATCCAGATACTCCAGAAAGAGTGTTTCAAACCTGCTCTATGAAAGGGAATCTTCAACTCTATGAGTTGAATGCAGACATCAGAAAGAAATTTCTGAGAATGCTGCTGTCTACCTTTTATTTGAATTCCCGCTTCCAACGAAATCCTCCAAACTATCCAAATATCCACTTGCAGATTCCACAAAAAGAGTGTTTCAAAACTGCTCTCTATCAATGGCAAAGTTCAACTCTGTTAGTTCAGGACACATATCACCAACAAGTTTCTGAGAATGCTTCTGTCTATTTTTTATGGGAAGATATTTCCTTTTTCACCGTAGGCGTCAAGGCGATCGAAATGTCCACTTCCACAAAATACAAAAAGAGTGTTTCAAACCTGCTCTATGAAAGGCCATGTTCATCTCTATGAGTTGAATGGAAATATCCGAAAGAAATTTCTGGGAATGCTGCTGTCTAGTGTTTATACGAATTCCCGCTTCCAACGAAATCCTCAAAGCAATCCAAATATCCACTTGCAGAATCCACAAAAAGAGTGTTTCTAAACTGCTCTATCAATAGAAAGGTTCAACTCTTTTAGTTGAGTACACACATCACGAACAAGTTTCTGAGAATGCTTCTGTCTGGCTTTTATTGGAAGACGTTTCCTTTTCACCAAAGGCATCAAAGCGCTCCAAATGTCCACTTCCAGATTCTTCCAAAAGAGTGTTTCAAACGTGCTCAAAGTAAGGGAATGTTCAACTCTGTGACTTGAATGCAGATATCACCAAGTAGTTTCTAATAGTGCTTCTGTCTAGATTTTAGATGATGATATTCCCGTTTCCAACGAAATCGTTAGAGCTATCCAAATATCCACTTACAGTTTCTACCAAAAGGGTGTTTCCAAACTGCTGCATCAAAAGAAAGATTCAACTCTGTTAGTTGAGGACACACATCACAAAAAAGTTTGTGAGAATGCTTCTGTCTAGATTTTGTATGACGATATTCCCTTTTCCAACGATATCGTTAAAGCAATCTAAATATCCATTTGCAGAATCCACAAAAATAGAGTTTCAAAGCTGCTCTGTGAAAAGAAAGGTTCCACTCTGTTAGCTGAGTACACACATCACAAACTTGTTTCTCAGAATCCTTCTGTCTCGTTTTTATGGGAAGATATTTACTTTTTCACCGTAGGCATCAAAGCGCTCCAAATGTCCACATCCAGATACTACAGAAAGAGTATTTCAAACCTGCTCTATGAAAGGGAATGTTCAACTCTATGAGTTGAATGCAGACATCAGAAAGAAATTTCTGAGAATGCTGCTGTCTACCTTTTATTTGAATTCACGCTTCCAACGAAATCCTCCAAGCTATCCAAATATCCACTTGCATTTTCCACAAAAAGAGTGTTTCAAAACTGCTCTATCAATAGAAATGTTCAACTCCTTTAGCTGGGTACACACATCACAAACAAGTTTCTGAGAATGCTTCTGTCTAGTTTTTATGGGAAGACATTCCCTTTTTCACCAAAGGCATCAAAGCGCTCCAAATGTCCACTTCCAGACACTACAAAAAGAGTGTTTCAAACGTGCTCTAAGAAAGCGAATGTTCAACTCTGTGACTTGAATGCAGATATCACAAAGTAGTTTCTGAGAGGGCTTCTGTCTAGATTTTAGATGATGATATTCCCGTTTCCAACGAAATCATTAGAGCTATCCAAATATCCACTTACAGTTTCTACAAAAAGAGTGTTTCCAAACTGCTGCATCAAAAGAGAGGTTCCACTCTGTTAGCTGAGTACACACATCACAAACTAGTTTCTCAGAATCCTTCTGTCTCGTTTTTATGGGAAGATATTTACTTTCTCACCATAGGCCTCAAAGCGCTCCAAATGTCCACATCCAGATACTCCAGAAAGAGTGTTTCAAACCTGCTCTATGAAAGGGAATCTTCAACTCTATGAGTTGAATGCAGACATCAGAAAGAAATTTCTGAGAATGCTGCTGTCTACCTTTTATTTGAATTCCCACTTCCAACGAAATCCTCCAAGCTATCCAAATATCCACTTGCAGATTCCACAAAAAGAGTGTTTCAAAACTGCTCTCTATCAATGGCAAAGTTCAACTCTGTTAGTTGAGGACACATATCACCAACAAGTTTCTGAGAATGCTTCTGTCTATTTTTTATGGGAAGATATTTCCTTTTTCACCGTAGGCGTCAAGGTGATCGAAATGTCCACTTCCACAAACTACAAAAAGAGTGTTTCAAACCTGCTCTATGAAAGGTCATGTTCTTCTCTATGAGTTGAATGGAAATATCCGAAAGAAATTTCTGGTAATGCTGCTGTCTAGTTTTTATACGAATTCCCGCTTCCAACGAAATCCTCAAAGCAATCCAAATATCCACTTGCAGAATCCACAAAAAGAGTGTTTCAAAACTGCTCTATCAATAGAAAGGTTCAACTCTTTTAGTTGAGTACACACATCACAAACAAGTTTCTGAGAATGCTTCTGTCGGGCTTTTATTGGAAGACGTTTCCTTTTCACCAAAGGCATCAAAGCGCTCCAAATGTCCACTTCCAGATTCTTCCAAAAGAGTGTTTCAAACGTGCTCAAAGTAAGGGAATGTTCAACTCTGTGACTTGAATGCAGATATCACCAAGTAGTTTCTAATAGTGCTTCTGTCTAGATTTTAGATGATGATATTCCCGTTTCCAACGAAATCGTTAGAGCTATCCAAATATCCAGTTACAGTTTCTACCAAAAGGGTGTTTCCAAATTGCTGCATCAAAAGAAAGGTTCAACTCTGTTAGTTGAGGACACACATCACAAAGAAGTTTGTGAGAATGCTTCTGTCTAGATTTTGTATGACGGTATTCCCTTTTCCAACGATATCGTTAAAGCAATCTAAATATCAATTTGCAGAATCCACAACAATAGAGTTTCAAAGCTGCTCTGTAAAAAGAAAGGTTCCACTCTGTTAGCTGAGTACACACATTACAAACTTGTTTCTGAGAATCCTTCTGTCTCGTTTTTATGGGAAGATATTTACTTTTCCACCGTAGGCATCAAAGCGCTCCAAATGTCCACATCCAGATACTCCAGAAAGAGTGTTTCAAACCTGCTCTATGAAAGGGAATGTTCAACTCTATGAGTTGAATGCAGACATCAGAAAGAAATTTCTGAGAATGCTGCTGTCTACCTTTTATTTGAATTCCCGCTTCCAACGAAATCCTCCAAGCTATCCAAATATCCACCTGCATTTTCCACAACAAGAGTGTTTCAAAACTGCTCTATCAATAGAAATGTTCAACTCCTTTGGCTGGGTACACACATCACAAACAAGTTTCTGAGAATGCTTCTGTCTAGTTTTTATGGGAAGACGTTCCCTTTTTCACCAAAGGCATCAAAGCGCTCCAAATGTCCACTTCCAGACACTACAAAAAGAGTGTTTCAAACGTGCTCTAAGAAAGCGAATGTTCAACTCTGTGACTTGAATGCAGATATCACAAAGTGGTTTCTGAGAGTGCTTCTGTCTAGATTTTAGATGATGATATTCCCGTTTCCAACGAAATCATTAGAGCTATCCAAATATCCACTTACAGTTTCTACAAAAAGAGTGTTTCCAAACTGCTGCATCAAAAGAGAGGTTCCACTCTGTTAGCTGAGTACACACATCACAAACTTGTTTCTCAGAGTCCTGCTGTCTACCTTTTATTTGAATTCCCGCTTCCAACGAAATCCTCCAAGCTATCCAAATATCCACTTGCAGATTCCACAAAAATAGTGTTTCAAAACTGCTCTCTATCAATGGCAAAGTTCAACTCTGTTAGTTGAGGACACATATCACCAACAAGTTTCTGAGAATGCTTCTGTCTATTTTTTATGGGAAGATATATCCTTTTTCACCGTAGGCGTCAAGGCAATCGAAATGTCCACTTCCACAAACTACAAAAAGAGTGTTTCAAACCTGCTCTATGAAAGGCCATGTTCATCTCTATGAGTCGAATGGAAATATCCGAAAGAAATTTCTGGGAATGCTGCTGTCTAGTTTTTATACGAATTCCCGCTTCCAACGAAATCCTCAAAGCAATCCAAATATCCACTTGCAGAATCCACAAAAAGAGTGTTTCAAAACTGCTCTATCAATAGAAAGGTTCAACTCTTTTAGTTGAGTACACACATCACAAACAAGTTTCTGAGAATGCTTCTGTCTGGCTTTTATTGGAAGACGTTTCCTTTTCACCAAAGGCATCAAAGCGCTCCAAATGTCCACTTCCAGATTCTTCCAAAAGAGTGTTTGAAACGTGCTCAAAGTAAGGGAATGTTCAACTGCTGTGACTTGAATGCAGATATCACCAAGTAGTTTCTAATAGTGCTTCTGTCTACATTTTGATGATGATATTCCCGTTTCCAACGAAATCGTTAGAGCTATCCAAATATCCAGTTAGTTTCTACCAAAAGGGTGTTTCCAAATTGCTGCATCAAAAGAAAGGTTCAACTCTGTTAGTTGAGGACACACATCACAAAGAAGTTTGTGAGAATGCTTCTGTCTAGATTTTGTATGACGATATTCCCTTTTCCAACGATATCGTTAAAGCAATCTAAATATCAATTTGCAGAATCCACAAAAATAGAGTTTCAAAGCTGCTCTGTAAAAAGAAAGGTTCCACTCTGTTAGCTGAGTACACACATCACAAACTTGTTTCTCAGAATCCTGCTGTCTACCTTTTATTTGAATTCCCGCTTCCAACGAAATCCTCCAAGCTATCCAAATATCCACCTGCATTTTCCACAAAAAGAGTGTTTCAAAACTGCTCTATCAATAGAAATGTTCAACTCCTTTGGCTGGGTACACACATCACAAACAAGTTTCTGAGCATGCTTCTGTCTAGTTTTTATGGGAAGACATTCCCTTTTTCACCAAAGGCATCAAAGCGCTCCAAATGTCCACTTCCAGACACTACAAAAAGAGTGTTTCAAACGTGCTCTAAGAAAACGAATGTTCAACTCTGTGACTTGAATGCAGATATCACAGAGTAGTTTTCTGAGAGGGCTTCTGTCTAGATTTTAGATGATGATATTCCCGTTTCCAACGAAATCATTAGAGCTATCCAAATATCCACTTACAGTTTCTACAAAAAGAGTGTTTCCAAACTGCTGCATCAAAAGAGAGGTTCCACTCTGTTAGCTGAGTACACACAGCACAAACTTGTTTCTCAGAATCCTTCTGTCTCGTTTTTATGGGAAGATATTTACTTTTTCACCGTAGGCATCAAAGCGCTCCAAATGTCCACATCCAGATACTCCAGAAAGAGTGTTTCAAACCTGCTCTATGAAACGGAATCTTCAACTCTATGAGTTGAATGCAGACATCAGAAAGAAATTTCTGAGAATGCTGCTGTCTACCTTTTATTTGAATTCCCGCTTCCAACGAAATCCTCCAAGCTATCCAAATATCCACTTGCAGATTCCACAAAAAGAGTGTTTCAAAACTGCTCTCTATCAATGGCAAAGTTCAACTCTGTTAGTTGAGGACACATATCACCAACAAGTTTCTGAGAATGCTTCTGTCTATTTTTTATGGGAAGATATTTCCTTTTTCACCGTAGGCGTCAAGGCGATCGAAATGTCCACTTCCACAAACTACAAAAAGAGTGTTTCAAACCTGCTCTATGAAAGGCCATGTTCATCTCTATGAGTCGAATGGAAATATCCGAAAGAAATTTCTGGGAATGCTGCTGTCTAGTTTTTATACGAATTCCCGCTTCCAACGAAATCCTCAAAGCAATCCAAATATCCACTTGCAGAATCCACAAAAAGAGTGTTTCAAAACTGCTCTATCAATAGAAAGGTTCAACTCTTTTAGTTGAGTACACACATCACAAACAAGTTTCTGAGAATGCTTCTGTCTGGCTTTTATTGGAAGACGTTTCCTTTTCACCAAAGGCATCAAAGCGCTCCAAATGTCCACTTCCAGATTCTTCCAAAAGAGTGTTTCAAACGTGCTCAAAGTAAGGGAATGTTCAACTCTGTGACTTGAATGCAGATATCACCAAGTAGTTTCTAATAGTGCTTCTGTCTAAATTTTAGATGACGATATTCCCGTTTCCAACGAAATCGTTACAGCTATCCAATTATCCACTTACAGTTTCTACAAAAAGAGTGTTTCCAAACTGCTGCATCAAAAGAAAGGTTCAACTCTGTTAGTTGAGGACACACATCACAAAGAAGTTTGTGAGAATGCTTCTGTCCAGATTTTGTATGACGATATTCCCTTTTCCAACGATATCATTAAAGCAATCTAAATATCCATTTGCAGAATCCACAAAAATAGAGTTTCAAAGCTGCTCTGTAAAAAGAAAGGTTCCACTCTGTTAGCTGAGTACACACATCACATACTTGTCTCTCAGAATCCTTCTGTCTCGTTTTTATGGGAAGATATTTACTTTTCCACCGTAGGCATCAAAGCGCTCCAAATGTCCACATCCAGATACTCCAGAAAGAGTGTTTCAAACCTGCTCTATGAAAGGGAATCTTCAACTCTATGAGTTGAATGCAGACATCACAAAGAAATTTCTGAGAATGCTCCTGTCTACCTTTTATTTGAATTCCCGCTTCCAACGAAATCCTCCAAGCTATCCAAATATCCACTTGCATTTTCCACAAAAAGAGTGTTTCAAAACTGCTCTATCAATAGAAATGTTCAACTCCTTTAGCTGGGTACACACATCACAAACAAGTTTCTGAGAATGCTTCTGTCTAGTTTTTATGGGAAGACCATTCCCTTTTTCACCAAAGGCATCAAAGCGCTCCAAATGTCCACTTCCAGACACTACAAAAAGAGTGTTTCCAACGTGCTCTAAGAAAGCGAATGTTCAACTCTGTGACTTGCATGCAGATATCACAAAGTAGTTTCTGAGAGGGCTTCTGTCTAGATTTTAGATGATGATATTCCCGTTTCCAACGAAATCATTAGAGCTATCCAAATATCCACTTACAGTTTCTACAAAAAGAGTGTTTCCAAACTGCTGCATCAAAACAGAGGTTCCACTCTGTTAGCTGAGTACACACATCACAAACTAGTTTCTCAGAATCCTTCTGTCTCGTTTTTATGGGAAGATATTTACTTTTTCACCGTAGGCATCAAAGCGCTCCAAATGTCCACATCCAGATACTCCAGAAAGAGTGTTTCAAACCTGCTCTATGAAAGGGAATGTTCAACTCTATGAGTTGAATGCAGACATCAGAAAGAAATTTCTGAGAATGCTGCTGTCTACCTTTTATTTGAATTCCCGCTTCCAACGAAATCCTCCAAGCTATCCAAATATCCACCTGCATTTTCCACAACAAGAGTGTTTCAAAACTGCTCTCTATCAATGGCAAAGTTCAACTCTGTTAGTTGAGGACACATATCACCAACAAGTTTCTGAGAATGCTTCTGTCTATTTTTTATGGGAAGATAATTCCTTTTTCAGCGTAGGCGTCAAGGCGATCGAAATGTCCACTTCCACAAACTACAAAAAGAGTGTTTCAAACCTGCTCTATGAAAGGCCATGTTCATCTCTATGAGTTGAATGGAAATATCCGAAAGAAATTTCTGGGAATGCTGCTGTCTAGTTTTTATATGAATTCCCGCTTCCAACGAAATCCTCAAAGCAATCCAAATATCCACTTGCAGAATCCACAAAAAGAGTGTTTCAAAACTGCTCTATCAATAGAAAGGTTCAACTCTTTTAGTTGAGTACACACATCACCAACAAGTTTCTGAGAATGCTTCTGTCTGGCTTTTATTGGAAGACGTTTCCTTTTCACCAAAGGCATCAAAGCGCTCCAAATGTCCACTTCCAGATTCTTCCAAAGGAGTGTTTCAAACGTGCTCGAAGTAAGGGAATGTTCTACTCTGTGACTTGAATGCAGATATCACCAAGTAGTTTCTAATAGTGCTTATCTGTCTAGATTTTAGATGATGATATTCCCGTTTCCAACGAAATCGTTAGAGCTAAGCAAATATCCAGTTACAGTTTCTACAAAAAGGGTGTTTCCAAATTGCTGCATCAAAAGAAAGGTTCAACTCGGTTAGTTGAGGACACACACCACAAAGAAGTTTGTGAGAATGCTTCTGTCTAGATTTTGTATGACGATATTCCCTTTTCCAACGATATCGTTAAAGCAATCTAAATATCAATTTGCAGAATCCACAAAAATAGAGTTTCAAAGCTGCTCTGTAAAAAGAAAGGTTCCACTCTGTTAGCTGAGTACACACATCACAAACTTGTTTCTGAGAATCCTTGTCTGTCTCGTTTTTATGGGAAGATATTTACTTTTCCACCGTAGACATCAAAGCGCTCCAAATGTCCACATCCAGATACTCCAGAACGAGTGTTTCAAACCTGCTCTATGAAAGGGAATCTTCAACTCTATGAGTTGAATGCAGACATAAGAAAGAAATTTCTGAGAATGCTGCTGTCTAACTTTTATTTGAATTCCCGCTTCCAACGAAATCCTCCAAGCTATCCAAATATCCACCTGCATTTTCCACAAAAAGAGTGTTTCAAAACTGCTCTATCAATAGAAATGTTCAACTCCTTTGGCTGGGTACACACATCACAAACAAGTTTCTGAGAATGCTTCTGTCTAGTTTTTATGGGAAGACATTCCCTTTTTCACCAAAGGCATCAAAGCGCTCCAAATGTCCACTTCCAGACACTACAAAAAGAGTGTTTCCAACGTGCTCTAAGAAAGCGAATGTTCAACTGCTGTGACTTGAATGCAGATATCACAAAGTAGTTTCTGAGAGGGCTTCTGTCTAGATTTTAGATGATGATATTCCCGTTTCCAACGAAATCATTAGAGCTATCCAAATATCCACTTACAGTTTCTACAAAAAGAGTGTTTCCAAACTGCTGCATCAAAAGAGAGGTTCCACTCTGTTAGCTGAGTACACACATCACAAACTTGTTTCTCAGAATCCTTCTGTCTCGTTTTTATGGGAAGATATTTACTTTTTCATCGTAGGCATCAAAGCGCTCCAAATGTCCACATCCAGATACTCCAGAAAGAGTGTTTCAAACCTGCTCTATGAAAGGGAATGTTCAACTCTATGAGTTGAATGCAGACATCAGAAAGAAATTTCTGAGAATGCTGCTGTCTACCTTTTATTTGAATTCCCGCTTCCAACGAAATCCTCCAAGCTATCCAAATATCCACTTGCAGATTCCACAAAAAGAGTGTTTCAAAACTGCTCTCTATCAATGGCAAAGTTCAACTCTGTTAGTTGAGGACACATATCACCAACAAGTTTCTGAGAATGCTTCTGTCTATTTTTTATGGGAAGATATTTCCTTTTTCACCGTAGGCGTCAAGGCGATCGAAATGTCCACTTCCACAAACTACAAAAAGAGTGTTTCAAACCTGCTCTATGAAAGGCCATGTTCATCTCTATGAGTTGAATGGAAATATCCGAAAGAAATTTCTGGGAATGCTGCTGTCTAGTGTTTATACGAATTCCCGCTTCCAACGAAATCCTCAAAGCAATCCAAATATCCACTTGCAGAATCCACAAAAAGAGTGTTTCAAAACTGCTCTATCAATAGAAAGGTTCATCTCTTTTAGTTGAGTACACACATCACGAACAAGTTTCTGAGAATGCTTCTGTCTGGCTTTTATTGGAAGACGTTTTCTTTTCACCAAAGGCATCATCAAAGCGCTACAAATGTCCACTTCCAGATTCTTCCAAAAGAGTGTTTCAAACGTGCTCAAAGTAAGGGAATGTTCAACTCTGTGACTTGAATGCAGATATCACCAAGTAGTTTCTAATAGTGCTTCTGTCTAGATTTTAGATGATGATATTCCCGTTTCCAACGAAATCGTTAGAGCTAAGCAAATATCCAGTTACAGTTTCTACAAAAAGGGTGTTTCCAAATTGCTGCATCAAAAGAAAGGTTCAACTCTGTTAGTTGAGGACACACACCACAAAGAAGTTTGTGAGAATGCTTCTGTCTAGATTTTGTATGACGATATTCCCTTTTCCAACGATATCGTTAAAGCAATCTAAATATCAATTTGCAGAATCCACAAAAATAGAGTTTCAAAGCTGCTCTGTAAAAAGAAAGGTTCCACTCTGTTAGCTGAGTACACACATCACAAACTTGATTCTGAGAATCCTTCTGTCTCGTTTTTATGGGAAGATATTTACTTTTCCACCGTAGGCATCAAAGCGCTCCAAATGTCCACATCCAGATGCTCCAGAACGAGTGTTTCAAACCTGCTCTATGAAAGGGAATCTTCAACTCTATGAGTTGAATGCAGACATCAGAAAGAAATTTCTGAGAATGCTGCTGTCTACCTTTTATTTGAATTCCCGCTTCCAACGAAATCCTCCAAGCTATCCAAATATCCACTTGCATTTTCCACAAAAAGAGTGTTTCAAAACTGCTCTATCAATAGAAATGTTCAACTCCTTTAGCTGGGTACACACATCACAAACAAGTTTCTGAGAATGCTTCTGTCTAGTTTTTATGGGAAGACGTTCCCTTTTTCACCAAAGGCATCAAAGCGCTCCAAATGTCCACTTCCAGACACTACAAAAAGAGTGTTTCAAACGTGCTCTAAGAAAGCGAATGTTCAACTCTGTGACTTGAATGCAGATATCACAAAGTAGTTTGCTGAGAGGGCTTTCTGTCTAGATTTTAGATGATGATATTCCCGTTTCCAACGAAATCATTAGAGCTATTCAAATATCCACTTACAGTTTCTACAAAAAGAGTGTTTCCAAACTGCTGCATCAAAACAGAGGTTCCACTCTGTTAGCTGAGTACACACATCACAAACTTGTTTCTCAGAATCCTTCTGTCTCGTTTTTATGGGAAGATATTTACTTTTTCACCGTAGGCATCAAAGCGCTCCAAATGTCCACATCCAGATACTCCAGAAAGAGTGTTTCAAACCTGCTCTATGAAAGGGAATCTTCAACTCTATGAGTTGAATGCAGACATCAGAAAGAAATTTCTGAGAATGTTGCTGTCTACCTTTTATTTGAATTCCCGCTTCCAACGAAATCCTCCATGCTATCCAAATATACACTTGCAGATTCCACAAAAAGAGTGTTTCAAAACTGCTCTCTATCAATGGCAAAGTTCAACTCTGTTAGTTGAGGACACATATCACCAACAAGTTTCTGAGAATGCTTCTGTCTATTTTTTATGGGAAGATATTTCCTTTTTCACCGTAGGCGTCAAGGCGATCGAAATGTCCACTTCCACAAACTACAAAAAGAGTGTTTCAAACCTGCTCTATGAAAGGCCATGTTCATCTCTATGAGTTGAATGGAAATATCCGAAAGAAATTTCTGGGAATGCTGCTGTCTAGTTTTTATACGAATTACCGCTTCCAACGAAATCCTCAAAGCAATCCAAATATCCACTTGCAGAATCCACAAAAAGAGTGTTTCAAAACTGCTCTATCAATAGAAAGGTTCAAATCTTTTAGTTGAGTACACACATCATGAACAAGTTTCTGAGAATGCTTCTGTCTGGCTTTTATTGGAAGACGTTTCCTTTTCACCAAAGGCATCAAAGCGCTCCAAATGTCCACTTCCAGATTCTTCCAAAAGAGTGTTTCAAACGTGCTCAAAGTAAGGGAATGTTCAACTCTGTGACTTGAACGCAGATATCACCAAGTAGTTTCTAATAGTGCTTCTGTCTAGATTTTAGATGATGATATTCCCGTTTCCAACGAAATCGTTAGAGCTATCCAAATATCCACTTACAGTTTCTACAAAAAGAGTGTTTCCAAACTGCTGCATCAAAAGAAAGGTTCAACTCTGTTAGTTGAGGACACACATCACAAAGAAGTTTGTGAGAATGCTTCTGTCCAGATTTTGTATGACGATATTCCCTTTTCCAACGATATCGTTAAAGCAATCTAAATATCCATTTGCAGAATCCACAAAAATAGAGTTTCAAAGCTGCTCTGTAAAAAGAAAGGTTCCACTCTGTTAGCTGAGTACACACATCACAAACTTGTCTCTCAGAATCCTTGTCTGTCTCGTTTTTATGGGAAGATATTTACTTTTTCACCGTAGGCATCAAAGCGCTCCAAATGTCCACATCCAGATACTCCAGAAAGAGTGTTTCAAACCTGCTCTATGAAAGGGAATCTTCAACTTTATGAGTTGAATGCAGACATCAGAAAGAAATTTCTGAGAATGCTGCTGTCTACCTTTTATTTGAATTCCCGCTTCCAACGAAATCCTCCAAGCTATCCAAATATCCACTTGCATTTTCCACAAAAAGAGTGTTTCAAAACTGCTCTATCAATAGAAATGTTCAACTCCTTTGGCTGGGTACACACATCACAAACAAGTTTCTGAGAATGCTTCTGTCTAGTTTTTATGGGAAGACATTCCCTTTTTCACCAAAGGCATCAAAGCGCTCCAAATGTCCACTTCCAGACACTACAAAAAGAGTGTTTCCAACGTGCTCTAAGAAAGCGAATGTTCAACTCTGTGACTTGAATGCAGATATCACAAAGTAGTTTCTCAGAAGGCTTCTGTCTAGATTTTAGATGATGATATTCCCGTTTCCAACGAAATCATTAGAGCTATCCAAATATCCACTTACAGTTTCTACAAAAAGAGTGTTTCCAAACTGCTGCATCAAAAGAGAGGTTCCACTCTGTTAGCTGAGTACACACATCACAAACTTGTTTCTCAGAATCCTTCTGTCTCGTTTTTATGGGAAGATATTTACTTTTTCACCGTAGGCATCCAAGCGCTCCAAATGTCCACATCCAGATACTCCAGAAAGAGTGTTTCAAACCTGCTCTATGAAAGGGAATCTTCAACTCTATGAGTTGAATGCAGACATCAGAAAGAAATTTCTGAGAATGCTGCTGTCTACCTTTTATTTGAATTCCTGCTTCCAACGAAATCCTCCAAGCTATCCAAATATCCACTTGCAGATTCCACAAAAAGAGTGTTTCAAAACTGCTCTCTATCAATGGCAAAGTTCAACTCTGTTAGTTGAGGACACATATCACCAACAAGTTTCTGAGAATGCTTCTGTCTATTGTTTATGGGAAGATATTTCCTTTTTCACTGTAGGCGTCACGGCGATCGAAATGTCCACTTCCACAAACTACAAAAAGAGTGTTTCAAACCTGCTCTATGAAAGGCGATGTTCATCTCTATGAGTTGAATGGAAATATCCGAAAGAAATTTCTGGGAATGCTGCTGTCTAGTTTTTATATGAATTCCCGCTTCCAACGAAATCCTCAAAGCAATCCAAATATCCACTTGCAGAATCCACAAAAAGAGTGTTTCAAAACTGCTCTATCAATAGAAAGGTTCAACTCTTTTAGTTGAGTACACACATCACAAACAAGTTTACTGAGAATGCTTCTGTCTGGCTTTTATTAGAAGACGTTTCCTTTTCACCAAAGGCATCATCAAAGCGCTCCAAATGTCCACTTCCAGATTCTTCCAAAAGAGTGTTTGAAACGTGCTCAAAGTAAGGGAATGTTCAACTCTGTGACTTGAATGCAGATATCACCAAGTAGTTTCTAATACTTGCTTCTGTCTAGATTTTAGATGATGATATTCCCGTTTCCAACGAAATCGTTAGAGCTATCCAAATATCCACTTACAGTTGCTACAAAAACAGTGTTTCCAAACTGCTGCATCAAAAGAAAGGTTCAACTCTGTTAGTTGAGGACACACGTCACAAAGAAGTTTGTGAGAATGCTTCTGTCTAGATTTTGTATGACGATATTCCCTTTTCCAACGATATCGTTAAAGCAATCTAAATATCAATTTGCAGAATCCACAAAAATAGAGTTTCAAAGCTGCTCTGTAAAAAGAAAGGTTCCACTCTGTTAGCTGAGTACACACATCACAAACTTGTTTCTCAGAATCCTTCTGTCTCGTTTTTATGGGAAGATATTTACTTTTCCACCGTAGGCATCAAAGCGCTCCAAATGTCCACATCCAGATACTCCAGAACGAGTGTTTCAAACCTGCTCTATGAAAGGGAATCTTCAACTCTATGAGTTGAATGCAGACATCAGAAAGAAATTTCTGAGAATGCTGCTGTCTACCTTTTATTTGAATTCCCGCTTCCAACGAAATCCTCCAAGCTATCCAAATATCCACCTGCATTTTCCACAAAAAGAGTGTTTCAAAACTGCTCTATCAATAGAAATGTTCAACTCCTTTAGCTGGGTACACACATCACAAACAAGTTTCTGAGAATGCTTCTGTCTAGTTTTTATGGGAAGACATTCCCTTTTTCACCAAAGGCATCAAAGCGCTCCAAATGTCCACTTCCAGACACTACAAAAAGAGTGTTTCCAACGTGCTCTAAGAAAGCGAATGTTCAACTCTGTGACTTGAATGCAGATATCACAAAGTAGTTTCTGAGAGGGCTTCTGTCTAGATTTTAGATGATGATATTCCCGTTTCCAACGAAATCATTAGAGCTATCCAAACATCCACTTACAGTTTCTACAAAAAGAGTGTTTCCAAACTGCTGCTTCAAAAGAAAGGTTCAACTCTGTTAGTTGAGGACACACATCACAAAGAAGTTTGTGAGAATGCTTCTGTCTCGTTTTTATGGGAAGATTATACTTTTTCACCGTAGGCATCAAAGCGCTCCAAATGTCCACATCCAGATACTCCAGAAAGAGTGTTTCAAACCTGCTCTATGAAAGGGAATGTTCAACTCTATGAGTTGAATGCAGACATCAGAAAGAAATTTCTGAGAATGCTGCTGTCTACCTTTTATTTGAATTCCCGCTTCCAACGAAATCCTCCAAGCTATCCAAATATCCACTTGCAGATTCCACAAAAAGAGTGTTTCAAAACTGCTCTCTATCAATGGCAAAGTTCAACTCTGTTAGTTGAGGACACATATCACCAACAAGTTTCTGAGAATGCTTCTGTCTATTTTTTATGGGAAGATATTTCCTTTTTCAGCGTAGGCGTCAAGGCGATCGAAATGTCCACTTCCACAAACTACAAAAAGAGTGTTTCAAACCTGCTCTATGAAAGGCCATGTTCATCTCTATGAGTTGAATGGAAATATCCGAAAGAAATTTCTGGGAATGCTGCTGTCTAGTGTTTATACGAATTCCCGCTTCCAACGAAATCCTCAAAGCAATCGAAATATCCACTTGCAGAATCCACAAAAAGAGTGTTTCAAAACTGCTCTATCAATAGAAAGGTTCAACTCTTTTAGTTGAGTACACACATCACGAACAAGTTTCTGAGAAGGCTTCTGTCTGGCTTTTATTGGAAGACGTTTCCTTTTCACCAAAGGCATCAAAGCGCTCCAAATGTCCACTTCCAGATTCTTCCAAAAGAGTGTTTCAAACGTGCTCGAAGTAAGGGAATGTTCTACTCTGTGACTTGAATGCAGATATCACCAAGTAGTTTCTAATAGTGCTTCTGTCTAGATTTTAGATGATGATATTCCCGTTTCCAACGAAATCGTTAGAGCTATCCAAATATCCACTTACAGTTTCTACCAAAAGGGTGTTTCCAAATTGCTGCATCAAAAGAAAGGTTCAACTCTGTTAGTTGAGGACACACATCACAAAGAAGTTTGTGAGAATGCTTCTGTCTAGTATTTTGTATGACGATATTCCCTTTTCCAACGATATCGTTAAAGCAATCTAAATATCAATTTGCAGAATCCACAAAAATAGAGTTTCAAAGCTGCTCTGTAAAAATAAAGGTTCCACTCTGTTAGCTGAGTACACACATCACAAACTTGTTTCTGAGAATCCTTCTGTCTCGTTTTTATGGGAAAATATTTACTTTTCCACCGTAGGCATCAAAGCGCTCCAAATGTCCACATCCAGATACTCCAGAAAGAGTGTTTCAAACCTGCTCTATGAAAGGGAATCTTCAACTCTATGAGTTGAATGCAGACATCAGAAAGAAATTTCTGAGAATGCTGCTGTCTACCTTTTATTTGAATTCCCGCTTCCAACGAAATCCTCCTAGCTATCCAAACATCCACTTGCATTTTCCACAAAAAGAGTGTTTCAAAACTGCTCTATCAATAGAAACGTTCAACTCCTTTAGCTGGGTACACACATCACAAACAAGTTTCTGAGAACGCTTCTGTCTAGTTTTTATGGGAAGACATTCCCTTTTTCACCAAAGGCATCAAAGCGCTCCAAATGTCCACTTCCAGACACTACGAAAAGAGTGTTTCAAACGTGCTCTAAGAAACCGAATGTTCAACTCTGTGAGTTGAATGCAGATATCACAAAGTAGTTTCTGAGAGGGCTTCTGTCTAGATTTTAGATGATGATATTCCCGTTTCCAACGAAATCATGATAGCTATCCAAATATCCACTTACAGTTTCTACAAAAAGAGTGTTTCCAAACTGCTGCATCAAAACAGAGGTTCCACTCTGTTAGCTGAGTACACACATCACAAACTTGTTTCTGAGAATCCTGCTGTCTACCTTTTATTTGAATTCCCGCTTCCAACGAAATCCTCCAAGCTATCCAAATATCCACTTGCATTTTCCACAAAAAGAGTGTTTCAACACTGCTCTATCAATAGAAATGTTCAACTCCTTTAGCTAGGTACACACATCACAAACAAGTTTCTGAGAATGCTTTTGTCTATTTTTTATGGGAAGATATTTCCTTTTTCACCGTAGGCGTCAAGGCGATCGAAATGTCCACTTCCACAAACTACAAAAAGAGTGTTTCAAACCTGCTCTATGAAAGGCCATGTTCATCTCTATGAGTTGAATGGAAATATCCGAAAGAAATTTCTGGGAATGCTGCTGTCTAGTTTTTATATGAATTCCCGCTTCCAACGAAATCCTCAAAGCAATCCAAATATCCACTTGCAGAATCCACAAAAAGAGTGTTTCAAAACTGTGCTATCAATAGAAAGGTTCAACTCTTTTAGTTGAGTACACACATCACGAACAAGTTTCTGAGAATGCTTCTGTCTGGCTTTTATTGGAAGACGTTTCCTTTTCACCAAAGGCATCAAAGCGCTCCAAATGTCCACTTCCAGATTCTTCCAAAAGAGTGTTTCAAACGTGGTCGAAGTAAGGGAGTGTTCAACTCTGTGACTTGAATGCTGATATCACCAAGTAGTTTCTAATAGTGCTCTGTCTAGATTTTAGATGATGATATTCCCGTTTCCAACGAAATCGTTAGAGCTATCCAAATATCCACTTACAGTTGCTACAAAAACAGTGTTTCCAAACTGCTGCATCAAAAGAAAGGTTCAACTCTGTTAGTTGAGGACACACATCACAAAGAAGTTTGTGAGAATGCTCTCTGTCTAGGATTTTGTATGACGATATTCCCTTTTCCAACGATATCGTTAAAGCAATCTAAATATCAATTTGCAGAATCCACAAAAATAGAGTTTCAAAGCTGCTCTGTAAAAAGAAAGGTTCCACTCTGTTAGCTGAGTACACACATCACAAACTTGTTTCTCAGAATCCTGCTGTCTACCTTTTATTTGAATTCCCGCTTCCAACGAAATCCTCCAAGCTATCCAAATATCCACTTGCATTTTCCACAAAAAGAGTGTTTCAAAACTGCTCTATCAATGGAAATGTTCAACTCCTTTAGCTGGGTACACACATCACAAACAAGTTTCTGAGAATGCTTCTGTCTAGTTTTTATGGGAAGACATTTCCTTTTTCGCCAAAGGCATCAAAGAGCTCCAAATGTCCACTTCCAGATACTACAAAAAGTGTGTTTCAAAAGTGCTGTAAGAAAGCGAATGTTCAACTCTGTGACTTGAATGCAGATATCGCAAAGTAGTTTCTGAGAGCGCTTCTGTCTAGATTTTAGATGATGATATTCCCGTTTCCAACGAAATCATTAGAGCTATCCAAATATCCACTTACAGTTTCTACAAAAAGAGTGTTTCCAAACTGCTGCGTCAAAAGAGAGGTTCCACTCTGTTAGCTGAGTACACACATCACAAACTTGTTTCTGAGAATCCTTCTGTCTCGTTTTTATGGGAAGATATTTACTTTTTCACCGTAGGCATCAAAGCGCTCCAAATGTCCACATCCAGATACTCCAGAAAGAGTGTTTCAAACCTGCTCTACGAAAGGGAATGTTCAACTCTATGAGTTGAATGCAGACATCAGAAAGAAATTTCTGAGAATGCTGCTGTCTACCTTTTATTTGAATTCCCGCTTCCAACGAAATCCTCCAAGCTATCCAAATATCCACTTGCAGATTCCACAAAAAGAGTGTTTCAAAACTGCTCTCTATCAATGGCAAAGTTCAACTCTGTTAGTTGAGGACACATATCACCAACAAGTTTCTGAGAATGCTTCTGTCTATTTTTTATGGGAAGATATTTCCTTTTTCACCGTAGGCGTCAAGGCGATCGAAATGTCCACTTCCACAAACTACAAAAAGAGTGTTTCAAACCTGCTCTATGAAAGGCCATGTTCATCTCTATGAGTTGAATGGAAATATCCGAAAGAAATTTCTGGGAATGCTGCTGTCTAGTTTTTATACGAATTCACGCTTCCAACGAAATCCTCAAAGCAATCCAAATATCCACTTGCAGAATCCACAAAAAGAGTGTTTCAAAACTGCTCTATCAATAGAAAGGTTCAACTCTTTTAGTTGAGTACACACATCACAAACAAGTTTCTGAGAATGCTTCTGTCTGGCTTTTATTGGAAGACGTTTCCTTTTCACCAAAGGCATCAAAGCGCTCCAAATGTCCACTTCCAGATTCTTCCAAAAGAGTGTTTCAAACGTGCTCAAAGTAAGGGAATGTTCAACTCTTTGACTTGAATGCAGATATCACCAAGTAGTTTCTAATAGTGCTTCTGTCTAGATTTTAGATGACGATATTCCCGTTTCCAACGAAATCGTTAGAGCTATCCAAATATCCACTTACAGTTTCTACAAAAAGAGTGTTTCCAAACTGCTGCATCAAAAGAAAGGTTCAACTCTGTTAGTTGAGGACACACATCACAAAGAAGTTTGTGAGAATGCTTCTGTCTAGATTTTGTATGACCATATTCCCTTTTCCAGCGATATCGTTAAAGCAATCTAAATATCCATTTGCAGAATCCACAAAAATAGAGTTTCAAAGCTGCTCTGTAAAAAGAAAGGTTCCACTCTGTTAGCTGAGTACACACATCACAAACTTGTTTCTGAGAATCCTTCTGTCTCGTTTTTATGGGAAGATATTTACTTTTTCACCGTAGGCATCAAAGCGCTCCAAATGTCCACATCCAGATACTCCAGAAAGTGTTTCAAACCTGCTCTATGAAAGGGAATCTTCAACTCTATGAGTTGAATGCAGACATCAGAAAGAAATTTCTGAGAATGCTGCTGTCTACCTTTTATTTGAATTCCCGCTTCCAACGAAATCCTCCAAGCTATCCAAATATCCACTTGCATTTTCCACAAAAAGAGTGTTTCAAAACTGCTGTATCAATAGAAATGTTCAACTCCTTTAGCTGGGTACACACATCACAAACAAGTTTCTGAGAATGCTTCTGTCTAGTTTTTATGGGAAGATATTCCCTTTTTCACCAAAGGCATCAAAGCGCTCCAAATGTCCACTTCCAGACACTACAAAAAGAGTGTTTCAAACGTGCTCTAAGAAAGCGAATGTTCAACTCTGTGACTTGAATGCAGATATCACAAAGTAGTTTTTGAGAGGGCTTCTGTCTAGATTTTAGATGATGATATTCCCGTTTCCAACGAAATCATTAGAGCTATCCAAATATCCACTTACAGTTTCTACAAAAAGAGTGTTTCCAAACTGCTGCATCAAAAGAGAGGTTCCACTCTGTTAGCTGAGTACACACATCACAAACTTGTTTCTCAAGAATCCTGCTGTCTACCTTTTATTTGAATTCCCGCTTCCAACGAAATCCTCCAAGCTATCCAAATATCCACTTGCAGATTCCACAAAAAGAGTGTTTCAAAACTGCTCTCTATCAATGGCAAAGTTCAACTCTGTTAGTTGAGGACACATATCATCAACAAGTTTCTGAGAATGTTTCTGTCTATTTTTTAAGGGAAGATATTTCCTTTTTCACCGTAGGCGTCAAGGCGATCGAAATGTCCACTTCCACAAACTACAAAAAGAGTGTTTCAAACCTGCTCTATGAAAGGCCATGTTCATCTCTATGAGTTGAATGGAAATATCCGAAAGAAATTTCTGGGAATGCTGCTGTCTAGTGTTTATACGAATTCCCGCTTCCAACGAAATCCTCAAAGCAATCCAAATATCCACTTGCAGAATCCACAAAAAGAGTGTTTCAAAACTGCTCTATCAATAGAAAGGTTCAACTCTTTTAGTTGAGTACACACATCACGAACAAGTTTCTGAGAATGCTTCTGTCTGGCTTTTATTGGAAGACGTTTCCTTTTCACCAAAGGCATCAAAGCGCTCCAAATGTCCACTTCCAGATTCTTCCAGAAGAGTGTTTCAAACGTGCTCAAAGTAAGGGAATGTTCAACTCTGTGACTTGAATGCAGATATCACCAAGTAGTTTCTAATAGTGCTTCTGTCTAGATTTTAGATGATGATATTCCCGTTTCCAACGAAATCGTTAGAGCTATCCAAATATCCACTTACAGTTGCTACAAAAACAGTGTTTCCAAACTGCTGCATCAAAAGAAAGGTTCAACTCTGTTAGTTGAGGACACACGTCACAAAGAAGTTTGTGAGAATGCTTCTGTCCAGATTTTGTATGACGATATTCCCTTTTCCAATGATATCGTTAAAGCAATCTAAATATCCATTTGCAGAATCCACAAAAATAGAGTTTCAAAGCTGCTCTGTGAAAAGAAAGGTTCCACTCTGTTAGCTGAGTACACACATCACAAACTTGTTTCTGAGAATCCTTCTGTCTCGTTTTTATGGGAAGATATTTACTTTTTCACCGTAGGCATCAAAGCGCTCCAAATGTCCACATCCAGATACTCCAGAAAGAATGTTTCAAACCTGCTCTATGAAAGGGAATCTTCAACTCTATGAGTTGAATGCAGACATCAGAAAGAAATTTCTGAGAATGCTGCTGTCTACCATTTATTTGAATTCCCGCTTCCAACGAAATCTTCCAACCTATCCAAATATCCACCTGCATTTTCCACAAAAAGAGTGTTTCAAAACTGCTCTATCAATAGAAATGTTCAACTCCTTTAGCTAGGTACACACATCACAAACAAGTTTCTGAGAATGCTTCTGTCTAGTTTTTATGGGAAGACATTCCCTTTTTCACCAAAGGCATCAAAGCGCTCCAAATGTCCACTTCCAGACACTACAAAAAGAGTGTTTCCAACGTGCTCTAAGAAAGCAAATGTTCAACTCTGTGACTTGAATGCAGATATCACAAAGTAGTTTCTGAGAGGGCTTCTGTCTAGATTTTAGATGATGATATTCCCGTTTCCAACGAAATCATTAGAGCTATCCAAATATCCACTTACAGTTTCTACAAAAAGAGTGTTTCCAAACTGCTGCATCAAAAGAGAGGTTCCACTCTGTTAGCTGAGTACACACATCACAAACTTGTTTCTCAGAATCCTTCTGTCTCGTTTTTATGGGAAGATATTTACTTTTTCACTGTAGGCATCAAAGCGCTCCACATGTCCACATCCAGATACTACAGAAAGAGTATTTCAAACCTGTCCTATGAAAGGGAATGTTCAACTCTATGAGTTGAATGCAGACATCAGAAAGAAATTTCTGAGAATGCTGCTGTCTACCTTTTATTTGAATTCCCGCTTCCAACGAAATCCTCCAAGCTATACAAATATCCACTTGCAGATTCAGGAAAAAGAGTGTTTCAAAACTGCTCTCTATCAATGGCAAAGTTCAACTCTGTTAGTTGAGGACACATATCACCAACAAGTTTCTGAGAATGCTTCTGTCTATTTTTTATGGGAAGATATTTCCTTTTTCACCGTATGCGTCAAGGCGATCGAAATGTCCACTTCCACAAACTACAAAAAGAGTGTTTCAAACCTTCTCTATGAAAGGCCATGTTCATCTCTATGAGTTGAATGGAAATATCCGAAAGAAATTTCTGGGAATGCTGCTGTCTAGTTTTTATACGAATTCCCGCTTCCAACAAAATCCTCAAAGCAATCCAAATATCCACTTGCAGAATCCACAAAAAGAGTGTTTCAAAACTGCTCTATCAATAGAAAGGTTCAACTCTTTTAGTTGAGTACACACATCACAAACAAGTTTCTGAGAATGCTTCTGTCTGGCTTTTATTGGAAGACGTTTCCTTTTCACCAAAGGCATCATAGCGCTCCAAATGTCCACTTCCAGATTCTTCCAAAAGAGTGTTTCAAACGTGCTCAAAGTAAGGGAATGTTCAACTCTGTGACTTGAATGCAGATATCACCAAGTAGTCTCTAATAGTGCTTCTGTCTAGATTTTAGATGATGATATTCCCGTTTCCAACGAAATCGTTAGAGCTATCCAAATATCCACTTACAGTTTCTACAAAAAGAGTGTTTCCAAACTGCTGCATCAAAAGAAAGGTTCAACTCTGTTAGTTGAGGACACACATCACAAAGAAGTTTGTGAGAATGCTTCTGTCTAGATTTTGTATGACCATATTCCCTTTTCCAGCGATATCATTAAAGCAATCTAAATATCCATTTGCAGAATCCACAAAAATAGAGTTTCAAAGCTGCTGTGTAAAAAGAAAGGTTCCACTCTGTTAGCTGAGTACACACATCACAAACTTGTTTCTCAGAATCCTTCTGTCTCGTTTTTATGGGAAGATATTTACTTTTCCACCGTAGGCATCAAAGCGCTCCAAATGTCCACATCCAGATACTCCAGAAAGAGTGTTTCAAACCTGCTCTATGAAAGGGAATATTCAACTCTATGAGTTGAATGCAGACATCAGAAAGAAATTTCTGAGAATGCTGCTGTCTACCTTTTATTTGAACTCCCGCTTCCAACGAAATCCTCCAAGCTATCCAAATATCCACCTGCATTTTCCACAAAAAGAGCGCTTCAAAACTGCTCTATCAATAGAAATGTTCAACTCCTTTGGCTGGGTACACACATCACAAACAAGTTTCTGAGAATGCTTCAGTCTAGTTTTTATGGGAAGACGTTCCCTTTTTCACCAAAGGCATCAAAGCGCTCCAAATGTCCACTTCCAGACACTACAAAAAGAGTGTTTCCAACGTACTCTAAGAAAGCGAATGTTCAACTCTGTGACTTGAATGCAGATATCACAAAGTAGTTTCTGAGAGGGCTTCTGTCTAGATTTTAGATGATGATATTCCCGTTTCCAACGAAATCATTAGAGCTATCCAAATATCCACTTACAGTTTCTACAAAAAGAGTGTTTCCAAACTGCTGCATCAAAAGAGAGGTTCCACTCTGTTAGCTGAGTACACACATCACAAACTTGTTTCTCAGAATCCTTCTGTCTCGTTTTTATGGGAAGTTATTTACTTTTTCACCGTAGGCATCAAAGCGCTCCAAATGTCCACATCCAGATACTCCAGAAAGAGTGTTTCAAACCTGCTCTATGAAAGGGAATGTTCAACTCTACGAGTTGAATGCAGACATCAGAAAGAAATTTCTGAGAATGCTGCTGTCTACCTTTTATTTGAATTCCCGCTTCCAACGAAATCCTCCAAGCTATCCAAATATCCACTTGCAGATTCCACAAAAAGAGTGTTTCAAAACTGCTCTCTATCAATGGCAAAGTTCAACTCTGTTAGTTGAGGACACATATCACCAACAAGTTTCTGAGAATGCTTCTGTCTACTTTTTATGGGAAGATATTTCCTTTTTCACCGTAGGCGTCAAGGCGATCGAAATGTCCACTTCCACAAACTACAAAAAGAGTGTTTCAAACCTGCTCTATGAAAGGCCATGTTCATCTCTATGAGTTGAATGGAAATATCCGAAAGAAATTTCTGGGAATGCTGCTGTCTAGTGTTTATACGAATTCCCGCTTCCAACGAAATCCTCAAAGCAATCCAAATATCCACTTGCAGAATCCACAAAAAGAGTGTTTCAAAACTGCTCTATCAATAGAAAGGTTCAACTCTTTTAGTTGAGTACACACATCACGAACAAGTTTCTGAGAATGCTTCTGTCTGGCTTTTATTGGAAGACGTTTCCTTTTCACCAAAGGCATCAAAGTGCTCCAAATGTCCACTTCCAGATTCTTCCAAAAGAGTGTTTCAAACGTGCTCAAAGTAAGGGAATGTTCAACTCTGTGACTTGAATGCAGATATCACCAAGTAGTTTCTAATAGTGCTTCTGTCTAGATTTTAGATGATGATATTCCCGTTTCCAACGAAATCGTTAGAGCTATCCAAATATCCACTTACAGTTGCTACAAAAACAGTGTTTCCAAACTGCTGCATCAAAAGAAAGGTTCAACTCTGTTAGTTGAGGACACACATCACAAAGAAGTTTGTGAGAATGCTTCTGTCTAGATTTTGTATGACCATATTCCCTTTTCCAGCGATATCATTAAAGCAATCTAAATATCCATTTGCAGAATCCACAAAAATAGAGTTTCAAAGCTGCTCTGTAAAAAGAAAGGTTCCACTCTGTTAGCTGAGTACACACATCACAAACTTGTTTCTCAGAATCCTTCTGTCTCGTTTTTATGGGAAGATATTTACTTTCTCACCGTAGGCATCAAAGCGCTCCAAATGTCCACATCCAGATACTCCAGAAAGAGTGTTTCAAACCTGCTCTATGAAAGGGAATCTTCAACTCTATGAGTTGAATGCAGACATCAGAAAGAAATTTCTGAGAATGCTGCTGTCTACCTTTTATTTGAATTCCAGCTTCCAACGAAATCCTCCAAGCTATCCAAATATCCACCTGCATTTTCCACAAAAAGAGTGTTTCAAAACTGCTCTATCAATAGAAATGTTCAACTCCTTTGGCTGGGTACACACATCACAAACAAGTTTCTGAGAATGCTTCTGTCTAGTTTTTATGGGAAGACATTCCCTTTTTCACCAAAGGCATCAAAGCGCTCCAAATGTCCACTTCCAGACACTACAAAAAGGGTGTTTCAAACGTGCTCTAAGAAAGCGAATGTTCAACTCTGTGACTTGAATGCAGATATCACAAAGTAGTTTCTGAGAGGGCTTCTGTCTAGATTTTAGATGATGATATTCCCGTTTCCAACGAAATCATTAGAGCTATCCAAATATCCACTTACAGTTTCTACAAAAAGAGTGTTTCCAAACTGCTGCATCAAAAGAGAGGTTCCACTCTGTTAGCTGAGTACACACATCACAAACTTGTTTCTCAGAATCCTTCTGTCTCGTTTTTATGGGAAGATATTTACTTTTTCACCGTAGGCATCAAAGCGCTCCAAATGTCCACATCCAGATACTCCAGAAAGAGTGCTTCAAACCTGCTCTATGAAAGGGAATCTTCAACTCTATGAGTTGAATGCAGACATCAGAAAGAAATTTCTGAGAATGCTGCTGTCTACCTTTTATTTGAATTCCCGCTTCCAACGAAATCCTCCAAGCTATCCAAATATCCACTTGCAGATTCCACAAAAAGAGTGTTTCAAAACTGCTCTCTATCAATGGCAAAGTTCAACTCTGTTAGTTGAGGACACATATCACCAACAAGTTTCTGAGAATGCTTCTGTCTATTTTTTATGGGAAGATATTTCCTTTTTCACCGTAGGCGTCAAGGCGATCGAAATGTCCACTTCCACAAACTACAAAAAGAGTGTTTCAAACCTGCTCTATGAAAGGCCATGTTCATCTCTATGAGGTGAATGGAAATATCCGAAAGAAATTTCTGGGAATGCTGCTGTCTAGTTTTTATACGAATTCCCGCTTCCAACGAAATCCTCAAAGCAATCCAAATATCCACTTGCAGAATCCACAAAAAGAGTGTTTCAAAACTGCTCTATCAATAGAAAGGTTCAACTCTTTTAGTTGAGTACACACATCACAAACAAGTTTCTGAGAATGCTTCTGTCTGGCTTTTATTGGAAGGCGTTTCCTTTTCACCAAAGGCATCAAAGCGCTCCAAATGTCCACTTCCAGATTCTTCCAAAAGAGTGTTTCAAACGTGCTCAAAGTAAGGGAATGTTCAACTCTTTGACTTGAATGCAGATATCACCAAGTAGTTTCTAATAGTGCTTCTGTCTAGATTTTAGATGATGATATTCCCGTTTCCAACGAAATCGTTAGAGCTATCCAAATATCCAGTTACAGTTTCTACCAAAAGGGTGTTTCCAAATTGCTGCATCAAAAGAAAGGTTCAACTCTGTTAGTTGAGGACACACATCACAAAGAAGTTTGTGAGAATGCATCTGTCTAGATTTTGTATGACCATATTCCCTTTTCCAGCGATATCATTAAAGCAATCTAAATATCCATTTGCAGAATCCACAAAAATAGAGTTTCAAAGCTGCTCTGTAAAAAGAAAGGTTCCACTCTGTTAGCTGAGTACACACATCACAAACTTGTTTCTGAGAATCCTTCTGTCTCGTTTTTATGGGAAGATATTTACTTTTTCACCGTAGGCATCAAAGCGCTCCAAATGTCCACATCCAGATACTCCAGAAAGAGTGTTTCAAACCTGCTCTATGAAAGGGAATCTTCAACTGCTATGAGTTGAATGCAGACATCAGAAAGAAATTTCTGAGAATGCTGCTGTCTACCTTTTATTTGAACTCCCGCTTCCAACGAAATCCTCCAAGCTATCCAAATATCCACTTGCATTTTCCACAAAAAGAGTGTTTGAAAACTGCTCTATCAATAGAAATGTTCAACTCCTTTAGCTGGGTGCACACATCACAAACAAGTTTCTGAGAATGCTTCTGTCTAGTTTTTATGGGAAGACATTCCCTTTTTCACCAAAGGCATCAAAGCGCTCCAAATGTCCACTTCCAGACACTACAAAAAGAGTGTTTCCAACGTGCTCTAAGAAAGCGAATGTTCAACTCTGTGACTTGAATGCAGATATCACAAAGTAGTTTCTGAGAGGGCTTCTGTCTAGATTTTAGATGATGATATTCCCGTTTCCAACGAAATCATTAGAGCTATCCAAATATCCACTTACAGTTTCTACAAAAAGAGTGTTTCCAAACTGCTGCATCAAAACAGAGGTTCCACTCTGTTAGCTGAGTACACACATCACAAACTTGTTTCTCAGAATCCTGCTGTCTACCTTTTATTTGAATTCCCGCTTCCAACGAAATCCTCCAAGCTATCCAAATATCCACTTGCATTTTCCACAAAAAGAGTGTTTCTAAACTGCTCTATCAATGGCAAGGTTCAACTCTGTCAGTTGAGGATACACATCACAAACAAGTTTCTGAGAATTCTTCTGTCTATTTTTTATGGGAAGATATTTCCTTTTTCACCGTAGGCGTCAAGGCGATCGAAATGTCCACTTCCACAAACTACAAAAAGAGTGTTTCAAACCTGCTCTATGAAAGGCCATGTTCATCTCTATGAGTCGAATGGAAATATCCGAAAGAAATTTCTGGGAATGCTGCTGTCTAGATTTTATACGAATTCCCGCTTCCAACGAAATCCTCAAAACAATCCTAATATCCACTTGCAGAATCCACAAAAAGAGTGTTTCAAAACTGCTCTATCAATAGAAAGGTTCAACTCTTTTAGTTGAGTACACACATCACAAACAAGTTTCTGAGAATGCTTCTGTCTGGCTTTTATTGGAAGACGTTTCCTTTTCACCAAAGGCATCAAAGCGCTCCAAATGTCCACTTCCAGATTCTTCCAAAAGAGTGTTTCAAACGTGCTCAAAGTAAGGGAATGTTCAACTCTGTGACTTGAATGCAGATATCACCAAGTAGTTTCTAATAGTGCTTCTGTCTACATTTTAGATGATGATATTCCCGTTTCCAACGAAATCGTTAGAGCTATCCAAATATCCAGTTACAGTTTCTACCAAAAGGGTGTTTCCAAATTGCTGCATCAAAAGAAAGGTTCAACTCTGCTAGTTGAGGACACACATCACAAAGAAGTTTGTGAGAATGCTTCTGTCCAGATTTTGTATGACGTTATTCCCTTTTCCAACGATATCATTAAAGCAATCTAAATATCCATTTGCAGAATCCACAAAAATAGAGTTTCAAAGCTGCTCTGTAAAAAGAAAGGTTCCACTCTGTTAGCTGAGTACACACATCACAAACTTGTCTCTCAGAATCCTTCTGTCTCGTTTTTATGGGAAGATATTTACTTTTTCACCGTAGGCATCAAAGCGCTCCAAATGTCCACATCCAGATACTCCAGAAAGAGTGTTTCAAACCTGCTCTATGAAAGGGAATCTTCAACTCTATGAGTTGAATGCAGACATCAGAAAGAAATTTCTGAGAATGCTGCTGTCTACCTTTTATTTGAACTCCCGCTTCCAACGAAATCCTCCAAGCTATCCAAATATCCACTTGCATTTTCCACAAAAAGAGTGCTTCAAAACTGCTCTATCAATAAATGTTCAACTCCTTTAGCTGGGTGCACACATCACAAACAAGTTTCTGAGAATGCTTGTCTGTCTAGTTTTTATGGGAAGACATTTCCTATTTCACCAAAGGCATCAAAGAGCTCCAAATGTCCACTTCCAGATACTACAAAAAGAGTGTTTAAAAAGTGCTCTAAGAAAGCGAATGTTCAACTCTGTGACTTGAATGCAGATATCACAAAGTAGTTTCTGAGAGTGCTTCTGTCTAGATTTTAGATGATGATATTCCCGTTTCCAACGAAATCATTAGAGCTATCCAAATATCCACTTACAGTTTCTACAAAAAGAGTGTTTCCAAACTGCTGCATCAAAAGAGAGCTTCCACTCTGTTAGCTGAGTACACACATCACAAACTTGTTTCTCAGAATCCTGCTGTCTACCTTTTATTTGAATTCCCGCTTCCAACGAAATCCTCCAAACTATCCAAATATCCACTTGCAGATTCAGGAAAAAGAGTGTTTCAAAACTGCTCTCTATCAATGGCAAAGTTCAACTCTGTTAGTTGAGGACACATATCACCAACAAGTTTCTGAGAATGCTTCTGTCTATTTTTTATGGGAAGATATTTCCTTTTTCACCGTAGGTGTCAAGGCGATCGAAATGTCCACTTCCACAAACTACAAAAAGAGTGTTTCAAACCTGCTCTATGAAAGGCCATGTTCATCTCTATGAGTTGAATGGAAATATCCGAAAGAAATTTCTGGGAATGCTGCTGTCTAGTTGTTATACGAATTCCCGCTTCCAACGAAATCCTCAAAGCAATCCAAATATCCACTTGCAGAATCCACAAAAAGAGTGTTTCAAAACTGCTCTATCAATAGAAAGGTTCAACTCTTTTAGTTGAGTACACACATCACAAACAAGTTTCTGAGAATGCTTCTGTCTGGCTTTTATTGGAAGACGTTTCCTTTTCACCAAAGGCATCAAAGCGCTCCAAATGTCCACTTCCAGATTCTTCCAAAAGAGTGTTTCAAACCTGCTCAAAGTAAGGGAATGTTCAACTCTGTGACTTGAATGCAGATATCACCAAGTAGTTTCTAATAGTGCTTCTGTCTACCTTTTGATGATGATATTCCCGTTTCCAACGAAATCGTTAGAGCTATCCAAATATCCAGTTACAGTTTCTACCAAAAGGGTGTTTCCAAATTGCTGCATCAAAAGAAAGGTTCAACTCTGTTAGTTGAGGACACACAGCACAAAGAAGTTTGTGAGAATGCTTCTGTCTAGATTTTGTATGACGATATCCCTTTTCCAACGATATCGTTAAAGCAATCTAAATATCAATTTGCAGAATCCACAAAAATAGAGTTTCAAAGCTGCTCTGTAAAAAGAAAGGTTCCACTCTGTTAGCTGAGTACACACATCACAAACTTGTTTCTGAGAATCCTTCTGTCTCGTTTTTATGGGAAGATATTTACTTTTCCACCGTAGGCATCAAAGCGCTCCAAATGTCCACATCCAGATACTCCAGAACGAGTGTTTCAAACCTGCTCTATGAAAGGGAATGTTCAACTCTATGAGTTGAATGCAGACATCAGAAAGAAATTTCTGAGAATGCTGCTGTCTACCTTTTATTTGAATTCCCGCTTCCAACGAAATCCTCCAAGCTATCCAAATATCCACTTGCATTTTCCACAAAAAGAGTGTTTCAAAACTGCTCTATCAATAGAAATGTTCAACTCCTTTGGCTGGGTACACACATCACAAACAAGTTTCTGAGAATGCTTCTGTCTAGTTTTTATGGGAAGACATTCCCTTTTTCACCAAAGGCATCAAAGCGCTCCAAATGTCCACTTCCAGACACTACAAAAAGAGTGTTTCAAACGTGCTCTAAGAAAGCGAATGTTCAACCCTGTGACTTGAATGCAGATATCACAAAGTAGTTTCTGAGAGGGCTTCTGTCTAGATTTTAGATGATGATATTCCCGTTTCCAACGAAATCATTAGAGCTATCCAAATATCCACATACAGTTTCTACAAAAAGAGTGTTTCCAAACTGCTGCATCAAAAGAGAGGTTCCACTCTGTTAGCTGAGTACACACATCACAAACTTGTTTCTTAGAATCCTTCTGTATCGTTTTTATGGGAAGATATTTACTTTTTCACCGTAGGCATCAAAGCGCTCCAAATGTCCACATCCAGATACTCCAGAAAGAGTGTTTCAAACCTGCTCTATGAAAGGGAATCTTCAACTCTATGAGTTGAATGCAGACATCAGAAAGAAATTTCTGAGAATGCTGCTGTCTACCTTTTATTTGAATTCCCGCTTCCAATGAAATCCTCCAAGCTATCCAAATATCCACTTGCAGATTCCACAAAAAGAGTGTTTCAAAACTGCTCTCTATCAATGGCAAAGTTCAACTCTGTTAGTTGAGGACACATATCACCAACAAGTTTCTGAGAATGCTTCTGTCTATTTTTTATGGGAAGATATTTCCTTTTTCACCGTAGGCGTCAAGGCGATCGAAATGTCCACTTCCACAAACTACAAAAAGAGTGTTTCAAACCTGCTCTATGAAAGGCCATGTTCATCTCTATGAGTCGAATGGAAATATCCGAAAGAAATTTCTGGGAATGCTGCTGTCTAGTGTTTATACGAATTCCCGCTTCCAACGAAATCCTCAAAGCAATCCAAATATCCACTTGCAGAATCCACAAAAAGAGGGTTTCAAAACTGCTCTATCAATAGAAAGGTTCAACTCTTTAGTTGAGTACACACATCACAAACAAGTTTCTGAGAATGCTTCTGTCTGGCTTTTATTGGAAGACGTTTCCTTTTCACCAAAGGCATCAAAGCGCTCCAAATGTCCACTTCCAGATTCTTCCAAAAGAGTGTTTCAAACGTGCTCGAAGTAAGGGAATGTTCTACTCTGTGACTTGAATGCAGATATCACCAAGTAGTTTCTAATAGTGCTTCTGTCTAGATTTTAGATGATGATATTCCCGTTTCCAACGAAATCGTTAGAGCTATCCAAATATCCACTTACAGTTGCTACAAAAACAGTGTTTCCAAACTGCTGCATCAAAAGAAAGGTTCAACTCTGTTAGTTGAGGACACACGTCACAAAGAAGTTTGTGAGAATGCTTCTGTCTAGATTTTGTATGACGATATTCCCTTTTCCAACGATATCGTTAAAGGAATCTAAATATCCATTTGCAGAATCCACAAAAATAGAGTTTCAAAGCTGCTCTGTAAAAAGAAAGGTTCCACTCTGTTAGCTGAGTACACACATCACAAACTTGTTTCTCAGAATCCTTCTGTCTCGTTTTTATGGGAAGATATTTACTTTTCCACCGTAGGCATCAAAGCGCTCCAAATGTCCACATCCAGATACTCCAGAACGAGTGTTTCAAACCTGCTCTATGAAAGGGAATCTTCAACTCTATGAGTTGAATGCAGACATCAGAAAGAAATTTCTGAGAATGCTGCTGTCTACTTTTATTTGAATTCCCGCTTCCAACGAAATCCTCCAAGCTATCCAAATATCCACTTGCATTTTCCACAAAAAGAGTGTTTCAAAACTGCTCTATCAATAGAAATGTTCAACTCCTTTAGCTGGGTACACACATCACAAACAAGTTTCTGAGAATGCTTCTGTCTAGTTTTTATGGGAAGACATTCCCTTTTTCACCAAAGGCATCAAAGCACTCCAAATGTCCACTTCCAGACACTACAAAAAGAGTGTTTCCAACGTGCCCTAAGAAAGCGAATGTTCAACTCTGTGACTTGAATGCAGATATCACAAAGTAGTTTCTGAGAGGGCTTCTGTCTAGATTTTAGATGATGATATTCCCTTTTCCAACGAAATCATTAGAGCTATCCAAATATCCACTTACAGTTTCTACAAAAAGAGTGTTTCCAAACTGCTGCATCAAAAGAGAGGTTCCACTCTGTTAGCTGAGTACACACATCACAAACTTGTTTCTCAGAATCCTTCTGTCTCGTTTTTCTGGGTAAGATATTTACTTTTTCACCGTAGGCATCAAAGCGCTCCAAATGTCCACATCCAGATACTCCAGAAAGAGTGTTTCAAACCTGCTCTATGAAAGGGAATCTTCAACTCTATGAGTTGAATGCAGACATCAGAAAGAAATTTCTGAGAATGCTGCTGTCTACCTTTTATTTGAATTCCCGCTTCCAACGAAATCCTCCAAGCTATCCAAATATCCACTTGCAGATTCCACAAAAAGAGTGTTTCAAAACTGCTCTCTATCAATGGCAAAGTTCAACTCTGTTAGTTGAGGACACATATCACCAACAAGTTTCTGAGAATGCTTCTGTCTATTTTTTATGGGAAGATATTTCCTTTTTCACCGTAGGCGTCAAGGCGATCGAAATGTCCACTTCCACAAACTACAAAAAGAGTGTTTCAATATGAAAGGCCATGTTCATCTCTATGAGTTGAATGGAAAGATCCGAAAGAAATTTCTGGGAATGCTGCTGTCTAGTGTTTATACGAATTCCCGCTTCCAACGAAATCCTCAAAGCAATCCAAATATCCACTTGCAGAATCCACAAAAAGAGGGTTTCAAAACTGCTCTATCAATAGAAAGGTTCAACTCTTTTAGTTGAGTACACACATCACAAACAAGTTTCTGAGAATGCTTCTGTCTGGCTTTTATTGGAAGACGTTTCCTTTTCACCAAAGGCATCAAAGCGCTCCAAATGTCCACTTCCAGATTCTTCCAAAAGAGTGTTTCAAACGTGCTCGAAGTAAGGGAATGTTCTACTCTGTGACTTGAATGCAGATATCACCAAGAAGTTTCTAATAGTGCTTCTGTCTAGATTTTAGATGATGATATTCCCGTTTCCAACGAAATCGTTAGAGCTATCCAAATATCCACTTACAGTTGCTACAAAAACAGTGTTTCCAAACTGCTGCATCAAAAGAAAGGTTCAACTCTGTTAGTTGAGGACACACGTCACAAAGAAGTTTGTGAGAATGCTTCTGTCCAGATTTTGTATGACGATATTCCCTTTTCCAACGATATCGTTAAAGCAATCTAAATATCCATTTGCAGAATCCACAAAAATAGAGTTTCAAAGCTGCTCTGTAAAAAGAAAGGTTCCACTCTGTTAGCTGAGTACACACATCACAAACTTGTCTCTCAGAATCCTGCTGTCTACCTTTCATTTGAATTCCCGCTTCCAACGAAATCCTCCAAGCTATCCAAATATCCACCTGCATTTTCCACAACAAGAGTGTTTCAAAACTGCTCTATCAATAGAAATGTTCAACTCCTTTGGCTGGGTACACACATCACAAACAAGTTTCTGAGAATGCTTCTGTCTAGTTTTTATGGGTAGACATTCCCTTTTTCACCAAAGGAATCAAAGCGCTCCAAATGTCCACATCCAGACACTACAAAAAGAGTGTTTCAAACGTGCTCTAAGAAAGCGAATGTTCAACTCTGTGACTTGAATGCAGATATCACACAGTAGTTTCTGAGAGTGCTTCTGTCTAGATTTTAGATGATGATATTCCCGTTTCCAACGAAATCATTAGAGCTATCCAAATATCCACTTCCAGTTTCTACAAAAAGAGTGTTTCCAAACTACTGCATCAAAAGAGAGGTTCCACTCTGTTAGCTGAGTACACACATCACAAACTTGTTTCTCAGAATCCTGCTGTCTACCTTTTATTTGAATTCCCGCTTCCAACGAAATCCTCCAAGCTATCCAAATATCCACTTGCAGATTCCACAAAAAGAGTGTTTCAAAACTGCTCTCTATCAATGGCAAAGTTCAACTCTGTTAGTTGAGGACACATATCACCAACAAGTTTCTGAGAATGCTTCTGTCTATTTTTTATGGGAAGATATTTCCTTTTTCACCGTAGGCGTCAAGGCGATCGAAATGTCCACTTCCACAAACTACAAAAAGAGTGTTTCAAACCTGCTCTATGAAAGGCCATGTTCATCTCTATGAGTCGAATGGAAATATCCGAAAGAAATTTCTGGGAATGCTGCTGTCTAGTGTTTATACGAATTCCCGCTTCCAACGAAATCCTCAAAGCAATCCAAATATCCACTTGCAGAATTCACAAAAAGAGTGTTTCAAAACTGCACTATCAATAGAAAGGTTCAACTCTTTTAGTTGAGTACACACATCACAAACAAGTTTCTGAGAATGCTTCTGTCTGGCTTTTATTGGAAGACGTTTCCTTTTCACCAAAGGCATCAAAGCGCTCCAAGTGTCCACTTCCAGATTCTTCCAAAAGAGTGTTTCAAACGTGGTCGAAGTAAGGGAATGTTCAACTCTGTGACTTGAATGCAGATATCACCAAGTAGTTTCTAATAGTGCTTCTGTCTAGATTTTAGATGATGATATTCCCGTTTCCAACGAAATCGTTAGAGCTATCCAAATATCCACTTACAGTTTCTACAAAAAGAGTGTTTCCAAACTGCTGCATCAAAAGAAAGGTTCAACTCTGTTAGTTGAGGACACACATCACAAAGAAGTTTGTGAGAATGCTTCTGTCTAGATTTTGTATGACGATATTCCCTTTTCCAACGATATCCTTAAAGCAATCTAAATATCAATTTGCAGAATCCACAAAAATAGAGTTTCAAAGCTGCTCTGTAAAAAGAAAGGTTCCACTCTGTTAGCTGAGTACACACATCACAAACTTGTTTCTGAGAATCCTTCTGTCTCGTTTTTATGGGAAGATATTTACTTTTTCACCGTAGGCATCAAAGCGCTCCAAATGTCCACATCCAGATACTCCAGAAAGAGTGTTTCAAACCTGCTCTATGAAAGGGAATCTTCAACTCTATGAGTTGAATGCAGACATCAGAAAGAAATTTCTGAGAATGCTGCTGTCTACCTTTTATTTGAATTCCCGCTTCCAACGAAATCCTCCAAGCTATCCAAATATCCACCTGCATTTTCCACAACAAGAGTGTTTCAAAACTGCTCTATCAATAGAAATGTTCAACTCCTTTGGCTGGGTACACACATCACAAACAAGTTTCTGAGAATGCTTCTGTCTAGTTTTTATGGGAAGACGTTCCCTTTTTCACCAAAGGCATCAAAGCGCTCCAAATGTCCACTTCCAGACACTACAAAAAGAGTGTTTCAAACGTGCTCTAAGAAAGCGAATGTTCAACTCTGTGACTTGAATGCAGATATCACAAAGTGGTTTCTGAGAGGGCTTCTGTCTAGATTTTAGTTGATGATATTCCCGTTTCCAACGAAATCATTAGAGCTATCCAAATATCCACTTACAGTTTCTACAAAAAGAGTGTTTCCAAACTGCTGCATCAAAAGAGAGGTTCCACTCTGTTAGCTGAGTACACACATCACAAACTTGTTTCTCAGAATCCTTCTGTCTCGTTTTTATGGGAAGATATTTACTTTTTCACCGTAGGCATCAAAGCGCTCCAAATGTCCATATCCAGATACTCCAGAAAGAGTGTTTCAAACTTGCTCTATGAAAGGGAATCTTCAACTCTATGAGTTGAATGCAGACATCAGAAAGAAATTTCTGAGAATGCTGCTGTCTACCTTTTATTTGAATTCCCGCTTCCAACGAAATCCTCCAAGCTATCCAAATATCCACTTGCAGATTCCACAAAAAGAGTGTTTCAAAACTGCTCTCTATCAATGGCAAAGTTCAACTCTGTTAGTTGAGGACACATATCACCAACAAGTTTCTGAGAATGTTTCTGTCTATTTTTTATGGGAAGATATTTCCTTTTTCACCGTATGCGTCAAGGCGATCGAAATGTCCACTTCCACAAACTACAAAAAGAGTGATTCAAAACTGCTCTATGAAAGGCCATGTTCATCTCTATGAGTTGAATGGAAATATCCGAAAGAAATTTCTGGGAATGCTGCTGTCTAGTTTTTATACGAATTCCCGCTTCCAACGAAATCCTCAAAGCAATCCAAATATCCACTTGCAGAATCCACAAAAAGAGTGTTTCAAAACTGCTCTATCAATAGAAAGGTTCAACTCTTTTAGTTGAGTACACACATCACAAACAAGTTTCTGAGAATGCTTCTGTCTGGCTTTTATTGGAAGACGTTTCCTTTTCACCAAAGGCATCAAAGCGCTCCAAATGTCCACTTCCAGATTCTTCCAAAAGAGTGTTTGAAACGTGCTCAAAGTAAGGGAATGTTCAACTCTGTGACTTGAATGCAGATATCACTAAGTAGTTTCTAATAGTGCTTCTGTCTAGATTTTAGATGATGATATTCCCGTTTCCAACGAAATCGTTAGAGCTATCCAAATATCCACTTACAGTTTCTACAAAAAGAGTGTTTCCAAACTGCTGCATCAAAAGAAAGGTTCAACTCTGTTAGTTGAGGACACACATCACAAAGAAGTTTGTGAGAATGCTTCTGTCTAGATTTTGTATGACGATATTCCCTTTTCCAACGATATCGTTAAAGCAATCTAAATATCAATTTGCAGATTCCACAAAAATAGAGTTTCAAAGCTGCTCTGTAAAAAGAAAGGTTCCACTCTGTTAGCTGAGTACACACATCACAAACTTGTTTCTGAGAATCCTTCTGTCTCGTTTTTATGGGAAGATATTTACTTTTCCACCGTAGGCATCAAAGCGCTCCAAATGTCCACATCCAGATACTCCAGAACGAGTGTTTCAAACCTGCTCTATGAAAGGGAATCTTCAACTCTATGAGTTGAATGCAGACATCAGAAAGAAATTTCTGAGAATGCTGCTGTCTACCTTTTATTTGAATTCCCGCTTCCAACGAAATCCTCCAAGCTATCCAAATATCCACCTGCATTTTCCACAAAAAGAGTGTTTCAAAACTGCTCTATCAATAGAAATGTTTAACTCCTTTGGCTGGGTACACACATCACAAACAAGTTTCTGAGAATGCTTCTGTCTAGTTTTTATGGGAAGACATTCCCTTTTTCACCAAAGGCATCAAAGCGCTCCAAATGTCCACTTCCAGACACTACAAAAAGAGTGTTTCAAACGTGCTCTAAGAAAGCGAATGTTCAACTCTGTGACTTGAATGCAGATATCACAAAGTAGTTTCTGAGAGGGCTTCTGTCTAGATTTTAGATGATGATATTCCCATTTCCAACGAAATCATTAGAGCTATCCAAATATCCACTTACAGTTTCTACAAAAAGAGTGTTTCCAAACTGCTGCATCAAAAGAAAGGTTCAACTCTGTTAGTTTAGGACACACATCACAAAGAAGTTTGTGAGAATGCTTCTGTCTCGTTTTTATGGGAAGATATTTACTTTTTCACCGTAGGCATCAAAGCGCTCCAAATGTCCACATCCAGATACTCCAGAAAGAGTGTTTCAAACCAGCTCTATGAAAGGGAATCTTCAACTCTATGAGTTGAATGCAGACATCAGAAAGAAATTTCTGAGAATGCTGCTGTCTACCTTTTATTTGAATTCCCGCTTCCAACGAAATCCTCCAAGCTATCCAAATATCCACTTGCAGATTCCACAAAAAGAGTGTTTCAAAACTGCTCTCTATCAATGGCAAAGTTCAACTCTGTTAGTTGAGGACACATATCACCAACAAGTTTCTGAGAATGCTTCTGTCTATTGTTTATGGGAAGATATTTCCTTTTTCACCGTAGGCGTCAAGGCGATCGAAATGTCCACTTCCACAAACTACAAAAAGAGTGTTTCAAACCTGCTCTATGAAAGGCCATGTTCATCTCTATGAGTTGAATGGAAATATCCGAAAGAAATTTCTGGGAATGCTGCTGTCTAGTGCTTATACGAATTCCCGCTTCCAACGAAATCCTCAAAGCAATTCAAATATCCACTTGCAGAATCCACAAAAAGAGTGTTTCAAAACTGCTCTATCAATAGAAAGGTTCAACTCTTTTAGTTGAGTACACACATCACGAACAAGTTTCTGAGAATGCTTCTGTCTAGTTTTTATGGGAAGACATTCCCTTTTTCACCAAAGGCATCAAAGCGCTCCAAATGTCCACTTCCAGATTCTTCCAAAAGAGTGTTTCAAACGTGGTCGAAGTAAGGGAATGTTCTACTCTGTGACTTGAATGCAGATATCACCAAGTAGTTTCTAATAGTGCTTCTGTCTAGATTTTAGGTGATGATATTCCCGTTTCCAACGAAATCGTTAGAGCTATCCAAATATCCAGTTACAGTTTCTACCAAAAGGGTGTTTCCAAATTGCTGCATCAAAAGAAAGGTTCAACTCTGTTAGTTGAGGACACACATCACAAAGAAGTTTGTGAGAATGCTTCTGTCTAGATTTTGTATGACGATATTCCCTTTTCCAACGATATCGTTAAAGCAATCTAAATATCAATTTGCAGAATCCACAAAAATAGAGTTTCAAAGTTGCTCTGTAAAAAGAAAGGTTCCACTCTGTTAGCTGAGTACACACATCACAAACTTGTTTCTGAGAAACCTTCTGTCTCGTTTTTATGGGAAGATATTTACTTTTCCACTGTAGGCATCAAAGCGCTCCAAATGTCCACATCCAGATACTCCAGAACGAGTGTTTCAAACCTGCTCTATGAAAGGGAATCTTCAACTCTATGAGTTGAATGCAGAATCAGAAAGAAATTTCTGAGAATGCTGCTGTCTACCTTTTATTTGAACTCCCGCTTCCAACGAAATCCTCCAAGCTATCCAAATATCCACTTGCATTTTCCACAAAAAGAGTGCTTCAAAACTGCTCTATCAATAAATGTTCAACTCCTTTAGCTGGGTGCACACATCACAAACAAGTTTCTGAGAATGCTTCTGTCTAGTTTTTATGGGAAGACATTCCCTTTTTCACCAAAGGCATCAAAGCGCTCCAAATGTCCACTTCCAGACACTACAAAAAGAGTGTTTCCAACGTGCTCTAAGAAACCGAATGTTCGACTCTGTGACTTGAATGCAGATATCACAAAGTAGTTTCTGAGAGGGCTTCTGTCTAGATTTTAGATGATGATATTCCCGTTTCCAACGAAATCATTAGAGCTATCCAAATATCCACTTACAGTTTCTACAAAAAGAGTGTTTCCAAACTGCTGCATCAAAAGAGAGGTTCCACTCTGTTAGCTGAGTACACACATCACAAACTTGTTTCTCAGAATCCTTCTGTCTCGTTTTTATGGGAAGATTATACTTTTTCACCGTAGGCATCAATGCGCTCCAAATGTCCACATCCAGATACTACAGAAAGAGTGTTTCAAACCTGCTCTATGAAAGGGAATCTTCAACTCTATGAGTTGAATGCAGACATCAGAAAGAAATTTCTGAGAATGCTGCTGTCTACCTTTTATTTGAATTCCCGCTTCCAACGAAATCCTCCAAGCTATCCAAATATCCACTTGCAGATTCCACAAAAAGAGTGTTTCAAAACTGCTCTCTATCAATGACAAAGTTCAACTCTGTTAGTTGAGGACACATATCACCAACAAGTTTCTGAGAATGCTTCTGTCTATTTTTTATGGGAAGATATTTCCTTTTTCACCGTAGGCATCAAGGCGATCGAAATGTCCACTTCCACAAACTACAAAAAGAGTGTTTCAAACCTGCTCTATGAAAGGCCATGTTCATCTCTATGAGTTGAATGGAAATATCCGAAAGAAATTTCTGGGAATGCTGCTGTGTAGTTGTTATACGAATTCCCGCTTCCAACGAAATCCTCAAAGCAATCCAAATATCCACTTGCAGAATCCACAAAAAGAGTGTTTCAAAACTGCTCTATCAATAGAAAGGTTCAACTCTTTTAGTTGAGTACACACATCACAAACAAGTTTCTGAGAATGCTTCTGTCTGGCTTTTATTGGAAGACGTTTCCTTTTCACCAAAGGCATCAAAACGCTCCAAATGTCCACTTCCAGATTCTTCCAAAAGAGTGTTTCAAACGTGCTCAAAGTAAGGGAATGTTCAACTCTGTGACTTGAATGCAGATATCACCAAGTAGTTTCTAATAGTGCTTCTGTCTAGATTTTAGATGATGATATTCCCGTTTCCAACGAATTCGTTAGAGCTATCCAAATATCCACTTACAGTTTCTACCAAAAGGGTGTTTCCAAACTGCTGCATCAAAAGAAAGGTTCAACTCTGTTAGTTGAGGACACACATCACAAAGAAGTTTGTGAGAATGCTTCTGTCTAGATTTTGTATGACGATATTCCCTTTTCCAACGATATCGTTAAAGCAATCTAAATATCAATTTGCAGAATCCACAACAATAGAGTTTCAAAGCTGCTCTGTAAAAAGAAAGGTTCCACTCTGTTAGCTGAGTACACACATCACAAACTTGTTTCTGAGAATCCTTCTGTCTCGTTTTTATGGGAAGATATTTACTTTTCCACCGTAGGCATCAAAGCGCTCCAAATGTCCACATCCAGATACTCCAGAACGAGTGTTTCAAACCTGCTCTATGAAAGGGAATCTTCAACTCTATGAGTTGAATGCAGACATCAGAAAGAAATTTCTGAGAATGCTGCTGTCAACCTTTTATTTGAATTCCCGCTTCCAACGAAATCCTCCAAGCTATCCAAATATCCACCTGCATTTTCCACAAAAAGAGTGTTTCAAAACTGCTCTATCAATAGAAATGTTCAACTCCTTTGGCTGGGTACACACATCACAAACAAGTTTCTGAGAATGCTTCTGTGTAGTTTTTATGGGTAGACATTCCCTTTTTCACCAAAGGAATCAAAGCGCTCCAAATGTCCACTTCCAGACACTACAAAAAGAGTGTTTCAAACGTGCTCTAAGAAAGCGAATGTTCAACTCTGTGACTTGAATGCAGATATCACACAGTAGTTTCTGAGAGTGCTTCTGTCTAGATTTTAGATGATGATATTCCCGTTTCCAACGAAATCATTAGAGCTATCCAAATATCCACTTACAGTTTCTACAAAAAGAGTGTTTCCAAACTGCTGCATCAAAAGAGAGGTTCCACTCTGTTAGCTGAGTACACACATCACAAACTTGTTTTTCAGAATCCTTCTGTCTCGTTTTTATGGGAAGATATTTGCTTTTTCACCGTAGGCATCAAAGCGCTCCAAATGTCCACATCCAGATACTCCAGAAAGAGTGTTTCAAACCTGCTCTATGAAAGGGAATCTTCAACTCTATGAGTTGAATGCAGACATCAGAAAGAAATTTCTGAGAATGCTGCTGTCTACCTTTTATTTGAATTCCCGCTTCCAACGAAATCCTCCAAGCTATCCAAATATCCACTTGCAGATTCCACAAAAAGAGTGTTTCAAAACTGCTCTCTATCAATGGCAAAGTTCAACTCTGTTAGTTGAGGACACATATCACCAACAAGTTTCTGAGAATGCTTCTGTCTAATTTTTATGGGAAGATATTTCCTTTTTCACCGTATGCGTCAAAGCGATCGAAATGTCCACTTCCACAAACAACAAAAAGAGTGTTTCAAACCTGCTCTATGAAAGGCCATGTTCATCTCTATGAGTTGAATGGAAATATCCGAAAGAAATTTCTGGGAATGCTGCTGTCTAGTTTTTATATGAATTCCCGCTTGCAACGAAATCCTCAAAGCAATCCAAATATCCACTTGCAGAATCCACAAAAAGAGTGTTTCAAAACTGCGCTATCAATAGAAAGGTTCAACTCTTTTAGTTGAGTACACACATCACGAACAAGTTTCTGAGAATGCTTCCTGTCTGGCTTTTATTGGAAGACGTTTCCCTTTTCACCAAAGGCATCAAAGCGCTCCAAATGTCCACTTCCAGATTCTTCCAAAAGAGTGTTTCAAACGTGCTCAAAGTAAGGGAATGTTCAACTCTGTGACTTGAATGCAGATATCACCAAGTAGTTTCTAATAGTGCTTCTGTCTAGATTTTAGATGATGATATTCCCGTTTCCAACGAAATCGTTACAGCTATCCAAATATCCACTTACAGTTTCTACAAAAAGAGTGTTTCCAAACTGCTGCATCAAAAGAAAGGTTCAACTCTGTTAGTTGAGGACACACATCACAAAGAAGTTTGTGAGAATGCTTCTGTCTAGATTTTGTATGACGATATTCCCTTTTACAACGATATCGTTAAAGCAATCTAAATATCAATTTGCAGAATCCACAAAAATAGAGTTTCAAAACTGCTCTGTAAAAAGAAAGGTTCCACTCTGTTAGCTGAGTACACACATCACAAACTTGTTTCTGAGAATCCTTCTGTCTCGTTTTTATGGGAAGATATTTACTTTTCCACCGTAGGCATCAAAGCGCTCCAAATGTCCACATCCAGATACTCCAGAACGAGTGTTTCAAACCTGCTCTATGAAAGGGAATCTTCAACTCTATGAGTTGAATGCAGACATCAGAAAGAAATTTCTGAGAATGCTGCTGTCTACCTTTTATTTGAATTCCCGCTTCCAACGAAATCCTCCAAGCTATCCAAATATCCACCTGCATTTTCCACAAAAAGAGCGTTTCAAAACTGCTCTATCAATAGAAATGTTCAACTCCTTTGGCTGGGTACACACATCACAAACAAGTTTCCTGAGAATGCTTCTGTCTAGTTTTTATGGGTAGACATTCCCTTTTTCACCAAAGGAATCAAAGCGCTCCAAATGTCCACTTCCAGACACTACAAAAAGAGTGTTTCAAACGTGCTCTAAGAAAGCGAATGTTCAACTCTGTGACTTGAATGCAGATATCACACAGTAGTTTCTGAGAGTGCTTCTGTCTAGATTTTAGATGATGATATTCCCGTTTCCAACGAAATCATTAGAGCTATCCAAATATCCACTTACACTTTCTACAAAAAGAGTGTTTCCAAACTGCTGCATCAAAAGAGAGGTTCCACTCTGTTAGCTGAGTACACACATCACAAACTTGTTTCTGAGAATCCTTCTGTCTCGTTTTTATGGGAAGATATTTACTTTTTCACCGTAGGCATCAAAGCGCTCCAAATGTCCACATCCAGATACTACAGAAAGAGTATTTCAAACCTGCCCTATGAAACGGAATCTTCAACTCTATGAGTTGAATGCAGAGATCAGAAAGAAATTTCTGAGAATGCTGCTGTCTACCTTTTATTTGAATTCCCGCTTCCAACGAAATCCTCCAAGCTATCCAAATATCCACTTGCAGATTCCACAAAAAGAGTGTTTCAAAACTGCTCTCTATCAATGGCAAAGTTCAACTCTGTTAGTTGAGGACACATATCACCAACAAGTTTCTGAGAATGCTTCTGTCTATTTTTTATGGGAAGATATTTCCTTTTTCACCGTAGGCGTCAAGGCGATCGAAATGTCCACTTCCACAAACTACAAAAAGAGTGTTTCAAACCTGCTCTATGAAAGGCGATGTTCATCTCTATGAGTTGAATGGAAATATCCGAAAGAAATTTCTGGGAATGCTGCTGTCTAGTTTTTATATGAATTCCCGCTTCCAACGAAATCCTCAAAGCAATCCAAATATCCACTTGCAGAATCCACAAAAAGAGTGTTTCAAAACTGCTCTATCAATAGAAAGGTTCAACTCTTTTAGTTGAGTACACACATCACAAACAAGTTTCTGAGAATGTTTCTGTCTGGCTTTTATTGGAAGACGTTTCCTTTTCACCAAAGGCATCAAAGCGCTCCAAATGTCCACTTCCAGATTCTTCCAAAAGAGTGTTTGAAACGTGCTCAAAGTAAGGGAATGTTCAACTCTGTGACTTGAATGCAGATATCACCAAGTAGTTTCTAATAGTGCTTCTGTCTAGATTTTAGATGATGATATTCCCGGTTTCCAACGAAATCGTTAGAGCTATCCAAATATCCACTTACAGTTGCTACAAAAACAGTGTTTCCAAACTGCTGCATCAAAAGAAAGGTTCAACTCTGTTAGTTGAGGACACACGTCACAAAGAAGTTTGTGAGAATGCTTCTGTCTAGATTTTGTATGACGGTATTCCCTTTTCCAACGATATCGTTAAAGCAATCTAAATATCAATTTGCAGAATCCACAACAATAGAGTTTCAAAGCTGCTCTGTAAAAAGAAAGGTTCCACTCTGCTAGCTGAGTACACACATCACAAACTTGTTTCTGAGAATCCTTCTGTCTCGTTTTTATGGGAAGATATTTACTTTTCCACGGTAGGCATCAAAGCGCTCCAAATGTCCACATCCAGATACTCCAGAACGAGTGTTTCAAACCTGCTCTATGAAAGGGAATCTTCAACTCTATGAGTTGAATGCAGACATCAGAAAGAAATTTCTGAGAATGCTGCTGTCTACCTTTTATTTGAATTCCCGCTTCCAACGAAATCCTCCAAGCTATCCAAATATCAACTTGCATTTTCCACAAAAAGAGTGTTTCAAAACTGCTCTATCAATAGAAATGTTCAACTCCTTTAGCTGGGTACACACATCACAAACAAGTTTCTGAGAATGCTTCTGTCTAGTTTTTATGGGAATACATTCCCTTTTTCACCAAAGGCATCAAAGCGCTCCAAATGTCCACTTCCAGACACTACAAAAAGAGTGTTTCCAACGTGCTCTAAGAAAGCGAATGTTCAACTCTGTGACTTGAATGCAGATATCACAAAGTAGTTTCTAATAGTGCTTCTGTCTAGATTTTAGATGATGATATTCCCCGTTTCCAAAGAAATCATTAGAGCTATCCAAATATCCACTTACAGTTTCTACAAAAAGAGTGTTTCCAAACTGCTGCATCAAAAGAGAGGTTCCACTCTGTTAGCTGAGTACACACATCACAAACTTGTTTCTCAGAATCCTTCTGTCTAGCTTTTATGGGAAGATATTTTCTTTTTCACCGTAGGCATCAAAGCGTTCCAAATGTCCACATCCAGATAGTACAGAAAGAGCGTTTCAAACCTGCTCTATGAAAGGGAATGTTCAACTCTATGAGTTGAATGCAAACGTCACAAAGAAATTTCTGAGAATGCTGCTGTCTACCTTTCATTTGAATTCCCGCTTCCAACGAAATCCTCCAGGCTATCCAAATATCCACTTGCAGATTCCACAAAAAGAGTGTTTCTAAACTGCTCTATCAATGGCAAGGTTCAACTCTGTCAGTTGAGGATACACATCACAAACAAGTTTCTGAGAATTCTTCTGTCTATTTTTTATGGGAAGATATTTCCTTTTTCACCGTAGGCGTCAAGGCGATCGAAATGTCCACTTCCACAAACTACAAAAAGAGTGTTTCAAACCTGCTCTATGAAAGGCCATGTTCATCTCTATGAGTTGAATGGAAATATCCGAAAGAAATTTCTGGGAATGTTGCTGTCTAGTTGTTATACGAATTCCCGCTTCCAACGAAATCCTCAAAGCAATCCAAATATCCACTTGCAGAATCCACAAAAAGAGTGTTTCAAAACTGCTCTATCAATAGAAAGGTTCAACTCTTTTAGTTGAGTATACACATCAAGAACAAGTTTCTGAGAATGCTTCTGTCTGGCTTTTATTGGAAGACGTTTCCTTTTCACCAAAGGCATCAAAGCGCTCCAAATGTCCACTTCCAGATTCTTCCAAAAGAGTGTTTGAAACGTGCTCAAAGTAAGGGAATGTTCAACTCTGTGACTTGAATGCAGATATCACCAAGTAGTTTCTAATAGTGCTTCTGTCTAGATTTTAGATGATGATATTCCCGTTTCCAACGAAATTGTTAGAGCTATCCAAATATCCACTTACAGTTTCTACAAAAAGAGTGTTTCCAAACTGCTGCATCAAAAGAAAGGTTCAACTCTGTTAGTTGAGGACACACATCACAAAGAAGTTTGTGAGAATGCTTCTGTCTAGATTTTGTATGACCATATTCCCTTTTCCAGCGATATCATTAAAGCAATCTAAATATCCATTTGCAGAATCCACAAAAATAGAGTTTCAAAGCTGCTCTGTAAAAAGAAAGGTTCCACTCTGTTAGCTGAGTACACACATCACAAACTTGTTTCTCAGAATCCTTCTGTCTCGTTTTTATGGGAAGATATTTACTTTTTCACCGTAGGCATCAAAGCGCTCCAAATGTACACATCCAGATACTCCAGAAAGAGTGTTTCAAACCTGCTCTATGAAAGGGAATCTTCAACTCTATGAGTTGAATGCAGACATCAGAAAGAAATTTCTGAGAATGCTGCTGTCTACCTTTTATTTGAATTCCCGCTTCCAACGAAATCCTCCAAGCTATCCATATATCCACCTGCATTTTCCACAAAAAGAGTGTTTCAAAACTGCTCTATCAATAGAAATGTTCAACTCCTTTGGCTGGGTACACACATCACAAACAAGTTTCTGAGAATGCTTCTGTCTAGTTTTTATGGGTAGACATTCCCTTTTTCACCAAAGGAATCAAAGCGCTCCAAATGTCCACTTCCAGACACTACAAAAAGAGTGTTTCAAACGTGCTCTAAGAAAGCGAATGTTCAACTCTGTGACTTGAATGCAGATATCACAAAGTAGTTTCTGAGAGTGCTTCTGTCTAGATTTTAGATGATGATATTCCCGTTTCCAACGAAATCATTAGAGCTATCCAAATATCCACTTACAGTTTCTACAAAAAGAGTGTTTCCAAACTGCTGCATCAAAACAGAGGTTCCACTCTGTTAGCTGAGTACACACATCACAAACTTGTTTCTCAGAATCCTTCTGTCTCGTTTTTATGGGAAGATATTTACTTTCTCACCGTAGGCATCAAAGCGCTCCAAATGTCCACATCCAGATACTCCAGAAAGAGTGTTTCAAACCTGCTCTATGAAAGGGAATCTTCAAATCTATGAGTTGAATGCAGACATCAGAAAGAAATTTCTGAGAATGCTGCTGTCTACCTTTTATTTGAATTCCCGCTTCCAACGAAATCCTCCAAGCTATCCAAATATCCACTTGCAGATTCCACAAAAAGAGTGTTTCAAAACTGCTCTCTATCAATGGCAAAGTTCAACTCTGTTAGTTGAGGACACATATCACCAACAAGTTTCTGAGAATGCTTCTGTCTATTTTTTATGGGAAGATATTTCCTTTTTCAGCGTAGGTGTCAAGGCGATCGAAATGTCCACTTCCACAAACTACAAAAAGAGTGTTTCAAACCTGCTCTATGAAAGGCCATGTTCATCTCTATGAGTTGAATGGAAATATCCGAAAGAAATTTCTGGGAATGCTGCTGTCTAATTTTTATACGAATTCCCGCTTCCAACGAAATCCTCAAAGCAATCCAAATATCCACTTGCAGAATCCACAAAAAGAGTGTTTCAAAACTGCGCTATCAATAGAAAGGTTCAACTCTTTTAGTTGAGTACACACATCACAAACAAGTTTCTGAGAATGCTTCTGTCTGGCTTTTATTGGAAGACGTTTCCTTTTCACCAAAGGCATCAAAGCGCTCCAAATGTCCACTTCCAGATTCTTCCAAAAGAGTGTTTGAAACGTGCTCAAAGTAAGGGAATGTTCAACTCTGTGACTTGAATGCAGATATCACCAAGTAGTTTCTAATAGTGCTTCTGTGTATACTTTAGATGAAGATATTCCCGTTTCCAACGATATCGTTAGACCTATCCAAATATCCACTTACAGTTTCTACAAAAAGAGTGTTTCCAAACTGCTGCATCAAAAGAAAGGTTCAACTCTGTTAGTTGAGGACACACATCACAAAGAAGTTTCTGAGAAAGCTTCTGTCTAGATTTTGTATGAAGATATTCCCTTTTCCAACGATATCGTTAAATCAACACAAATATCAATTTGCAGAATCCACAGAAATAGAGTTTCAAAGCTGCTCTGTAAAAAGAAAGGATCCACTCTGTTAGCTGAGTACACACATCACAAACTTGTTTCTGAGAATCCTTCTGTCTCGTTTTTATGGGAAGATATTTACTTTTCCACCGTAGGCATCAAAGCGCTCCAAATGTCCACATCCAGATACTCCAGAAAGAGTGTTTCAAACCTGCTCTATGAAAGGGAATCTTCAACTCTATGAGTTGAATGAAGACATCAGAAAGAAATTTCTGAGAATTCTGCTGTCTACCTTTTATTTGAATTCCCGCTTCCAACGAAATCCTCCAAGCTATCCAAATATCCACCTGCATTTTCCACAAAAAGAGCGTTTCAAAACTGCTCTATCAATAGAAATGTTCAACTCCTTTGGCTGGGTACACACATCACAAACAAGTTTCTGAGAATGCTTCTGTCTAGTTTTTATGGGTAGACATTCCCTTTTTCACCAAAGGAATCAAAGCGCTCCAAATGTCCACTTCCAGACACTACAAAAAGAGTGTTTCAAACGTGCTCTAAGAAAGCGAATGTTCAACTCTGTGACTTGAATGCAGATATCACAAAGTAGTTTCTGAGAGTGCTTCTGTCTAGATTTTAGATGATGATATTCCCGTTTCCAACAAAATCATTAGAGCTTCCAAATATCCACTTACAGTTTCTACAAAAAGAGTGCTTCCAAACTGCTGCATCAAAAGAGAGGTTCCACTCTGTTAGCTGAGTACACACATCACAAACTTGTTTCTCAGAATCCTTCTGTCTCGTTTTTATGGGAAGATATTTACTTTTTCACCGTAGGCATCAAAGCGCTCCAAATGTCCACATCCAGATACTCCAGAAAGAGTGTTTCAAACCTGCTCTATGAAAGGGAATGTTCAACTCTATGAGTTGAATGCAGACATCAGAAAGAAATTTCTGAGAATGCTGCTGTCTACCTTTTATTTGAATTCCCGCTTCCAACGAAATCCTCCAAGCTATCCAAATATCCACTTGCAGATTCCACAAAAAGAGTGTTTCAAAACTGCTCTCTATTAATGGCAAAGTTCAACTCTGTTAGTTGAGGACACATATCACCAACAAGTTTCTGAGAATGCTTCTGTCTATTTTTTATGGGAAGATATTTCCTTTTTCACCGTAGGCGTCAAGGCGATCGAAATGTCCACTTCCACAAACTACAAAAAGAGTGTTTCAAACCTGCTCTATGAAAGGCCATGTTCATCTCTATGAGTCGAATGGAAATATCCGAAAGAAATTTCTGGGAATGCTGCTGTCTAGTGTTTATACGAATTCCCGCTTCCAACGAAATCCTCAAAGCAATCCAAATATCCACTTGCAGAATCCACAAAAAGAGTGTTTCAAAACTGCTCTATCAATAGAAAGGTTCAACTCTTTTAGTTGAGTACACACATCACGAACAAGTTTCTGAGAATGCTTCTGTCTGGCTTTTATTGGAAGACGTTTCCCTTTTCACCAAAGGCATCAAAGCGCTCCAAATGTCCACTTCCAGATTCTTCCAAAAGAGTGTTTCAAACGTGCTCAAAGTAAGGGAATGTTCAACTCTGTGACTTGAATGCAGATATCACCAAGTAGTTTCTAATAGTGCTTCTGTCTAGATTTTAGATGATGATATTCCCGTTTCCAACGAAATCGTTAGAGCTATCCAAATATCCACTTACAGTTGCTACAAAAACAGTGTTTCCAAACTGCTGCATCAAAAGAAAGGTTCAACTCTGTTAGTTGAGGACACACGTCACAAAGAAGTTTGTGAGAATGCTTCTGTCTAGATTTTGTATGACGGTATTCCCTTTTCCAACGATATCGTTAAAGCAATCTAAATATCAATTTGCAGAATCCACAACAATAGAGTTTCAAAGCTGCTCTGTAAAAAGAAAGGTTCCACTCTGTTAGCTGAGTACACACATCACAAACTTGTTTCTGAGAATCCTGCTGTCTACCTTTTATTTGAATTCCCGCTTCCAACGAAATCCTCCAAGCTATCCAAATATCCACCTGCATTTTCCAGAAAAAGAGCGTTTCAAAACTGCTCTATCAATAGAAATGTTCAACTCCTTTGGCTGGGTACACACATCACAAACAAGTTTCTGAGAATGCTTCTGTCTAGTTTTTATGGGAAGACGTTCCCTTTTTCACCAAAGGCATCAAAGCGCTCCAAAAGTCCACTTCCAGACACTACAAAAAGAGTGTTTCCAACGTGCTCAAAGAAAGCGAATGTTCAACTCTGTGACTTGAATGCAGATATCACAAAGTAGTTTCTGAGAGGGCTTCTGTCTAGATTTTAGATGATGATATTCCCGTTTCCAACGAAATCATTAGAGCTATCCAAATATCCACTTACAGTTTCTACAAAAAGAGTGTTTCCAAACTGCTGCATCAAAAGAGAGGTTCCACTGTTAGCTGAGTACACACATCACAAACTTGTTTCTCAGAATCCTTCTTCAATTTTTTATGGGAAGACATTTCCTTTTTCACCGTAGGCCTCAAAGTGCTCCAAATGTCCACATCCAGATAGTACAGAAAGAGTGTTTCAAACCTGCTCTATTAAAGGGAATGTTCAACTCTATGAGTTGAATGCAAACATCACAAAGAAATTTCTGAGAATGCTGCTGTCTACCTTTTATTTGAATTCCCGCTTCCAACGAAATCCTCCAAGCTATCCAAATATCCACTTGCAGATTCGACAAAAAGAGTGTTTCAAAACTGCTCTCTATCAATGGCAAAGTTCAACTCTGTTAGTTGAGGACACATATCACCAACAAGTTTCTGAGAATGCTTCTGTCTATTTTTTATGGGAAGATATTTCCTTTTTCACCGTAGGCGTCAAGGCGATCGAAATGTCCACTTCCACAAACTACAAAAAGAGTGTTTCAAACCTGCTCTATGAAAGGCCATGTTCATCTCTATGAGTCGAATGGAAATATCCGAAAGAAATTTCTGGGAATGCTGCTGTCTAGTGTTTATACGAATTCCCGCTTCCAACGAAATCCTCAAAGCAATCTAAATATCCACTTGCAGAATCCACAAAAAGAGTGTTTCTAAACTGCTCTATCAATAGAAAGGTTCAACTCTTTTAGTTGAGTACACACATCACGAACAAGTTTCTGAGAATGCTTCTGTCTGGCTTTTATTGGAAGACGTTTCCTTTTCACCAAAGGCATCAATTCGCTCCAAATGTCCACTTCCAGATTCTTCCAAAAGAGTGTTTCAAACGTGCTCAAAGTAAGGGAATGTTCAACTCTGTGACTTGAATGCAGATATCACCAAGTAGTTTCTAATAGTGCTTCTGTCTAGATTTTAGATGATGATATTCCCGTTTCCAACGAAATCGTTAGAGCTATCCAAATATCCAGTTACAGTTTCTACAAAAAGAGTGTTTCCAAACTGCTGCATCAAAAGAAAGGTTCAACTCTGTTGGTTGAGGACACACATCAGAAAGAAGTTTGTGAGAATGCTTCTCTCTAGATTTTGTATGACGATATTCCCTTTTCCAACGATATCGTTAAAACAATCTAAATATAAATTTGCAGAATCCACAAAAATACAGTTTCAAAGCTGCTCTGTAAAAAGAAAGGTTCCACTCTTTTGGCTGAGTACACACATCAAAAACTTGTTTCTGAGAATCCTTCTGTCTCGTTTTTATGGGAAGATATTTACTTTTCCACCGTAGGCATCAAAGCGCTCCAAATGTCCACATCCGGATACTCCAGAACGAGTGTTTCAAACCTGCTCTATGAAAGGGAATCTTCAACTCTATGAGTTGAATGCAGACATCAGAAAGAAATTTCTGAGAATGCTGCTGTCTACCTTTTATTTGAATTCCCGCTTCCAACGAAATCCTCCAAGCTATCCAAATATCCACTTGCATTTTCCACAAAAAGAGTGTTTCAAAACTGCTCTATCAATAGAAATGTTCAACTCCTTTGGCTGGGTACACACATCACAAACAAGTTTCTGAGAATGCTTTCTGTCTAGTTTTTATGGGAAGACGTTCCCTTTTTCACCAAAGGCATCAAAGCGCTCCAAATGTCCACTTCCAGACACTACAAAAAGAGTGTTTCCAACGTGCCCTAAGAAAGCGAATGTTCAACTCTGTGACTTGAATGCAGATATCACAAAGTAGTTTCTGAGAGGGCTTCTGTCTAGATTTTAGATGATGATATTCCCGTTTCCAACGAAATCATTAGAGATATCCAAATATCCACTTACAGTTTCTACAAAAAGAGTGTTTCCAAACTGCTGCATCAAAAGAGAGGTTCCACTCTGTTAGCTGAGTACACACATCACAAACTTGTTTCTCAGAATCCTTCTGTCTCGTTTTTATGGGAAGATATTTACTTTTTCATCGTAGGCCTCAAAGCGCTCCAAATGTCCACATCCAGATACTACAGAAAGAGTATTTCAAACCTGCTCTATGAAAGGGAATGTTCAACTCTATGAGTTGAATGCAGACATCAGAAAGAAATTTCTGAGAATGCTGCTGTCTACCTTTTATTTGAATTCCCGCTTCCAACGAAATCCTCCAAGCTATCCAAACATCCACTTGCATTTTCCACAAAAAGAGTGTTTCAAAACTGCTCTATCAATAGAAACGTTCAAGTCCTTTAGCTGGGTACACACATCACAAACAAGTTTCTGAGAATGCTTTCTGTCTATTTTTTATGGGAAGATATTTCCTTTTTCACCGTAGGCGTCAAGGCGATCGAAATGTCCACTTCCACAAACTACAAAAAGAGTGTTTCAAACCTGCTCTATGAAAGGCCATGTTCATCTCTATGAGTTGAATGGAAATATCCGAAAGAAATTTCTGGGAATGCTGCTGTCTAGTTTTTATACGAATTCCCGCTTCCAACGAAATCCTCAAAGCAATCCAAATATCCACTTGCAGAATCCACAAAAAGAGTGTTTCAAAACTGCTCTATCAATAGAAAGGTTCAACTCTTTTAGTTGAGTACACACTTCACAAACAAGTTTCTGAGAATGCTTCTGTCTGGCTTTTATTGGAATACGTTTCCTTTTCACCAAAGGCATCAAAGCGCTCCAAATGTCCACTTCCAGATTCTTCCAAAAGAGTGTTGCAAACGTGCTCAATGTAAGGGAATGTTCAACTCTGTGACTTGAATGCAGATATCACCAAGTAGTTTCTAATAGTGCTTCTGTCTAGATTTTAGATGATGATATTCCCGTTTCCAACGAAATCGTTAGAGCTATCCAAATATCCACTTACAGTTTCTACAAAAAGAGTGTTTCCAAACTGCTGCATCAAAAGAAAGGTTCAACTACTGTTAGTTGAGGACACACATCACAAAGAAGTTTGTGAGAATGCTTCTGTCTAGATTTTGAATGAAGATATTCCCTTTTCCATCGATATCGTTAAATCAACCCAAATATCAATTTGCAGAATCCACAGAAATAGAGTTTCAAAGCTGCTCTGTAAAAAGAAAGGATCCACTCTGTTAGCTGAGTACACACATCACAAACTTGTTTCTGAGAATCCTTCTGTCTCGGTTTTTATGGGAAGATATTTACTTTTTCACTGTAGGCATCAAAGCTGCTCCAAATGTCCACATCCAGATACTCCAGAAAGAGTGTTTCAAACCTGCTCTATGAAAGGGAATCTTCAACTCTATGAGTTGAATGCAGACATCAGAAAGAAATTTCTGAGAATGCTGCTGTCTACCTTTTATTTGAATTCCCGCTTCCAACGAAATCCTCCAGGCTATCCAAATATCCACTTGCAGATTCAACAAAAAGAGTGTTTCAAAACTGCTCTCTATCAATGGCAAAGTTCAACTCTGTTAGTTGAGGACACATATCACCAACAAGTTTCTGAGAATGCTTCTGTCTAGTTTTTATGGGTAGACATTCCCTTTTTCACCAAAGGAATCAAAGCGCTCCAAATGTCCACTTCCAGACACTACAAAAAGAGTGTTTCAAACGTGCTCTAAGAAAGGGAATGTTCAACTCTGTGACTTGAATGCAGATATCACACAGTAGTTTCTGAGAGTGCTTCTGTCTAGATTTTAGATGATGATATTCCCGTTTCCAACGAAATCATTAGAGCTATCCAAATATCCACTTACAGTTTCTACAAAAAGAGTGTTTCCAAACTGCTGCATCAAAAGAGAGGTTCCACTCTGTTAGCTGAGTACACACATCACAAACTTGTTTCTCAGAATCCTTCTGTCTCGTTTTTATGGGAAGATTATACTTTTTCACCATAGGCATCAAAGCGCTCCAAATGTCCACATCCAGATACTCCAGAAAGAGTGTTTCAAACCTGCTCTATGAAAGGGAATCTTCAACTCTATGAGTTGAATGCAGACATCAGAAAGAAATTTCTGAGAATGCTGCTGTCTAGTTTTTATACGAATTCCCGCTTCCAACGAAATCCTCCAAGCTATCCAAATATCCACTTGCAGATTCCACAAAAAGAGTGTTTCAAAACTGCTCTCTATCAATGGCAAAGTTCAACTCTGTTAGTTGAGGACACATATCACCAACAAGTTTCTGAGAATGCTCTGTCTATTTTTTATGGGAAGATATTTCCTTTTTCAGCGTAGGCGTCAAGGCGATCGAAATGTCCACTTCCACAAACTACAAAAAGAGTGTTTCAAACCTGCTCTATGAAAGGCCATGTTCATCCTGCTATGAGTTGAATGGAAATATCCGAAAGAAATTTCCTGGGAATGCTGGCTGTCTAGTGTTTATACGAATTCCCGCTTCCAACGAAATCCTCAAAGCAATCCAAATATCCACTTGCAGAATCCACAAAAAGAGTGTTTCAAAACTGCTCTATCAATAGAAAGGTTCAACTCTTTTAGTTGAGTACACACATCACCAACAAGTTTCTGAGAATGCTTCTGTCTGGCTTTTATTGGAAGACGTTTCCTTTTCACCAAAGGCATCAAAGCGCTCCAAATGTCCACTTCCAGATTCTTCCAAAAGAGTGTTTCAAACGTGCTCAAAGTAAGGGAATGTTCAACTCTGTGACTTGAATGCAGATATCACCAAGTAGTTTCTAATAGTGCTTCTGTCTACATTTTAGATGATGATATTCCCGTTTCCAACGAAATCGTTAGAGCTAAGCAAATATCCAGTTACAGTTTCTACCAAAAGGGTGTTTCCAAATTGCTGCATCAAAAGAAAGGTTCAACTCTGTTAGTTGAGGACACACATCACAAAGAAGTTTGTGAGAATGCTTCTGTCTAGATTTTAGATGATGATATTCCCGTTTCCAACGAAATCATTAGAGCTATCCAAATATCCACTTACAGTTTCTACAAAAAGTGTGTTTCCAAACTGCTGCATCCAAAGAGAGGTTCCACTCTGTTAGCTGAGTACACACATCACAAACTTGTTTCTCAGAATCCTCTGTCTCGTTTTTCTGGGAAGATATTTACTTTTTCACCGTAGGCATCAAAGCGCTCCAAATGTCCACATCCAGATACTCCAGAAAGAGTGTTTCAAACCTGCTCCTATGAAAGGGAATCTTCAACTCTATGAGTTGAATGCAGACATCAGAAAGAAATTTCTGAGAATGCTGGCTGTCTACCTTTTATTTGAATTCCCGCTTCCAACGAAATCCTCCAAGCTATCCAAATATCCACTTGCATTTTCCACAAAAAGAGTGTTTCAAAACTGCTCTATCAATAGAAATGTTCAACTCCTTTGGCTGGGTACACACATCACAAACAAGTTTCTGAGAATGCTTCTGTCTAGTTTTTATGGGAAGACATTTCCTTTTTCACCAAAGGCATCAAAGCGCTCCAAATGTCCACTTCCAGATACTACAAAAAGTGTGTTTCAAAAGTGCTGTAAGAAAGCGAATGTTCAACTCTGTGACTTGAATGCAGATATCACAAAGTAGTTTCTGAGAGTGCTTCTGTCTAGATTTTAGATGATGATATTCCCGTTTCCAACGAAGTCATTAGAGCTATCCAAATGTGCACTTACAGTTTCTACAAAAAGAGTGTTTCCAAACTGCTGTGTCAAAAGAGAGGTTCCACTCTGTTAGCTGAGTACACACATCACAAACTTGTTTCTGAGAATCCTTCTGTCTCGTTTTTATGGGAAGATATTTACCTTTTCACCGTAGGCATCAAAGCGCTACAAATGTCCACATCCAGATACTCCAGAAAGAGTGTTTCAAACCTGCTCTATGAAAGGGAATCTTCAACTCTATGAGTTGAATGCAGACATCAGAAAGAAATTTCTGAGAATGCTGCTGTCTACCTTTTATTTGAATTCCCGCTTCCAACGAAATCCTCCAAGCTATCCAAATATCCACCTGCAGATTCCACAAAAAGAGTGTTTCAAAACTGCTCTATCAATAGAAATGTTCAAGTCCTTTAGCTGGGTACACACATCACAAACAAGTTTCTGAGAATGCTTCTGTCTATTTTTTATGGGAAGATATTTCCTTTTTCACCGTAGGCGTCAAGGCGATCGAAATGTCCACTTCCACAAACTACAAAAAGAGTGTTTCAAACCTGCTCTATGAAAGGCCATGTTCATCTCTATGAGTTGAATGGAAATATCCGAAAGAAATTTCTGGGAATGCTGCTGTCTAGTTTTTATACGAATTCCCGCTTCCAACGAAATCCTCAAAGCAATCCAAATATCCACTTGCAGAATCCACAAAAAGAGTGTTTCAAAACTGCTCTATTAATAGAAAGGTTCAACTCTTTTAGTTGAGTACACACATCACAAACAAGTTTCTGAGAATGCTTCTGTCTGGCTTTTATTGGAAGACGTTTCCTTTTCACCAAAGGCATCAAAGCGCTCCAAATGTCCACTTCCAGATTCTTCCAAAAGAGTGTTTGAAACGTGCTCAAAGTAAGGGAATGTTCAACTCTGTGACTTGAATGCAGATATCACCAAGTAGTTTCTAATAGTGCTCCTGTCTAGATTTTAGATGATGATATTCCCGTTTCCAACGAAATCGTTAGAGCTATCCAAATATCCAGTTACAGTTTCTACCAAAAGGGTGTTTCCAAACTGCTGCATCAAAAGAAAGGTTCAACTCTGTTAGTTGAGGACACACATCACAAAGAAGTTTGTGAGAATGCTTCTGTCTAGATTTTGTATGACGATATTCCCTTTTCCAACGATATCGTTAAAGCAATCTAAATATCCATTTGCAGAATCCACAAAAATAGAGTTTCAAAGCTGCTCTGTAAAAAGAAAGGTTCCACTCTGTTAGCTGAGTACACACATCACAAACTTGTTTCTGAGAATCCTTCTGTCTCGTTTTTATGGGAAGATATTTACTTTTTCACCGTAGGCATCAAAGGGCTCCAAATGTCCACATCCAGATACTCCAGAAAGAGTGTTTCAAACCTGCTCTATGAAAGGGAATGTTCAACTCTATGAGTTGAATGCAGACATCAGAAAGAAATTTCTGAGAATGCTGCTGTCTACCTTTTATTTGAATTCCCGCTTCCAACGAAATCCTCCAAGCTATCCAAATATCCACCTGCATTTTCCACAAAAAGAGTGTTTCAAAACTGCTCTATCAATAGAAATGTTCAACTCCTTTGGCTGGGTACACACATCACAAACAAGTTTCTGAGAATGCTTCTGTCTAGTTTTTATGGGTAGACATTCCCTTTTTCACCAAAGGAATCAAAGCGCTCCAAAAGTCCACTTCCAGACACTACAAAAAGAGTGTTTCAAACGTGCTCTAAGAAAGCGAATGTTCAACTCTGTGACTTGAATGCAGATATCACAAAGTAGTTTCTGAGAGTGCTTCTGTCTAGATTTTAGATGATGATATTCCCGTTTCCAACGAAATCATTAGAGCTATCCAAATATCCACTTACAGTTTCTACAAAAAGAGTGTTTCCAAACTGCTGCATCAAAGGAGAGGTTCCAATCTGTTAGCTGAGTACACACATCACAAACTTGTTTCTCAGAATCCTTCTGTCTCGTTTTTATGGGAAGATATTTACTTTCTCACCGTAGGCATCAAAGCGCTCCAAATGTCCACATCCAGATACTCCAGAAAGAGTGTTTCAAACCTGCTCTATGAAAGGGAATCTTCAACTCTATGAGTTGAATGCAGACATCAGAAAGAAATTTCTGAGAATGCTGCTGTCTACCTTTTATTTGAATTCCCGCTTCCAACGAAATCCTCCAAGCTATCCAAATATCCACTTGCAGATTCCACAAAAAGAGTGTTTCAAAACTGCTCTCTATCAATGGCAAAGTTCAACTCTGTTAGTTGAGGACACATATCACCAACAAGTTTCTGAGAATGCTTCTGTCTATTTTTTATGGGAAGATATTTCCTTTATCACCGTAGGCGTCAAGGCGATCGAAATGTCCACTTCCACAAACTACAAAAAGAGTGTTTCAAACCTGCTCTATGAAAGCCCATGTTCATCTCTATGAGTTGAATGGAAATATCCGAAAGAAATTTCTGGGAATGCTGCTGTCTAGTGTTTATACGAATTCCCGCTTCCAACGAAATCCTCAAAGCAATCCAAATATCCACTTGCAGAATCCACAAAAAGAGTGTTTCAAAACTGCTCTATCAATAGAAAGGTTCAACTCTTTTAGTTGAGTACACACATCACGAACAAGTTTCTGAGAATGCTTCTGTCTGGCTTTTATTGGAAGACGTTTCCTTTTCACCAAAGGCATCAAAGCGCTCCAAATGTCCACTTCCAGATACTTCCAAAAGAGTGTTTCAAACGTGCTCAAAGTAAGGGAATGTTCAACTCTGTGACTTGAATGCAGATATCACCAAGTAGTTTCTAATAGTGCTTCTGTCTAGATTTTAGATGATGATATTCCCGTTTCCAACGAAATCGTTAGAGCTATCCAAATATCCACTTACAGTTGCTACAAAAACAGTGTTTCCAAACTGCTGCATCAAAAGAAAGGTTCAACTCTGTTAGTTGAGGACACACGTCACAAAGAAGTTTGTGAGAATGCTTCTGTCTAGATTTTGTATGAGGATATTCCCTTTTCCAACGATATCGTTAAAGCAATCTAAATATCAATTTGCAGAATCCACAAAAATAGACTTTCAAAGCTGCTCTGTAAAAAGAAAGGTTCCACTCCGTTAGCTGAGTACACACATCACAAACTTGTTTCTCAGAATCCTTCTGTCTCGTTTTTATGGGAAGATATTTACTTTTCCACCGTAGGCATCAAAGCGCTCCAAATGTCCACATCCAGATACTCCAGAACGAGTGTTTCAAACCTGCTCTATGAAAGGGAATCTTCAACTCTATGAGTTGAATGCAGACATCAGAAAGAAATTTCTGAGAATGCTGCTGTCTACCTTTTATTTGAATTCCCGCTTCCAACGAAATCCACCAAGCTATCCAAATATCCACCTGCATTTTCCACAAAAAGAGTGTTTCAAACCTGCTCTATCAATAGAAATGTTCAACTCCTTTGGCTGGGTACACACATCACAAACAAGTTTCTGAGAATGCTTCTGTCTAGTTTTTATGGGTAGACATTCCCTTTTTCACCAAAGGAATCAAAGCGCTCCAAATGTCCACTTCCAGACACTACAAAAAGAGTGTTTCCAACGTGCTCTAAGAAAGCGAATGTTCAACTCTGTGACTTGAATGCAGATATCACAAAGTAGTTTCTGAGAGGGCTTCTGTCTAGATTTTAGATGATGATATTCCCGTTTCCAACGAAATCATTAGAGCTATCCAAATATCCACTTACAGTTTCTACAAAAAGAGTGTTTCCAAACTGCTGCATCAAAAGAGAGGCTCCACTCTGTTAGCTGAGTACACACATCACAAACTTGTTTCTCAGAATCCTTCTGTCTCGTTTTTATGGGAAGATATTTACTTTTTCACCGTAGGCATCAAAGCGCTCCAAATGTCCACATCCAGATACTCCAGAAAGAGTGTTTCAAACCTGCTCTATGAAAGGGAATGTTCAACTCTATGAGTTGAATGCAGACATCAGAAAGAAATTTCTGAGACTGCTGCTGTCTACCTTTTATTTGAATTCCCGCTTCCAACGAAATCCTCCAAGCTATCCAAATATCCACTTGCAGATTCCACAAAAAGAGTGTTTCAAAACTGCTCTCTATCAATGGCAAAGTTCAACTCTGTTAGTTAAGGACACATATCACCAACAAGTTTCTGAGAATGCTTCTGTCTATTTTTTATGGGAAGATATTTCCTTTTTCACCGTAGGCGTCAAGGCGATCGAAATGTCCACTTCCACAAACTACAAAAAGAGTGTTTCAAACCTGCTCTATGAACGGCCATGTTCATCTCTATGAGTCGAATGGAAATATCCGAAAGAAATTTCTGGGAATGCTGCTGTCTAGTTTTTATACGAATTCCCGCTTCCAACGAAATCCTCAAAGCAATCCAAATATCCAATTGCAGAATCCACAAAAAGAGTGTTTCAAAACTGCTCTATCAATAGAAAGGTTCAACTCTTTTAGTTGAGTACACACATCACAAACAAGTTTCTGAGAATGCTTCTGTCTGGCTTTTATTGGAAGACGTTTCCTTTTCACCAAAGGCATCAAAGCGCTCCAAATGTCCACTTCCAGATTCTTCCAAAAGAGTGTTTCAAACGTGCTCAAAGTAAGGGAATGTTCAACTCTTTGACTTGAATGCAGATATCACCAAGTAGTTTCTAATAGTGCTTCTGTCTAGATTTTAGATGATGATATTCCCGTTTCCAACGAAATCGTTAGAGCTATCCAAATATCCACTTACAGTTGCTACAAAAACAGTGTTTCCAAACTGCTGCATCAAAAGAAAGGTTCAACTCTGTTAGTTGAGGACACACGTCACAAAGAAGTTTGTGAGAATGCTTCTGTCTAGATTTTGTATGACGATATTCCCTTTTCCAACGATATCGTTAAAGCAATCTAAATATCAATTTGCAGAATCCACAAAAATAGAGTTTCAAAGCTGCTCTGTAAAAAGAAAGGTTCCACTCTGTTAGCTGAGTACACACATCACAAACTTGATTCTGAGAATCCTTCTGTCTCGTTTTTATGGGAAGATATTTACTTTTTCACCGTAGGCATCAAAGCGCTCCAAATGTCCACATCCAGATACTCCAGAAAGAGTGTTTCAAACCTGCTCTATGAAAGGGAATCTTCAACTCTATGAGTTGAATGCAGACATCAGAAAGAAATTTCTGAGAATGCTGCTGTGTACCTTTTATTTGAATTCCCGCTTCCAACGAAATCCTCCAAGCTATCCAAATATCCACCTGCATTTTCCACAACAAGAGTGTTTCAAAACTGCTCTATCAATAGAAATGTTCAACTCCTTTGGCTGGGTACACACATCACAAACAAGTTTCTGAGAATGCTTCTGTCTAGTTTTTATGGGAAGACGTTCTCTTTTTCACCAAAGGCATCAAAGCGCTCCAAATGTCCACTTCCAGACACTACAAAAAGAGTGTTTCCAACGTGCTCTAAGAAAGCGAATATTCAACTCTGTGACTTGAATGCAGATATCACAAAGTAGTTTCTGAGAGGGCTTCTGTCTAGATTTTAGATGATGATATTCCCGTTTCCAACAAAATCATTAGAGCTATCCAAATATCCACTTACAGTTTCTACAAAAAGAGTGTTTCCAAACTGCTGCATCAAAAGAGAGGTTCCACTCTGTTAGCTGAGTACACACATCACAAACTTGTTTCTCAGAATCCTTCTGTCTCGTTTTTATGGGAAGATATTTACTTTTTCACCGTAGGCATCAAAGCGCTCCAAATGTCCACATCCAGATACTACAGAAAGAGTATTTCAAACCTGCTCTATGAAAGGGAATGTTCAACTCTATGAGTTGAATGCAGACATCAGAAAGAAATTTCTGAGAATGCTGGCTGTCTACCTTTTATTTGAATTCCCGCTTCCAACGAAATCCTCCAAGCTATCCAAATATCCACTTGCAGATTCCACAAAAAGAGTGTTTCAAAACTGCTCTCTATCAATGGCAAAGTTCAACTCTGTTAGTTGAGGACACATATCACCAACAAGTTTCTGAGAATGCTCTGTCTATTTTTTATGGGAAGATATTTCCTTTTTCACCGTAGGCGTCAAGGCGATCGAAATGTCCACTTCCACAAACTACAAAAAGAGTGTTTCAAACCTGCTCTATGAAAGGCCATGTTCATCTCTATGAGTCGAATGGAAATATCCGAAAGAAATTTCTGGGAATGCTGGCTGTCTAGTTTTTATACGAATTCCCGCTTACAACGAAATCCTCAAAGCAATCCAAATATCCACTTGCAGAATCCACAAAAAGAGTGTTTCAAAACTGCTCTATCAATAGAAAGGTTCAACTCTTTTAGTTGAGTACACACATCACGAACAAGTTTCTGAGAATGCTTCTGTCTGGCTTTTATTGGAAGACGTTTCCTTTTCACCAAAGGCATCAAAGCGCTCCAAATGTCCACTTCCAGATTCTTCCAAAAGAGTGTTTGAAACGTGCTCAAAGTAAGGGAATGTTCAACTCTGTGACTTGAATGCAGATATCACCAAGTAGTTTCTAATAGTGCTTCTGTCTAAATTTTAGATGACGATATTCCCGTTTCCAACGAAATCGTTACAGCTATCCAATTATCCACTTACAGTTTCTACAAAAAGAGTGTTTCCAAACTGCTGCATCAAAAGAAAGGTTCAACTCTGTTAGTTGAGGACACACATCACAAAGAAGTTTGTGAGAATGCTTCTGTGTAGATTTTAGATGATGATATTCCCGTTTCCAACGAAATCATTAGAGCTATCCAAATATCCACTTACAGTTTCTACAAAAAGAGTGTTTCCAAACTGCTGCATCAAAAGAGAGGTTCCACTCTGTTAGCTGAGTACACACATCACAAACTTGTTTCTCAGAATCCTTGTCTGTCTCGTTTTTATGGGAGGATATTTACTTTTTCACCGTAGGCATCAAAGCCCTCCAAATGTCCACATCCAGATACTCCAGAAAGAGTGTTTCAAACCTGCTCTATGAAAGGGAATCTTCAACTCTATGAGTTGAATGCAGACATCAGAAAGAAATTTCTGAGAATGCTGCTGTCTACCTTTTATTTGAATTCCCGCTTCCAACGAAATCCTCCAAGCTATCCAAATATCCACTTGCATTTTCCACAAAAAGAGTGTTTCAAAACTGCTCTATCAATAGAAATGTTCAACTCCTTTAGCTGGGTACACACATCACAAACAAGTTTCTGAGAATGCTTCTGTCTAGTTTTTATGGGAAGACATTCCCTTTTTTACCAAAGGCATCAAAGCGCTCCAAATGTCCACTTCCAGACACTACAAAAAGAGTGTTTCAAACGTGCTCTAAGAAAGCGAATGTTCAACTCTGTGACTTGAATGCAGATATCACAAAGTAGTTTCTGAGAGGGCTTCTGTCTAGATTTTAGATGATGATATTCCCGTTTCCAACGAAATCATTAGAGCTATCCAAATATCCACTTACAGTTTCTACAAAAAGAGTGTTTCCAAACTGCTGCATCAAAAGAGAGGTTCCACTCTGTTAGCTGAGTACACACAACACAAACTTGTTTCTCAGAATCCTTCTGTCTCGTTTTTATGGGAAGATATTTACTTTCTCACCGTAGGCCTCAAAGCGCTCCAAATGTCCACATCCAGATACTCCAGAAAGAGTGTTTCAAACCTGCTCTATGAAAGGGAATCTTCAACTCTATGAGCTGAATCAGACATCAGAAAGAAATTTCTGAGAATGCTGCTGTCTACCTTTTATTTGAATTCCCGCTTCCAACGAAATCCTCCAAGCTATCCAAATATCCACTTGCAGATTCCACAAAAAGAGTGTTTCAAAACTGCTCTCTATCAATGGCAAAGTTCAACTCTGTTAGTTGAGGACACATATCACCAACAAGTTTCTGAGAATGCTTCTGTCTATTTTTTATGGGAAGATATTTCCTTTTTCACCGTAGGCGTCAAGGCGATCGAAATGTCCACTTCCACAAACTACAAAAAGAGTGTTTCAAACCTGCTCTATGAAAGGCCATGTTCATCTCTATGAGTCGAATGGGAATTATCCGAAAGAAATTTCTGGGAATGCTGCTGTCTAGTTTTTATACGAATTGCCGCTTCCAACGAAATCCTCAAAGCAATCCAAATATCCACTTGCAGAATCCACAAAAAGAGTGTTTCAAAACTGCTCTATCAATAGAAAGGTTCAACTCTTTTAGTTGAGTACACACATCACAAACAAGTTTACTGAGAATGCTCTGTCTGGCTTTTATTGGAAGACGTTTCCTTTTCACCAAAGGCATCAAAGCGCTCCAAATGTCCACTTCCAGATTCTTCCAAAAGAGTGTTTCAAACGTGCTCGAAGTAAGGGAATGTTCAACTCTGTGACTTGAATGCAGATATCACCAAGTAGTTTCTAATAGTGCTTCTGTCTAGATTTTAGATGATGATATTCCCGTTTCCAACGAAATCGTTAGAGCTATCCAAATATCCACTTACAGTTTCTACAAAAAGAGTGTTTCCAAACTGCTGCATCAAAAGAAAGGTTCAACTCTGTTAGTTGAGGACACACATCACAAAGAAGTTTGTGAGAATGCTTCTGTCTAGATTTTGTATGACCATATTCCCTTTTCCAGCGATATCATTAAAGCAATCTAAATATCCATTTGCAGAATCCACAAAAATAGAGTTTCAAAGCTGCTCTGTAAAAAGAAAGGTTCCACTCTGTTAGCTGAGTACACACATCACAAACTTGTTTCTGAGAATCCTTCTGTCTCGTTTTTATGGGAAGATATTTACTTTTTCACCGTAGGCATCAAAGCGCTCCAAATGTCCACATCCAGATACTCCAGAAAGAGTGTTTCAAACCTGCTCTATGAAAGGGAATCTTGAACTCTATGAGTTGAATGCAGACATCAGAAAGAAATTTCTGAGAATGCTGCTGTCTACCTTTTATTTGAATTCCCGCTTCCAACGAAATCCTCCAAGCTATCCAAATATCCACCTGCATTTTCCACAAAAAGAGCGTTTCAAAACTGCTCTATCAATAGAAATGTTCAACTCCTTTGGCTGGGTACACACATCACAAACAAGTTTCTGAGAATGCTTCTGTCTACTTTTTATGGGAAGACGTTCCCTTTTTCACCAAAGGCATCAAAGTGCTCCAAATGTCCACTTCCAGACACTACAAAAAGAGTGTTTCCAACGTGCTCTAAGAAAGCGAATGTTCAACTCTGTTACTTGAATGCAGATATCACAAAGTAGTTTCTGAGAGGGCTTCTGTCTAGATTTTAGATGATGATATTCCCGTTTCCAACGAAATCATTAGAGCTATCCAAATATCCACATACAGTTTCTACAAAAAGAGTGTTTCCAAACTGCTGCATCAAAAGACAGGTTCCACTCTGTTAGCTGAGTACACACATCACAAACTTGTTTCTCAGAATCCTGCTGTCTACCTTTTATTTGAATTCCCGCTTCCAACGAAATCCTCCAAGCTATTCAAATATCCACTTGCATTTTCCACAAAAAGAGTGTTTCAAAACTGCTCTATCAATAGAAACGTTCAACTCCTTTAGCTGGGTACACACATCACAAACAAGTTTCTGAGAATGCTTCTGTCTATTTTTTATGGGAAGATATTTCCTTTTTCACCGTAGGCGTCAAGGCGATCGAAATGTCCACTTCCACAAACTACAAAAAGAGTGTTTCAATATGAAAGGCCATGTTCATCTCTATGAGTTGAATGGAAATATCCGAAAGAAATTTCTGGGAATGCTGCTGTCTAGTGTTTATACGAATTCCCGCTTCCAACGAAATCCTCAAGGCAATCCAAATATCCACTTGCAGAATCCACAAAAAGAGGGTTTCAAAACTGCTCTATCAATAGAAAGGTTCAACTCTTTTAGTTGAGTACACACATCACAAACAAGTTTCTGAGAATGCTTCTGTCTGGCTTTTATTGGAAGACGTTTCCTTTTCACCAAAGGCATCAAAGCGCTCCAAATGTCCACTTCCAGATTCTTCCAAAAGAGTGTTTCAAACGTGCTCAAAGTAAGGGAATGTTCAACTCTTTGACTTGAATGCAGATATCACCAAGTAGTTTCTAATAGTGCTTCTGTCTAGATTTTAGATGATGATATTCCCGTTTCCAACGAAATCGTTAGAGCTATCCAAATATCCACTTACAGTTTCTACAAAAAGAGTGTTTCCAAACTGCTGCATCAAAAGAAAGGTTCAACTCTGTTAGTTGAGGACACACATCACAAAGAAGTTTGTGAGAATGCTTCTGTCCAGATTTTGTATGACGATATTCCCTTTTCCAACGATATCGTTAAAGCAATCTAAATATCCATTTGCAGAATCCACAAAAATAGAGTTTCAAAGCTGCTCTGTAAAAAGAATGGTTCCACTCTGTTAGCTGAGTACACACATCACAAACTTGTTTCTGAGAATCCTTCTGTCTCGTTTTTATGGGAAGATATTTACTTTTTCACCTTAGGCATCAAAGCGCTCCAAATGTCCACATCCAGATACTCCAGAAAGAGTGTTTCAAACCTGCTCTATGAAAGGGAATCTTCAACTCTATGAGTTGAATGCAGACATCAGAAAGAAATTTCTGAGAATGCTGTTGTCTACCTTTTATTTGAAATCCCGCTTCCAACGAAATCCTCCAAGCTATCCAAATATCCACTTGCATTTTCCACAAAAAGAGTGTTTCAAAACTGCTCTATCAATAGAAATGTTCAACTCCTTTAGCTGGGTACACACATCACAAACAAGTTTCTGAGAATGCTTCTGTCTAGTTTTTATGGGAAGACGTTCCCTTTTTCACCAAAGGCATCAAAGCGCTCCAAATGTCCACTTCCAGACACTACAAAAAGAGTGTTTCAAACGTGCTCTAAGAAAGCAAATGTTCAACTCTGTGACTTGAATGCAGATATCACAAAGTAGTTTCTGAGAGTGCTTCTGTCTAGATTTTAGATGATGATATTCCCGTTTCCAACGAAATCATTAGAGCTATCCAAATATCCACTTACAGTTTCCACAAAAAGAGTGTTTCCAAACTGCTGCATCAAAAGAGAGGTTCCACTCTGTTAGCTGAGTACACACATCACAAACTTGTTTCTGAGAATCCTTCTGTCTCGTTTTTATGGGAAGATATTTACTTTTTCACCGTAGGCATCAAAGCGCTCCAAATGTCCACATCCAGATACTCCAGAACGAGTGTTTCAAACCTGCTCTATGAAAGGGAATGTTCAACTCTATGAGTTGAATGCAGACATCAGAAAGAAATTTCTGAGAATGCTGCTGTCTACCTTTTATTTGAATTCCCGCTTCCAACGAAATCCTCCAAGCTATCCAAATATCCACTTGCAGATTCAGGAAAAAGAGTGTTTCAAAACTGCTCTCTATCAATGGCAAAGTTCAACTCTGTTAGTTGAGGACACATATCACCAACAAGTTTCTGAGAATGCTTCTGTCTATTTTTTATGGGAAGATATTTCCTTTTTCACCGTAGGCGTCAAGGCGATCGAAATGTCCACTTCCACAAACTACAAAAAGAGTGTTTCAAACCTGCTCTATGAAAGGCCATGTTCATCTCTATGAGTCGAATGGAAATATCCGAAAGAAATTTCTGGGAATGCTGCTGTCTAGTTTTTATATGAATTCCCGCTTCCAACGAAAGCCTCAAAGCAATCCAAATATCCACTTGCAGAATCCACAAAAAGAGTGTTTCAAAACTGCTCTATCAATAGAAAGGTTCAACTCTTTTAGTTGAGTACACACATCACCAACAAGTTTCTGAGAATGCTTCTGTCTGGCTTTTATTGGAAGACGTTTCCTTTTCACCAAAGGCATCAAAGCGCTCCAAATGTCCACTTCCAGATTCTTCCAAAAGAGTGTTTCAAACGTGCTCAAAGTAAGGGAATGTTCAACTCTTTGACTTGAATGCAGATATCACCAAGTAGTTTCTAATAGTGCTTCTGTCTAGATTTTAGATGATGATATTCCCGTTTCCAACGAAATCGTTAGAGCTATCAAAATATCCACTTACAGTTTCTACCAAAAGGGTGTTTCCAAACTGCTGCATCAAAAGAAAGGTTCAACTCTGTTAGTTGAGGACACACATCACAAAGAAGTTTGTGAGAATGCTTCTGTCTAGATTTTGTATGACGATATTCCCTTTTCCAACGATATCGTTAAAGCAATCTAAATATCCATTTGCAGAATCCACAAAAATAGAGTTTCAAAGCTGCTCTGTAAAAAGAAAGGTTCCACTCTGTTAGCTGAGTACACACATCACAAACTTGTTTCTCAGAATCCTTCTGTCTCGTTTTTCTGGGAAGATATTTACTTTTTCACCGTAGGCATCAAAGCGCTCCAAATGTCCACATCCAGATACTCCAGAAAGAGTGTTTCAAACCTGCTCTATGAAAGGGAATCTTCAACTCTGTGAGTTGAATGCAGACATCAGAAAGAAATTTCTGAGAATGCTGCTGTCTACCTTTTATTTGAATTCCCGCTTCCAACGAAATCCTCCAAGCTATCCAAATATCCACTTGCATTTTCCACAAAAAGAGTGTTTCAAAACTGCTCTATCAATAGAAATGTTCAACTCCTTTAGCTGGGTACACACATCACAAACAAGTTTCTGAGAATGCTTCTGTCTACTTTTTATGGGAAGACATTCCCTTTTTCACCAAAGGCATCAAAGCGCTCCAAATGTCCACTTCCAGACACTACAAAAAGAGTGTTTCCAACGTGCTCTAAGAAAGCGAATGTTCAACTCTGTGACTTGAATGCAGATATCACAAAGTAGTTTCTGAGAGGGCTTCTTTCTAGATTTTAGATGATGATATTCCCGTTTCCAACGAAATCATTAGAGCTATCCAAATATCCACTTACAGTTTCTACAAAAAGAGTGTTTCCAAACTGCTGCATCAAAAGAGAGGTTCCACTCTGTTAGCTGAGTACACACATCACAAACTTGTTTCTCAGAATCCTTCTGTGTCGTTTTTATGGGAAGATATTTACTTTTTCACCGTAGGCATCAAAGCGCTCCAAATGTCCACATCCAGATACTCCAGAAAGAGTGTTTCAAACCTGCTCTATGAAAGGGAATCTTCAACTCTATGAGTTGAATGCAGACATCAGAAAGAAATTTCTGAGAATGCTGCTGTCTACTTTTTATTTGAATTCCCGCTTCCAACGAAATCCTCCAAGCTATCCAAATATCCACTTGCAGATTCCACAAAAAGAGTGTTTCAAAACTGCTCTCTATCAATGGCAAAGTTCAACTCTGTTAGTTGAGGACACATATCACCAACAAGTTTCTGAGAATGCTTCTGTCTATTTTTTATGGGAAGATATTTCCTTTTTCACCGTAGGCGTCAAGGCGATCGAAATGTCCACTTCCACAAACTACAAAAAGAGTGTTTCAAACCTGCTCTATGAAAGGCCATGTTCATCTCTATGAGTTGAATGGAAATATCCGAAAGAAATTTCTGGGAATGCTGCTGTCTAGTGTTTATACGAATTCCCGCTTCCAACGAAATCCTCAAAGCAATCCAAATATCCACTTGCAGAATCCACAAAAAGAGTGTTTCAAAACTGCGCTATCCAAAGAAAGGTTCAACTCTTTTAGTTGAGTACACACATCACGAACAAGTTTCTGAGAATGCTTCAGTCTGGCTTTTATTGGAAGACGTTTCCTTTTCACCAAAGGCATCAAAGCGCTCCAAATGTCCACTTCCAGATTCTTCCAAAAGAGTGTTTGAAACGTGCCCAAAGTAAGGGAATGTTCAACTCTGTGACTTGAATGCAGATATCACCAAGTAGTTTCTAATAGTGCTTCTGTCTAGATTTTAGATGATGATATTCCCGTTTCCAACGAAATCGTTAGAGCTATCCAAATATCCACTTACAGTTTCTACAAAAAGAGTGTTTCCAAACTGCTGCATCAAAAGAAAGGTTCAACTCTGTTAGTTGAGGACACACATCACAAAGAAGTTTGTGAGAATGCTTCTGTCTAGATTTTGTATGACCATATTCCCTTTTCCAGCGATATCATTAAAGCAATCTAAATATCCATTTGCAGAATCCACAAAAATAGAGTTTCAAAGCTGCTGCTGTAAAAAGAAAGGTTCCACTCTGTTAGCTGAGTACACACATCACAAACTTGTCTCTCAGAATCCTCTGTCTCGTTTTTATGGGAAGATATTTACTTTTTCACCGTAGGCATCAAAGCGCTCCAAATGTCCACATCCAGATACTCCAGAAAGAGTGTTTCAAACCTGCTCTATGAAAGGGAATCTTCAACTCTATGAGTTGAATGCAGACATCAGAAAGAAATTTCTGAGAATGCTGCTGTCTACCTTTTATTTGAATTCCCGCTTCCAACGAAATCCTCCAAGCTATCCAAATATCCACCTGCATTTTCCACAAAAAGAGTGTTTCAAAACTGCTCTATCAATAGAAATGTTCAACTCCTTTGGCTGGGTACACACATCACAAACAAGTTTCTGAGAATGCTTCTGTCTAGTTTTTATGGGTAGACATTCCCTTTTTCACCAAAGGAATCAAAGCCCTCCAAATGTCCACTTCCAGACACTACAAAAAGAGTGTTTCAAACGTGCTCTAAGAAAGCGAATGTTCAACTCTGTGACTTGAATGCAGATATCACAAAGTAGTTTCTGAGAGGGCTTCTGTCTAGATTTTAGATGATGATATTCCCGTTTCCAACGAAATCATTAGAGCTATCCAAATATCCACTTACAGTTTCTACAAAAAGAGTGTTTCCAAACTGCTGCATCAAAAGAGAGGTTCCACTCTGTTAGCTGAGTACACACATCACAAACTTGTTTCTCAGAATCCTTCTGTCTCGTTTTTATGGGAAGATATTTACTTTTTCACCGTAGGCATCAAAGCGCTCCAAATGTCCACATCCAGATACTACAGAAAGAGTATTTCAAACCTGCCCTATGAAAGGGAATGTTCAACTCTATGAGTTGAATGCAGAGATCAGAAAGAAATTTCTGAGAATGCTGCTGTCTACCCTTTATTTGAATTCCCGCTTCCAACGAAATCCTCCAAGCTATCCAAATATCCACTTGCAGATTCCACAAAAAGAGTGTTTCAAAACTGCTCTCTATCAATGGCAAAGTTCAACTCTGTTAGTTGAGGACACATATCACCAACAAGTTTCTGAGAATGCTTCTGTCTATTTTTTATGGGAAGATATTTCCTTTTTCACCGTAGGCGTCAAGGCGATCGAAATGTCCACTTCCACAAACTACAAAAAGAGTGTTTCAAACCTGCTCTATGAAAGGCCATGTTCATCTCTATGAGTCGAATGGAAATATCCGAAAGAAATTTCTGGGAATGCTGCTGTCTAGTGTTTATACGAATTCCCGCTTCCAACGAAATCCTCAACCAATCCAAATATCCACTTGCAGAATCCACAAAAAGAGTGTTTCAAAACTGCTCTATCAATAGAAAGGTTCAACTCTTTTAGTTGAGTACACACATCACAAACAAGTTTCTGAGAATGCTTCTGTCTGGCTTTTATTGGAAGACGTTTCCTTTTCACCAAAGGCATCAAAGCGCTCCAAATGTCCACTTCCAGATTCTTCCAAAAGAGTGTTTCAAACGTGCTCAAAGTAAGGGAATGTTCAACTCTGTGACTTGAATGCAGATATCACCAAGTAGTTTCTAATAGTGCTTCTGTCTAGATTTTAGATGATGATATTCCCGTTTCCAACGAAATCGTTAGAGCTAAGCAAATATCCAGTTACAGTTTCTACCAAAAGGGTGTTTCCAAATTGCTGCATCAAAAGAAAGGTTCAACTACTGTTAGTTGAGGACACACATCACAAAGAAGTTTGTGAGAATGCTTCTGTCTAGATTTTGTATGACGATATTCCCTTTTCCAATGATATCGTTAAAGCAATCTAAATATCAATTTGCAGAATCCACAAAAATAGAGTTTCAAAGCTGCTCTGTAAAAAGAAAGGTTCCACTCCGTTAGCTGAGTACACACATCACAAACTTGTTTCTCAGAATCCTGCTGTCTACCTTTTATTTGAACTCCCGCTTCCAACGAAATCCTCCAAGCTATCCAAATATCCACTTGCATTTTCCACAAAAAGAGTGCTTCAAAACTGCTCTATCAATAAATGTTCAACTCCTTTAGCTGGGTGCACACATCACAAACAAGTTTCTGAGAATGCTTCTGTCTGGTTTTTATGGGAAGACATTCCCTTTTTCACCAAAGGCATCAAAGCGCTCCAAATGTCCACTTCCAGACACTACAAAAAGAGTGTTTCCAACGTGCTCTAAGAAAGCGAATGTTCAACTCTGTGACTTGAATGCAGATATCACAAAGTAGTTTCTGAGAGGGCTTCTGTCTAGATTTTAGATGATGATATTCCCGTTTCCAACGAAATCATTAGAGCTATCCAAATATCCACTTACAGTTTCTACAAAAAGAGTGTTTCCAAACTGCTGCATCAAAAGAGAGGTTCCACTCTGTTAGCTGAGTACACACATCACAAACTTGTTTCTCAGAATCCTTCTGTCTCGTTTTTATGGGAAGATATTTACTTTTTCACCGTAGGCATCAAAGCACTCCAAATGTCCACATCCAGATACTCCAGAAAGAGTGTTTCAAACCTGCTCTATGAAAGGGAATCTTCAACTCTATGAGTTGAATGCAGACATCAGAAAGAAATTTCTGAGAATGCTGCTGTCTACCTTTTATTTGAATTCCCGCTTCCAACGAAATCCTCCAAGCTATCCAAATATCCACTTGCAGATTCCACAAAAAGAGTGTTTCAAAACTGCTCTCTATCAATGGCAAAGTTCAACTCTGTTAGTTGAGGACACATATCACCAACAAGTTTCTGAGAATGCTTCTGTCTATTTTTTATGGGAAGATATTTCCTTTTTCACCGTAGGCGTCAAGGCGATCGAAATGTCCACTTCCACAAACTACAAAAAGAGTGTTTCAAACCTGCTCTATGAAAGGCGATGTTCATCTCTATGAGTTGAATGGAAATATCCGAAAGAAATTTCTGGGAATGCTGCTGTCTAGTTTTTATACGAATTCCCGCTTCCAACGAAATCCTCAAAGGAATCCAAATATCCACTTGCAGAATCCACAAAAAGAGTGTTTCAAAACTGCTCTATCAATAGAAAGGTTCAACTCTTTTAGTTGAGTACACACATCACAAACAAGTTTCTGAGAATGCTTCTGTCTGGCTTGTATTGGAAGACGTTTCCTTTTCACCAAAGGCATCAAAGCGCTCCAAATGTCCACTTCCAGATTCTTCCAAAAGAGTGTTTCAAACGTGCTCAAAGTAAGGGAATGTTCAACTGCTGTGACTTGAATGCAGATATCACCAAGTAGTTTCTAATAGTGCTTCTGTCTACATTTTAGATGATGATATTCCCGTTTCCAACAAAATCGTTAGAGCTATCCAAATATCCAGTTACAGTTTCTACCAAAAGGGTGTTTCCAAATTGCTGCATCAAAAGAAAGGTTCAACTCTGTTAGTTGAGGACACACATCACAAAGAAGTTTGTGAGAATGCTTCTGTCTAGATTTTGTATGACGATATTCCCTTTTCCAACGATATCGTTAAAGCAATCTAAATATCAATTTGCAGAATCCACAAAAATAGAGTTTCAAAGCTGCTCTGTAAAAAGAAAGGTTCCACTCTGTTAGCTGAGTACACACATCACAAACTTGTTTCTGAGAAACCTTCTGTCTCGTTTTTATGGGAAGATATTTACTTTTCCACTGTAGGCATCAAAGCGCTCCAAATGTCCACATCCAGATACTCCAGAACGAGTGTTTCAAACCTGCTCTATGAAAAGGAATCTTCAACTCTATGAGTTGAATGCAGAATCAGAAAGAAATTTCTGAGAATGCTGCTGTCTACCTTTTATTTGAACTCCCGCTTCCAACGAAATCTTCCAAGCTATCCAAATATCCACTTGCATTTTCCACAAAAAGAGTGCTTCAAAACTGCTCTATCAATAGAAATGTTCAACTCCTTTAGCTGGGTGCACACATCACAAACAAGTTTCTGAGAATGCTTCTGTCTAGTTTTTATGGGTAGACATTCCCTTTTTCACCAAAGGAATCAAAGCGCTCCAAATGTCCACTTCCAGACACTACAAAAAGAGTGTTTCCAACGTGCTCTAAGAAAGCGAATGTTCAACTCTGTGACTTGAAGGCAGAAATCACAAAGTAGTTTCTGAGAGGGCTTCTGTCTAGATTTTAGATGATGATATTCCCGTTTCCAACGAAATCATTAGAGCTATCCAAATATCCACTTACGGTTTCTACAAAAAGAGTGTTTCCAAACTGCTGCATCAAAAGAGAGGTTCCACTCTGTTAGCTGAGTACACACATCACAAACTTGTTTCTGAGAATCCTTTCTGTCTCGTTTTTATGGGAAGATATTTACTTTCTCACCTTAGGCCTCAAAGCGCTCCAAATGTCCACATCCAGATACTCCAGAAAGAGTGTTTCAAACCTGCTTTATGAAAGGGAATCTTCAACTCTATGAGTTGAATGCAGACATCAGAAAGAAATTTCTGAGAATGCTGCTGTCTACCTTTTATTTGAATTCCCGCTTCCAACGAAATCCTCCAAGCTATCCAAATATCCACTTGCAGATTCCACAAAAAGAGTGTTTCAAAACTGCTCTCTATCAATGGCAAAGTTCAACTCTGTTAGTTGAGGACACATATCACCAACAAGTTTCTGAGAATGCTTCTGTCTATTTTTTATGGGAAGATATTTCCTTTTTCACCGTAGGCGTCAAGGCGATCGAAATGTCCACTTCCACAAACTACAAAAAGAGTGTTTCAAACCTGCTCTATGAAAGGCCATGTTCATCTCTATGAGTTGAATGGAAATATACGAAAGAAATTTCTGGGAATGCTGCTGTCTAGTTTTTATACGAATTCCCGCTTCCAACGAAATCCTCAAAGCAATCCAAATATCCACTTGCAGAATCCACAAAAAGAGTGTTTCAAAACTGCTCTATCAATAGAAAGGTTCAACTCTTTTAGTTGAGTACACACATCACAAACAAGTTTCTGAGAATGCTTCTGTCTGGCTTTTATTGGAAGACGTTTCCTTTTCACCAAAGGCATCATCAAAGCGCTCCAAATGTCCACTTCCAGATTCTTCCAAAAGAGTGTTTCAAACGTGCTCAAAGTAAGGGAATGTTCAACTCTGTGACTTGAATGCAGATATCACCAAGTAGTTTCTAATAGTGCTTTCTGTCTACATTTTAGATGATGATATTCCCTTTTCCAACGAAATCGTTAGAGCTATCCAAATATCCAGTTACAGTTTCTACCAAAAGGGTGTTTCCAAATTGCTGCATCAAAAGAAAGGTTCAACTCTGTTAGTTGAGGACACACATCACAAAGTAAGTTTGTGAGAATGCTTCTGTCTAGTATTTTGTATGACGATATTCCCTTTTCCAACGATATCATTAAAGCAATCTAAATATCCATTTGCAGAATCCACAAAAATAGAGTTTCAAAGCTGCTCTGTAAAAAGAAAGGTTCCACTCTGTTAGCTGAGTACACACATCACAAACTTGTTTCTCAGAATCCTTCTGTCTCGTTTTTATGGGAAGATATTTACTTTTTCACCGTAGGCATCAAAGCGCTCCAAATGTCCACATCCAGATACTCCAGAAAGAGTGTTTCAAACCTGCTCTATGAAAGGGAATCTTCAACTCTATGAGTTGAATGCAGACATCAGAAAGAAATTTCTGAGAATGCTGCTGTCTACCTTTTATTTGAATTCCCGCTTCCAACGAAATCCTCCAAGCTATCCAAATATCCACTTGCATTTTCCACAAAAAGAGTGTTTCAAAACTGCTCTATCAATAGAAATGTTCAACTCCCTTTGGCTGGGTACACACATCACAAACAAGTTTCTGAGAATGCTTCTGTCTAGTTTTTATGGGAAGACGTTCCCTTTTTCACCAAAGGCAACAAAGCGCTCCAAATGTCCACTTCCAGACACTACAAAAAGAGTGTTTCCAACGTGCTCTAAGAAAGCGAATGTTCAACTCTGTGACTTGAATGCAGATATCACAAAGTAGTTTCTGAGAGGGCTTCTGTCTAGATTTTAGATGATGATATTCCCGTTTCCAACGAAATCATTAGAGCTATCCAAATATCCACTTACAGTTTCTACAAAAAGAGTGTTTCCAAACTGCTGCATCAAAAGAGAGGTTCCACTCTGTTAGCTGAGTACACACATCACAAACTTGTTTCTCAGAATCCTTCTGTCTCGTTTTTATGGGAAGATATTTACGTTTCCACCGTAGACATCAAAGCGCTCCAAATGTCCACATCCAGATACTCCAGAAAGAGTGTTTCAAACCTGCTCTATGAAAGGGAATCTTCAACTCTATGAGTTGAATGCAGACATCAGAAAGAAATTTCTGAGAATGCTGCTGTCTACCTTTTATTTGAATTCCCGCTTCCAACGAAATCCTCCAAGCTATCCAAATATCCACTTGCAGATTCCACAAAAAGAGTGTTTCAAAACTGCTCTCTATCAATGGCAAAGTTCAACTCTGTTAGTTGAGGACACATATCACCAACAAGTTTCTGAGAATGCTTCTGTCTATTTTTTATGGGAAGATATTTCCTTTTTCACTGTAGGCGTCAAGGCGATCGAAATGTCCACTTCCACAAACTACAAAAAGAGTGTTTCAAACCTGCTCTATGAAAGGCGATGTTCATCTCAATGAGTTGAATGGAAATATCCGAAAGAAATTTCTGGGAATGCTGCTGTCTTGTTTTTATATGAATTCCCGCTTCCAACGAAATCCTCAAAGCAATCCAAATATCCACTTGCAGAATCCACAAAAAGAGTGTTTCAAAACTGCTCTATCAATAGAAAGGTTCAACTCTTTTAGTTGAGTACATACATCACCAACAAGTTTCTGAGAATGCTTCTGTCTGGCTTTTATTGGAAGACGTTTCCTTTTCACCAAAGGCATCAAAGCGCTCCAAATGTCCACTTCCAGATTCTTCCAAAAGAGTGTTTCAAACGTGCTCAAAGTAAGGGAATGTTCAACTCTGTGACTTGAATGCAGATATCACCAAGTAGTTTCTAATAGTGCTTCTGTCTAGATTTTAGATGATGATATTCCCGTTTCCAACGAAATCGTTAGAGCTATCCAAATATCCACTTACAGTTTCTACCAAAAGGGTGTTTCCAAATTGCTGCATCAAAAGAAAGGTTCAACTCTGTTAGTTGAGGACACACATCACAAAGAAGTTTGTGAGAATGCTTCTGTCTAGATTTTGTATGACGGTATTCCCTTTTCCAACGATATCGTTAAAGCAATCTAAATATCAATTTGCAGAATCCACAACAATAGAGTTTCAAAGCTGCTCTGTAAAAAGAAAGGTTCCACTCTTTTAGCTGAGTACACACATCGCAAACTTGTTTCTGAGAATCCTTCTCTCTCGTTTTTATGGGAAGATATTTACTTTTTCACCGTAGGCATCAAAGCGCTCCAAATGTCCACATCCAGATACTCCAGAAAGAGTGTTTCAAACCTGCTCTATGAAAGGGAATCTTCAACTCTATGAGTTGAATGCAGACATCAGAAAGAAATTTCTGAGAATGCTGCTGTCTACCTTTTATTTGAAATCCCGCTTCCAACGAAATCCTCCAAGCTATCCAAATATCCACTTGCATTTTCCACAAAAAGAGTGTTTCAAAACTGCTCTATCAATAGAAATGTTCAACTCCTTTAGCTGGGTACACACATCACAAACAAGTTTCTGAGAATGCTTCTGTCTAGTTTTTATGGGAAGACATTCCCTTTTTCACCAAAGGCATCAAAGCGCTCCAAATGTCCACTTCCAGACACTACAAAAAGAGTGTTTCCAACGTGCTCTAAGAAAGCGAATGTTCAACTCTGTGACTTGAATGCAGATATCACAAAGTAGTTTCTGAGAGTGCTTCTGTCTAGATTTTAGATGATGATATTCCCGTTTCCAACGAAATCATTAGAGCTATCCAAATATCCACTTACAGTTTCTACAAAAAGAGTATTTCCAAACTGCTGCATCAAAAGAGAGGTTCCACTCTGTTAGCTGAGTACACACATCACAAACTTGTTTCTGAGAATCCTTCTGTCTCGTTTTTATGGGAAGATATTTACTTTTTCACCATAGGCATCAAAGCGCTCCAAATGTCCACGTCCAGATACTCCAGAAAGAGTGTTTCAAACCTCCTCTATGAAAGGGAATCTTCAACTCTATGAGTTGAATGCAGACATCAGAAAGAAATTTCTGAGAATGCTGCTGTCTACCTTTTATTTGAATTCCCGCTTCCAACGAAATCCTCCAAGCTATCCAAATATCCACTTGCAGATTCCACAAAAAGAGTGTTTCAAAACTGCTCTCTATCAATCGCAAAGTTCAACTCTGTTAGTTGAGGACACATATCACCAACAAGTTTCTGAGAATGCTTCTGTCTATTTTTTATGGGAAGATATTTCCTTTTTCACCGTAGGCGTCAAGGCGATCGAAATGTCCACTTCCACAAACTACAAAAAGAGTGTTTCAAACCTGCTCTATGAAAGGCCATGTTCATCTCTATGAGTTGAATGGAAATATCCGAAAGAAATTTCTGGGAATGCTGCTGTCTAGTTTTTATATGAATTCCCGCTTCCAACGAAATCCTCAAAGCAATCCAAATATCCACTTGCAGAATCCACAAAAAGAGTGTTTCAAAACTGCGCTATCAATAGAAAGGTTCAACTCTTTTAGTTGAGTACACACATCACGAACAAGTTTCTGAGAATGCTTCTGTCTGGCTTTTATTGGAAGACGTTTCCTTTTCACCAAAGGCATCAAAGCGCTCCAAATGTCCACTTCCAGATTCTTCCAAAAGAGTGTTTCAAACGTGCTCGAAGTAAGGGAATGTTCTACTCTGTGACTTGAATGCAGATATCACCAAGTAGTTTCTAATAGTGCTTCTGTCTAGATTTTAGATGATGATATTCCCGTTTCCAACGAAATCGTTAGAGCTATCCAAATATCCACTTACAGTTTCTACAAAAAGAGTGTTTCCAAACTGCTGCATCAAAAGAAAGGTTCAACTCTGTTAGTTGAGGACACACATCACAAAGAAGTTTGTGAGAATGCTTCTGTCTAGATTTTGTATGACCATATTCCCTTTTCCAGCGATATCATTAAAGCAATCTAAATATCCATTTGCAGAATCCACAAAAATAGAGTTTCAAAGCTGCTCTGTAAAAAGAAAGGTTCCACTCTGTTAGCTGAGTACACACATCACAAACTTGTTTCTCAGAATCCTTCTGTCTCGTTTTTATGGGAAGATATTTACTTTTTCACCGTAGGCATCAAAGCGCTCCAAATGTCCACAACCAGATACTCCAGAAAGAGTGTTTCAAACCTGCTCTATGAAAGGGAATCTTCAACTCTATGAGCTGAATGCAGACATCAGAAAGAAATTTCTGAGAATGCTGCTGTCTACCTTTTATTTGAATTCCCGCTTCCAACGAAAACCTCCAAGCTATCCAAATATCCACTTGCATTTTCCACAAAAAGAGTGTTTCAAAACTGCTCTATCAATAGAAATGTTCAACTCCTTTGGCTGGGTACACACATCACAAACAAGTTTCTGAGAATGCTTCTGTCTAGTTTTTATGGGAAGACGTTCCCTTTTTCACCAAAGGCATCAAAGCGCTCCAAATGTCCACTTCCAGACACTACAAAAAGAGTGTTTCAAACGTGCTCTAAGAAAGCGAATGTTCAACTCTGTGACTTGAATGCAGATATCACAAAGTAGTTTCTGAGAGGGCTTCTGTCTAGATTTTAGATGATGATATTCCCGTTTCCAACGAAATCATTAGAGCTATCCAAATATCCACTTACAGTTTCTACAAAAAGAGTGTTTCCAAACTGCTGCATCAAAAGAGAGGTTCCACTCTGTTAGCTGAGTACACACATCACAAACTTGTTTCTCAGAATCCTCTGTCTCGTTTTTATGGGAAGAGATTTACTTTTTCACCGTAGGCATCAAAGCGCTCCAAATGTCCACATCCAGATACTCCAGAAAGAGTGTTTCAAACCTGCTCTATGAAAGGGAATCTTCAACTCTATGAGTTGAATGCAGACATCAGAAAGAAATTCCTGAGAATGCTGCTGTCTACCTTTTATTTGAATTCCCGCTTCCAACGAAATCCTCCAAGCTATCCAAATATCCACTTGCAGATTCCACAAAAAGAGTGTTTCAAAACTGCTCTCTATCAATGGCAAAGTTCAACTCTGTTAGTTGAGGACACATATCACCAACAAGTTTCTGAGAATGCTTCTGTCTATTTTTTATGGGAAGATATTTCCTTTTTCACCGTAGGCGTCAAGGCGATCGAAATGTCCACTTCCACAAACTACAAAAAGAGTGTTTCAAACCTGCTCTATGAAAGGCGATGTTCATCTCTATGAGTTGAATGGAAATATCCGAAAGAAATTTCTGGGAATGCTGCTGTCTAGTGTTTATATGAATTCCCGCTTCCAACGAAATCCTCAAAGCAATCCAAATATCCACTTGCAGAATCCACAAAAAGAGTGTTTCAAAACTGCTCTATCAATAGAAAGGTTCAACTCTTTTAGTTGAGTACACACATCACCAACAAGTTTCTGAGAATGCTTCTGTCTAGATTTTAGATGATGATATTCCCGTTTCCAACGAAATCGTTAGAGCTATCCAAATGTCCACTTACAGTTTCTACAAAAAGAGTGTTTCCAAACTGCTGCATCAAAAGAAAGGTTCAACTCTGTTAGTTGAGGACACACATCACAAAGAAGTTTGTGAGAATGCTTCTGTCTAGATTTTGTATGACGATATTCCCTTTTCCAACGATATCGTTAAAGCAATCTAAATATCAATTTGCAGAATCCACAAAAATAGAGTTTCAAAGCTGCTCTGTAAAAAGAAAGGTTCCACTCTTTTAGCTGAGTACACACATCACAAACTTGTTTCTGAGAATCCTTCTGTCTCGTTTTTATGGGAAGATATTTACTTTTTCACCGTAGGCATCAAAGCGCTCCAAATGTCCACATCCAGATACTCCAGAAAGAGTGTTTCAAACCTGCTCTATGAAAGGGAATCTTCAACTGCTATGAGTTGAATGCAGACATCAGAAAGAAATTTCTGAGAATGCTGCTGTCTACCTTTTATTTGAATTCCCGCTTCCAACGAAATCCTCCAAGCTATCCAAATATCCACCTGCATTTTCCACAAAAAGAGTGTTTGAAAACTGCTCTATCAATAGAAATGTTCAACTCCTTTGGCTGGGTACACACATCACAAACAAGTTTCTGAGAATGCTTCTGTCTAGTTTTTATGGGAAGACGTTCCCTTTTTCACCAAAGTCATCAAAGCGCTCCAAATGTCCACTTCCAGACACTACAAAAAGAGTGTTTCAAACGTGCTCTAAGAAAGCGAATGTTCAACTCTGTGACTTGAATGCAGATATCACAAAGTAGTTTCTGAGAGGGCTTCTGTCTAGATTTTAGATGATGATATTCCCGTTTCCAACGAAATCATTAGAGCTATCCAAATATCCACTTACAGTTTCTACAAAAAGAGTGTTTCCAAACTGCTGCATCAAAAGAGAGGTTCCACTCTGTTAGCTGAGTACACACATCACAAACTTGTTTCTCAGAATCCTGCTGTCTACCCTTTATTTGAATTCCCGCTTCCAACGAAATCCTCCAAGCTATCCAAATATCCACTTGCAGATTCCACAAAAAGAGTGTTTCAAAACTGCTCTCTATCAATGGCAAAGTTCAACTCTGTTAGTTGAGGACACATATCACCAACAAGTTTCTGAGAATGCTTCTGTCTATTTTTTATGGGAAGATATTTCCTTTTTCAGCGTAGGCGTCAAGGCGATCGAAATGTCCACTTCCACAAACTACAAAAAGAGTGTTTCAAACCTGCTCTATGAAAAGCCATGTTCATCTCTATGAGTTGAATGGAAATATCCGAAAGAAATTTCTGGGAATGCTGCTGTCTAGTGTTTATACGAATTCCCGCTTCCAACGGAAATCCTCAAAGCAATCCAAATATCCACTTGCAGAATCCACAAAAAGAGTGTTTCAAAACTGCTCTATCAATAGAAAGGTTCAACTCTTTTAGTTGAGTACACACATCACGAACAAGTTTCTGAGAATGCTTCTGTCTGGCTTTTATTGGAAGACGTTTCCTTTTCACCAAAGGCATCAAAGCGCTCCAAATGTCCACTTCCAGATTCTTCCAAAAGAGTGTTTCAAACGTGGTCGAAGTAAGGGAATGTTCAACTCTGTGACTTGAATGCAGATATCACCAAGTAGTTTCTAATAGTGCTTCTGTCTAGATTTTAGATGATGATATTCCCGTTTCCAACGAAATCGTTAGAGCTATCCAAATATCCAGTTACAGTTTCTACCAAAAGGGTGTTTCCAAATTGCTGCATCAAAAGAAAGGTTCAACTCTGTTAGTTGAGGACACACATCACAAAGAAGTTTGTGAGAATGCTTATCCTGTCTAGATTTTGTATGACCATATTCCCTTTTCCAACGATATCATTAAAGCAATCTAAATATCCATTTGCAGAATCCACAAAAATAGAGTTTCAAAGCTGCTCTGTAAAAAGAAAGGTTCCACTCTGTTAGCTGAGTACACACATCACAAACTTGTCTCTCAGAATCCTTCTGTCTCGTTTTTATGGGAAGATATTTACTTTTTCACCGTAGGCATCAAAGCGCTCCAAATGTCCACATCCAGATACTCCAGAAAGAGTGTTTCAAACCTGCTCTATGAAAGGGAATCTTCAACTCTATGAGTTGAATGCAGACATCAGAAAGAAATTTCTGAGAATGCTGCTGTCTACCTTTTATTTGAATTCCCGCTTCCAACGAAATCCTCCAAGCTATCCAAATATCCACCTGCATTTTCCACAAAAAGAGCGTTTCAAAACTGCTCTATCAATAGAAATGTTCAACTCCTTTGGCTGGGTACACACATCACAAACAGGTTTCTGAGAATGCTTCTGTCTAGTTTTTATGGGAAGACGTTCCCTTTTTCACAAAGGCATCAAAGCGCTCCAAATGTCCACTTCCAGACACTACAAAAAGAGTGTTTCAAACGTGCTCTAAGAAAGCGAATGTTCAACTCTGTGACTTGAATGCAGATATCACAAAGTAGTTTCTGAGAGGGCTTCTGTCTAGATTTTAGATGATGATATTCCCGTTTCCAACGAAATCATTAGAGCTATCCAAATATCCACTTACAGTTTCTACAAAAAGAGTGTTTCCAAACTGCTGCATCAAAAGAGAGGTTCCACTCTGTTAGCTGAGTACACACATCACAAACTTGTTTCTCAGAATCCTGCTGTCTACCTTTTATTTGAATTCCCGCTTCCAACGAAATCCTCCAAGCTATCCAAATATCCACTTGCAGATTCCACAAAAAGAGTGTTTCAAAACTGCTCTCTATCAATGGCAAAGTTCAACTCTGTTAGTTGAGGACACATATCACCAACAAGTTTCTGAGAATGCTTCTGTCTATTTTTTATGGGAAGATATTTCCTTTTTCACCGTAGCCGTCAAGGCGATCGAAATGTCCACTTCCACAAACTACAAAAAGAGTGTTTCAAACCTGCTCTATGAAAGGCCATGTTCATCTCTATGAGTTGAATGGAAATATCCGAAAGAAATTTCTGGGAATGCTGCTGTCTAGTTTTTATATGAATTCCCGCTTCCAACGAAATCCTCAAAGCAATCCAAATATCCACTTGCAGAATCCACAAAAAGAGTGTTTCAAAACTGCTCTATCAATAGAAAGGTTCAACTCTTTTAGTTGAGTACACACATCACGAACAAGTTTCTGAGAATGCTTCTGTCTGGCTTTTATTGGAAGACGTTTCCTTTTCACCAAAGGCATCAAAGCGCTCCAAATGTCCACTTCCAGATTCTTCCAAAAGAGTGTTTCAAACGTGCTCGAAGTAAGGGAATGTTCAACTCTGTGACTTGAATGCAGATATCACCAAGTAGTTTCTAATAGTGCTTCTGTCTACATTTTAGATGATGATATTCCCGTTTCCAACGAAATCGTTAGAGCTATCCAAATATCCAGTTACAGTTTCTACCAAAAGGGTGTTTCCAAATTGCTGCATCAAAAGAAAGGTTCAACTCTGTTAGTTGAGGACACACATCACAAAGAAGTTTGTGAGAGTGCTTCTGTCTAGATTTTGTATGACCATATTCCCTTTTCCAGCGATATCATTAAAGCAATCTAAATATCCATTTGCAGAATCCACAAAAATAGAGTTTCAAAGCTGCTCTGTAAAAAGAAAGGTTCCACTCTGTTAGCTGAGTACACACATCACAAACTTGTTTCTCAGAATCCTTCTGTCTCGTTTTTATGGGAAGATATTTACTTTTTCACCGTAGGCATCAAAGCGCTCCAAATGTCCACATCCAGATACTCCAGAAAGAGTGTTTCAAACCTGCTCTATGAAAGGGAATCTTCAACTCTATGAGTTGAATGCAGACATCAGAAAGAAATTTCTGAGAATGCCGCTGTCAACCTTTTATTTGAATTCCCGCTTCCAACGAAATCCTCCAAGCTATCCAAATATCCACCTGCATTTTCCACAACAAGAGTGTTTCAAAACTGCTCTATCAATAGAAATGTTCAACTCCTTTGGCTGGGTACACACATCACAAACAAGTTTCTGAGAATGCTTCTGTCTAGTTTTTATGGGTAGACATTCCCTTTTTCACCAAAGGCATCAAAGCGCTCCAAATGTCCACTTCCAGACACTACAAAAAGAGTGTTTCAAACGTGCTCTAAGAAAGCGAATGTTCAACTCTGTGACTTGAATGCAGATATCACACAGTAGTTTCTGAGAGTGCTTCTGTCTAGATTTTAGATGATGATATTCCCGTTTCCAACGAAATCATTAGAGCTATCCAAATATCCACTTACAGTTTCTACAAAAAGAGTGTTTGCAAACTGCTGCATCAAAAGAGAGGTTCCACTCTGTTAGCTGAGTACACACATCACAAACTTGTTTCTCAGAATCCTTCTGTCTCGTTTTTATGGGAAGATATTTACTTTTTCACCGTAGGCATCAAAGCGCTCCAAATGTCCACATCCAGATACTCCAGAAAGAGTGTTTCAAACCTGCTCTATGAAAGGGAATCTTCAACTCTATGAGTTGAATGCAGAGATCAGAAAGAAATTTCTGAGAATGCTGCTGTCTACCTTTTATTTGAATTCCCGCTTCCAACGAAATCCTCCAAGCTATCCAAATATCCACTTGCAGATTCCACAAAAAGAGTGTTTCAAAACTGCTCTCTATCAATGGCAAAGTTCAACTCTGTTAGTTGAGGACACATATCACCAACAAGTTTCTGAGAATGCTTCTGTCTATTTTTTATGGGAAGATATTTCCTTTTTCACCGTAGGCGTCAAGGCGATCGAAATGTCCACTTCCACAAACTACAAAAAGAGTGTTTCAAACCTGCTCTATGAAAGGCCATGTTCATCTCTATGAGTCGAATGGAAATATCCGAAAGAAATTTCTGGGAATGCTGCTGTCTACCTTTTATTTGAATTCCCGCTTCCAACGAAATCCTCCAAGCTATCCAAATATCCACCTGCATTTTCCAAAACAAGAGTGTTTCAAAACTGCTCTATCAATAGAAATGTTCAACTCCTTTGGCTGGGTACACACATCACAAACAAGTTTCTGAGAATGCTTCTGTCTGGCTTTTATTGGAAGACGTTTCCTTTTCACCAAAGGCATCAAAGCGCTCCAAATGTCCACTTCCAGATTCTTCCAAAAGAGTGTTTCAAACGTGCTCGAAGTAAGGGAATGTTCTACTCTGTGACTTGAATGCAGATATCACCAAGTAGTTTCTAATAGTGCTTCTGTCTAGATTTTAGATGATGATATTCCCGTTTCCAACGAAATCGTTAGAGCTATCCAAATGTCCAGTTACAGTTTCTACCAAAAGGGTGTTTCCAAATTGCTGCATCAAAAGAAAGGTTCAACTCTGTTAGTTGAGGACACACATCACAAAGAAGTTTGTGAGAATGCTTCTGTCTAGATTTTGTATGACCATATTCCCTTTTCCAACGATATCGTTAAAGCAATCTAAATATCAATTTGCAGAATCCACAAAAATAGAGTTTCAAAGCTGCTCTGTAAAAAGAAAGGTTCCACTCTGTTAGCTGAGTTCACACATCACAAACTTGTTTCTGAGAATCCTGCTGTCTACCTTTTATTTGAATTCCCGCTTCCAACGAAATCCTCCAAGCTATCCAAATATCCACTTGCATTTTCCACAAAAAGAGTGTTTCAAAACTGCTCTATCAATAGAAATGTTCAACTCCTTTAGCTGGGTACACACATCACAAACAAGTTTCTGAGAATGCTTCTGTCTAGTTTTTATGGGAAGACGTTCCCTTTTTCACCAAAGGCATCAAAGCGCTCCAAATGTCCACTTCCAGACACTACAAAAAGAGTGTTTCCAACGTGCCCTAAGAAAGCGAATGTTCAACTCTGTGACTTGAATGCAGATATCACAAAGTAGTTTCTGAGAGGGCTTCTGTCTAGATTTTAGATGATGATATTCCCGTTTCCAACGAAATCATTAGAGCTATCCAAATATCCAATTACAGTTTCTACAAAAAGAGTGTTTCCAAACTGCTGCATCAAAAGAGAGGTTCCACTCTGTTAGCTGAGTACACACATCACAAACTTGTTTCTCAGAATCCTTCTGTCTCGTTTTTATGGGAAGATATTTACTTTTTCACCGTAGGCATCAAAGCGCTCCAAATGTCCACATCCAGATACTCCAGAAAGACTGTTTCAAACCTGCTCTATGAAAGGGAATGTTCAACTCTATGAGTTGAATGCAGACATCAGAAAGAAATTTCTGAGAATGCTGCTGTCTACCTTTTATTTGAATTCCCGCTTACAACGAAATCCTCCAAGCTATCCAAATATCCACCTGCATTTTCCACAACAAGAGTGTTTCAAAACTGCTCTATCAATAGAAATGTTCAACTCCTTTGGCTGGGTACACACATCACAAACAAGTTTCTGAGAATGCTTCTGTCTATTTTTTATGGGAAGATATTTCCTTTTTCACCGTAGGCGTCAAGGCGATCGAAATGTCCACTTCCACAAACTACAAAAAGAGTGTTTCAAACCTGCTGCTATGAAAGGCCATGTTCATCTCTATGAGTCGAATGGAAATATCCGAAAGAAATTTCTGGGAATGCTGCTGTCTAGTTTTTATACGAATTCCCGCTTCCAACGAAATCCTCAAAGCAATCCAAATATCCACTTGCAGAATCCACAAAAAGAGTGTTTCAAAACTGCTCTATCAATAGAAAGGTTCAACTCTTTTAGTTGAGTACACACATCACAAACAAGTTTCTGAGAATGCTTCTGTCTGGCTTTTATTGGAAGACGTTTCCTTTTCACCAAAGGCATCAAAGCGCTCCAAATGTCCACTTCCAGATTCTTCCAAAAGAGTGTTTCAAACGTGCTCAACGTAAGGGAATGTTCAACTCTGTGACTTGAATGCAGATATCACCAAGTAGTTTCTAATAGTGCTTCTGTCTAGATTTTAGATGATGATATTCCCGTTTCCAACGAAATCGTTAGAGCTATCCAAATATCCACTTACAGTTTCTACAAAAAGAGTGTTTCCAAACTGCTGCATCAAAAGAAAGGTTCAACTCTGTTAGTTGAGGACACACATCACAAAGAAGTTTGTGAGAATGCTTCTGTCTAGATTTTGTATGACCATATTCCCTTTTCCAGCGATATCATTAAAGCAATCTAAATATCCATTTGCAGAATCCACAAAAATAGAGTTTCAAAGCTGCTCTGTAAAAAGAAAGGTTCCACTCTGTTAGCTGAGTACACACATCACAAACTTGTCTCTCAGAATCCTTCTGTCTCGTTTTTATGGGAAGATATTTACTTTTTCACCGTAGGCATCAAAGCGCTCCAAATGTCCACATCCAGATACTCCAGAAAGAGTGTTTCAAACCTGCTCTATGAAAGGGAATCTTCAACTCTATGAGTTGAATGCAGACATCAGAAAGAAATTTCTGAGAATGCTGCTGTCTACCTTTTATTTGAATTCCCGCTTCCAACGAAATCCTCCAACCTATCCAAATATCCACTTGCATTTTCCACAAAAAGAGTGTTTCAAAACTGCTCTATCAATAGAAATGTTCAACTCCTTTAGCTGGGTACACACATCACAAACAAGTTTCTGAGAATCCTTCTGTCTAGTTTTTATGGGAAGACATTCCCTTTTTCACCAAAGGCATCAAAGCGCTCCAAATGTCCACTTCCAGACACTACAAAAAGAGTGTTTCCAACGTGCTCTAAGAAAGCGAATGTTCAACTCTGTGACTTGAATGCAGATATCACAAAGTAGTTTCTGAGAGGACTTCTGTCTAGATTTTAGATGATGATATTCCCGTTTCCAACGAAATCATTAGAGCTATCCAAATATCCACTTACAGTTTCTACAAAAAGAGTGTTTCCAAACTGCTGCATCAAAAGAGAGGTTCCACTCTGTTAGCTGAGTACACACATCACAAACTTGTTTCTCAGAATCCTTCTGTCTCGTTTCTATGGGAAGATATTTACTTTTTCACCGTAGGCATCAAAGCGCTCCAAATGTCCACATCCAGATACTCCAGAAAGAGTGTTTCAAACCTGCTCTATGAAAGGGAATCTTCAACTCTATGAGTTGAATGCAGACATCAGAAAGAAATTTCTGAGAATGCTGCTGTCTACCTTTTATTTGAATTCCCGCTTCCAACGAAATCCTCCAAGCTATCCAAATATCCACTTGCAGATTCCACAAAAAGAGTGTTTCAAAACTGCTCTCTATCAATGGCAAAGTTCAACTCTGTTAGTTGAGGACACATATCACCAACAAGTTTCTGAGAATGCTTCTGTCTATTTTTTATGGGAAGATATTTCCTTTTTCACCGTAGGCGTCAAGGCGATCGAAATGTCCACTTCCACAAACTACAAAAAGAGTGTTTCAAACCTGCTCTATGAAAGGCCATGTTCATCTCTATGAGTTGAATGGAAATATCCGAAAGAAATTTCTGGGAATGCTGCTGTCTAGTTTTTATACGAATTCCCGCTTCCAACGAAATCCTCAAAGCAATCCAAATATCCACTTGCAGAATCCACAAAAAGAGTGTTTCAAAACTGCTCTATCAATAGAAAGGTTCCACTCTTTTAGTTGAGTACACACATCACAAACAAGTTTCTGAGAATGCTTCTGTCTAGCTTTTATGGGAAGACGTTTCCTTTTCACCAATGGCATCAAAGCGCTCCAAATGTCCAATTCCAGATTCTACAAAAAGAGTGTTTCAAACGTGCTCAAACTATGGTAACGTTCTACTCTCTGACTTGAATGCAGATATCACCAAGTAGTTGCTAATACTGCTTCTGTCTAGATTTTAGATGATGATATTCCCGTTTCAAATGAAATCGTTAGAGCTATCCAAATATCCACTTACAGTTTCTACAAAAAGAGTGTTTCCAAACTGCTGCATCAAAAGAAAGGTTCAACTCTGTTAGTTGAGGACACACATCACAAAGAAGTTTCTGAGAATGCTTCTGTCTAGATTTTGTATGACGATATTCCCTTTTCCAACGATATCGTTAAAGCAATCTAAATATCAATTTGCAGAATCCACAAAAATAGAGTTTCAAAGCTGCTCTGTAAAAAGAAAGGTTCCACTCTGTTAGCTGAGTATACACATCACAAACTTGTTTCTGAGAATCCTTCTGTCTCGTTTTTATGGGAAGATATTTACTTTTTCACCGTAGGCATCAAAGCGCTCCAAATGTCCACATCCAGATACTCCAGAAAGAGTGTTTCAAACCTGCTCTAGGAAAGGGAATCTTCAACTCTATGAGTTGAATGCAGACATCAGAAAGAAATTTCTGAGAATGCTGCTGTCTACCTTTTATTTGAATTCCCGCTTCCAACGAAATCCTCCAAGCTATCCAAATATCCACCTGCATTTTCCACAACAAGAGTGTTTCAAAACTGCTCTATCAATAGAAATGTTCAACTCCTTTGGCTGGGTACACACATCACAAACAAGTTTCTGAGAATGCTTCTGTCTAGTTTTTATGGGTAGACATTCCCTTTTTCACAAAAGGAATCAAAGCGCTCCAAATGTCCACTTCCAGACACTACAAAAAGAGTGTTTCAAACGTGCTCTAAGAAAGCGAATGTTCAACTCTGTGACTTGAATGCAGATATCACAAAGTAGTTTCTGAGAGGGCTTCTGTCTAGATTTTAGATGATGATATTCCCGTTTCCAACGAAATCATTAGAGCTATCCAAATATCCACTTACAGTTTCTACAAAAAGAGTGTTTCCAAACTTCTGCATCAGAAGAGAGGTTCCACTCTGTTAGCTGAGTACACACATCACAAACTTGTTTCTGAGAATCCTTCTGTCTCGTTTTTATGGGAAGATATTTACTTTTCCACCGTAGGCATCAAAGCGCTCCAAATGTCCACATCCAGATACTCCAGAAAGAGTGTTTCAAACCTGCTCTATGAAAGGGAATCTTCAACTCTATGAGTTGAATGCAGACATCAGAAAGAAATTTCTGAGAATGCTGCTGTCTACCTTTTATTTGAATTCCCGCTTCCAACGAAATCCTCCAAGCTATCCAAATATCCACTTGCAGATTCCACAAAAAGAGTGTTTCAAAACTGCTCTCTATCAATGGCAAAGTTCAACTCTGTTAGTTGAGAACACATATCACCAACAAGTTTCTGAGAATGCTTCTGTCTATTTTTTATGGGAAGATATTTCCTTTTTCACCATAGGCGTCAAGGCGATCGAAATGTCCACTTCCACAAACTACAAAAAGAGTGTTTCAAACCTGCTCTATGAAAGGCGATGTTCATCTCTATGAGTTGAATGGAAATATCCGAAAGAAATTTCTGGGAATGCTTGCTGTCTAGTTTTTATACGAATTCCCGCTTCCAACGAAATCCTCAAAGCAATCCAAATATCCACTTGCAGAATCCACAAAAAGAGTGTTTCAAAACTGCTCTATCAATAGAAAGGTTCAACTCTTTTAGTTGAGTACACACATCACAAACAAGTTTCTGAGAATGCTTCTGTCTGGCTTTTATTGGAAGACGTTTCCTTTTCACCAAAGGCATCAAAGCGCTCCAAATGTCCACTTCCAGATTCTTCCAAAAGAGTGTTTGAAACGTGCTCAAAGTAAGGGAATGTTCAACTCTGTGACTTGAATGCAGATATCACCAAGTAGTTTCTAATAGTGCTTCTGTCTAGATTTTAGATGATGATATTCCCGTTTCCAACGAAATCGTTAGAGCTATCCAAATATCCACTTAGTTTCTACAAAAAGAGTGTTTCCAAACTGCTGCATCAAAAGAAAGGTTCAACTCTGTTAGTTGAGGACACACATCACAAAGAAGTTTGTGAGAATGCTTCTGTCTAGATTTTGTATGACGATATTCCCTTTTCCAACGATATCGTTAAAGCAATCTAAATATCAATTTGCAGAATCCACAAAAATAGAGTTTCAAAGCTGCTCTGTAAAAAGAAAGGTTCCACTCTGTTAGCTGAGTACACACATCACAAACTTGTTTCTCAGAATCCTTCTGTCTCGTTTTTATGGGAAGATATTTACTTTTTCACCGTAGGCATCAAAGCGCTCCAAATGTCCACATCCAGATACTCCAGAAAGAGTGTTTCAAACCTGCTCTATGAAAGGGAATCTTCAACTCTATGAGTTGAATGCAGACATCAGAAAGAAATTTTCTGAGAATGCTGCTGTCTACCTTTTATTTGAATTCCCGCTTCCAACGAAATCCTCCAAGCTATCCAAATATCCACTTGCATTTTTCACAAAAAGAGTGTTTCAAAACTGCTCTATCAATAGAAATGTTCAACTCCTTTAGCTGGGTACACACATCGCAGACAAGTTTCTGAGAATGCTTCTGTCTAGTTTTTATGGGAAGACATTCCCTTTTTCACCAAAGGCATCAAAGCACTCCAAATGTCCACTTCCAGACACTACAAAAAGAGTGTTTCCAACGTGCTCTAAGAAAGCGAATGTTCAACTCTGTGACTTGAATGCAGATATCACAAAGTAGTTTCTGAGAGGGCTTCTGTCTAGATTTTAGATGATGATATTCCCGTTTCCAACGAAATCATTAGAGCTATCCAAATATCCACTTACAGTTTCTACAAAAAGAGTGTTTCCAAACTGCTGCATCAAAAGAGAGGTTCCACTCTGTTAGCTGAGTACACACATCACAAACTTGTTTCTCAGAATCCTTCTGTCTCGTTTTTCTGGGAAGATATTTACTTTTTCACCGTAGGCATCAAAGCGCTCCAAATGTCCACATCCAGATACTCCAGAAAGAGTGTTTCAAACCTGCTCTATGAAAGGGAATCTTCAACTCTATGAGTTGAATGCAGACATCAGAAGGAAATTTCTGAGAATGCTGCTGTCTACCTTTTATTTGAATTCCCGCTTCCAACGAAATCCTCCAAGCTATCCAAATATCCACTTGCAGATTCCACAAACAGAGTGTTTCAAAACTGCTCTCTATCAATGGCAAAGTTCAACTCTGTTAGTTGAGGACACATATCACCAACAAGTTTCTGAGAATGCTTCTGTCTATTTTTTATGGGAAGATATTTCCTTTTTCACCGTAGGCGTCAAGGCGATCGAAATGTCCACTTCCACAAACTACAAAAAGAGTGTTTCAAACCTGCTCTATGAAAGGCCATGTTCATCTCTATGAGTTGAATGGAAATATCCGAAAGAAATTTCTGGGAATGCTGGCTGTCTAGTTTTTATACGAATTCCCGCTTCCAACGAAATCCTCAAAGCAATCCAAATATCCACTTGCAGAATCCACAAAAAGAGTGTTACAAAACTGCTCTATCAATAGAAAGGTTCAACTCTTTTAGTTGAGTACACACATCACAAACAAGTTTCTGAGAATGCTTCTGTCTGGCTTTTATTGGAAGACGTTTCCTTTTCACCAAAGGCATCAAAGCGCTCCAAATGTCCACTTCCAGATTCTTCCAAAAGAGTGTTTGAAACGTGCTCAAAGTAAGGGAATGTTCAACTCTGTGACTTGAATGCAGATATCACCAAGTAGTTTCTAATAGTGCTTCTGTCTACCTTTTGATGATGATATTCCCGTTTCCAACGAAATCGTTAGAGCTATCCAAATATCCAGTTACAGTTTCTACCAAAAGGGTGTTTCCAAATTGCTGCATCAAAAGAAAGGTTCAACTCTGTTAGTTGAGGACACACATCACAAAGAAGTTTGTGAGAATGCTTCTGTCTAGATTTTGTATGACCATATTCCCTTTTCCAGCGATATCATTAAAGCAATCTAAATATCCATTTGCAGAATCCACAAAAATAGGGTTTCAAAGCTGCTCTGTAAAAAGAAAGGTTCCACTCTGTTAGCTGAGTACACACATCACAAACTTGTTTCTGAGAATCCTTCTGTCTCGTTTTTATGGGAAGATATTTACTTTTTCACCGTAGGCATCAAAGCGCTCCAAATGTCCACATCCAGATACTCCAGAAAGAGTGTTTCAAACCTGCTCTATGAAAGGGAATCTTCAACTCTATGAGTTGAATGCAGACATCAGAAAGAAATTTCTGAGAATGCTGCTGTCTACCTTTTATTTGAATTCCCGCTTCCAACGAAATCCTCCAAGCTATCCAAATATCCACCTGCATTTTCCACAAAAAGAGTGTTTCAAAACTGCTCTATCAATAGAAATGTTCAACTCCTTTGGCTGGGTACACACATCACAAACAAGTTTCTGAGAATGCTTCTGTCTAGTTTTTATGGGAAGACATTCCCTTTTTCACCAAAGGCATCAAAGCGCTCCAAATGTCCACTTCCAGACACTATAAAAAGAGTGTTTCCAACGTGCTCTAAGAAAGCGAATGTTCAACTCTGTGACTTGAATGCAGATATCACAAAGTAGTTTCTGAGAGGGCTTCTGTCTAGATTTTAGTTGATGATATTCCCATTTCCAACGAAATCATTAGAGCTATCCAAATATCCACTTACAGTTTCTACAAAAAGAGTGTTTCCAAACTGCTGCATCAGAAGAGAGGTTCCACTCTGTTAGCTGAGTACACACATCACAAACTTGTTTCTCAGAATCCTTCTGTCTCGTTTTTATGGGAAGATATTTACTTTTCCACCGTAGGCATCAAAGCGCTCCAAATGTCCACATCCAGATACTCCAGAACGAGTGTTTCAAACCTGCTCTATGAAAGGGAATCTTCAACTCTATGAGTTGAATGCAGACATCACAAAGAAATTTCTGAGAATGCTGCTGTCTACCTTTTATTTGAATTCCCGCTTCCAACGAAATCCTCCAAGCTATCCAAATATCCACTTGCAGATTCCACAAAAAGAGTGTTTCAAAACTGCTCTCTATCAATGGCAAAGTTCAACTCTGTTAGTTGAGGACACATATCACCAACAAGTTTCTGAGAATGCTTCTGTCTATTTTTATGGGAAGATATTTCCTTTTTCACCGTAGGCGTCAAGGCGATCGAAATGTCCACTTCCACAAACTACAAAAAGAGTGTTTCAAACCTGCTCTATGAAAGGCCATGTTCATCTCTATGAGTTGAATGGAAATATCCGAAAGAAATTTCTGGGAATGCTGCTGTCTAGTGTTTATACGAATTCCCGCTTCCAACGAAATCCTCAAAGCAATCCAAATATCCACTTGCAGAATCCACAAAAAGAGTGTTTCAAAACTGCTCTATCAATAGAAAGGTTCAACTCTTTTAGTTGAGTACACACATCACAAACAAGTTTCTGAGAATGCTTCTGTCTGGCTTTTATTGGAAGACGTTTCCTTTTCACCAAAGGCATCAAAGCGCTCCAAATGTCCACTTCCAGATTCTTCCAAAAGAGTGTTTCAAACGTGCTCGAAGTAAGGGAATGTTCTACTCTGTGACTTGAATGCAGATATCACCAAGTAGTTTCTAATAGTGCTTCTGTCTAGATTTTAGATGATGATATTCCCGTTTCCAACGAAATCGTTAGAGCTATCCAAATATCCACTTACAGTTGCTACAAAAACAGTGTTTCCAAACTGCTGCATCAAAAGAAAGGTTCAACTCTGTTAGTTGAGGACACACGTCACAAAGAAGTTTGTGAGAATGCTTCTGTCCAGCATTTTGTATGACGATATTCCCTTTTCCAACGATATCGTTAAAGCAATCTAAATATCCATTTGCAGAATCCACAAAAATAGAGTTTCAAAGCTGCTCTGTAAAAAGAAAGGTTCCACTCTGTTAGCTGAGTACACACATCACAAACTTGTCTCTCAGAATCCTTCTGTCTCGTTTTTATGGGAAGATATTTACTTTTTCACCGTAGGCATCAAAGCGCTCCAAATGTCCACATCCAGATACTCCAGAAAGAGTGTTTCAAACCTGCTCTATGAAAGGGAATCTTCAACTCTATGAGTTGAATGCAGACATCAGAAAGAAATTTCTGAGAATGCTGCTGTCTACCTTTTGTTTGAATTCCCGCTTCCAACGAAATCCTCCAAGCTATCCAAATATCCACCTGCATTTTCCACAAAAAGAGTGTTTCAAAACTGCTCTATCAATAGAAATGTTCAACTCCTTTGGCTGGGTACACACATCACAAACAAGTTTCTGAGAATGCTTCTGTCTAGTTTTTATGGGAAGACGTTCCCTTTTTCACCAAAGGCATCAAAGCGCTCCAAATGTCCAATTCCAGACACTACAAAAAGAGTGTTTCAAACGTGCTCTAAGAAAGTGAATGTTCAACTCTGTGACTTGAATGCAGATATCACAAAGTAGTTTCCTGAGAGGGCTTCTGTCTAGATTTTAGATGATGATATTCCCGTTTCCAACGAAATCATTAGAGCTATCCAAATATCCACTTACAGTTTCTACAAAAAGAGTGTTTCCAAACTGCTGCATCAAAAGAGAGGTTCCACTCTGTTAGCTGAGTACACACATCACAAACTTGTTTCTCAGAATCCTTCTGTCTCGTTTTTATGGGAAGATATTTACTTTTTCACCGTAGGCATCAAAGCGCTCCAAATGTCCACATCCAGATACTCCAGAAAGAGTGTTTCAAACCTGCTCTATGAAAGGGAATCTTCAACTCTATGTGTTGAATGCAGACATCAGAAAGAAATTTCTGAGAATGCTGCTGTCTACCTTTTATTTGAATTCCCGCTTCCAACGAAATCCTCCAAGCTATCCAAATATCCACCTGCATTTTCCACAAAAAGAGTGTTTCAAAACTGCTCTCTATCAATGGCAAAGTTCAACTCTGTTAGTTGAGGACACATATCACCAACAAGTTTCTGAGAATGCTTCTGTCTATTTTTTATGGGAAGATATTTCCTTTTTCACCGTAGGCGTCAAGGCGATCGAAATGTCCACTTCCACAAACTACAAAAAGAGTGTTTCAATATGAAAGGCCATGTTCATCTCTATGAGTTGAATGGAAATATCCAAAAGAAATTTCTGGGAATGCTGCTGTCTAGTGTTTATACGAATTCCCGCTTCCAACAAAATCCTCAAAGCAATCCAAATATCCACTTGCAGAATCCACAAAAAGAGTGTTTCAAAACTGCTCTATCAATAGAAAGGTTCAACTCTTTTAGTTGAGTACACACATCACGATCAAGTTTCTGAGAATGCTTCTGTCTGGCTTTTATTGGAAGACGTTTCCTTTTCACCAAAGGCATCAAAGCGCTCCAAATGTCCACTTCCAGATTCTTCCAAAAGAGTGTTTCAATCGTGCTCAAAGTAAGGGAATGTTCAACTCTGTGACTTGAATGCAGATATCACCAAGTAGTTTCTAATAGTGCTTCTGTCTAGATTTTAGATGATGATATTCCCGTTTCCAACGAAATCGTTAGAGCTATCCAAATATCCACTTACAGTTTCTACAAAAAGAGTGTTTCCAAACTGCTGCATCAAAAGAAAGGTTCAACTCTGTTAGTTGAGGACACACATCACAAAGAAGTTTGTGAGAATGCTTCTGTCTAGATTTTGTATGACGATATTCCCTTTTCCAACGATATCGTTAAAGCAATCTAAATATCCATTTGCAGAATCCACAAAAATAGAGTTTCAAAGCTGCTCTGTAAAAAGAAAGGTTCCACTCTGTTAGCTGAGTACACACATCACAAACTTGTTTCTCAGAATCCTTCTGTCTCGTTTTTATGGGAAGATATTTACTTTTCCACCGTAGGCATCAAACGCTCCAAATGTCCACATCCAGATACTCCAGAACGAGTGTTTCAAACCTGCTCTATGAAAGGGAATCTTCAACTCTATGAGTTGAATGCAGACATCAGAAAGAAATTTCTGAGAATGCTGCTGTCTACCTTTTATTTGAATTCGCGCTTCCAACGAAATCCTCCAAGCTATCCAAATATCCACCTGCATTTTCCACAACAAGAGTGTTTCAAAACTGCTCTATCAATAGAAATGTTCAACTCCTTTGGCTGGGTACACACATCACAAACAAGTTTCTGAGAATGCTTCTGTCTAGTTTTTATGGGTAGACATTCCCTTTTTCACCAAAGGAATCAAAGCACTCCAAATGTCCACTTCCAGACACTACAAAAAGAGTGTTTCAAACGTGCTCTAAGAAAGCGAACGTTCAACTCTGTGACTTGAATGCAGATATCACAAAGTAGTTTCTGAGAGTGCTTCTGTCTAGATTTTAGATGATGATATTCCCGTTTCCAACGAAATCATTAGAGCTATCCAAATATCCACTTACAGTTTCTACAAAAAGAGTGTTTCCAAACTGCTGCATCAAAAGAGAGGTTCCACTCTGTTAGCTGAGTACACACATCACAAACTTGTTTCTGAGAATCCTTCTGTGTCGTTTTTATGGGAAGATATTTACTTTTTCACCGTAGGCATCAAAGCGCTCCAAATGTCCACATCCAGATACTCCAGAGTGTTTCAAACCTGCTCTATGAAAGGGAATCTTCAACTCTATGAGTTGAATGCAGACATCAGAAAGAAATTTCTGAGAATGCTGCTGTCTACCTTTTATTTGAATTCCCGCTTCCAACGAAATCCTCCAAGCTATCCAAATATCCACTTGCAGATTCCACAAAAAGAGTGTTTCTAAACTGCTCTCTATCAATGGCAAAGTTCAACTCTGTTAGTTGAGGACACATATCACCAACAAGTTTCTGAGAATGCTTCTGTCTATTTTTTATGGGAAGATATTTCCTTTTTCACCGTAGGCGTCAAGGCGATCGAAATGTCCACTTCCACAAACTACAAAAAGAGTGTTTCAAACCTGCTCTATGAAAGGCCATGTTCATCTCTATGAGTTGAATGGAAATATCCGAAAGAAATTTCTGGGAATGCTGCTGTCTAGTTGTTATACGAATTCCCGCTTCCAACGAAATCCTCAAAGCAATCCAAATATCCACTTGCAGAATCCACAAAAAGAGTGTTTCAAAACTGCTCTATCAATAGAAAGGTTCAACTCTTTTAGTTGAGTACACACATCACAAACAAGTTTCCTGAGAATGCTTCTGTCTGGCTTTTATTGGAAGACGTTTCCTTTTCACCAAAGGCATCAAAGCGCTCCAAATGTCCACTTCCAGATTCTTCCAAAAGAGTGTTTGAAACGTGCTCAAAGTAAGGGAATGTTCAACTCTGTGACTTGAATGCAGATATCACCAAGTAGTTTCTAATAGTGCTTCTGTCTAGATTTTAGATGATGATATTCCCGTTTCCAACGAAATCGTTAGAGCTATCCAAATATCAAGTTACAGTTTCTACCAAAAGGGTGATTCCAAACTGCTGCATCAAAAGAAAGGTTCAACTCTGTTAGTTGAGGACACACATCACAAAGAAGTTTGTGAGAATGCTTCTGTCCAGATTTTGTATGACGATATTCCCTTTTCCAACGATATCGTTAAAGCAATCTAAATATCCATTTGCAGAATCCACAAAAATAGAGTTTCAAAGCTGCTCTGTAAAAAGAAAGGTTCCACTCTGTTAGCTGAGTACACACATCACAAACTTGTCTCTCAGAATCCTTCTGTCTCGTTTTTATGGGAAGATATTTACTTTTCCACCGTAGGCATCAAAGCGCTCCAAATGTCCACATCCAGATACTCCAGAACGAGTGTTTCAAACCTGCTCTATGAAAGGGAATCTTCAACTCTATGAGTTGAATGCAGACATCAGAAAGAAATTTCTGATAATGCTGCTGTCTACCTTTTATTTGAATTCCCGCTTCCAACGAAATCCTCCAAGCTATCCAAATATCCACCTGCATTTTCCACAACAAGAGTGTTTCAAAACTGCTCTATCAATAGAAATGTTCAACTCCTTTGGCTGGGTACACACATCACAAACAAGTTTCTGAGAATGCTTCTGTCTAGTTTTTATGGGTAGACATTCCCTTTTTCACCAAAGGAATCAAAGCGCTCCAAATGTCCACTTCCAGACACTACAAAAAGAGTGTTTCAAACGTGCTCTAAGAAAGCGAATGTTCAACTCTGTGACTTGAATGCAGATATCACACAGTAGTTTCTGAGAGTGCCTCTGTCTAGATTTTAGATGATGATATTCCCGTTTCCAACGAAATCATTAGAGCTATCCAAATATCCACTTACAGTTTCTACAAAAAGAGTGTTTCCAAACTGCTGCATCAAAAGAGAGGTTCCACTCTGTTAGCTGAGTACACACATCACAAACTTGTTTCTCAGAATCCTTCTGTCTCGTTTTTATTGGAAGATATTTACTTTTTCACCGTAGGCATCAAAGCGCTCCAAATGTCCACATCCAGATACTCCAGAAAGAGTGTTTCAAACCTGCTCTATGAAAGGGAATCTTCAACTCTATGAGTTGAATGCAGACATCAGAAAGAAATTTCTGAGAATGCTGCTGTCTACCTTTTATTTGAATTCCCGCTTCCAACGAAATCCTCCAAGCTATCCAAATATCCACTTGCAGATTCCACAAAAAGAGTGTTTCAAAACTGCTCTCTATCAATGGCAAAGTTCAACTCTGTTAGTTGAGGACACATATCACCAACAAGTTTCTGAGAATGCTTCTGTCTATTTTTTATGGGAAGATATTTCCTTCTTCACCGTAGGCGTCAAGGCGATCGAAATGTCCACTTCCACAAACTACAAAAAGAGTGTTTCAAACCTGCTCTATGAAAGGCCATGTTCATCTCTATGAGTCGAATGGAAATATCCGAAAGAAATTTCTGGGAATGCTGCTGTCTAGTTTTTATACGAATTCCCGCTTCCAACGAAATCCTCAAAGCAATCCAAATATCCACTTGCAGAATCCACAAAAAGAGTGTTTCAAAACTGCTCTATCAATAGAAAGGTTCAACTCTTTTAGTTGAGTACACACATCACAAACAAGTTTCTGAGAATGCTTCTGTCTGGCTTTTATTGGAAGACGTTTCCTTTTCACCAAAGGCATCAAAGCGCTCCAAATGTCCACTTCCAGATTCTTCCAAAAGAGTGTTTCAAACGTGTTCGAAGTAAGGGAATGTTCAACTCTGAGACTTGAATGCAGATATCACCAAGTAGTTTCTAATAGTGCTTCTGTCTAGATTTTAGATGATGATATTCCCGTTTCCAACGAAATCGTTAGAGCTATCCAAATATCCACTTACAGTTTCTACCAAAAGGGTGTTTCCAAATTGCTGCATCAAAAGAAAGGTTCAACTCTGTTAGTTGAGGACACACATCACAAAGAAGTTTGTGAGAATGCTTCTGTCTAGATTTTGTATGACCATATTCCCTTTTCCAACGATATCGTTAAAGCAATCTAAATATCAATTTGCAGAATCCACAAAAATAGAGTTTCAAAGCTGCTCTGTAAAAAGAAAGGTTCCACTCTGTTAGCTGAGTACACACATCACAAACTTGTTTCTGAGAATCCTTCTGTCTCGTTTTTATGGGAAGATATTTACTTTTCCACCGTAGGCATCGAAAGCGCTCCAAATGTCCACATCCAGATACTCCAGAACGAGTGTTTCAAACCTGCTCTATGAAAGGGAATCTTCAACTCTATGAGTTGAATGCAGACATCAGAAAGAAATTTCTGAGAATGCTGCTGTCTACCTTTTATTTGAATTCCCGCTTCCAACGAAATCCTCCAAGCTATCCAAATATCCACTTGCATTTTCCACAACAAGAGTGTTTCAAAACTGCTCTATCAATAGAAACGTTCAACTCCTTTGGCTGGGTACACACATCACAAACAAGTTTCTGAGAATGCTTCTGTCTAGTTTTTATGGGAAGACGTTCCCTTTTTCACCAAAGCCATCAAAGCGCTCCAAATGTCCACTTCCAGACACTACAAAAAGAGTGTTTCAAACGTGCTCTAAGAAAGCGAATGTTCAACTCTGTGACTTGAATGCAGATATCACAAAGTAGTTTCCTGAGAGTGCTTTCTGTCTAGATTTTAGATGATGATATTCCCGTTTCCAACGAAATAATTAGAGCTATCCAAATATCCACTTACAGTTTCTACAAAAAGAGTGTTTCCAAACTGCTGCATCAAAAGAGAGGTTCCACTCTGTTAGCTGAGTACACACATCACAAACTTGTTTCTCAGAATCCTGCTGTCTACCTTTTATTTGAATTCCCGCTTCCAACGAAATCCTCCAAGCTATCCAAATATCCACTTGCAGATTCCACAAAAAGAGTGTTTCAAAACTGCTCTCTATCAATGGCAAAGTTCAACTCTGTTAGTTGAGGACACATATCACCAACAAGTTTCTGAGAATGCTTCTGTCTATTTTTTATGGGAAGATATTTCCTTTTTCACCGTAGGCGTCAAGGCGATCGAACTGTCCACTTCCACAAACTACAAAAAGAGTGTTTCAATATGAAAGGCCATGTTCATCTCTATGAGTTGAATGGAAATATCCGAAAGAAAATTCTGGGAATGCTGCTGTCTAGTGTTTATACGAATTCCCGCTTCCAACGAAATCCTCAAAGCAATCCAAATATCCACTTGCAGAATCCACAAAAAGAGTGTTTCAAAACTGCTCTATCAATAGAAAGGTTCAACTCTTTTAGTTGAGTACACACACCACGAACAAGTTTCTGAGAATGCTTCTGTCTGGCTTTTATTGGAAGACGTTTCCTTTTCACCAAAGGCATCAAAGCGCTCCAAATGTCCACTTCCAGATTCTTCCAAAAGAGTGTTTCAAACGTGCTCAAAGTAAGGGAATGTTCAACTCTGTGACTTGAATGCAGATATCACCAAGTAGTTTCTAATAGTGCTTCTGTCTAGATTTTAGATGATGATATTCCCGTTTCCAACGAAATCGTTAGAGCTATCCAAATATCCACTTACAGTTTCTACAAAAAGAGTGTTTCCAAACTGCTGCATCAAAAGAAAGTTTCAACTCTGTTAGTTGAGGACACACATCACAAAGAAGTTTGTGAGAATGCTTCTGTCCAGATTTTGTATGACGATATTCCCTTTTCCAACGATATCATTAAAGCAATCTAAATATCCATTTGCAGAATCCACAAAAATAGAGTTTCAAAGCTGCTCTGTAAAAAGAAAGGTTCCACTCTGTTAGCTGAGTACACACATCACAAACTTGTCTCTCAGAATCCTTCTGTCTCGTTTTTATGGGAAGATATTTACTTTTTCACCGTAGGCATCAAAGCGCTCCAAATGTCCACATCCAGATACTCCAGAAAGAGTGTTTCAAACCTGCTCTATGAAAGGGAATCTTCAACTCTATGAGTTGAATGCAGACATGAGAAAGAAATTTCTGAGAATGCTGCTGTCTACCTTTTATTTGAATTCCCGCTTCCAACGAAATCCTCCAAGCTATCCAAATATCCACCTGCATTTTCCACAAAAAGAGCGTTTCAAAACTGCTCTATCAATAGAAATGTTCAACTCCTTTGGCTGGGTACACACATCACAAACAAGTTTCTGAGAATGCTTCTGTCTGGCTTTTATTGGAAGACGTTTCCTTTTTCACCAAAGGCATCAAAGCGCTCCAAATGTCCACTTCCAGACACTACAAAATGAGTGTTTCCAACGTGCTCTAAGAAAGCGAATGTTCAACTCTGTGACTTGAATGCAGATATCACAAAGTAGTTTCTAATAGTGCTTCTGTCTAGATTTTAGATGATGATATTCCCGTTTCCAACGAAATCATTAGAGCTATCTAAATATCCACTTACAGTTTCTACAAAAAGAGTGTTTCCAAACTGCTGCATCAAAAGAGAGGTTCCACTCTGTTAGCTGAGTACACACATCACAAACTTGATTCTGAGAATCCTTACTGTCTCGTTTTTATGGGAAGATATTTACTTTTTCACCGTAGGCATCAAAGCGCTCCAAATGTCCACATCCAGATACTCCAGAAAGAGTGTTTCAAACCTGCTCTATGAAAGAGAATGTTCAACTCTATGAGTTGAATGCAGACATCAGAAAGAAATTTCTGAGAATGCTGGCTGTCTACCTTTTATTTGAATTCCTGCTTCCAACGAAATCCTCCAAGCTATCCAAATATCCACTTGCAGATTCCACAAAAAGAGTGTCTCAAAACTGCTCTCTATCAATGGCGAAGTTCAACTCTGTTAGTTGAGGACACATATCACCAACAAGTTTCTGAGAATGCTTCTCTCTATTTTTTATGGGAAGATATTTCCTTTTTCACCGTAGGCATCAAGGCGATTGAAATGTCCACTTCCACAAACTACAAAAAGTGTGTTTCAAACCTGCTCTATGAAAGGCCATGTTCATCTCTATGAGTTGAATGGAAATATCCGAAAGAAATTCCTGGGAATGCTGCTGTCTAGTTTTTATACGAATTCCCGCTTCCAACGAAATCCTCAAAGCAATCCAAATATCCACTTGCAGAATCCACAAAAAGAGTGTTTCAAAACTGCTCTATCAATAGAAAGGTTCAACTCTTTTAGTTGAGTACACACATCACAAACAAGTTTCTGAGAATGCTTCTGTCTGGCTTTTATTGGAAGACGTTTCCTTTTCACCAAAGGCATCAAAGCAGCTCCAAATGTCCACTTCCAGATTCTTCCAAAAGAGTGTTTGAAACGTGCTCAAAGTAAGGGAATGTTCAACTCTGTGACTTGAATGCAGATATCACCAAGTAGTTTCTAATAGTGCTTCTGTCTAGATTTTAGATGATGATATTCCCGTTTCCAACGAAATCGTTAGAGCTATCCAAATATCCAGTTACAGTTTCTACCAAAAGGGTGTTTCCAAATTGCTGCATCAAAAGAAAGGTTCAACTCTGTTAGTTGAGGACACACATCACAAAGAAGTTTGTGAGAATGCTTCTGTCTAGATTTTGTATGACGATATTCCCTTTTCCAACGATATCGTTAAAGCAATCTAAATATCAATTTGCAGAATCCACAAAACTAGAGTTTCAAAGCTGCTCTGTTAAAAGAAAGGTTCCACTCTGTTAGCTGAGTACACACATCACAAACTTGTTTCTGAGAATCCTTCTGTCTCGTTTTTATGGGAAGATATTTACTTTTCCACCGTAGGCATCAAAGCGCTCCAAATGTCCACATCCAGATACTCCAGAACGAGTGTTTCAAACCTGCTCTATGAAAGGGAATCTTCAACTCTATGAGTTGAATGCAGACATCAGAAAGAAATTTCTGAGAATGCTGCTGTCTACCTTTTATTTGAATTCCCGCTTCCAACGAAATCCTCCAAGCTATCCAAATATCCACCTGCATTTTCCACAAAAAGAGTGTTTCAAAACTGCTCTATCAATAGAAATGTTCAACTCCTTTTGCTGGGTACACACATCACAAACAAGTTTCTGAGAATGCTTCTGTCTGGCTTTTATTGGAAGACGTTTCCTTTTCACCAAAGGCATCAAAGCGCTCCAAATGTCCACTTCCAGATTCTTCCAAAAGAGTGTTTCAAACGTGCTCGAAGTAAGGGAATGTTCTACTCTGTGACATGAATGCAGATAACACCAAGTAGTTTCTAATAGTGCTTCTGTCTAGATTTTAGATGATGATATTCCCGTTTCCAACGAAATCGTTAGAGCTATCCAAATATCCACTTACAGTTTCTACAAAAAGAGTGTTTCCAAACTGCTGCATCAAAAGAGAGGTTCCACTCTGTTAGCTGAGTACACACATCACAAACTTGTTTCTCAGAATCCTTCTGTCTCGTTTTTATGGGAAGATATTTACTTTTTCACCGTAGGCATCAAAGCGCTCCAAATGTCCACATCCAGATACTCCAGAAAGAGTGTTTCAAACCTGCTCTATGAAAGGGAATGTTCAACTCTATGAGTTGAATGCAGACATCAGAAAGAAATTTCTGAGAATGCTGCTGTCTACCTTTTATTTGAATTCCCGCTTCCAACGAAATCCTCCAAGCTATCCAAATATCCACTTGCAGATTCCACAAAAAGAGTGTTTCAAAACTGCTCTCTACCAATGGCAAAGTTCAACTCTGTTAGTTGAGGACACATATCACCAACAAGTTTCTGAGAATGCTTCTGTCTATTTTTTATGGGAAGATATTTCCTTTTTCACCGTAGGCGTCAAGGCGATCGAAATGTCCACTTCCACAAACTACAAAAAGAGTGTTTCAAACCTGCTCTATGAAAGGCCATGTTCATCTCTATGAGTTGAATGGAAATATCCGAAAGAAATTTCTGGGAATGCTGCTGTCTAGTGTTTATACGAATTCCCGCTTCCAACGAAATCCTCAAAGCAATCCAAATATCCACTTGCAGAATCCACAAAAAGAGTGTTTCAAAACTACTCTATCAATAGAAAGGTTCAACTCTTTTAGTTGAGTACACACATCACGAACAAGTTTCTGAGAATGCTTCTGTCTGGCTTTTATTGGAAGACGTTTCCTTTTCACCAAAGGCATCAAAGCGCTCCAAATGTCCACTTCCAGATTCTTCCAAAAGAGTGTTTCAAACGTCCTCAAAGTAAGGGAATGTTCAACTCTGTGACTTGAATGCAGATATCACCAAGTAGTTTCTAATAGTGCTTCTCTCTACATTTTAGATGATGATATTCCCGTTTCCAACGAAATCGTTAGAGCTATCCAAATATCCAGTTACAGTTTCTACCAAAAGGGTGTTTCCAAATTGCTGCATCAAAAGAAAGGTTCAACTCTGTTAGTTGAGGACACACATCACAAAGAAGTTTGTGAGAATGCTTCTGTCTAGATTTTGTATGACGATATTCCCTTTTCCAACGATATCGTTAAAGCAATCTAAATATCAATTTGCAGAATCCACAAAAATAGAGTTTCAAAGCTGCTCTGTAAAAAGAAAGGTTCCACTCTGTTAGCTGAGTACACACATCACAAACTTGTTTCTGAGAATCCTTCTGTCTCGTTTTTATGGGAAGATATTTACTTTTCCACCGTAGGCATCAAAGTGCTCCAAATGTCCACATCCAGATACTCCAGAACGAGTGTTTCAAACCTGCTCTATGAAAGGGAATCTTCAACTCTATGAGTTGAATGCAGACATCAGAAAGAAATTTCTGAGAATGCTGCTGTCTACCTTTTATTTGAATTCCCGCTTCCAACGAAATCCTCCAAGCTATCCAAATATCCACCTGCATTTTCCACAAAAAGAGTGTTTCAAAACTGCTCTATCAATAGAAATGTTCAACTCCTTTGGCTGGGTACACACATCACAAACAAGTTTCTGAGAATGCTTCTGTCTAGTTTTTATGGGAAGACATTCCCTTTTTCACCAAAGGCATCAAAGCGCTCCAAATGTCCTCTTCCAGACACTACAAAAAGAGTGTTTCAAACGTGCTCTAAGAAACCGAATGTTCAACTCTGTGACTTGAATGCAGATATCACAAAGTAGTTTCTGAGACGGCTTCTGTCTAGATTTTAGATGATGATATTCCCGTTTCCAACGAAATCATTAGAGCTATCCAAATATCCACTTACAGTTTCTACAAAAAGAGTGTTTCCAAACTGCTGCATCAAAAGAGAGGTTCCACTCTGTTAGCTGAGTACACACATCACAAACTTGTTTCTCAGAATCCTTCTGTCTCGTTTTTATGGGAAGATATTTACTTTTTCACCGTAGGCCTCAAAGCGCTCCAAATGTCCACATCCAGATACCACAGAAAGAGTATTTCAAACCTGCTCTATGAAAGGGAATGTTCAACTCTATGAGTTGAATGCAGACATCAGAAAGAAATTTCTGAGAATGCTGCTGTCTACCTTTTATTTGAATTCCCGCTTCCAACGAAATCCTCCAAGCTATCCAAATATCCACTTGCAGATTCCACAAAAAGAGTGTTTCAAAACTGCTCTCTATCAATGGCAAAGTTCAACTCTGTTAGTTGAGGACACATATCACCAACGAGTTTCTGAGAATGCTTCTGTCTATTTTTTATGGGAAGATATTTCCTTTTTCAGCGTAGGAGTCAAGGCGATCGAAATGTCCACTTCCACAAACTACAAAAAGAGTGTTTCAAACCTGCTCTATGAAAGGCCATGTTCATCTCTATGAGTTGAATGGAAATATCCGAAAGAAATTTCTGGGAATGCTGCTGTCTAGTTTTTATATGAAATCCCGCTTCCAACGAAATGCTCAAAGCAATCCAAATATCCACTTGCAGATTCCACAAAAAGAGTGTTTCAAAACAGCTCTATCAATAGAAAGGTTCAACTCTTTTAGTTGAGTACACACATCACAAACAACTTTCTGAGAATGCTTCTGTCTGGCTTTTATTGGAAGACGTTTCCTTTTCACCAAAGGCATCAAAGCGCTCCAAATGTCCACTTCCAGATTCTTCCAAAAGAGTGTTTCAAACGTGCTCAAAGTAAGGGAATCTTCAACTCTGTGACTTGAATGCAGATATCACCAAGTAGTTTCTAATAGTGCTTCTGTCTAGATTTTAGATGATGATATTCCCGTTTCCAACGAAATCGTTAGAGCTATCCAAATATCCACTTACAGTTTCTACAAAAACAGTGTTTCCAAACTGCTGCATCAAAAGAAAGGTTCAACTCTGTTAGTTGAGGACACACATCACAAAGAAGTTTGTGAGAATGCTTCTGTCTAGATTTTGTATGACCATATTCCCTTTTCCAGCGATATCGTTAAAGCAATCTAAATATCCATTTGCAGAATCCACAAAAATAGAGTTTCAAAGCTGCTCTGTAAAAAGAAAGGTTCCACTCTGTTAGCTGAGTACACACATCACAAACTTGTTTCTCAGAATCCTTCTGTCTCGTTTTTATGGGAAGATACTTACTTTTCCACCGTAGGCATCAAAGCGCTCCAAATGTCCACATCCAGATACTCCAGAACGAGTGTTTCAAACCTGCTCTATGAAAGGGAATCTTCAACTCTATGAGTTGAATGCAGACATCAGAAAGAAATTTCTGAGAATGCTGCTGTCTACCTTTTATTTGAATTCCCGCTTCCAACGAAATCCTCCAAGCTATCCAAATATCAACTTGCATTTTCCACAAAAAGAGTGTTTCAAAACTGCTCTATCAATAGAAATGTTCAACTCCTTTAGCTGGGTACACACATCACAAACAAGTTTCTGAGAATGCTTCTGTCTATTTTTTATGGGAAGACATTCCCTTTTTCACCAAAGGCATCAAAGCGCTCCAAATGTCCACTTCCAGACACTATAAAAAGAGTGTTTCAAACGTGCTCTAAGAAAGCGAATGTTCAACTCTGTGACTTGAATGCAGATATCACAAAGTAGTTTCTGAGAGGGCTCTGTCTAGATTTTAGATGATGATATTCCCGTTTCCAACGAAATCATTAGAGCTATCCAAATATCCACTTACAGTTTCTACAAAAAGAGTGTTTCCAAACTGCTGCATCAAAAGAGAGGTTCCACTCTGTTAGCTGAGTACACACATCACAAACTTGTTTCTCAGAATCCTTTCTGTCTCGTTTTTATGGGAAGATATTTACTTTTTCATCGTAGGCCTCAAAGCGCTCCAAATGTCCACATCCAGATACTACAGAAAGAGTATTTCAAACCTGCCCTATGAAAGGGAATGTTCAACTCTATGAGTTGAATACAGACATCAGAAAGAAATTTCTGAGAATGCTGCTGTCTACCTTTTATTTGAATTCCCGCTTCCAACGAAATCCTCCAAGCTATCCAAATATCCACTTGCAGATTCCACAAAAAGAGTGTTTCAAAACTGCTCTCTATCAATGGCAAAGTTCAACTCTGTTAGTTGAGGACACATATCACTAACAAGTTTCTGAGAATGCTTCTGTCTATTTTTTATGGGAAGGATATTTCCTTTTTCACCGTAGGCGTCAAGGCGATCGAAATGTCCACTTCCACAAACTACAAAAAGAGTGTTTCAAACCTGCTCTATGAAAGGCCATGTTCATCTCTATGAGTCGAATGGAAATATCCGAAAGAAATTTCTGGGAATGCTGCTGTCTAGTTTTTATACGAATTCCCGCTTCCAACGAAATCCTCAAAGCAATCCAAATATCCACTTGCAGAATCCACAAAAAGAGTGTTTCAAAACTGCTCTATCAATAGAAAGGTTCAACTCTTTTAGTTGAGTACACACATCACAAACAAGTTTCTGAGAATGCTTCTGTCTGGCTTTTATTGGAAGATGTTTCCTTTTCACCAAAGGCATCAAAGCGCTCCAAATGTCCACTTCCAGATTCTTCCAAAAGAGTGTTTGAAACGTGCTCAAAGTAAGGGAATGTTCAACTCCGTGACTTGAATGCAGATATCACCAAGTAGTTTCTAATAGTGCTTCTGTCTAGATTTCAGATGATGATATTCCCGTTTCCAACGAAATCGTTAGAGCTAAGCAAATATCCAGTTACAGTTTCTACCAAAAGGGTGTTTCCAAATTGCTGCATCAAAAGAAAGGTTCAACTCTGTTAGTTGAGGACACACATCACAAAGAAGTTTGTGAGAATGCTTCTGTCTAGATTTTGTATGACGATATTCCCTTTTCCAACGATATCGTTAAAGCAATCTAAATATCAATTTGCAGAATCCACGAAAATAGAGTTTCAAAGCTGCTCTGTAAAAATAAAGGTTCCACTCTGTTAGCTGAGTACACACATCACAAACTTGTTTCTGAGAATCCTTCTGTCTCGTTTTTATGGGAAGATATTTACTTTTCCACCGTAGGCATCAAAGCGCTCCAAATGTCCACATCCAGATACTCCAGAACGAGTGTTTCAAACCTGCTCTATGAAAGGGAATCTTCAACTCTATGAGTTGAATGCAGACATCAGAAAGAAATTTCTGAGAATGCTGCTGTCTACCTTTTATTTGAATTCCCGCTTCCAACGAAATCCTCCAAGCTATCCAAATATCCACTTGCATTTTCCACAAAAAGAGTGTTTCAAACCTGCTCTATCAATAGAAATGTTCAACTCCTTTGGCTGGGTACACACATCACAAACAAGTTTCTGAGAATGCTTCTGTCTAGTTTTTATGGGAAGACGTTCCCTTTCTCACCAAAGGCATCAAAGCGCTCCAAATGTCCACTTCCAGACACTACAAAAAGAGTGTTTCCAACGTGCTCTAAGAAAGCGAATGTTCAACTCTGTGACTTGAATGCAGATATCACAAAGTAGTTTCTGAGAGGGCTTCTGTCTAGATTTTAGATGATGATATTCCGGTTTCCAACGAAATCATTAGAGCTATCCAAATATCCACTTACAGTTTCTACAAAAAGAGTGTTTCCAAACTGCTGCATCAAAAGAGAGGTTCCACTCTGTTAGCTGAGTACACACATCACAAACTTGTTTCTCAGAATCCTTCTGTCTAGCTTTTATGGGAAGATATTTACTTTTTCACCGTAGGCATCAAAGCGTTCCAAATGTCCACATCCAGATAGTACAGAAAGAGTGTTTCAAACCTGCTCTATGACAGGGAATGTTCAACTCTATGAGTTGAATGCAAACATCACAAAGAAATTTCTGAGAATGCTGCTGTCTACCTTTTATTTGAATTCCCGCTTCCAACGAAATCCTCCAAGCTATCCAAATATCCACTTGCAGATTCCACAAAAAGAGTGTTTCAAAACTGCTCTCTATCAATGGCAAAGTTCAACTCTGTTAGTTGAGGACACATATCACCAACAAGTTTCTGAGAATGCTTCTGTCTATTTTTTATGGGAAGATATTTCCTTTTTCACCGTAGGCGTCAAGGCGATCGAAATGTCCACTTCCACAAACTACAAAAAGAGTGTTTCAAACCTGCTCTATGAAAGGCCATGTTCATCTCTATGAGTTGAATGGAAATATCCGAAAGAAATTTCTGGCAATGCTGCTGTCTAGTTTTTATACGAATTCCCGATTCCAACGAAATCCTCAAAGCAATCCAAATATCCACTTGCAGAATCCACAAAAAGAGTGTTTCAAAACTGCTCTATCAATAGAAAGGTTCAACTCTTTTAGTTGAGTACACACATCACGAACAAGTTTCTGAGAATGCTTCTGTCTGGCTTTTATTGGAAGACGTTTCCTTTTCACCAAAGGCATCAAAGCGCTCCAAATGTCCACTTCCAGATTCTTCCAAAAGAGTGTTTCAAACGTGCTCAAAGTAAGGGAATGTTCAACTCTGTGACTTGAATGCAGATATCACCAAGTAGTTTCTAATAGTGCTTCTGTCTAGATTTTAGATGATGATATTCCCGTTTCCAACGAAATCGTTAGAGCTATCCAAATATCCACTTACAGTTTCTACCAAAAGGGTGTTTCGAAACTGCTGCATCAAAAGAAAAGTTCAACTCTGTTAGTTGAGGACACACATCTCAAAGCTGTTTGTGAGAATGCTTCTGTCTAGATTTTGTATGACGGTATTCCCTTTTCCAACGATATCGTTAAAGCAATCTAAATATCAATTTGCAGAATCCACAACAATAGAGTTTCAAAGCTGCTCTGTAAAAAGAAAGGTTCCACTCTGTTAGCTGAGTACACACATTACAAACTTGTTTCTGAGAATCCTTTCTGTCTCGTTTTTATGGGAAGATATTTACTTTTCCACCGTAGGCATCAAAGCGCTCCAAATGTCCACATCGAGATACTCCAGAACGAGTGTTTCAAACCTGCTCTATGAAAGGGAATCTTCAACTCTATGAGTTGAATGCAGACATCAGAAAGAAATTTCTGAGAATGCTGCTGTCTACCTTTTATTTGAATTCCCGCTTCCAACGAAATCCTCCAAGCTATCCAAATATCCACCTGCATTTTCCACAACAAGAGTGTTTCAAAACTGCTCTATCAATAGAAATGTTCAACTCCTTTGGCTGGGTACACACATCACAAACAAGTTTCTGAGAATGCTTCTGTCTAGTTTTTATGGGTAGACATTCCCTTTTTCACCAAAGACATCAAAGCGCTCCAAATGTCCACTTCCAGACACTACAAAAAGAGTGTTTCAAACGTGCTCTAAGAAAGCGAATGTTCAACTCTGTGACTTGAATGCAGATATCACAAAGTAGTTTCTGAGAGGGCTTCTGTCTAGATTTTAGATGATGATATTCCCGTTTCCAACGAAATCATTAGAGCTATCCAAATATCCACTTACAGTTTCTACAAAAAGAGTGTTTCCAAACTGCTGCATCAAAAGAGAGGTTCCACTCTGTTAGCTGAGTACACACATCACAAACTTGTTTCTCAGAATCCTTCTCTCTCGTTTTTATTGGAAGATATTTACTTTCTCACCGTAGGCCTCAAAGCGCTCCAAATGTCCACATCCAGATACTCCAGAAAGAGTGTTTCAAACCTGCTCTATGAAAGGGAATCTTCAACTCTATGAGTTGAATGCAGACATCAGAAAGAAATTTCTGAGAATGCTGCTGTCTACCTTTTATTTGAATTCCCGCTTCCAACGAAATCCTCCAAGCTATCCAAATATCCACTTGCAGATTCCACAAAAAGAGTGTTTCAAAACTGCTCTCTATCAATGGCAAAGTTCAACTCTGTTAGTTGAGGACACATATCACAAACAAGTTTCTGAGAATGCTTCTGTCTATTTTTTATGGGAAGATATTTCCTTTTTCACCGTAGGCGTCAAGGCGATCGAAATGTCCACTTCCACAAACTACAAAAAGAGTGTTTCAAACCTGCTCTATGAAAGGCCATGTTCATCTCTATGAGTTGAATGGAAATATCCGAAAGAAATTTCTGGGAATGCTGCTGTCTAGTTTTTATACGAATTCCCGCTTCCAACGAAATCCTCAAAGCAATCCAAATATCCACTTGCAGAATCCACAAAAAGAGTGTTTCAAAACTGCTCTATCAATAGAAAGGTTCAACTCTTTTAGTTGAGTACACACATCAGAAACAAGTTTCTGAGAATGCTTCTGTCTGGCTTTTATTGGAAGACGTTTCCTTTTCACCAAAGGCATCAAAGCGCTCCAAATGTCCACTTCCAGATTCTTCTAAAAGAGTGTTTCAAACGTGGTCGAAGTAAGGGAATGTTCTACTCTGTGACTTGAATGCAGATATCACCAAGTAGTTTCTAATAGTGCTTCTGTCTAGATTTTAGATGATGATATTCCCGTTTCCAACGAAATCGTTAGAGCTATCCAAATATCCAGTTACAGTTTCTACCAAAAGGGTGTTTCCAAATTGCTGCATCAAAAGAAAGGTTCAACTCTGTTAGTTGAGGACACACATCACAAAGAAGTTTGTGAGAATGCTTCTGTCCAGATTTTGTATGACGATATTCCCTTTTCCAACGATATCGTTAAAGCAATCTAAATATCCATTTGCAGAATCCACAAAAATAGAGTTTCAAAGCTGCTCTGTAAAAAGAAAGGTTCCACTCTGTTAGCTGAGTACACACATCACAAACTTGTTTCTCAGAATCCTTCTGTCTCGTTTTTATGGGAAGATATTTACTTTTCCACCGTAGGCATCAAAGCGCTCCAAATGTCCACATCCAGATACTCCAGAACGAGTGTTTCAAACCTGCTCTATGAAAGGGAATCTTCAACTCTATGAGTTGAATGCAGACATCAGAAAGAAATTTCTGAGAATGCTGCTGTCTACCTTTTATTTGAATTCCCGCTTCCAACGAAATCCTCCAAGCTATCCAAATATCCACCTGCATTTTCCACAACAAGAGTGTTTCAAAACTGCTCTATCAATAGAAATGTTCAACTCCTTTGGCTGGGTACACACATCACAAAGAAGTTTCTGAGAATGCTTCTGTCTAGTTTTTATGGGAAGACATTCCCTTTTTCACCAAAGGCATCAAAGCGCTCCAAATGTCCACTTCCAGACACTACAAAAAGAGTGTTTCAAACGTGCTCTAAGAAACCGAATGTTCAACTCTGTGACTTGAATGCAGATATCACAAAGTAGTTTCTGAAAGGGCTTCTGTCTAGATTTTAGATGATGATATTCCCGTTTCCAACGAAATCATTAGAGCTATCCAAATATCCACTTACAGTTTCTACAAAAAGAGTGTTTCCAAACTGCTGCATCAAAAGAGAGGTTCCACTCTGTTAGCTGAGTACACACATCACAAACTTGTTTCTCAGAATCCTTCTGTCTCGGTTTTATGGGAAGATATTTACTTTCTCACCGAAGGTACCAAAGCGCTCCAAATGTCCACATCCAGATACTCGAGAAAGAGTGTTTCAAACCTGCTCTATGAAAGGGAATCTTCAACTCTATGAGTTGAATGCAGACATCAGAAAGAAATTTCTGAGAATGCTGCTGTCTACCTTTTATTTGAATTCCCACTTCCAACGAAATCCTCCAAGCTATCCAAATATCCACTTGCAGATTCCACAGAAAGAGTGTTTCAAAACTGCTCTCTATCAATGGCAAAGTTCAACTCTGTTAGTTGAGGACACATATCACCAACAAGTTTCTGAGAATGCTTCTGTCTATTTTCTTATGGGAAGATATTTCCTTTTTCACCGTAGGCGTCAAGGCGATCGAAATGTCCACTTCCACAAACTACAAAAAGAGTGTTTCAAACCTGCTCTATGAAAGGCGATGTTCATCTCTATGAGTTGAATGGAAATATCCGAAAGAAATTTCTGGGAATGCTGCTGTCTAGTTTTTATATGAATTCCCGCTTCCAACGAAATCCTCAAAGCAATCCAAATATCCACTTGCAGAATCCACAAAAAGAGTGTTTCAAAACTGCTCTATCAATAGAAAGGTTCAACTCTTTTAGTTGAGTACACACATCACCAACAAGTTTCTGAGAATGCTTCTGTCTGGCTTTTATTGGAAGACGTTTCCTTTTCACCAAAGGCATCAAAGCGCTCCAAATGTCCACTTCCAGATTCTTCCAAAAGAGTGTTTGAAACGTGCTCAAAGTAAGGGAATGTTCAACTCTGTGACTTGAATGCAGATATCACCAAGTAGTTTCTAATAGTGCTTCTGTCTAGATTTTAGATGACGATATTCCCGTTTCCAGCGAAATCGTTAGAGCTATCCAAATATCCACTTACAGTTTCTACAAAAAGAGTGTTTCCAAACTGCTGCATCAAAAGAAAGGTTCAACTCTGTTAGTTGAGGACACACATCACAAAGAAGTTTGTGAGAATGCTTCTGTCTAGAATTTGTATGACGATATTCCCTTTTCCAACGATATCGTTAAAGCAATCTAAATATCAATTTGCAGAATCCACAAAAATAGAGTTTCAAAGCTGCTCTGTAAAAAGAAAGGTTCCACTCTTTTAGCTGAGTACACACATCACAAACTTGTTTCTGAGAATCCTTCTGTCTCGTTTTTATGGGAAGATATTTACTTTTTCACCGTAGGCATCAAAGCGCTCCAAATGTCCACATCCAGATACTCCAGAAAGAGTGTTTCAAACCTGCTCTATGAAAGGGAATCTTCAACTCTATGAGTTGAATGCAGACATCAGAAAGAAATTTCTGAGAATGCTGCTGTCTACCTTTTATTTGAATTCCCGCTTCCAACGAAATCCTCCAAGCTATCCAAATATCCACTTGCATTTTCCACAACAAGAGTGTTTCAAAACTGCTCTATCAATAGAAACGTTCAACTCCTTTGGCTGGGTACACACATCACAAACAAGTTTCTGAGAATGCTTCTGTCTAGTTTTTATGGGAAGACGTTCCCTTTTTCACCAAAGCCATCAAAGCGCTCCAAATGTCCACTTCCAGACACTACAAAAAGAGTGTTTCAAACGTGCTCTAAGAAAGCGAATGTTCAACTCTGTGACTTGAATGCAGATATCACAAAGTGGTTTCTGAGAGTGCTTCTGTCTAGATTTTAGATGATGATATTCCCGTTTCCAACGAAATCATTAGAGCTATCCAAATATCCACTTACAGTTTCTACAAAAAGAGTGTTTCCAAACTGCTGCATCAAAAGAGAGGTTCCACTCTGTTAGCCGAGTACAGACATCACAAACTTGTTTCTCAGAATCCTTCTGTCTCGTTTTTATGGGAAGATATTTACTTTTTCACCGTAGGCATCAAAGCGCTCCAAATGTCCACATCCGGATACTCCAGAAAGAGTGTTTCAAACCTGCTCTATGAAAGGGAATCTTCAACTCTATGAGTTGAATGCAGACATCAGAAAGAAATTTCTGAGAATGCTGCTGTCTACCTTTTATTTGAATTCCCGCTTCCAACGAAATCCTCCAAGCTATCCAAATATCCACTTGCAGATTCCACAAAAAGAGTGTTTCAAAACTGCTCTCTATCAATGGCAAAGTTCAACTCTGTTAGTTGAGGACACATATCACCAACAAGTTTCTGAGAATGCTTCTGTCTATTGTTTATGGGAAGATATTTCCTTTTTCACCGTAGGCGTCAACGCGATCGAAATGTCCACTTCCACAAACTACAAAAAGAGTGTTTCAAACCTGCTCTATGAAAGGCCATGTTCATCTCTATGAGTTGAATGGAAATATCCGAAAGAAATTTCTGGGAATGCTGCTGTCTAGTGTTTATACGAATTCACGCTTCCAACGAAATCCTCAAAGCAATCCAAATATCCACTTGCAGAATCCACAAAAAGAGTGTTTCAAAACTGCTCTATCAATAGAAAGGTTCAACTCTTTTAGTTGAGTACACACATCACGAACAAGTTTCTGAGAATGCTTCTGTCTGGCTTTTATTGGAAGACGTTTCCTTTTCACCAAAGGCATCAAAGCGCTCCAAATGTCCACTTCCAGATTCTTCCAAAAGAGTGTTTCAAACGTGCTCAAAGTAAGGGAATGTTCAACTCTGTGACTTGAATGCAGATATCACCAAGTAGTTTCTAATAGTGCTTCTGTCTAGATTTTAGATGATGATATTCCCGTTTCCAACGAAATCGTTAGAGCTATCCAAATATCCACTTACAGTTTCTACAAAAAGAGTGTTTCCAAACTGCTGCATCAAAAGAAAGGTTCAACTCTGTTGGTTGAGGACACACATCAGAAAGAAGTTTGTGAGAATGCTTCTGTCTAGATTTTGTATGACGATATTCCCTTTTCCAACGATATCGTTAAAGCAATCTAAATATCCATTTGCAGAATCCACAAAAATAGAGTTTCAAAGCTGCTCTGTAAAAAGAAAGGTTCCACTCTGTTAGCTGAGTACACACATCACAAACTTGTTTCTCAGAATCCTTCTGTCTCGTTTTTATGGGAAGATATTTACTTTTTCACCGTAGGCATCAAAGCGCTCCAAATGTCCACATCCAGATACTCCACAAAGAGTGTTTCAAACCTGCTCTATGAAAGGGAATCTTCAACTCTATGAGTTGAATGCAGACATCAGAAAGAAATTTCTGAGAATGCTGCTGTCTAAATTTTATTTGAATTCCCGCTTCCAACGAAATCCTCCAAGCTATCCAAATATCCTCCTGCATTTTCCACAAAAAGAGCGTTTCAAAACTGCTCTATCAATAGAAATGTTCAACTCCTTTGGCTGGGTACACACATCACAAACAAGTTTCTGAGAATGCTTCTGTCTAGTTTTTATGGGAAGACATTCCCCTTTTCACCAAAGGCATCAAAGCGCTCCAAATGTCCACTTCCAGACACTACAAAAAGAGTGTTTCAAACGTGCTCTAAGAAAGCGAATGTTCAACTCTGTGACTTGAATGCAGATATCACAAAGCAGTTTCTGAGAGGGCTTCTGTCTAGATTTTAGATGATGATATTCCCGTTTCCAACGAAATCATTAGAGCTATCCAAATATCCACTTACAGTTTCTACAAAAAGAGTGTTTCCAAACTGCTGCATCAAAAGAGAGGTTCCACTCTGTTAGCTGAGTACACACATCACAAACTTGTTTCTCAGAATCCTTCTGTCTCGTTTTTATGGGAAGATATTTACTTTTTCACCGTAGGCATCAAAGCGCTCCAAATGTCCACATCCAGATACTCCAGAAAGAGTGTTTCAAACATGCTCTATGAAAGGGAATCTTCAACTCTATGAGTTGAATGCAGACATCAGAAAGAAATTTCTGAGAATGCTGCTGTCTACCTTTTATTTGAATTCCCGCTTCCAACGAAATCCTCCAAGCTATCCAAATATCCACTTGCAGATTCCACAAAAAGAGTGTTTCAAAACTGCTCTCTATCAATGGCAAAGTTCAACTCTGTTAGTTGAGGACACATATCACCAACAAGTTTCTGAGAATGCTCTGTCTATTTTTTATGGGAAGATATTTCCTTTTTCAGCGTAGGCGTCAAGGCGATCGAAATGTCCACTTCCACAAACTACAAAAAGAGTGTTTCAAACCTGCTCTATGAAAGGCCATGTTCATCCTGCTATGAGTTGAATGGAAATATCCGAAAGAAATTTCCTGGGAATGCTGGCTGTCTACCTTTTATTTGAATTCCCGCTTCCAACGAAATCCTCCAAGGTATCCAAATATCCACCTGCATTTTCCACAAAAAGAGTATTTCAAAACTGTTCTATCAATAGAAATGTTCAACTCCTTTGGCTGGGTACACACATCACAAACAAGTTTCTGAGAATGCTTCTGTCTGGCTTTTATTGGAAGACGTTTCCTTTTCACCAAAGGCATCAAAGCGCTCCAAATGTCCACTTCCAGATTCTTCCAAAAGAGTGTTTCAAACGTGCTCAAAGTAAGGGAATGTTCAACTCTGTGACTTGAATGCAGATATCACCAAGTAGTTTCTAATAGTGCTTCTGTCTAGATTTTAGATGATGATATTCCCGTTTCCAACGAAATCGTTAGAGCTATCCAAATATCCACTTACAGTTTCTACAAAAAGAGTGTTTCCAAACTGCTGCATCAAAAGAAAGGTTCAACTCTGTTAGTTGAGGACACACATCACAAAGAAGTTTGTGAGAATGCTTCTGTCTAGATTTTGTATGACGATATTCCCTTTTCCAACGATATCGTTAAGGCAACCTAAATATCAATTTGCAGAATCCACAAAAATAGAGTTTCAAAGCTGCTCTGTAAAAAGAAAGGTTCCACTCTGTTAGCTGAGTACACACATCACAAACTTGTTTCTGAGAATCCTTCTGTCTCGTTTTTATGGGAAGATATTTACTTTTCCACCGTAGGCATCAAAGCGCTCCAAATGTCCACATCCAGATACTCCAGAACGAGTGTTTCAAACCTGCTCTATGAAAGGGAATCTTCAACTCTATGAGTTGAATGCAGACATCAGAAAGAAATTTCTGAGAATGCTGCTGTCTACCTTTTATTTGAATTCCCGCTTCCAACGAAATCCTCCAAGCTATCCAAATATCCACCTGCATTTTCCACAAAAAGAGTGTTTCAAACCTGCTCTATCAATAGAAATGTTCAACTCCTTTGGCTGGGTACACACATCACAAACAAGTTTCTGAGAATGCTTCTGTCTAGTTTTTATGGGAAGACATTCCCTTTTTCACCAAAGGCATCAAAGCGCTCCAAATGTCCACTTCCAGACACTACAAAAAGAGTGTTTCCAACGTGCTCTAAGAAAGCGAATGTTCAATTCTGTGACTTGAATGCAGATATCACAAAGTAGTTTCTAATAGTGCTTCTGTCTAGATTTTAGATGATGATATTCCCGTTTCCAACGAAATCGTTAGAGCTATCCAAATATCCACTTACAGTTTCTACAAAAAGAGTGTTTCCAAACTGCTGAATCAAAAGAAAGGTTCAACTCTGTTAGTTGAGGACACACATCACAAAGAAGTTTGTGAGAATGCTTCTTTCTCGTTTTTATGGGAAGATATTTACTTTTTCACCGTAGGCATCAAAGCGCTCCAAATGTCCACATCCAGATACTCCAGAAAGAGTGTTTCAAACCTGCTCTATGAAAGGGAATCTTCAACTCTATGAGTTGAATGCAGACATCAGAAAGAAATTTCTGAGAATGCTGCTGTCTACCTTTTATTTGAATTCCCGCTTCCAACGAAATCCTCCAAGCTATCCAAATATCCACTTGCAGATTCCACAAAAAGAGTGTTTCAAAACTGCTCTCTATCAATGGCAAAGTTCAACTCTGTTAGTTGAGGACACATATCACCAACAAGTTTCTGAGAATGCTTCTGTCTATTTTTTATGGGAAGAATTTCCTTTTTCACCGTAGGCGTCAAGGCGATCGAAATGTCCACTTCCACAAACTACAAAAAGAGTGTTTCAAACCTGCTCTATGAAAGGCCATGTTCATCTCTATGAGTCGAATGGAAATATCCGAAAGAAATTTCTGGGAATGCTGCTGTCTAGTTTTTATACGAATTCCCGCTTCCAACGAAATCCTCAAAGCAATCCAAATATCCACTTGCAGAATCCACAAAAAGAGTGTTTCAAAACTGCTCTATCAATAGAAAGGTTCAACTCTTTTAGTTGAGTACACACATCACAAACAAGTTTCTGAGAATGCTTCTGTCTCGTTTTTATGGGAAGATATTTACTTTTCCACCGTAGGCATGAAAGCGCTCCAAATGTCCACTTCCAGATTCTTCCAAAAGAGTGTTTCAAACGTGCTCAAAGTAAGGGAATGTTCAACTCTGTGACTTGAATGCAGATATCACCAAGTAGTTTCTAATAGTGCTTCTGTCTAGATTTTAGATGATGATATTCCCGTTTCCAACGAAATCGTTAGAGCTATCCAAATATCCAGTTACAGTTTCTACCAAAAGGGTGTTTCCAAATTGCTGCATCAAAAGAAAGGTTCAACTCTGTTAGTTGAGGACACACATCACAAAGAAGTTTGTGAGAATGCTTCTGTCTAGATTTTGTATGAGGATATTCCCTTTTCCAACGATATCGTTAAAGCAATCTAAATATCAATTTGCAGAATCCACAAAACTAGAGTTTCAAAGCTGCTCTGTTAAAAGAAAGGTTCCACTCTGTTAGCTGAGTACACACATCACAAACTTGTTTCTGAGAATCCTTCTGTCTCGTTTTTATGGGAAGATATTTACTTTTCCACCGTAGGCATCAAAGCGCTCCAAATGTCCACATCCAGATACTCCAGAACGAGTGTTTCAAACCTGCTCTATGAAAGGGAATCTTCAACTCTATGAGTTGAATGCAGACATCAGAAAGAAATTTCTGAGAATGCTGCTGTCTAGCTTTTATTTGAATTCCCGCTTCCAACGAAATCCTCCAAGCTATCCAAATATCCACCTGCATTTTCCACAACAAGAGTGTTTCAAAACTGCTGTATCAATAGAAATGTTCAACTCCTTTGGCTGGGTACACACATCACAAACAAGTTTCTGAGAATGCTTCTGCCTAGTTTTTATGGGAAGACATTCCCTTTTTCACCAAAGGCATCAAAGCGCTCCAAATGTCCACTTCCAGCCACTACAAAAAGAGTGTTTCAAACGTGCTCTAAGAAAGCGAATGTTCAACTCTGTGACTTGAGTGCAGATATCACAAAGTAGTTTCTGAGAGTGCTTCTGTCTAGATTTTAGATGATGATATTCCCGTTTCCAAAGAAATCATTAGAGCTATCCAAATATCCACTTACAGTTTCTACAAAAAGAGTGTTTCCAAACTGCTGCATCAAAACAGAGGTTCCACTCTGTTAGCTGAGTACACACATCACAAACTTGTTTCTCAGAATCCTTCTGTCTCGTTTTTATGGGAAGATATTTACTTTTTCACCGTAGGCATCAAAGCGCTCCAAATGTCCACATCCAGATACTACAGAAAGAGTATTTCAAACCTGCCCTATGAAAGGGAATGTTCAACTCTATGAGTTGAATGCAGACATCAGAAAGAAATTTCTGAGAATGCTGCTGTCTACCTTTTATTTGAATTCCCGCTTCCAACGAAATCCTCCAAGCTATCCAAATATCCGCTTGCAGATTCCACAAAAAGAGTGTTTCAAAACTGCTCTCTATCAATGGCAAAGTTCAACTCTGTTAGTTGAGGACACATATCACCAACAAGTTTCTGAGAATGCTTCTGTCTATTTTTTATGGGAAGATATTTCCTTTTTCACCGTAGGCGTCAAGGCGATCGAAATGTCCACTTCCACAAACTACAAAAAGAGTGTTTCAAACCTGCTCTATGAAAGGCCATGTTCATCTCTATGAGTTGAATGGAAATATCCGAAAGAAATTTCTGGGAATGCTGCTGTCTAGTGCTTATACGAATTCCCGCTTCCAACGAAATCCTCAAAGCAATCCAAATATCCACTTGCAGAATCCACAAAAAGAGTGTTTCAAAACTGCTCTATCAATAGAAAGGTTCAACTCTTTTAGTTGAGTACACACATCACGAACAAGTTTCTGAGAATGCTTCTTTCTGGCTTTTATTGGAAGACGTTTCCTTTTCACCAAAGGCATCAAAGCGCTCCAAATGTCCACTTCCAGATTCTTCCAAAAGAGTGTTTCAAACGTGCTCGAAGTAAGGGAATGTTCTACTCTGTGACTTGAATGCAGATATCACCAAGTAGTTTCTAATAGTGCTTCTGTCTACATTTTAGATGATGATATTCCCGTTTCCAACGAAATCGTTAGAGCTATCCAAATATCCAGTTACAGTTTCTACCAAAAGGGTGTTTCCAAATTGCTGCATCAAAAGAAAGGTTCAACTCTGTTAGTTGAGGACACACATCACAAAGAAGTTTGTGAGAATGCTTCTGTCTAGATTTTGTATGACCATATTCCCTTTTCCAATGATATCGTTAAAGCAATCTAAATATCAATTTGCAGAATCCACAAAAATAGAGTTTCAAAGCTGCTCTGTAAAAAGAAAGGTTCCACTCTGTTAGCTGAGTACACACATCACAAACTTGTTTCTGAGAATCCTTCTGTCTCGTTTTTATGGGAAGATATTTACTTTTCCACCGTAGGCATCAAAGCGCTCCAAATGTCCACATCCAGATACTCCAGAACGAGTGTTTCAAACCTGCTCTATGAAAGGGAATCTTCAACTCTATGAGTTGAATGCAGACATCAGAAAGAAATTTCTGAGAATGCTGCTGTCTACCTTTTATTTGAATTCCCGCTTCCAACGAAATCCCCCAAGCTATCCAAATATCCACCTGCATTTTCCACAACAAGAGTGTTTCAAAACTGCTCTATCAATAGAAATGTTCAACTCCTTTGGCTGGGTACACACATCACAAACAAGTTTCTGAGAATGCTTCTGTCTAGTTTTTATGGGAAGACATTCCCTTTTTCACCAAAGGCATCAAAGCGCTCCAAATGTCCACTTCCAGACACTGCAAAAAGAGTGTTTCAAACGTGCTCTAAGAAAGCGAATGTTCAACTCTGTGACTTGAATGCAGATATCACAAAGTAGTTTCTGAGAGGGCTTCTGTCTAGATTTTAGATGATGATATTCCCGTTTCCAACGAAATCATTAGAGCTATCCAAATATCCACTTACAGTTTCTACAAAAAGAGTGTTTCCAAACTGTTGCATCAGAAGAGAGGTTCCACTCTGTTAGCTGAGTACACACATCACAAACTTGTTTCTGAGAATCCTTCTGTCTCGTTTTTCTGGGAAGATATTTACTTTTTCACCGTAGGCATCAAAGCGCTCCAAATGTCCACATCCAGATACTCCAGAAAGAGTGTTTCAAACCTGCTCTATGAAAGGGAATCTTCAACTCTATGAGTTGAATGCAGACATCAGAAAGAAATTTCTGAGAATGCTGCTGTCTACCTTTTATTTGAATTCCCGCTTCCAACGAAATCCTCCAAGCTATCCAAATATCCACTTGCAGATTCAGGAAAAAGAGTGTTTCAAAACTGCTCTCTATCAATGGCAAAGTTCAACTCTGTTAGTTGAGGACACATATCGCCAACAAGTTTCTGAGAATGCTTCTGTCTATTTTTTATGGGTAGATATTTCCTTTTTCACCGTAGGCGTCAAGGCGATCGAAATGTCCACTTCCACAAACTACAAAAAAGAGTGTTTCAAACCTGCTCTATGAAAGGCCATGTTCATCTCTATGAGTTGAATGGAAATATCCGAAAGAAATTTCTGGGAATGCTGCTGTCTAGTTGTTATACGAATTCCCGCTTCCAACGAAATCCTCAAAGCAATCCAAATATCCACTTGCAGAATCCACAAAAAGAGTGTTTCAAAACTGCTCTATCAATAGAAAGGTTCAACTCTTTTAGTTGAGTACACACATCACAAACAAGTTTCTGAGAATGCTTCTGTCTGGCTTTTATTGGAAGACGTTTCCTTTTCACCAAAGGCATCAAAGCGCTCCAAATGTCCACTTCCAGATTCTTCCAAAAGAGTGTTTGAAACGTGCTCAAAGTAAGGGAATGTTCAACTCTGTGACTTGAATGCAGATATCACCAAGTAGTTTCTAATAGTGCTTCTGTCTAGATTTTAGATGATGATATTCCCGTTTCCAACAAAATCGTTAGAGCTATCCAAATATCCAGTTACAGTTTCTACCAAAAGGGTGTTTCCAAATTGCTGCATCAAAAGAAAGGTTCAACTCTGTTAGTTGAGGAAACACATCACAAAGAAGTTTGTGAGAATGCTTCTGTCTAGATTTTGTATGACGATATTCCCTTTTCCAACGATATCGTTAAAGCAATCTAAATATCAATTTGCAGAATCCACAAAAATAGAGTTTCAAAGCTGCTCTGTAAAAAGAAAGGTTCCACTCTGTTAGCTGAGTACACACATCACAAACTTGTTTCTGAGAATCCTGCTGTCTACCTTTTATTTGAATTCCCGCTTCCAACGAAATCCTCCAAGCTATCCAAATATCCACCTGCATTTTCCACAAAAAGAGTGTTTCAAAACTGCTCTATCAATAGAAATGTTCAACTCCTTTGGCTGGGTACACACATCACAAACAAGTTTCTGAGAATGCTTCTGTCTAGTTTTTATGGGAAGACATTCCCTTTTTCCCCAAAGACATCAAAGCGCTCCAAATGTCCACTTCCAGACACTACAAAAAGAGTGTTTCAAACGTGCTCTAAGAAAGCGAATGTTCAACTCTGTGACTTGAATGCAGATATCACAAAGTAGTTTCTGAGAGGGCTTCTGTCTAGATTTTAGATGATGATATTCCGGTTTCCAACGAAATCATTAGAGCTATCCAAATATCCACTTACAGTTTCTACAAAAAGAGTGTTTCCAAACTGCTGCATCAAAAGAGAGGTTCCACTCTGTTAGCTGAGTACACACATCACAAACTTGTTTCTGAGAATCCTGCTGTCTACCTTTTATTTGAATTCCCGCTTCCAACGAAATCCTCCAAGCTATCCAAATATCCACTTGCAGATTCCACAAAAAGAGTGTTTCAAAACTGCTCTCTATCAATGGCAAAGTTCAACTCTGTTAGTTGAGGACACATATCACCAACAAGTTTCTGAGAATGCTTCTGTCTATTTTTTATGGGAAGATATTTCCTTTTTCACCGTAGGCGTCAAGGCGATCGAAATGTCCACTTCCACAAACTACAAAAAGAGTGTTTCAAACCTGCTCTATGAAAGGCCATGTTCATCTCTATGAGTCGAATGGAAATATCCGAAAGAAATTTCTGGGAATGCTGCTGTCTAGTTTTTATACGAATTCCCGCTTACAACGAAATCCTCAAAGCAATCCAAATATCCACTTGCAGAATCCACAAAAAGAGTGTTTCAAAACTGCTCTATCAATAGAAAGGTTCAACTCTTTTAGTTGAGTACACACATCACAAACAAGTTTCTGAGAATGCTTCTGTCTGGCTTTTATTGGAAGACGTTTCCTTTTCACCAAAGGCATCATCAAAGCGCTCCAAATGTCCACTTCCAGATTCTTCCAAAAGAGTGTTTCAAACGTGCTCAAAGTAAGGGAATGTTCAACTCTGTGACTTGAATGCAGATATCACCAAGTAGTTTCTAATAGTGCTTCTGTCTAGATTTTAGATGATGATATTCCCGTTTCCAACGAAATCGTTAGAGCTATCCAAATATCCAGTTACAGTTTCTACCAAAAGGGTGTTTCCAAATTGCTGCATCAAAAGAAAGGTTCAACTCTGTTAGTTGAGGACACACATCACAAAGAAGTTTGTGAGAATGCTTCTGTCTAGATTTTGTATGACGATATTCCCTTTTCCAGCGATATCGTTAAAGCAATCTAAATATCCATTTGCAGAATCCACAAAAATAGAGTTTCAAAGCTGCTCTGTAAAAAGAAAGGTTCCACTCTGTTAGCTGAGTACACACATCACAAACTTGTTTCTCAGAATCCTTCTGTCTCGTTTTTATGGGAAGATATTTACATTTTCACCGTAGGCATCAAAGCACTCCAAATGTCCACATCCAGATACTCCAGAAAGACTGTTTCAAACCTGCTCTATGAAAGGGAATCTTCAACTCTATGAGTTGAATGCAGACATCAGAAAGAAATTTCTGAGAATGCTGCTGTCTACCTTTTATTTGAATTCCCGCTTCCAACGAAATCCTCCAAGCTATCCAAATATCCACCTGCATTTTCCACAAAAAGAGCGTTTCAAAACTGCTCTATCAATAGAAATGTTCAACTCCTTTGGCTGGGTACACACATCACAAACAAGTTTCTGAGAATGCTTCTGTCTAGTTTTTATGGGAAGACATTCTCTTTTTCACCAAAGGCATCAAAGCGCTCCAAATGTCCACTTCCAGACACTACAAAAAGAGTGTTTCCAACGTGCTCTAAGAAAGCGAATGTTCAACTCTGTGACTTGAATGCAGATATCACAAAGTAGTTTCTGAGAGGGCTTCTGTCTAGATTTTAGATGATGATATTCCCTTTTCCAACGAAATCATTAGAGCTATCCAAATATCCACTTACAGTTTCTACAAAAAGAGTGTTTCCAAACTGCTGTATCAAAACAGAGGTTCCACTCTGTTAGCTGAGTACACACATCACAAACTTGTTTCTCAGAATCCTGCTGTCTACCTTTTATTTGAATTCCCGCTTCCAACGAAATCCTCCAAACTATCCAAATATCCACTTGCAGATTCAGGAAAAAGAGTGTTTCAAAACTGCTCTCTATCAATGGCAAAGTTCAACTCTGTTAGTTGAGGACACATATCACCAACAAGTTTCTGAGAATGCTTCTGTCTATTTTTTATGGGAAGATATTTCCTTTTTCACCGTAGGCGTCAAGGCGATCGAAATGTCCACTTCCACAAACTACAAAAAGAGTGTTTCAAACCTGCTCTATGAAAGGCCATGTTCATCTCTATGAGTCGAATGGAAATATCTGAAAGAAATTTCTGGGAATGCTGCTGTCTAGTTTTTATACGAATTCCCGCTTCCAACGAAATCCTCAAAGCAATCCAAATATCCACTTGCAGAATCCACAAAAAGAGTGTTTCAAAACTGCTCTATCAATAGAAAGGTTCAACTCTTTTAGTTGAGTACACACATCACAAACAAGTTTCTGAGAATGCTTCTGTCTGGCTTTTATTGGAAGACGTTTCCTTTTCACCAAAGGCATCAAAGCGCTCCAAATGTCCACTTCCAGATTCTTCCAAAAGAGTGTTTCAAACGTGCTCGAAGTAAGGGAATGTTCTACTCTGTGACTTGAATGCAGATATCACCAAGTAGTTTCTAATAGTGCTTCTGTCTACATTTTAGATGATGATATTCCCGTTTCCAACGAAATCGTTAGAGCTATCCAAATATCCAGTTACAGTTTCTACCAAAAGGGTGTTTCCAAATTGCTGCATCAAAAGAAAGGTTCAACTCTGTTAGTTGAGGACACACATCACAAAGAAGTTTGTGAGAATGCTTCTGTCTAGATTTTGTATGACGATATTCCCTTTTCCAACGATATCGTTAAAGCAATCTAAATATCAATTTGCAGAATCCACAAAACTAGAGTTTCAAAGCTGCTCTGTAAAAAGAAAGGTTCCACTCTGTTAGCTGAGTACACACATCACAAACTTGTTTCTGAGAATCCTTCTGTCTCGTTTTTATGGGAAGATATTTACTTTTTCACCGTAGGCATCAAAGCGCTCCAAATGTCCACATCCAGATACTCCAGAAAGAGTGTTTCAAACCTGCTCTATGAAAGGGAATCTTCAACTCTATGAGTTGAATGCAGACATCAGAAAGAAATTTCTGAGAATGCTGCTGTCTACCTTTTATTTGAATTCCCTCTTCCAACGAAATCCTCCAAGCTATCCAAATATCCACCTGCATTTTCCACAAAAAGAGTGTTTCAAAACTGCTCTATCAATAGAAATGTTCAACTCCTTTGGCTGGGTACACACATCACAAACAAGTTTCTGAGAATGCTTCTGTCTAGTTTTTATGGGAAGACATTCCCTTTTTCACCAAAGGCATCAAAGCGCTCCAAATGTCCACTTCCAGACACTACAAAAAGAGTGTTTCAAACGTGGTCGAAGTAAGGGAATGTTCAACTCTGTGACTTGAATGCAGATATCACCAAGTAGTTTCTAATAGTGCTTCTGTCTAGATTTTAGATGATGATATTCCCGTTTCCAACGAAATCATTAGAGCTATCCAAATATCCACTTACAGTTTCTACAAAAAGAGTGTTTCCAAACTGCTGCATCAAAAGAGGGGTTCCACCTCTGTTAGCTGAGTACACACATCACAAACTTGTTTCTCAGAATCCTTCTGTCTAGTTTTTATGGGAAGATATTTACTTTTTCACCGTAGGCATCAAAGAGTTCCAAATGTCCACATGCAGATAGTACAGAAAGAGTGTTTCAAACCTGCTGTATGAAAGGGAATGTTCAACTCTATGAGTTGAATGCAAGCATCACAAAGAAATTTCTGAGAATGCTTGCTGTCTACCTTTTATTTGAATTCCCGCTTCCAACGAAATCCTCCAAGCTATCCAAATATCCACTTGCATATTCCACAAAAAGAGTGTTTCAAAACTGCTCTCTATCAATGGCAAAGTTCAACTCTGTTAGTTGAGGACACATATCACCAACAAGTTTCTGAGAATGCTTCTGTCTATTTTTTATGGGAAGATATTTCCTTTTTCACCGTAGGCGTCAAGGTGATCGAAATGTCCACTTCCACAAACTACAAAAAGAGTGTTTCAAACCTGCTCTATGAAAGGCCATGTTCTTCTCTATGAGTTGAATGGAAATATCCGAAAGAAATTTCTGGTAATGCTGCTGTCTAGTTATTATATGAATTCCCGCTTCCAACGAAATCCTCAAAGCAATCCAAATATCCACTTGCAGAATCCACAAAAAGAGTGTTTCAAAACTGCTCTATCAATAGAAAGGTTCAACTCTTTTAGTTGAGTACACACATCACAAACAAGTTTCTGAGAATGCTTCTGTCTGGCTTTTATTGGAAGACGTTTCCTTTTCACCAAAGGCATCAAAGCGCTCCAAATGTCCACTTCCAGATTCTTCCAAAAGAGTGTTTCAAACGTGCTCGAAAGTAAGGGAATGTTCAACTCTGTGACTTGAATGCAGATATCACCAAGTAGTTTCTAATAGTGCTTCTGTCTACATTTTAGATGATGATATTCCCGTTTCCAACGAAATCGTTAGAGCTATCCAAATATCCAGTTACAGTTTCTACCAAAAGGGTGTTTCCAAATTGCTGCATCAAAAGAAAGGTTCAACTCTGTTAGTTGAGGACACACATCACAAAGAAGTTTGTGAGAATGCTTCTGTCCAGATTTTGTATGACGATATTCCCTTTTCCAACGATATCATTAAAGCAATCTAAATATCCATTTGCAGAATCCACAAAAATAGAGTTTCAAAGCTGCTCTGTAAAAAGAAAGGTTCCACTCTGTTAGCTGAGTACACACATCACAAACTTGTCTCTCAGAATCCTTCTGTCTCGTTTTTATGGGAAGATATTTACTTTTTCACCGTAGGCATCAAAGGGCTCCAAATGTCCACATCCAGATACTCCAGAAAGAGTGTTTCAAACCTGCTCTATGAAAGGGGAATGTTCAACTCTATGAGTTGAATGCAGACATCAGAAAGAAATTTCTGAGAATGCTGCTGTCTACCTTTTATTTGAATTCCCGCTTCCAACGAAATCCTCCAAGCTATCCAAATATCCACCTGCATTTTCCACAAAAAGAGTGTTTCAAAACTGCTCTATCAATAGAAATGTTCAACTCCTTTGGCTGGGTACACACATCACAAACAAGTTTCTGAGAATGCTTCTGTCTAGTTTTTATGGGAAGACGTTCCCTTTTTCACCAAAGGCATCAAAGCGCTCCAAATGTCCACTTCCAGACACTACAAAAAGAGTGTTTCAAACGTGCTCTAAGAAAGTGAATGTTCAACTCTGTGACTTGAATGCAGATATCACAAAGTAGTTTCTGAGAGGGCTTCTGTCTAGATTTTAGATGATGATATTCCCGTTTCCAACGAAATCATTAGAGCTATCCAAATATCCACTTACAGTTTCTACAAAAAGAGTGTTTCCAAACTGCTGCATCAAAAGAGAGGTTCCACTCTGTTAGCTGAGTACACACATCACAAACTTGTTTCTCAGAATCCTTCTGTCTCGTTTTTATGGGAAGATATTTACTTTTTCACCGTAGGCATCAAAGCGCTCCAAATGTCCACATCCAGATACTCCAGAAAGAGTGTTTCAAACCTGCTCTATGAAAGGGAATCTTCAACTCTATGAGTTGAATGCAGACATCAGAAAGAAATTTCTGAGAATGCTGCTGTCTACCTTTTATTTGAATTCCCGCTTCCAACAAAATCCTCCAAGCTATCCAAATATCCACTTGCAGATTCCACAAAAAGAGTGTTTCAAAACTGCTCTCTATCAATGGCAAAGTTCAACTCTGTTAGTTGAGGACACATATCACCAACAAGTTTCTGAGAATGCTTCTGTCTATTTTTTATGGGAAGATATTTCCTTTTTCACCGTAGGCGTCAAGGCGATCCAAATGTCCACTTCCACAAACTACAAAAAGAGTGTTTCAAACGTGCTCTATGAAAGGCGATGTTCATCTCTATGAGTTGAATGGAAATATCCGAAAGAAATTTCTGGGAATGCTGCTGTCTAGTTTTTATACGAATTCCCGCTTCCAACGAAATCCTCAAAGCAATCCAAATATCCACTTGCAGAATCCACAAAAAGAGTGTTTCAAAACTGCTCTATCAATAGAAAGGTTCAACTCTTTTAGTTGAGTACACACATCACAAACAAGTTTCTGAGAATGCTTCTGTCTGGCTTTTATTGGAAGACGTTTCCTTTTCACCAAAGGCATCAAAGCGCTCCAAATGTCCACTTCCAGATTCTTCCAAAAGAGTGTTTGAAACGTGCTCAAAGTAAGGGAATGTTCCACTCTGTGACTTGAATGCAGATATCACCAAGTAGTTTCTAATAGTGCTTCTGTCTAGATTTTAGATGATGATATTCCCGTTTCCAACGAAATCGTTAGAGCTATCCAAATATCCACTTACAGTTGCTACAAAAACAGTGTTTCCAAACTGCTGCATCAAAAGAAAGGTTCAACTCTGTTAGTTGAGGACACACGTCACAAAGAAGTTTGTGAGAATGCTTCTGTCCAGATTTTGTATGACGATATTCTCTTTTCCAACGATATCGTTAAAGCAATCTAAATATCCATTTGCAGAATCCACAAAAATAGAGTTTCAAAGCTGCTCTGTAAAAAGAAAGGTTCCACTCTGTTAGCTGAGTACACACATCACAAACTTGTTTCTGAGAATCCTTCTGTCTCGTTTTTATGGGAAGATATTTACTTTTCCACCGTAGGCATCAAAGCGCTCCAAATGTCCACATCCAGATACTCCAGAACGAGTGTTTCAAACCTGCTCTATGAAAGGGAATCTTCAACTCTATGAGTTGAATGCAGACATCAGAAAGAAATTTCTGAGAATGCTGCTGTCTACCTTTTATTTGAATTCCCGCTTCCAAGGAAATCCTCCAAGCTATCGAAATATCCACTAGCATTTTCCACAAAAAGAGTGTTTCAAAACTGCTCTATCAATAGAAACGTTCAACTCCTTTAGCTGGGTACACACATCACAAACAAGTTTCTGAGAATGCTTCTGTCTAGTTTTTATGGGTAGACATTCCCTTTTTCACCAAAGGAATCAAAGCACTCCAAATGTCCACTTCCAGACACTACAAAAAGAGTGTTTCAAACGTGCTCTAAGAAAGCGAATGTTCAACTCTGTGACTTGAATGCAGATATCACAAAGTAGTTTCTGAGAGTGCTTCTGTCTAGATTTTAGATGATGATATTCCCGTTTCCAACGAAATCATTAGAGCTATCCAAATATCCACTTACAGTTTCTACAAAAAGAGTGTTTCCAAACTACTGCATCAAAAGAGAGGTTCCACTCTGTTAGCTGAGTACACACATCACAAACTTGTTTCTCAGAATCCTTCTGTCTCGTTTTTATGGGAAGATATTTACTTTTTCACCGTAGGCATCAAAGCGCTCCAAATGTCCACAACCAGATACTACAGAAAGAGTATTTCAAACCTGCCCTATGAAAGGGAATGCTCAACTCTATGAGTTGAATGCAGACATCAGAAAGAAATTTCTGAGAATGCTGCTGTCTACCTTTTATTTGAATTCCCGCTTCCAACGAAATCCTCCAAGCTATCCAAATATCCACTTGCAGATTCCACAAAAAGAGTGTTTCAAAACTGCTCTCTATCAATGGCAAAGTTCAACTCTGTTAGTTGAGGACACATATCACCAACAAGTTTCTGAGAATGCTTCTGTCTATTTTTTATGGGAAGATATTTCCTTTTTCACCGTAGGCGTCAAGGCGATCGAAATGTCCACTTCCACAAACTACAAAAAGAGTGTTTCAAACCTGCTCTATGAAAGGCCATGTTCATCTCTATGAGTTGAATGGAAATATCCGAAAGAAATTTCTGGGAATGCTGCTGTCTAGTGTTTATACGAATTCCCGCTTCCAACGAAATCCTCAAAGCAATCCAAATATCCACTTGCAGAATCCACAAAAAGAGTGTTTCAAAACTGCTCTATCAATAGAAAGGTTCAACTCTTTTAGTTGAGTACACACATCACCAACAAGTTTACTGAGAATGCTTCTGTCTGGCTTTTATTGGAAGACGTTTCCTTTTCACCAAAGACATCAAAGCGCTCCAAATGTCCACTTCCAGATTCTTCCAAAAGAGTGTTTCAAACGTGCTCGAAGTAAGGGAATGTTCTACTCTGTGACTTGAATGCAGATATCACCAAGTAGTTTCTAATAGTGCTTCTGTCTAGATTTTAGATGATGATATTCCCGTTTCCAACGAAATCGTTAGAGCTATCCAAATATCCACTTACAGTTTCTACAAAAACAGTGTTTCCAAACTGCTGCATCAAAAGAAAAGTTCAACTCTGTTAGTTGAGGACACACATCACAAAGAAGTTTGTGAGAATGCTTTCTGTCTGGATTTTGTATGAAGATATTCCCTTTTCCAACGATGTCGCTAAATCAACCCAAATATCAATTTGCAGAATCCACAGAAATAGAGTTTCAAAGCTGCTCTGTAAGAAGAAAGTATCCACTCTGTTAGCTGAGTACACACATCACAAACTTGTTTCTGAGAATCCTTCTGTCTAGTTTTTATGGGAAGATATTTACTTTTTCACAGTAGGTATCAAAGCGCAACAAATGTCCACATCCAGATACTACAGAAAGAGTGTTTCACACCTGCTCTATGAAAGGGAATCTTCAACTCTATGAGTTGAATGCAGACATCAGAAAGTAATTTCTGAGAATGCTCCTGTCTACCTTTTATTTGAATTCCCGCTTCCAACGAAATCCTCCAAGCTATCCAAATATCCACCTGCATTTTCCACAAAAAGAGCGTTTCAAAACTGCTCTATCAATAGAAATGTTCAACTCCTTTGGCTGGGTACACACATCACAAACAAGTTTCTGAGAATGCTTCTGTCTAGTTTTTATGGGTAGACATTCCCTTTTTCACCAAAGGAATCAAAGCGCTCCAAATGTCCACTTCCAGACACTACAAAAAGAGTGTTTCAAACGTGCTCTAAGAAAGCGAATGTTCAACTCTGTGACTTGAATGCAGATATCACAAAGTAGTTTCTGAGAGTGCTTCTGTCTAGATTTTGTATGACGATATTCCCTTTTCCAACGATATCGTTAAAGCAATCTAAATATCAATTTGCAGAATCCAGAAAAATAGAGTTTCAAAGCTGCTCTGTAAAAAGAAAGGTTCCACTCCGTTAGCTGAGTACACACATCACAAACTTGTTTCTGAGAATCCTTCTGTCTCGTTTTTATGGGAAGATATTTACTTTTCCACCGTAGGCATCAAAGCGCTCCAAATGTCCACATCCAGATACTCCAGAACGAGTGTTTCAAACCTGCTCTATGAAAGGGAATCTTCAACTCTATGAGTTGAATGCAGACATCAGAAAGAAATTTACTGAGAATGCTGCTGTCTACCTTTAATTTGAATTCCCGCTTCCAACGAAATCCTCCAAGCTATCCAAATATCCACTTGCAGATTCCACAAAAAGAGTGTTTCAAAACTGCTCTCTATCAATGGCAAAGTTCAACTCTGTTAGTTGAGGACACATATCACCAAGAAGTTTCTGAGAATGCTTCTGTCTATTTTTTATGGGAAGATATTTCCTTTTTCACCGTAGGCGTCAAGGCGATCGAAATGTCCACTTCCACAAACTACAAAAAGAGTGTTTCAAACCTGCTCTATGAAAGGCCATGTTCATCTCTATGAGTCGAATGGAAATATCCGAAAGAAATTTCCTGGGAATGCTGCTGTCTAGTTTTTATACGAATTCCCGCTTCCAACGAAATCCTCAAAGCAATCCAAATATCCACTTGCAGAATCCACAAAAAGAGTGTTTCAAAACTGCTCTTTCAATAGAAAGGTTCAACTCTTTTAGTTGAGTACACACATCACAAACAAGTTTCTGAGAATGCTTCTGTCTAGTTTTTATGGGAAGACGTTCCCTTTTTCACCAAAGGCATCAAAGCGCTCCAAATGTCCACTTCCAGACACTACAAAAAGAGTGTTTCAAACGTGCTCTAAGAAAGCGAATGTTCAACTCTGTGACTTGAATGCAGATATCACCAAGTAGTTTCTAATAGTGCTTCTGTCTACATTTTAGATGATGATATTCCCGTTTCCAACGAAATCGTTAGAGCTATCCAAATATCCAGTTACAGTTTCTACCAAAAGGGTGTTTCCAAATTGCTGCATCAAAAGAAAGGTTCAACTCTGTTAGTTGAGGACACACATCACAAAGAAGTTTGTGAGAATGCTTCTGTCCAGATTTTGTATGACGATATTCCCTTTTCCAACGATATCGTTAAAGCAATCTAAATATCCATTTGCAGAATCCACAAAAATAGAGTTTCAAAGCTGCTCTGTAAAAAGAAAGGTTCCACTCTGTTAGCTGAGTACACACATTACAAACTTGTTTCTGAGAATCCTTCTGTCTCGTTTTTATGGGAAGATATTTACTTTTTCACCGTAGGCATCAAAGCGCTCCAAATGTCCACATCCAGATACTCCAGAAACAGTGTTTCAAACCTGCTCTATGAAAGGGAATCTTCAACTCTATGAGTTGAATGCAGACATCAGAAAGAAATTTCTGAGAATGCTGCTGTCTACCTTTTATTTGAATTCCCGCTTCCAACGAAATCCTCCAAGCTATCCAAATATCCACTTGCATTTTCCACAAAAAGAGTGTTTCAAAACTGCTCTATCAATAGAAATGTTCATCTCCTTTAGCTGGGTACACACATCACAAACAAGTTTCTGAGAATGCTTTCTGTCTAGTTTTTATGGGAAGACGTTCCCTTTTTCACCAAAGGCATCAAAGCGCTCCAAATGTCCACTTCCAGACACTACAAAAAGAGTGTTTCCAACGTGCTCTAAGAAAGCGAATGTTCAACTCTGTGACTTGAATGCAGATATCACAAAGTAGTTTCTGAGAGGGCTTCTGTCTAGATTTTAGATGATGATATTCCCGTTTCCAACGAAATCATTAGAGCTATCCAAATATCCACTTACAGTTTCTACAAAAAGAGTGTTTCCTAACTGCTGCATCAAAAGAGAGGTTCCACTCTGTTAGCTGAGTACACACATCACAAACTTGTTTCTCAGAATCCTTCTGTCTAGCTTTTATGGGAAGATATTTACTTTTTCACCGTAGGCATCAAAGCGTTCCAAATGTCCACATCCAGATAGTACAGAAAGAGTGTTTCAAACCTGCTCTATGAAAGGGAATGTTCAACTCTATGAGTTGAATGCAAACATCACAAAGAAATTTCTGAGAATGCTGCTGTCTACCTTTTATTTGAATTCCCGCTTCCAACGAAATCCTCCAAGCTATCCAAATATCCACTTGCAGATTCCACAAAAAGAGTGTTTCAAAACTGCTATCAATGGCAAAGTTCAACTCTGTTAGTTGAGGACACATATCACCAACAAGTTTCTGAGAATGCTTCTGTCTATTTTTTATGGGAAGATATTTCCTTTTTCACCGTAGGCGTCAAGGCGATCGAAATGTCCACTTCCACAAACTACAAAAAGAGTGTTTCAAACCTGCTCTATGAAAGGCCATGTTCATCTCTATGAGTTGAATGGAAATATCCGAAAGAAATTTCTGGGAATGCTGCTGTCTAGTTGTTATACGAATTCCCGCTTCCAACGAAATCCTCAAAGCAATCCAAATATCCACTTGCAGAATCCACAAAAAGAGTGTTTCAAAACTGCTCTATCAATAGAAAGGTTCAACTCTTTTAGTTGAGTACACACATCAAGAACAAGTTTCTGAGAATGCTTCTGTCTGGCTTTTATTGGAAGACGTTTCCTTTTCACCAAAGGCATCAAAGCGCACCAAATGTCCACTTCCAGATTCTTCCAAAAGAGTGTTTCAAACGTGCTCAAAGTAAGGGAATGTTCAACTCTTTGACTTGAATGCAGATATCACCAAGTAGTTTCTAATAGTGCTTCTGTCTAGATTTTAGATGATGATATTCCCGTTTCCAACGAAATCGTTAGAGCTATCCAAATATCCAGTTACAGTTTCTACCAAAAGGGTGTTTCCAAACTGCTGCATCAAAAGAAAGGTTCAACTCTGTTAGTTGAGGACACACATCACAAAGAAGTTTGTGAGAATGCTTCTGTCTAGATTTTGTATGACGATATTCCCTTTTCCAACGATATCGTTAAAGCAAACTAAATATCAATTTGCAGAATCCACAAAAATAGAGTTTCAAAGCTGCTCTGTAAAAAGAAAGGTTCCACTCTGTTAGCTGAGTACACACATCACAAACTTGTTTCTGAGAATCCTTCTGTCTCGTTTTTATGGGAAGATAGTTACTTTTTCACCGTAGGCATCAAAGCGCTCCAAATGTCCACATCCAGATACTCCAGAAAGACTGTTTCAAACCTGCTCTATGAAAGGGAATCTTCAACTCTATGAGTTGAATGCAGACATCAGAAAGAAATTTCTGAGAATGCTGCTGTGTACCTTTTATTTGAATTCCCGCTTCCAAAGAAATCCTCCAAGCTATCCAAATATCCACCTGCATTTTCCACAACAAGAGTGTTTCAAAACTGCTCTATCAATAGAAATGGTCAACTCCTTTGGCTGGGTACACACATCACAAACAAGTTTCTGAGAATGCTTCTGTCTAGTTTTTATGGGAAGACATTCCCTTTTTCACCAAAGGCATCAAAGCGCTCCAAATGTCCACTTCCAGACACTACAAAAAGAGTGTTTCCAACGTGCTCTAAGAAAGCGAATGTTCAACTCTGTGACTTGCATGCAGATATCACAAAGTAGTTTCTGAGAGGGCTTCTGTCTAGATTTTAGATGATGATATTCCCGTTTCCAACGAAATCATTAGAGCTATCCAAATATCCACTTACAGTTTCTACAAAAAGAGTGTTTCCAAACTGCTGCATCAAAAGAGAGGTTCCACTCTGTTAGCTGAGTATACACATCACAAACTTGTTTCTCAGAATCCTTCTGTCTCGTTTTTATGGGAAGATATTTACTTTCTCACCGTAGGCATCAAAGCGCTCCAAATGTCCACATCCAGATACTCCAGAAAGAGTGTTTCAAACGTGCTCTATGAAAGGGAATCTTCAACTCTATGAGTTGAATGCAGACATCAGAAAGAAATTTCTGAGAATGCTCTGCTGTCTACCTTTTATTTGAATTCCCGCTTCCAACGAAATCCTCCAAGCTATCCAAATATCCACTTGCAGATTCCACAAAAAGAGTGTTTCAAAACTGCTCTCTATCAATGGCAAAGTTCAACTCTGTTAGTTGAGGACACATATCACCAACAAGTTTCTGAGAATGCTGCTGTCTACCTTTTATTTGAATTCCCGCTTCCAACGAAATCCTCCAGGCTATCCAAATATCCCCTTGCAGATTCCACAAAAAGAGTGTTTCAAAACTGCTCTATCAATGGCAAGGTTCAACTCTGTCAGTTGAGGATACACATCACAAACAAGTTTCTGAGATTTCTGCTGTCTAGTTTTTATATGAATTCCCGCTTCCAACGAAATCCTCAAAGCAATCCAAATATCCACTTGCAGAATCCACAAAAAGAGTGTTTCAAAACTGCTCTATCAATAGAAAGGTTCAACTCTTTTAGTTGAGGTACACACATCACAAACAAGTTTCTGAGAATGCTTCTGTCTAGTTTTTATGGGATGACATTTCCTTTTTCACCAAAGGCATCAAAGAGCTCCAAATGTCCAATTCCAGATACTACAAAAAGAGTGTTTCAAAAGTGCTCTAAGAAAGCGAATGTTCAACTCTATGACTTGAATGCAGATATCAAAAAGTAGTTTCTGAGAGTGCTTCTGTCTAGATTTTAGATAATGATATTCCCGTTTCCAACAAAATCGTTAGAGCTATCCAAATATCCACTTACAGTTTCTACAAAAAGAGCGTTTCCAAACTGCTGCATCAAAAGAAAGGTTCAACTCTGTTAGTTGAGGACACACATCACAAAGAAGTTTGTGAGAATGCTTCTGTCTAGATTTTGTATGACCATATTCCCTTTTCCAACGATATCATTAAAGCAATCTAAATATCAATTTGCAGAATCCACAAAAATAGAGTTTCAAAGCTGCTCTGTAAAAAGAAAGGTTCCACTCTGTTAGCTGAGTACACACATCACAAACTTGTTTCTGAGAATCCTGCTGTCTACCTTTTATTTGAATTCCCGCTTCCAACGAAATCCTCCAAGCTATCCAAATATCCACCTGCATTTTCCACAAAAAGAGCGTTTCAAAACTGCTCTATCAATAGAAATGTTCAACTCCTTTGGCTGGGTACACACATCACAAACAAGTTTCTGAGAATGCTTCTGTCTAGTTTTTATGGGAAGACATTCCCTTTTTCACCAAAGGCATCAAAGCGCTCCAAATGTCCACTTCCAGACACTACAAAAAGAGTGTTTCAAACGTGCTCTAAGAAACCGAATGTTCAACTCTGTGAGTTGAATGCAGATATCACAAAGTAGTTTCTGAGAGGGCTTCTGTCTAGATTTTAGATGATGATATTCCCTTTTCCAACGAAATCATTAGAGCTATCCAAATATCCACTTACAGTTTCTACAAAAAGAGTGTTTCCAAACTGCTGAATCAAAACAGAGGTTCCACTCTGTTAGCTGAGTACACACATCACAAACTTGTTTCTCAGAATCCTTCTGTCTCGTTTTTATGGGAAGATATTTACTTTTTCACCGTAGGCATCAAAGCGCTCCAAATGTCCACATCCAGATACTCCACAAAGAGTGTTTCAAACCTGCTCTATGAAAGGGAATCTTCAACTCTATGAGTTGAATGCAGACATCAGAAAGAAATTTCCTGAGAATGCTGCTGTCTACCTTTTATTTGAATTCCCGCTTCCAACGAAATCCTCCAAGCTATCCAAATATCCACTTGCAGATTCCACAAAAAGAGTGTTTCAAAACTGCTCTCTATCAATGGCAAAGTTCAACTCTGTTAGTTGAGGACACATATCACCAACAAGTTTCTGAGAATGCTTCTGTCTATTTTTTATGGGAAGATATTTCCTTTTTCACCGTAGGCGTCAAGGCGATCGAAATGTCCACTTCCACAAACTACAAAAAGAGTGTTTCAAACCTGCTCTATGAAAGGCCATGTTCATCTCTATGAGTCGAATGGAAATATCCGAAAGAAATTTCTGGGAATGCTGCTGTCTAGTTTTTATACGAATTCCCGCTTCCAACGAAATCCTCAAAGCAATCCAAATATCCACTTGCAGAATCCACAAAAAGAGTGTTTCAAAACTGCTCTATCAATAGAAAGGTTCAACTCTTTTAGTTGAGTACACACATCACAAACAAGTTTCTGAGAATGCTTCTGTCTGGCTTTTATTGGAAGACGTTTCCTTTTCACCAAAGGCATCAAAGCGCTCCAAATGTCCACTTCCAGATTCTTCCAAAAGAGTGTTTCAAACGTGGTCGAAGTAAGGGAATGTTCTACTCTGTGACTTGAATGCAGATATCACCAAGTAGTTTCTAATAGTGCTTCTGTCTAGATTTTAGATGATGATATTCCCGTTTCCAACGAAATCGTTAGAGCTATCCAAATATCCACTTACAGTTTCTACAAAAAGAGTGTTTCCAAACTGCTGCATCAAAAGAAAGGTTCAACTCTGTAAGTTGAGGACACACATCACAAAGAAGTTTGTGAGAATGCTTCTGTCTAGATTTTGTATGACGATATTCCCTTTTCCAACAATATCGTTAAAGCAATCTAAATATCAATTTGCAGAATCCACAAAAATAGAGTTTCAAAGCTGCTCTGTAAAAAGAAAGGTTCCACTCTGTTAGCTGAGTACACACATCACAAACTTGTTTCTGAGAATCCTTCTGTCTCGTTTTTATGGGAAGATATTTACTTTTTCACCGTAGGCATCAAAGCGCTCCAAATGTCCACATCCAGATACTCCAGAAAGAGTGTTTCAAACCTGCTCTATGAAAGGGAATCTTCAACTCTATGAGTTGAATGCAGACATCAGAAAGAAATTTTCTGAGAATGCTGCTGTCTAGTGTTTATACGAATTCCCGCTTCCAACGAAATCTTCAAAGCAATCCAAATATCCACTTGCAGAATCCACAAAAAGAGTGTTTCAAAACTGCGCTATCAAAAGAAATGTTCAACTCCTTTGGCTGGGTACACACATCACAAACAAGTTTCTGAGAATGCTTCTGTCTAGTTTTTATGGGAAGACGTTCCCTTTTTCACCAAAGCCATCAAAGCGCTCCAAATGTCCACTTCCAGACACTACAAAAAGAGTGTTTCAAACGTGCTCTAAGAAAGCGAATGTTCAACTCTGTGACTTGAATGCAGATATCACAAAGTAGTTTCTGAGAGGGCTTCTGTCTAGATTTTAGATGATGATATTCCCGTTTCCAAGGAAATCATTAGAGCTATCCAAATATCCACTTACAGTTTCTACAAAAAGAGTGTTTCCAAACTGCTGCATCAAAAGAGAGGTTCCACTCTGTTAGCTGAGTACACACATCACAAACTTGTTTCTCAGAATCCTTCTGTCTCGTTTTTATGGGAAGATATTTACTTTTTCACCGTAGGCATCAAAGCGCTCCAAATGTCCACATCCAGATACTCCAGAAAGAGTGTTTCAAACCTGCTCTATGAAAGGGAATGTTCAACTCTATGAGTTGAATGCAGACATCAGAAAGAAATTTCTGAGAATGCTGCTGTCTACCTTTTATTTGAATTCCCGCTTCCAACGAAATCCTCCAAGCTATCCAAATATCCACTTGCAGATTCCACAAAAAGAGTGTTTCAAAACTGCTCTCTCAATGGCAAAGTTCAACTCTGTTAGTTGAGGACACATATCACCAACAAGTTTCTGAGAATGCTTCTGTCTATTTTTTATGGGAAGATATTTCCTTTTTCACCGTAGGCGTCAAGGCGATCGAAATGTCCACTTCCACAAACTACAAAAAGAGTGTTTCAAACCTGCTCTATGAAAGGCCATGTTAATCTCTATGAGTTGAATGGAAATATCCGAAAGAAATTTCTGGGAATGCTGCTGTCTAGTTTTTATATGAATTCCCGCTTCCAACGAAATCCTCAAAGCAATCCAAATATCCACTTGCAGAATCCACAAAAAGAGTGTTTCAAAACTGCTCTATCAATAGAAAGGTTCAACTCTTTTAGTTGAGTACACACATCACAAACAAGTTTCTGAGAATGCTTCTGTCTGGCTTTTATTGGAAGACGTTTCCTTTTCACCAAAGGCATCAAAGCGCTCCAAATGTCCACTTCCAGATTCTTCCAAAAGAGTGTTTGAAACGTGCTCAAAGTAAGGGAATGTTCAACTCTGTGACTTGAATGCAGATATCACCAAGTAGTTTCTAATAGTGCTTCTGTCTACATTTTAGATGATGATATTCCCGTTTCCAACGAAATCGTTAGTAGCTATCCAAATATCCAGTTACAGTTTCTACCAAAAGGGTGCTTCCAAATTGCTGCATCAAAAGAAAGGTTCAACTCTGTTAGTTGAGGACACACATCACAAAGAAGTTTGTGAGAATGCTTCTGTCTAGATTTTGTATGACGATATTCCCTTTTCCAACGATATCGTTAAAGCAATCTAAATACCAATTTGCAGAATCCACAAAAATAGAGTTTCAAAGCTGCTCTGTAAAAAGAAAGGTTCCACTCTGTTAGCTGAGTACACACATCACAAACTTGTTTCTCAGAATCCTTCTGTCTCGTTTTTATGGGAAGAGATTTACTTTTCCACCGTAGGCATCAAAGCGCTCCAAATGTCCACATCCAGATACTCCAGAACGAGTGTTTCAAACCTGCTCTATGAAAGGGAATCTTCAACTCTATGAGTTGAATGCAGACATCAGAAAGAAATTTCTGAGAATGCTGCTGTCTACCTTTTATTTGAATTCCCGCTTCCAACGAAATCCTCCAAGCTATCCAAATATCCACTTGCATTTTCCACAACAAGAGTGTTTCAAAACTGCTCTATCAATAGAAATGTTCAACTCCTTTGGCTGGGTACACACATCACAAACAAGTTTCTGAGAATGCTTCTGTCTAGTTTTTATGGGAAGACATTCCCTTTTTCACCAAAGTTATCAAAGCGCTCCAAATGTCCACTTCCAGACACTACAAAAAGAGTGTTTCAAACGTGCTCTAAGAAAGCGAATGTTCAACTCTGTGACTTGAATGCAGATATCACAAAGTAGTTTCTGAGAGTGCTTCTGTCTAGATTTTAGATGATGATATTCCCGTTTCCAACGAAATCATTAGAGCTATCCAAATATCCACTTACAGTTTCTACAAAAAGAGTGTTTCCAAACTGCTGCATCAAAAGAGAGGTTCCACTCTGTTAGCTGAGTACACACATCACAAACTTGTTTCTCAGAATCCTCTGTCTCGTTTTTATGGGAAGATATTTACTTTTTCACCGTAGGCATCAAAGCGCTCCAAATGTCCACATCCAGATACTCCAGAAAGAGTGTTTCAAACCTGCTCTATGAAAGGGAATCTTCAACTCTATGAGTTGAATGCAGACATCAGAAAGAAATTTCTGAGAATGCTGGCTGTCTACCTTTTATTTGAATTCCCGCTTCCAACGAAATCCTCCAAGCTATCCAAATATCCACTTGCAGATTCCACAAAAAGAGTGTTTCAAAACTGCTCTCTATCAATGGCAAAGTTCAACTCTGTTAGTTGAGGACACATATCACCAACAAGTTTCTGAGAATGCTTCTGTCTATTTTTTATGGGAAGATATTTCCTTTTTCACCGTAGGCGTCAAGGCGATCGAAATGTCCACTTCCACAAACTACAAAAAGTGTGTTTCAAACCTGCTCTATGAAAGGCCATGTTCATCTCTATGAGTTGAATGGAAATATCCGAAAGAAATTTCTGGGAATGCTGCTGTCTAGTTTTTATACGAATTCCCGCTTCCAACGAAATCCTCAAAGCAATCCAAATATCCACTTGCAGAATCCACAAAAAGAGTGTTTCAAAACTGCTCTATCAATAGAAAGGTTCAACTCTTTTAGTTGAGTACACACATCACAAAGAAGTTTCTGAGAATGCTTCTGTCTGGCTTTTACTGGAAGACGTTTCCTTTTCACCAAAGGCATCAAAGCGCTCCAAATGTCCACTTCCAGATTCTTCCAAAAGAGTGTTTCAAACGTGCTCAAAGTAAGGGAATGTTCAAATCTGTGACTTGAATGCAGATATCACCAAGTAGTTTCTAATAGTGCTTCTGTCTAGATTTTAGATGATGATATTCCCGTTTCCAATGAAATCGTTAGAGCTATCCAAATATCCACTTACAGTTTCTACAAAAAGAGTGTTTCCAAACTGCTGCATCAAAAGAAAGGTTCAACTCTGTTAGTTGAGGACACACATCACAAAGAAGTTTGTGAGAATGCTTCTGTCCAGATTTTGTATGACGATATTCCCTTTTCCAACGATATCGTTAAAGCAATCTAAATATCCATTTGCAGAATCCACAAAAATAGAGTTTCAAAGCTGCTCTGTAAAAAGAAAAGTTCCACTCTGTTAGCTGAGTACACACATCACAAACTTGTCTCTCAGAATCCTTCTGTCTCGTTTTTATGGGAAGATATTTACTTTTTCACCGTAGGCATCAAAGCGCTCCAAATGTCCACATCCAGATACTCCAGAAAGAGTGTTTCAAACCTGCTCTATGAAAGGGAATCTTCAACTCTATGAGTTGAATGCAGACATCAGAAAGAAATTTCTGAGAATGCTGCTGTCTACCTTTTATTTGAATTGCCGCTTCCAACGAAATCCTCCAAGCTATCCAAATATCCACTTGCATTTTCCACAAAAAGAGTGTTTCAAAACTGCTCTATCAATAGAAATGTTCAACTCCTTTAGCTGGGTACACACATCACAAACAAGTTTCTGAGAATGCTTCTGTCTAGTTTTTATGGGAAGACGTTCCCTTTTTCACCAAAGGCATCAAAGCGCTCCAAATGTCCACTTCCAGACACTACAAAAAGAGTGTTTCAAACGTGCTCTAAGAAAGCGAATGTTCAACTCTGTGACTTGAATGCAGATATCAAAAAGTAGTTTCTGAGAGGGCTTCTGTCTAGATTTTAGATGATGATATTCCCGTTTCCAACGAAATCATTAGAGCTATCCAAATATCCACTTACAGTTTCTACAAAAAGAGTGTTTCCAAACTGCTGCATCAAAAGAGAGGTTCCACTCTGTTAGCTGAGTACACACATCACAAACTTGTTTCTCAGAATCCTTCTGTCTCGTTTTTATGGGAAGATATTTACTTTTACACCGTAGGTATCAAAGCGCTCCAAATGTCCACATCCAGATACTCCAGAAAGAGTGTTTCAAACCTGCTCTATGAAAGGGAATCTTCAACTCTATGAGTTGAATGCAGACATCAGAAAGAAATTTTCTGAGAATGCTGCTGTCTACCTTTTATTTGAATTCCCGCTTCCAACGAAATCCTCCAAGCTATCCAAATATCCACTTGCAGATTCCACAAAAAGAGTGTTTCAAAACTGCTCTCTATCAATGGCAAAGTTCAACTCTGTTAGTTGAGGACACATATCACCAACAAGTTTCTGAGAATGCTTCTGTCTATTTTTTATGGGAAGATATTTCCTTTTTCACCGTAGGCGTCAAGGCGATCGAAATGTCCACTTCCACAAACTACAAAAAGAGTGTTTCAAACCTGCTCTATGAAAGGCCATGTTCATCTCTATGAGTTGAATGGAAATATCCGAAAGAAATTTCTGGGAATGCTGCTGTCTAGTGTTTATACGAATTCCCGCTTTCAACGAAATCCTCAAAGCAATCCAAATATCCACTTGCAGAATCCACAAAAAGAGTGTTTCAAAACTGCTCTATCAATAGAAAGGTTCAACTCTTTTAGTTGAGTACACACATCACGAACAAGTTTCTGAGAATGCTTCTGTCTGGCTTTTATTGGAAGACGTTTCCTTTTCACCAAAGGCATCAAAGCGCTCCAAATGTCCACTTCCAGATTCTTCCAAAAGAGTGTTTGAAACGTGCTCAAAGTAAGGGAATGTTCAACTCTGTGACTTGAATGCAGATATCACCAAGTAGTTTCTAATAGTGCTTCTGTCTAGATTTTAGATGATGATATTCCCGTTTCCAACGAAATCGTTAGAGCTATCCAAATATCCACTTACAGTTTCTACAAAAAGAGTGTTTCCAAACTGCTGCATCCAAAGAAAGGTTCAACTCTGTTAGTTGAGGACACACATCACAAAGAAGTTTGTGAGAATGCTTCTGTCTAGATTTTGTATGACCATATTCCCTTTTCCAGCGATATCATTAAAGCAATCTAAATATCCATTTGCAGAATCCACAAAAATAGAGTTTCAAAGCTGCTCTGTAAAAAGAAAGGTTCCACTCTGTTAGCTGAGTACACACATCACAAACTTGTTTCTCAGAATCCTTCTGTCTCGTTTTTATGGGAAGATATTTACTTTTTCACCGTAGGCATCAAAGCGCTCCAAATGTCCACATCCAGATACTCCAGAAAGAGTGTTTCAAACCTGCTCTATGAAAGGGAATCTTCAACTCTATGAGTTGAATGCAGACATTAGAAAGAAATTTCTGAGAATGCTGCTGTCTACCTTTTATTTGAATTCCCGCTTCCAACGAAATCCTCCAAGCTATCCAAATATCCACCTGCATTTTCCACAACAAGAGTGTTTCAAAACTGCTCTATCAATAGAAATGTTCAACTCCTTTGGCTGGGTACACACATCACAAACAAGTTTCTGAGAATGCTTCTGTCTAGTTTTTATGGGAAGACGTTCCCTTTTTCACCAAAGGCATCAAAGCGCTCCAAATGTCCACTTCCAGACACTACAAAAAGAGTGTTTCCAACGTGCCCTAAGAAAGCGAATGTTCAACTACTGTGACTTGAATGCAGATATCACAAAGTAGTTTCTGAGAGGGCTTCTGTCTAGATTTTAGATGATGATATTCCCGTTTCCAACGGAATCATTAGAGCTATCCAAATATCCACTTACAGTTTCTACAAAAAGAGTGTTTCCAAACTGCTGCATCAAAAGAGAGGTTCCACTCTGTTAGCTGAGTACACACATCACAAACTTGTTTCTGAGAATCCTTCTGTCTCGCTTTTTATGGGAAGATATTTACTTTTTCACCGTAGGCATCAAAGCGCTCCAAATGTCCACATCCAGATACTCCAGAAAGAGTGTTTCAAACCTGCTCTATGAAAGGGAATGTTCAACTCTATGAGTTGAATGCAGACATCAGAAAGAAATTTCTGAGAATGCTGCTGTCTACCTTTTATTTGAATTCCCGCTTCCAACGAAATCCTCCAAGCTATCCAAATATCCACTTGCAGATTCCACAAAAAGAGTGTTTCAAAACTGCTCTCTATCAATGGCAAAGTTCAACTCTGTTAGTTGAGGACACATATCACCAACAAGTTTCTGAGAATGCTTCTGTCTATTTTTTATGGGAAGATATTTCCTTTTTCACCGTAGGCGTCAAGGCGATCGAAACGTCCACTTCCACAAACTACAAAAAGAGTGTTTCAAACCTGCTCTATGAAAGGCCATGTTCATCTCTATGAGTTGAATGGAAATATCCGAAAGAAATTTCTGGGAATGCTGCTGTCTAGTTTTTATATGAATTCCCGCTTCCAACGAAATCCTCAAAGCAATCCAAATATCCACTTGCAGAATCCACAAAAAGAGTGTTTCAAAACTGCGCTATCAATAGAAAGGTTCAACTCTTTTAGTTGAGTACACATATCACGAACAAGTTTCTGAGAATGCTTCTGTCTGGCTTTTATTGGAAGACGTTTCCTTTTCACCAAAGGCATCAAAGCGCTCCAAATGTCCACTTCCAGATTCTTCCAAAAGAGTGTTTCAAACGTGCTCGAAGTAAGGGAATGTTCTACTCTGTGACTTGAATGCAGATATCACCAAGTAGTTTCTAATAGTGCTTCTGTCTACCTTTTGATGATGATATTCCCGTTTCCAACGAAATCGTTAGAGCTATCCAAATATCCAGTTACAGTTTCTACCAAAAGGGTGTTTCCAAATTGCTGCATCAAAAGAAAGGTTCAACTCTGTTAGTTGAGGACACACATCACAAAGAAGTTTGTGAGAATGCTTCTGTCTAGATTTTGTATGACGATATTCCCTTTTCCAACGATATCGTTAAAGCAATCTAAATATCAATTTGCAGAATCCACAAAAATAGAGTTTCAAAGCTGCTCTGTAAAAAGAAAGGTTCCACTCTGTTAGCTGAGTACACACATCACAAACTTGTTTCTGAGAATCTTTCTGTCTCGTTTTTATGGGAAGATATTTACTTTTCCACCGTAGGCATCAAAGCGCTCCAAATGTCCACATCCAGATACTCCAGAACGAGTGTTTCAAACCTGCTCTATGAAAGGGAATCTTCAACTCTATGAGTTGAATGCAGACATCAGAAAGAAATTTCTCAGAATGCTGCTGTCTACCTTTTATTTGAATTAACGCTTCCAACGAAATCCTCCAAGCTATCCAAATATCCACCTGCATTTTCCACAACAAGTGTTTCAAAACTGCTCTATCAATAGAAATGTTCAACTCCTTTGGCTGGGTACACACATCACAAACAAGTTTCTGAGAATGCTTCTGTCTAGTTTTTATGGGAAGACGTTCCCTTTTTCACCAAAGGCATCAAAGCGCTCCAAATGTCCACTTCCATACACTACAAAAAGAGTGTTTCAAACGTGCTCTAAGAAAGCGAATGTTCAACCCTGTGACTTGAATGCAGATATCACAAAGTAGTTTCTGAGAGGGCTTCTGTCTAGATTTTAGATGATGATATTCCCGTTTCCAACGAAATCATTAGAGCTATCCAAATATCCACTTACAGTTTCTACAAAAAGAGTGTTTCCAAACTGCTGCATCAAAAGAGAGGTTCCACTCTGTTAGCTGAGTACACACATCACAAACTTGTTTCTCAGAATCCTTCTGTCTCGTTTTTATGGGAAGATTATACTTTTTCACCGTAGGCATCAAAGCGCTCCAAATGTCCACATCCAGATACTCCAGAAAGAGTGTTTCAAACCTGCTCTATGAAAGGGAATCTTCAACTCTATGAGTTGAATGCAGACATCAGAAAGAAATTTGCTGAGAATGCTGCTGTCTACCTTTTATGTGAATTCCCGCTTCCAACGAAATCCTCCAAGCTATCCAAATATCCACTTGCAGATTCCACAAAAAGAGTGTTTCAAAACTGCTCTCTATCAATGGCAAAGTTCAACTCTGTTAGTTGAGGACACATATCACCAACAAGTTTCTGAGAATGCTTCTGTCTATTTTTTATGGGAAGATATTTCCTTTTTCACCGTAGGCGTCAAGGCGATCGAAATGTCCACTTCCACAAACTACAAAAAGAGTGTTTCAAACCTGCTCTATGAAAGGCCATGTTCATCTCTATGAGTTGAATGGAAATATCAGAAAGAAATTTCTGGGAATGCTGCTGTCTAGTTTTTATACGAATTCCCGCTTCCAACGAAATCCTCAAAGCAATCCAAATATCCACTTGCAGAATCCACAAAAAGAGTGTTTCAAAACTGCTCTATCAATAGAAAGGTTCAACTCTTTTAGTTGAGTACACACATCACAAACAAGTTTCTGAGAATGCTTCGGTCTGGCTTTTATTGGAAGACGTTTCCTTTTCACCAAAGGCATCAAAGCGCTCCAAATGTCCACTTCCAGATTCTTCCAAAAGAGTGTTTGAAACGTGCTCAAAGTAAGGGAATGTTCAACTCTGTGACTTGAATGCAGATATCACCAAGTAGTTTCTAATAGTGCTTCTGTCTAGATTTTAGATGATGATATTCCCGTTTCCAACGAAATCGTTAGAGCTATCCAAATATCCACTTACAGTTGCTACAAAAACAGTGTTTCCAAACTGCTGCATCAAAAGAAAGGTTCAACTCTGTTAGTTGAGGTCACACGTCACAAAGAAGTTTGTGAGAATGCTTCTGTCTAGATTTTGTATGACCATATTCCCTTTTCCAGCGATATCATTAAAGCAATCTAAATATCCATTTGCAGAATCCACAAAAATAGAGTTTCAAAGCTGCTCTGTAAAAAGAAAGGTTCCACTCTGTTAGCTGAGTACACACATCACAAACTTGTTTCTCAGAATCCTTCTGTGTCGTTTTTATGGGAAGATATTTACTTTTCCACCGTAGGCATCAAAGCGCTCCAAATGTCCACATCCAGATACTCCAGAACGAGTGTTTCAAACCTGCTCTATGAAAGGGAATCTTCAACTCTATGAGTTGAATGCAGACATCAGAAAGAAATTTCTGAGAATGCTGCTGTCTACCTTTTATTTGAATTCCCGCTTCCAACGAAATCCTCCAAGCTATCCAAATATCCACCTGCATTTTCCACAACAAGAGTGTTTCAAAACTGCTCTATCAATAGAAATGTTCAACTCCTTTGGCTGGGTACACACATCACAAACAAGTTTCTGAGAATGCTTCTGTCTAGTTTTTATGGGAAGACATTCCCTTTTTCACCAAAGGCATCAAAGCGCTCCAAATGTCCACTTCCAGACACTACAAAAAGTGTGTTTCCAACGTGCTCTAAGAAAGCGAATGTTCAACTCTGTGACTTGAATGCAGATATCACAAAGTAGTTTCTGAGAGGGCTTCTGTCTAGATTTTAGATGATGATATTCCCGTTTCCAACGAAATCATTAGAGCTATCCAAATATCCACTTACAGTTTCCACAAAAAGAGTGTTTCCAAACTGCTGCTTCAAAAGAGAGGTTCCACTCTGTTAGCTGAGTACACACATCACAAACTTGTTTCTCAGAATCCTTCAGTCTCGTTTTTATGGGAAGATATTTACTTTTTCACCGTAGGCATCAAAGCGCTCCAAATGTCCACATCCAGATACTCCAGAAAGAGTGTTTCAAACCTGCTCTATGAAAGGGAATCTTCAACTCTATGAGTTGAATGCAGACATCAGAAAGAAATTTCTGAGAATGCTGCTGTCTACCTTTTATTTGAATTCCCGCTTCCAACGAAATCCTCCAAGCTATCCAAATATCCACTTGCAGATTCCACAAAAAGAGTGTTTCAAAACTGCTCTCTATCAATGGCAAAGTTCAACTCTGTTAGTTGAGGACACATATCACCAACAAGTTTCTGAGAATGCTTCTGTCTATTTTTTATGGGAAGATATTTCCTTTTTCACCGTAGGCGTCAAGGCGATCGAAATGTCCACTTCCACAAACTACAAAAAGAGTGTTTCAAACCTGCTCTATGAAAGGCGATGTTCATCTCTATGAGTTGAATGGAAATATCCGAAAGAAATTTCTGGGAATGCTGCTGTCTAGTGTTTATACGAATTCCCGCTTCCAACGAAATCCTCAAAGCAATCCAAATATCCACTTGCAGAATCCACAAAAAGAGTGTTTCAAAACTGCTCTATCAATAGAAAGGTTCAACTCTTTTAGTTGAGTACACACATCACAAACAAGTTTCTGAGAATGCTTCTGTCTGGCTTTTATTGGAAGACGTTTCCTTTTCACCAAAGGCATCAAAGCGCTCCAAATGTCCACTTCCAGACACTACAAAAAGAGTGTTTCAAACGTGCTCTAAGAAAGCAAATGTTGAACTCTGTGACTTGAATGCAGATATCACAAAGTAGTTTCTGAGAGTGCTTCTGTCTAGATTTTAGATGATGATATTCCCGTTTCCAACGAAATCGTTAGAGCTATCCAAATATCCACTTACAGTTGCTACAAAAACAGTGTTTCCAAACTGCTGCATCAAAAGAAAGGTTCAACTCTGTTAGTTGAGGACACACGTCACAAAGAAGTTTGTGAGAATGCTTCTGTCTAGATTTTGTATGACGATATTCCCTTTTCCAACGATATCGTTAAAGCAATCTAAATATCAATTTGCAGAATCCACAAAAATAGAGTTTCAAAGCTGCTCTGTAAAAAGAAAGGTTCCACTCTGTTAGCTGAGTACACACATCACAAACTTGTTTCTGAGAATCCTTCTGTCTCGTTTTTATGGGAAGATATTTACTTTTCCACCATAGGCATCAAAGCGCTCCAAATGTCCACATCCAGATACTCCAGAACGAGTGTTTCAAACCTGCTCTATGAAAGGGAATCTTCAACTCTATGAGTTGAATGCAGACATCAGAAAGAAATTTCTGAGAATGCTGCTGTCTACCTTTTATTTGAATTCCCCCTTCCAACGAAATCCTCCAAGCTATCCAAATATCCACCTGCATTTTCCACAACAAGAGTGTTTCAAAACTGCTCTATCAATAGAAATGTTCAACTCCTTTGGCTGGGTACACACATCACAAACAAGTTTCTGAGAATGCTTCTGTCTAGTTTTTATGGGAAGACGTTCCCTTTTTCACCAAAGGCATCAAAGCGCTCCAAATGTCCACTTCCAGACACTACAAAAAGAGTGTTTCCAACGTGCTCTAAGAAAGCGAATGTTCAACTCTGTGACTTGAATGCACATATCACAAAGTAGTTTCTGAGAGGGCTTCTGTCTAGATTTTAGATGATGATAATCCCGTTTCCAACAAAATCATTAGAGCTTCCAAATATCCACTTACAGTTTCTACAAAAAGAGTGTTTCCAAACTGCTGCATCAAAAGAGAGGTTCCACTCTGTTAGCTGAGTACACACATCACAAATTTGTTTCTCAGAATCCTTCTGTCTCGTTTTTATGGGAAGATATTTACTTTTTCACCGTAGGCATCAAAGCTCTCCAAATGTCCACATCCAGATACTCCAGAAAGAGTGTTTCAAACCTGCTCTATGAAAGGGAATCTTCAACTCTATGAGTTGAATGCAGACATCAGAAAGAAATTTCTGAGAATGCTGTTGTCTACCTTTTATTTGAATTCCCGCTTCCAACGAAATCCTCCAAGCTATCCAAATATCCACTTGCAGATTCCACAAAAAGAGTGTTTCAAAACTGCTCTCTATCAATGGCAAAGTTCAACTCTGTTAGTTGAGGACACATATCACCAACAAGTTTCTGAGAATGCTTCTGTCTATTTTTTATGGGAAGATATTTCCTTTTTCACCGTAGGCGTCAAGGCGATCGAAATGTCCACTTCCACAAACTACAAAAAGAGTGTTTCAAACCTGCTCTATGAAAGGCCATGTTCATCTCTATGAGTCGAATGGAAATATCCGAAAGAAATTTCTGGGAATGCTGCTGTCTAGTGTTTATACGAATTCCCGCTTCCAATGAAATCCTCAAAGCAATCCAAATATCCACTTGCAGAATCCACAAAAAGAGTGTTTCAAAACTGCTCTATCAATAGAAAGGTTCAACTCTTTTAGTTGAGTACACACATCACGAACAAGTTTCTGAGAATGCTTCTCTCTGGCTTTTATTGGAAGACGTTTCCTTTTCACCAAAGGCATCAAAGCGCTCCAAATGTCCACTTCCAGATTCTTCCAAAAGAGCGTTTCAAACGTGGTCGAAGTAAGGGAATGTTCAACTCTGTGACTTGAATGCAGATATCACCAAGTAGTTTCTAATAGTGCTTCTGTTTAGATTTTAGATGATGATATTCCCGTTTCCAACGAAATCGTTAGAGCTATCCAAATATCCACTTACAGTTTCTACAAAAAGAGTGTTTCCAAACTGCTGCATCAAAAGAAAGGTTCAACTCTGTTAGTTGAGGACACACATCACAAAGAAGTTTGTGAGAATGCTTCTGTCTAGATTTTGTATGACGATATTCCCTTTTCCAACGATATCGTTAAAGCAATCTAAATATCAATTTGCAGAATCCACAAAAATAGAGTTTCAAAGCTGCTCTGTAAAAAGAAAGGTTCCACTCTGTTAGCTGAGTACACACATCACAAACTTGTTTCTGAGAATCCTTCTGTCTCGTTTTTATGGGAAGATATTTACTTTTCCACCGTAGGCATCAAAGCGCTCCAAATGTCCACATCCAGATACTCCAGAACGAGTGTTTCAAACCTGCTCTATGGAAGGGAATCTTCAACTCTATGAGTTGAATGCAGACATCAGAAAGAAATTTCTGAGAATGCTGCTGTCTACCTTTTATTTGAATTCCCGCTTCCAACGAAATCCTCCAAGCTATCCAAATATCCACCTGCATTTTCCACAAAAAGAGTGTTTCAAAACTGCTCTATCAATAGAAATGTTCAACTCCTTTGGCTGGGTACACACATCACAAACAAGTTTCTGAGAATGCTTCTGTCTAGTTTTTATGGGAAGACATTCCCTTTTTCACCAAAGGCATCAAAGCGCTCCAAATGTCCACTTCCAGACACTACAAAAAGAGTGTTTCAAACGTGCTCTAAGAAAACGAATGTTCAACTCTGTGACTTGAATGCAGATATCACAGAGTAGTTTCTGAGAGGGCTTCTCTCTAGATTTTAGATGATGATATTCCCGTTTCCAACGAAATCATTAGAGCTATCCAAATATCCCCTTACAGTTTCTACAAAAAGAGTGTTTCCAAACTACTGCATCAAAAGAGAGGTTCCACTCTGTTAGCTGAGTACACACATCACAAACTTGTTTCTCAGAATCCTTCTGTCTCGTTTTTATGGGAAGATATTTACTTTTTCACCGTAGGCATCAAAGCGCTCCAAATGTCCACATCCAGATACTACAGAAAGAGTATTTCAAACCTGCCCTATGAAAGGGAATGTTCAACTCTATGAGTTGAATGCAGAGATCAGAAAGAAATTTCTGAGAATGCTGCTGTCTACCTTTTATTTGAATTCCCGCTTCCAACGAAATCCTCCAAACTATCCAAATATCCACTTGCAGATTCAGGAAAAAGAGTGTTTCAAAACTGCTCTCTATCAATGGCAAAGTTCAACTCTGTTAGTTGAGGACACATATCACCAACAAGTTTCTGAGAATGTTTCTATTTTTTATGGGAAGATATTTACTTTTTCACCGTAGGCGTCAAGGCGATCGAAATGTCCACTTCCACAAACTACAAAAAGAGTGTTTCAAACCTGCTCTATGAAAGGCCATGTTCATCTCTATGAGTTGAATGGAAATATCCGAAAGAAATTTCTGGGAATGCTGCTGTCTAGTTGTTATACGAATTCCCGCTTCCAACGAAATCCTCAAAGCAATCCAAATATCCACTTGCAGAATCCACAAAAAGAGTGTTTCAAAACTGCTCTATCAATAGAAAGGTTCAACTCTTTTAGTTGAGTACACACATCACAAACAAGTTTCTGAGAATGCTTCTGTCTGGCTTTTATTGGAAGACGTTTCCTTTTCACCAAAGGCATCAAAGCGCTCCAAATGTCCACTTCCAGATTCTTCCAAAAGAGTGTTTCAAACGTGCTCGAAGTAAGGGAATGTTCTACTCTGTGACTTGAATGCAGATATCACCAAGTAGTTTCTAATAGTGCTTCTGTCTAGATTTTAGATGATGATATTCCCGTTTCCAACGAAATCGTTAGAGCTATCCAAATATCCAGTTACAGTTTCTACCAAAAGGGTGTTTCCAAATTGCTGCATCAAAAGAAAGGTTCAACTCTGTTAGTTGAGGAAACACATCACAAAGAAGTTTGTGAGAATGCTTCTGTCCAGTATTTTGTATGACGATATTCCCTTTTCCAACGATATCGTTAAAGCAATCTAAATATCCATTTGCAGAATCCACAAAAATAGAGTTTCAAAGCTGCTCTGTAAAAAGAAAGGTTCCACTCTGTTAGCTGAGTACACACATCACAAACTTGTTTCTGAGAATCCTTCTGTCTCGTTTTTATGGGAAGATATTTACTTTTTCACCGTAGGCATCAAAGCGCTCCAAATGTCCACATCCAGAAACTCCAGAAAGACTGTTTCAAACCTGCTCTATGAAAGGGAATCTTCAACTCTATGAGTTGAATGCAGACATCAGAAAGAAATTTCTGAGAATGCTGCTGTCTACCTTTTATTTGAATTCCCGCTTCCAACGAAATCCTCCAAGCTATCCAAATATCCACTTGCATTTTCCACAACAAGAGTGTTTCAAAACTGCTCTATCAATAGAAATGTTCAACTCCTTTGGCTGGGTACACACATCACAAACAAGTTTCTGAGAATGCTTCTGCCTAGTTTTTATGGGAAGACATTCCCTTTTTCACCAAAGGCATCAAAGCGCTCCAAATGTCCACTTCCAGCCACTACAAAAAGAGTGTTTCAAACGTGCTCTAAGAAAGCGAATGTTCAACTCTGTGACTTGAATGCAGATATCACAAAGTAGTTTCTGAGAGTGCTTCTGTCTAGATTTTAGATGATGATATTCCCGTTTCCAACGAAATCATTAGAGCTATCCAAATATCCACTTACAGTTTCTACAAAAAGAGTGTTTCCAAACTGCTGCATCAAAAGAGAGGTTCCACTCTTTTAGCTGAGTACACACATCACAAACTTGTTTCTGAGAATCCTTCTGTCTCGTTTTTATGGGAAGATATTTACTTTTTCACCGTAGGCATCAAAGCGCTCCAAATGTCCACATCCAGATACTCCAGAAAGAGTGTTTCAAACCTGCTCTATGAAAGGGAATGTTCAACTCTATGAGTTGAATGCAGACATCAGAAAGAAATTTCTGAGAATGCGGCTGTCTACCTTTTATTTGAATTCCCGCTTCCAACGAAATCCTCCAAGCTATCCAAATATCCACTTGCAGATTCCACAAAAAGAGTGTTTCAAAACTGCTCTCTATCAATGGCAAAGTTCAACTCTGTTAGTTGAGGACACATATCACCAACAAGTTTCTGAGAATGCTTCTGTCTATTTTTTATGGGAAGATATTTCCTTTTTCACTGTAGGCGTCAAGGCGATCGAAATGTCCACTTCCACAAACTACAAAAAGAGTGTTTCAAACCTGCTCTATGAAAGGCCATGTTCATCTCTATGAGTTGAATGGAAATATCCGAAAGAAATTTCTGGGAATGCTGCTGTCTAGTTGTTATACGAATTACCGCTTCCAACGAAATCCTCAAAGCAATCCAAATATCCACTTGCAGAATCCACAGAAAGAGTGTTTCAAAACTGCTCTATCAATAGAAAGGTTCAACTCTTTTAGTTGAGTACACACGTCAAGAACAAGTTTCTGAGAATGCTTCTGTCTGGCTTTTATTGGAAGACGTTTCCTTTTCACCAAAGGCATCAAAGCGCTCCAAATGTCCACTTCCAGATTCTTCCAAAAGAGTGTTTGAAACGTGCTCAAAGTAAGGGAATGTTCAACTCTGTGACTTGAATGCAGATATCACCAAGTAGTTTCTAATAGTGCTTCTGTCTAGATTTTAGATGATGATATTCCCGTTTCCAACGAAATCGTTAGAGTTATCCAAATATCCACTTACAGTTTCTACAAAAAGAGTGTTTCCAAACTGCTGCATCAAAAGAAAGGTTCAACTCTGTTAGTTGAGGACACACATCACAAAGAAGTTTGTGAGAATGCTTCTGTCTAGATTTTGTATGACGATATTCCCTTTTCCAACGATATCGTTAAAGCAATCTAAATATCAATTTGCAGAATCCACAAAAATAGAGTTTCAAAGCTGCTCTGTAAAAAGAAAGGTTCCACTCTGTTAGCTGAGTACACACATCACAAACTTGTTTCTCAGAATCCTTCTGTCTCGTTTTTATGGGAAGATATTTACTTTTTCACCGTAGGCATCAAAGCCCTCCAAATGTCCACATCCAGATACTCCAGAAAGAGTGTTTCAAACCTGCTCTATGAAAGGGAATCTTCAACTCTATGAGTTGAATGCAGACATCAGAAAGAAATTTCTGAGAATGCTGCTGTCTACCTTTTATTTGAATTCCCGCTTCCAACGAAATCCTCCAAGCTATCCAAATATCCACTTGCATTTTCCACAAAAAGAGTGTTTCAAAACTGCTCTATCAATAGAAATGTTCAACTCCTTTAGCTGGGTACACACATCACAAACAAGTTTCTGAGAATGCTTCTGTCTAGTTTTTATGGGAAGACGTTCCCTTTTTCACCAAAGGCATCAAAGCGCTCCAAGTGTCCACTTCCAGACACTACAAAAAGAGTGTTTCCAACGTGCTCTAAGAAAGCGAATGTTCAACTCTGTGACTTGAATGCAGATATCACAAAGTAGTTTCTGAGAGTGCTTCTGTCTAGATTTTAGATGATGATATTCCCGTTTCCAACGAAATCATTAGAGCTATCCAAATATCCACTTACAATTTCTACAAAAAGAGTGTTTCCAAACTGCTGCATCAAAAGAGAGGTTCCACTCTGTTAGCTGAGTACACACATCACAAACTTGTTTCTCAGAATCCTTCTGTCTCGTTTTTATGGGAAGATATTTACTTTTTCACCGTAGGCATCAAAGCGCTCCAAATGTCCACATCCAGATACTACAGAAAGAGTATTTCAAACCTGCCCTATGAAAGGGAATGTTCAACTCTATGAGTTGAATGCAGAGATCAGAAAGAAATTTCTGAGAATGCTGCTGTCTACCTTTTATTTGAATTCCCGCTTCCAACGAAATCCTCCAAGCTATCCAAATATCCACTTGCAGATTCCACAAAAAGAGTGTTTCAAAACTGCTCTCTATCAATAGCAAAGTTCAACTCTGTTAGTTGAGGACACATATCGCCAACAAGTTTCTGAGAATGCTTCTGTCTATTTTTTATGGGTAGATATTCCCTTTTTCACCGTAGGCGTCAAGGCGATCGAAATGTCCACTTCCACAAACTACAAAAAGAGTGTTTCAAACCTGTTCTATGAAAGGCCATGTTCATCTCTATGAGTTGAATGGAAATATCCGAAAGAAATTTCTGGGAATGCTGCTGTCTAGTGTTTATACGAATTCCCGCTTCCAACAAAATCCTCAAAGCAATCCAAATATCCACTTGCAGAATCCACAAAAAGAGTGTTTCAAAACTGCTCTATCAATAGAAAGGTTCAACTCTTTTAGTTGAGTACACACATCACGAACAAGTTTCTGAGAATGCTTCTGTCTGGCTTTTATTGGAAGACGTTTCCTTTTCACCAAAGGCATCAAAGCGCTCCAAATGTCCACTTCCAGATTCTTCCAAAAGAGTGTTTCAAACGTGCTCAAAGTAAGGGAATGTTCAACTCTGTCACTTGAATGCAGATATCACCAAGTAGTTTCTAATAGTGCTTCTGTCTAGATTTTAGATGATGATATTCCCGTTTCCAACGAAATCGTTAGAGCTATCCAAATATCCACTTACAGTTTCTACCAAAAGGGTGTTTCCAAATTGCTGCATCAAAAGAAAGGTTCAACTCTGTTAGTTGAGGACACACATCACAAAGAAGTTTGTGAGAATGCTTCTGTCTAGATTTTGTATGACGGTATTCCCTTTTCCAACGATATCGTTAAAGCAATCTAAATATCAATTTGCAGAATCCACAACAATAGAGTTTCAAAGCTGCTCTGTAAAAAGAAAGGTTCCACTCTGTTAGCTGAGTACACACATCACAAACTTGTTTCTGAGAATCCTTCTGTCTCGTTTTTATGGGAAGATATTTACTTTTTCACCGTAGGCATCAAAGCGCTCCAAATGTCCACATCCAGATACTCCAGAAAGAGTGTTTCAAACCTGCTCTATGAAAGGGAATCTTCAACTCTATGAGTTGAATGCAGACATCAGAAAGTAATTTCTGAGAATGCTGCTGTCTACCTTTTATTTGAATTCCCGCTTCCAACGAAATCCTCCAAGCTATCCAAATATCCACCTGCATTTTCCACAAAAAGAGTGTTTCAAACCTGCTCTATCAATAGAAATGTTCAACTCCTTTGGCTGGGTACACACATCACAAACAAGTTTCTGAGAATGCTTCTGTCTAGTTTTTATGGGTAGACGTTCCCTTTTTCACCAAAGGAATCAAAGCGCTCCAAATGTCCACTTCCAGACACTACAAAAAGAGTGTTTCCAACGTGCTCTAAGAAAGCGAATGTTCAACTCTGTGACTTGAATGCAGATATCACAAAGTAGTTTCTGAGAGGGCTTCTGTCTAGATTTTAGATGATGATATTCCCGTTTCCAACGAAATCATTAGAGCTATCCAAATATCCACTTACAGTTTCTACAAAAAGAGTGTTTCCAAACTGCTGCATCAAAAGAGAGGTTCCACTCTGTTAGCTGAGTACACACATCACAAACTTGTTTCTCAGAATCCTTCTGTCTCGTTTTTATGGGAAGATATTTACTTTTTCACCGTAGGCATCAAAGCGCTCCAAATGTCCACATCCAGATACTCCACAAAGAGTGTTTCAAACCTGCTCTATGAAAGGGAATCTTCAACTCTATGAGTTGATTGCAGACATCAGAAAGAAATTTCTGAGAATGCTGCTGTCTACCTTTTATTTGAATTCCCGCTTCCAACGAAATCCTCCAAGCTATCCAAATATCCACTTGCAGATTCCACAAAAAGAGTGTTTCAAAACTGCTCTCTATCAATGGCAAAGTTCAACTCTGTTAGTTGAGGACACATATCACCAACAAGTTTCTGAGAATGCTCTGTCTATTTTTTATGGGAAGATATTTCCTTTTTCACCGTAGGCGTCAAGGCGATCGAAATGTCCACTTCCACAAACTACAAAAAGAGTGTTTCAAACCTGCTCTATGAAAGGCCATGTTCATCTCTATGAGTCGAATGGAAATATCCGAAAGAAATTTCTGGGAATGCTGGCTGTCTAGTGTTTATACGAATTCCCGCTTCCGATGAAATCCTCAAAGCAATCCAAATATCCACTTGCAGAATCCACAAAAAGAGTGTTTCAAAACTGCTCTATCAATAGAAAGGTTCAACTCTTTTAGTTGAGTACACACATCACGAACAAGTTTCTGAGAATGCTTCTGTCTGGCTTTTATTGGAAGACGTTTCCTTTTCACCAAAGGCATCAAAGCGCTCCAAATGTCCACTTCCAGATTCTTCCAAAAGAGTGTTTGAAACGTGCCCAAAGTAAGGGAATGTTCAACTCTGTGACTTGAATGCAGATATCACCAAGTAGTTTCTAATAGTGCTTCTGTCTAGATTTTAGATGATGATATTCCCGTTTCCAACGAAATCGTTAGAGCTATCCAAATATCCACTTACAGTTTCTACAAAAAGAGTGTCTCCAAACTGCTGCATCAAAAGAAAGGTTCAACTCTGTTAGTTGAGGACACACATCACAAAGAAGTTTGTGAGAATGCTTCTGTCTAGATTTTGTATGACGGTATTCCCTTTTCCAACGATATCGTTAAAGCAATCTAAATATCAATTTGCAGAATTCACAAAAATAGAGTTTCAAAGCTGCTCTGTAAAAAGAAAGGTTCCACTCTGTTAGCTGAGTACACACATCACAAACTTGTTTCTGAGAATCCTTCTGTCTCGTTTTTATGGGAAGATATTTACTTTTCCACCGTAGGCATCAAAGCGCTCCAAATGTCCACATCCAGATACTCCAGAACGAGTGTTTCAAACCTGCTCTATGAAAGGGAATCTTCAACTCTATGAGTTGAATGCAGACATCAGAAAGAAATTTCTGAGAATGCTGCTGTCTACCTTTTATTTGAATTCCCGCTTCCAACGAAATCCTCCCAGCTATCCAAATATCCACCTGCATTTTCCACAACAAGAGTGTTTCAAAACTGCTCTATCAATAGAAATTTTCAACTCCTTTGGCTGGGTACACACATCACAAACAAGTTTCTGAGAATGCTTCTGTCTAGTTTTTATGGGAAGACATTCCCTTTTTCACCAAAGGCATCAAAGCGCTCCAAATGTCCACTTCCAGACACTACAAAAAGAGTGTTTCCAACGTGCTCTAAGAAAGCGAATGTTCAACTCCTGTGACTTGAATGCAGATATCACAAAGTAGTTTCTAATAGTGCTTCTGTCTAGATTTTAGATGATGATATTCCCGTTTCCAACGAAATCATTAGAGCTATCCAAATATCCACTTACAGTTTCTACAAAAAGAGTGTTTCCAAACTGCTGCATCAAAAGAGAGGTTCCACTCTGTTAGCTGAGTACACACATCACAAACTTGTTTCTCAGAATCCTTCTGTCTCGTTTTTATGGGAAGATATTTACTTTTCCACCGTAGGCATCAAAGCGCTCCAAATGTCCACATCCAGATACTCCAGAACGAGTGTTTCAAACCTGCTCTATGAAAGGGAATCTACAACTCTATGAGTTGAATGCAGACATCAGAAAGAAATTTCTGAGAATGCTGCTGTCTACCTTTTATTTGAATTCCCGCTTCCAACGAAATCCTCCAAGCTATCCAAATATCCACTTGCAGATTCCACAAAAAGAGTGTTTCAAAACTGCTCTCTATCAATGGCAAAGTTCAACCCTGTTAGTTGAGGACACATATCACCAACAAGTTTCTGAGAATGCTTCTGTCTATTTTTTATGGGAAGATATTTCCTTTTTCACCGTAGGCGTCAAGGCGATCGAAATGTCCACTTCCACAAACTACAAAAAGAGTGTTTCAAACCTGCTCTATGAAAGGCCATGTTCATCTCTATGAGTCGAATGGAAATATCCGAAAGAAATTTCTGGGAATGCTGCTGTCTAGTTTTTATATGAATTCCCGCTTCCAACGAAATCCTCAAAGCAATCCAAATATCCACTTGCAGAATCCACAAAAAGAGTGTTTCAAAACTGCGCTATGAATAGAAAGGTTCAACTCTTTTAGTTGAGTACACATATCACGAACAAGTTTCTGAGAATGCTTCCTGTCTGGCTTTTATTGGAAGACGTTTCCCTTTTCACCAAAGGCATCAAAGCGCTCCAAATGTCCACTTCCAGATTCTTCCAAAAGAGTGTTTCAAACGTGCTCAAAGTAAGGGAATGTTCAACTCTGTGACTTGAATGCAGATATCACCAAGTAGTTTCTAATAGTGCTTCTGTCTACATTTTAGATGATGATATTCCCGTTTCCAACGAAATCGTTAGAGCTATCCAAATATCCAGTTACAGTTTCTACCAAAAGGGTGTTTCCAAATTGCTGCATCAAAAGAAAGGTTCAACTCTGTTAGTTGAGGACACACATCACAAAGAAGTTTGTGAGAATGCTTCTGTCTAGATTTTGTATGATGATATTCCCTTTTCCAACGATATCGTTAAAGCAATCTAAATATCAATTTGCAGAATCCACAAAAATAGAGTTTCAAAGCTGCTCTGTAAAAAGAAAGGTTCCACTCTGTTAGCTGAGTACACACATCACAAACTTGTTTCTGAGAATCCTTCTGTCTCGTTTTTATGGGAAGATATTTACTTTTCCACCGTAGGCATCAAAGCGCTCCAAATGTCCACATCCAGATACTCCAGAACGAGTGTTTCAAACCTGCTCTATGAAAGGGAATCTTCAACTCTATGAGTTGAATGCAGACATCAGAAAGAAATTTCTGAGAATGCTGCTGTCTACCTTTTATTTGAATTCCCGCTTCCAACGAAATCCTCCAAGCTATCCAAATATCCACCTGCATTTTCCACAACAAGAGTGTTTCAAAACTGCTCTATCAATAGAAATGTTCAACTCCTTTGGCTGGGTACACACATCACAAACAAGTCTCTGAGAATGCTTCTGTCTAGTTTTTATGGGAAGACATTCCCTTTTTCACCAAAGGCATCAAAGCGCTCCAAATGTCCACTTCCAGACACTACAAAAAGAGTGTTTCCAACGTTCTCTAAGAAAGCGAATGTTCAACTCTGTGACTTGAATGCAGATGTCACAAAGTAGTTTCTGAGAGGGCTTCTGTCTAGATTTTAGATGATGATATTCCCGTTTCCAACGAAATCATTAGAGCTATCCAAATATCCACTTACAGTTTCTACAAAAAGAGTGTTTCCAAACTGCTGCATCAAAAGAGAGGTTCCACTCTGTTAGCTGAGTACACACATCACAAACTTGTTTCTCAGAATCCTTCTGTCTCGTTTTTCTGGGAAGATATTTACTTTTTCACCGTAGGCATCAAAGCGCTCCAAATGTCCACATCCAGATACTCCAGAAAGAGTGTTTCAAACCTGCTCTATGAAAGGGAATCTTCAACTCTATGAGTTGAATGCAGACATCAGAAAGAAATTTACTGAGAATGCTGCTGTCTACCTTTTATTTGAATTCCCGCTTCCAACGAAATCCTCCAAGCTATCCAAATATCCACTTGCAGATTCCACAAAAAGAGTGTTTCAAAACTGCTCTCTATCAATGGCAAAGTTCAACTCTGTTAGTTGAGGACACATATCACCAACAAGTTTCTGAGAATGCTTCTGTCTATTTTTTATGGGAAGATATTTCCTTTTTCACTGTAGGCGTCAAGGCGATCGAAATGTCCACTTCCACAAACTACAAAAAGAGTGTTTCAAACCAGCTCTATGAAAGGCGATGTTCATCTCTATGAGTTGAATGGAAATATCCGAAAGAAATTTCTGGGAATGCTGCTGTCTAGTGTTTATACGAATTCCCGCTTCCAACGAAATCCTCAAAGCAATCCAAATATCCACTTGCAGAATCCACAAAAAGAGTGTTTCAAAACTGCTCTATCAATAGAAAGGTTCAACTCTTTTAGTTGAGTACACACATCACGAACAAGTTTCTCAGAATGCTTCTGTCTGGCTTTTATTGGAAGACGTTTCCTTTTCACCAAAGGCATCAAAGCGCTCCAAATGTCCACTTACAGATTCTTCCAAAAGAGTGTTTCAAACGTGCTCAAAGTAAGGGAATGTTCAACTCTGTGACTTGAATGCAGATATCACCAAGTAGTTTCTAATAGTGCTTCTGTCTAGATTTTAGATGATGATATTCCCGTTTCCAACGAAATCGTTAGAGCTATCCAAATATCCACTTACAGTTTCTACAAAAAGAGTGTTTCCAAACTGCTGCATCAAAAGAAAGGTTCAACTCTGTTAGTTGAGGACACACGTCACAAAGAAGTTTGTGAGCATGCTTCTGTCTAGATTTTGTATGACGATATTCCCTTTTCCAGCGATATCATTAAAGCAATCTAAATATCCATTTGCAGAATCCACAAAAATAGAGTTTCAAAGCTGCTCTGTAAAAAGAAAGGTTCCACTCTGTTAGCTGAGTACACACATCACAAACTTGTTTCTCAGAATCCTTCTGTCTCGTTTTTATGGGAAGATATTTACTTTTTCACCGTAGGCATCAAAGCGCTCCAAATGTCCACATACAGATACTCCAGAAAGAGTGTTTCAAACCTGCTCTATGAAAGGGAATCTTCAACTCTATGAGTTGAATGCAGACATCAGAAAGAAATTTCTGAGAATGCTGCTGTCTACCTTTTATTTGAATTCCCGCTTCCAACGAAAACCTCCAAGCTATCCAAATATCCACTTGCAGATTCTACAAAAAGAGTGTTTCAAAACTGCTCTATCAATAGAAATGTTCAACTCCTTTCGCTGGGTACACACATCACAAACAAGTTTCTGAGAAAGCTTCTGTCTAGTTTTTATGGGAAGACATTTCCTTTTTCACCAAAGGCATCAAAGAGCTCCAAATGTCCACTTCCAGATACTACAAAAAGAGTGTTTCAAAAGTGCTCTAAGAAAGCGAATGTTCAACTCTGTGACTTGAATGCAGATATTAAAAAGTAGTTTCTGAGAGTGCTTCTGTCCAGATTTTGTATGACGATATTCCCTTTTCCAACGGATATCGTTAAAGCAATCTAAATATCCATTTGCAGAATCCACAAAAATAGAGTTTCAAAGCTGCTCTGTAAAAAGAAAGGTTCCACTCTGTTAGCTGAGTACACACATCACAAACTTGTCTCTCAGAATCCTTCTGTCTCGTTTTTATGGGAAGATATTTACTTTTCCACCGTAGGCATCAAAGCGCTCCAAATGTCCACATCCAGATACTCCAGAAAGAGTGTTTCAAACCTGCTCTATGAAAGGGAATCTTCAACTCTATGAGTTGAATGCAGACATCAGAAAGAAATTTCTGAGAATGCTGCTGTCTACCCTTTATTTGAATTCCCGCTTCCAACGAAATCCTCCAAGCTATCCAAATATCCACTTGCAGATTCCACAAAAAGAGTGTTTCAAAACTGCTCTCTATCAATGGCAAAGTTCAACTCTGTTAGTTGAGGACACATATCACCAACAAGTTTCTGAGAATGCTTCTGTCTATTTTTTATGGGAAGATATTTCCTTTTTCACTGTAGGCGTCAAGGCGATCGAAATGTCCACTTCCACAAACTACAAAAAGAGTGTTTCAAACCTGCTCTATGAAAGGCGATGTTCATCTCTATGAGTTGAATGGAAATATCCGAAAGAAATTTACTGGGAATGCTGCTGTCTAGTTTTTATACGAATTCCCGCTTCCAACGAAATCCTCAAATCAATCCAAATATCCACTTGCAGAATCCACAAAAAGAGTGTTTCAAAACTGCTCTATGAATAGAAAGGTTCAACTCTTTTAGTTGAGTACACACATCACAAACAAGTTTCTGAGAATGCTGCTGTTGGGCTTTTATTGGAAGACGTTTCCTTTTCACCAAAGGCATCAAAGCGCTCCAAATGTCCACTTCCAGATTCTTCCAAAAGAGTGTTTCAAACGTGCTCAAAGTAAGGGAATGTTCAACTCTGTGACTTGAATGCAGATATCAAAAAGTAGTTTACTGAGAGTGCTTCTGTCTAGATTTTAGATGATGATATTCCCGTTTCCAACGAAATCGTTAGAGCTATCCAAATATCCAGTTACAGTTTCTACCAAAAGGGTGTTTCCAAATTGCTGCATCAAAAGAAAGGTTCAACTCTGTTAGTTGAGGACACACATCACAAAGAAGTTTGTGAGAATGCTTCTGTCTAGATTTTGTATGACGATATTCCCTTTTCCAACGATATCGTTAAAGCAATCTAAATATCAATTTGCAGAATCCACAAAAATAGAGTTTCAAAGCTGCTCTGTAAAAAGAAAGGTTCCACTGTGTTAGCTGAGTACACACATCACAAACTTGTTTCTCAGAATCCTTTCTGTCTCGTTTTTATGGGAAGATATTTACTTTTCCACCGTAGGCATCAAAGCGCTCCAAATGTCCACATCCAGATACTCCAGAACGAGTGTTTCAAACCTGCTCTATGAAAGGGAATCTTCAACTCTATGAGTTGAATGCAGACATCAGAAAGAAATTTCTGAGAATGCTGCTGTCTACCTTTTATTTGAATTCCCGCTTCCAACGAAATCCTCCAAACTATCCAAATATCCACCTGCATTTTCCACAACAAGAGTGTTTCAAAACTGCTCTATCAATAGAAATGTTCAACTCCTTTGGCTGGGTACACACATCACAAACAAGTCTCTGAGAATGCTTCTGTCTAGTTTTTATGGGAAGACATTCCCTTTTTCACCAAAGGCATCAAAGCGCTCCAAATGTCCACTTCCAGACACTACAAAAAGAGTGTTTCAAACGTGCTCTAAGAAACCGAATGTTCAACTCTGTGACTTGAATGCAGATATCACAAAGTAGTTTCTGAGAGGGCTTCTGTCTAGATTTTAGATGATGATATTCCCGTTTCCAACGAAATCATTAGAGCTATCCAAATATCCACTTACAGTTTCTACAAAAAGAGTGTTTCCAAACTGCTGCATCAAAACAGAGGTTCCACTCTGTTAGCTGAGTACACACATCACAAACTTGTTTCTCAGAATCCTCTGTCTCGTTTTTATGGGAAGATATTTACTTTTTCACCGTAGGCATCAAAGCGCTCCAAATGTCCACATCCAGATACTACAGAAAGAGTATTTCAAACCTGCCCTATGAAAGGGAATGTTCAACTCTATGAGTTGAATGCAGACATCAGAAAGCAATTTCTGAGAATGCTGGCTGTCTACCTTTTATTTGAATTCCCGCTTCCAACGAAATCCTCCAAGCTATCCAAATATCCACTTGCAGATTCCACAAAAAGAGTGTTTCAAAACTGCTCTCTATCAATGGCAAAGTTCAACTCTGTTAGTTGAGGACACATATCACCAACAAGTTTCTGAGAATGCTTCTGTCTATTTTTTATGGGAAGATATTTCCTTTTTCACCGTAGGCGTCAAGGCGATCGAAATGTCCACTTCCACAAACTACAAAAAGAGTGTTTCAAACCTGCTCTATGAAAGGCGATGTTCATCTCTATGAGTTGAATGGAAATATCCGAAAGAAATTTCTGGGAATGCTGCTGTCTAGTTGTTATACGAATTCCCGCTTCCAACGAAATCCTCAAAGCAATCCAAATATCCACTTGCAGAATCCACAAAAAGAGTGTTTCAAAACTGCTCTATCAATAGAAAGGTTCAACTCTTTTAGTTGAGTACACACATCTCAAACAAGTTTCTGAGAATGCTTCTGTCTGGCTTTTATTGGAAGACGTTTCCTTTTCACCAAAGGCATCAAAGCGCTCCAAATGTCCACTTCCAGATTCTTCCAAAAGAGTGTTTGAAACGTGCTCAAAGTAAGGGAATGTTCAACTCTGTGACTTGAATGCAGATATCACCAAGTAGTTTCTAATAGTGCTTCTGTCTAGATTTTAGATGATGATATTCCCGTTTCCAACGAAATCGTTAGAGCTATCCAAATATCCACTTACAGTTTCTACAAAAACAGTGTTTCCAAACTGCTGCATCAGAAGAAAAGTTCAACTCTGTTAGTTGAGGACACACATCACAAAGAAGTTTGTGAGAATGCTTCTGTCTAGATTTTGTATGACCATATTCCCTTTTCCAGCGATATCATTAAAGCAATCTAAATATCCATTTGCAGAATCCACAAAAATAGAGTTTCAAAGCTGCTCTGTAAAAAGAAAGGTTCCACTCTGTTAGCTGAGTACACACATCACAAACTTGTCTCTCAGAATCCTTCTGTCTCGTTTTTATGGGAAGATATTTACTTTTCCACCGTAGGCATCAAAGCGCTCCAAATGTCCACATCCAGATACTCCAGAACGAGTGTTTCAAACCTGCTCTATGAAAGGGAATCTTCAACTCTATGAGTTGAATGCAGACATCAGAAAGAAATTTCTGAGAATGCTGCTGTCTACCTTTTATTTGAATTCCCGCTTCCAACGAAATCCTCCAAGCTATCCAAATATCCACCTGCATTTTCCACAACAAGAGTGTTTCAAAACTGCTCTATCAATAGAAACGTTCAACTCCTTTGGCTGGGTACACACATCACAAACAAGTTTCTGAGAATGCTTCTGTCTAGTTTTTATGGGAAGACGTTCCCTTTTTCACCAAAGCCATCAAAGCGCTCCAAATGTCCACTTCCAGAGACTACAAAAAGAGTGTTTCAAACGTGCTCTAAGAAAGCGAATGTTCAACTCTGTGACTTGAATGCAGATATCACAAAGTAGTTTCTGAGAGTGCTTCTGTCTAGATTTTACATGATGATATTCCCGTTTTCAACGAAATCATTAGAGCTATCCAAATATCCACTTACAGTTTCTACAAAAAGAGTGTTTCCAAACTGCTGCATCAAAAGAGAGGTTCCACTCTGTTAGCTGAGTACACACATCACAAACTTGTTTCTCAGAATCCTTCTGTCTAGTTTTTATGGGAAGATATTTACTTTTTCACCGTAGGTATCAAAGCGCTCCAAATGTCCACATCCAGATACTACAGAAAGAGTGTTTCAAACCTGCGCTATGAAAGGGAGTTTTCAACTCTATGAGTTGAATGCAGACATCAGAAAGTAATTTCTGAGAATGCTTCTTCAATTTTTTATGGGAAGACATTTCCTTTTTCACCGTAGGCGTCAAAGCGCTCCAAATGTCCACATCCAGATAGTACAGAAAGAGTGTTTCAAACCTGCTCTATTAAAGGGAATGTTCAACTCTATGAGTTGAATGCAAACATCAGAAAGATATTTCTGAGAATGCTTCTGTCTATTTTTTATGGGAAGATATTTCCTTTTTCACCGTAGGCGTCAAGGCGATCGAAATGTCCACTTCCACAAACTACAAAAAGAGTGTTTCAAACCTGCTCTATGAAAGGCCATGTTCATCTCTATGAGTTGAATGGAAATATCCGAAAGAAATTTCTGGGAATGCTGCTGTCTAGTTGTTATACGAATTCCCGCTTCCAACGAAATCCTCAAAGCAATCCAAATATCCACTTGCAGAATCCAAAAAAAGAGTGTTTCAAAACTGCTCTATCAATAGAAAGGTTCAACTCTTTTAGTTGAGTACACACATCACAAACAAGTTTCTGAGAATGCTTCTCTCTGGCTTTTATTGGAAGACGTTTCCTTTTCACCAAAGGCATCAAAGCGCTCCAAATGTCCACTTCCAGATTCTTCCAAAAGAGTGTTTCAAACGTGCTCAAAGTAAGGGAATGTTCAACTCTGTGACTTGAATGCAGATATCACCAAGTAGTTTCTAATAGTGCTTCTGTCTACATTTTAGATGATGATATTCCCGTTTCCAACGAAATCGTTAGAGCTATCCAAATATCCAGTTACAGTTTCTACCAAAAGGGTGTTTCCAAATTGCTGCATCAAAAGAAAGGTTCAACTCTGTTAGTTGAGGACACACATCACAAAGAAGTTTGTGAGAATGCTTCTGTCTAGATTTTGTATGACGATATTCCCTTTTCCAACGATATCATTAAAGCAATCTAAATATCCATTTGCAGAATCCACAAAAATAGAGTTTCAAAGCTGCTCTGTAAAAAGAAAGGTTCCACTCTGTTAGCTGAGTACACACATCACAAACTTGTTCCTCAGAATCCTTCTGTCTCGTTTTTATGGGAAGATATTTACTTTTCCACCGTAGGCATCAAAGCGCTCCAAATGTCCACATCCAGATACTGCAGAACGAGTGTTTCAAACCTGCTCCATGAAAGGGAATCTTCAACTCTATGAGTTGAATGCAGACATCAGAAAGAAATTTCTGAGAATGCTGCTGTCTACCTTTTATTTGAATTCCCGCTTCCAACGAAATCCTCCAAGCTATCCAAATATCCACTTGCATTTTCCACAAAAAGAGTGTTTCATAACTGCTCTGTCAATAGAAATGTTCAACTCCTTTAGCTGGGTACACACATCACAAACAAGTTTCTGAGAATGCTTCTGCCTAGTTTTTATGGGAAGACATTCCCTTTTTCACCAAAGGAATCAAAGCGCTCCAAATGTCCACTTCCAGACACTACAAAAAGAGTGTTTCAAACGTGCTCTAAGAAAGCGAATGTTCAACTCTGTGACTTGAATGCAGATATCACACAGTAGTTTCTGAGAGTGCTTCTGTCTAGATTTTAGATGATGATATTCCCGTTTCCAACGAAATCATTAGAGCTATCCAAATATCCACTTACAGTTTCTACAAAAAGAGTGTTTCCAAACTGCTGCATCAAAAGAGAGGTTCCACTCTGTTAGCCGAGTACACACATCACAAACTTGTTTCTCAGAATCCTTCTGTCTCGTTTTTATGGGAAGATATTTACTTTTTCACCGTAGGCATCAAAGCGCTCCAAATGTCCACATCCAGATACTCCAGAAAGAGTGTTTCAAACCTGCTCTATGAAAGGGAATGTTCAACTCTACGAGTTGAATGCAGACATCAGAAAGAAATTTCTGAGAATGCTGCTGTCTACCTTTTATTTGAATTCCCGCTTCCAACGAAATCCTCCAAGCTATCCAAATATCCACTTGCAGATTCCACAAAAAGAGTGTTTCAAAACTGCTCTCTATCAATGGCAAAGTTCAACTCTGTTAGTTGAGGACACATATCACCAACAAGTTTCTGAGAATGCTTCTGTCTATTTTTTATGGGAAGATATTTCCTTTTTCACCATAGGCGTCAAGGCGATCGAAATGTCCACTTCCACAAACTACAAAAAGAGTGTTTCAAACCTGCTCTATGAAAGGCCATGTTCATCTCTATGAGTCGAATGGAAATATCCGAAAGAAATTTCTGGGAATGCTGCTGTCTAGTTTTTATACGAATTCCCGCTTCCAACGAAATCCTCAAAGCAATCCAAATATCCACTTGCAGAATCCACAAAAAGAGTGTTTCAAAACTGCTCTATCAATAGAAAGGTTCAACTCTTTTAGTTGAGTACACACATCACAAACAAGTTTCTGAGAATGCTTCTGTCTGGCTTTTATTGGAAGACGTTTCCTTTTCACCAAAGGCATCAAAGCGCTCCAAATGTCCACTTCCAGATTCTTCCAAAAGAGTGTTTCAAACGTGCTCGAAGTAAGGGAATATTCTACTCTGTGACTTGAATGCAGATATCACCAAGTAGTTTCTAATAGTGCTTCTGTCTAGATTTTAGATGATGATATTCCCGTTTCCAACGAAATCGTTAGAGCTATCCAAATATCCAGTTACAGTTTCTACCAAAAGGGTGTTTCCAAATTGCTGCATCAAAAGAAAGGTTCAACTCTGTTAGTTGAGGACACACATCACAAAGAAGTTTGTGAGAATGCTTCTGTCTAGATTTTGTATGACGATATTCCCTTTTCCAACGATATCGTTAAAGCAATCTAAATATCAATTTGCAGAATCCACAAAAATAGAGTTTCAAAGCTGCTCTTTAAAAAGAAAGGTTCCACTCTGTTAGCTGAGTACACACATCACAAACTTGTTTCTGAGAATCCTTCTGTCTCGTTTTTATGGGAAGATATTTACTTTTCCACCGTAGGCATCAAAGCGCTCCAAATGTCCACATCCAGATACTCCAGAACGAGTGTTTCAAACCTGCTCTATGAAAGGGAATCTTTAACTCTATGAGTTGAATGCAGACATCAGAAAGAAATTTCTGAGAATGCTGCTGTCTACCATTTATTTGAATTCCCGCTTCCAACGAAATCCTCCATGCTATCCAAATATCCACTTGCATTTTCCACAAAAAGAGTGTTTCAAAACTGCTCTATCAATAGAAATGTTCAACTCCTTTAGCTGGGTACACACATCACAAACAAGTTTCTGAGAATGCTTCTGTCTAGTTTTTATGGGAAGACATTCCCTTTTTCACCAAAGGCATCAAAGCACTCCAAATGTCCACTTCCAGACACTACAAAAAGAGTGTTTCAAACGTGCTCTAAGAAAGCGAATGTTCAACTCTGTGACTTGAATGCAGATATCACAAAGTAGTTTCTGAGAGGGCTTCTGTCTAGATTTTAGATGATGATATTCCCATTTCCAACGAAATCATTAGAGCTAACCAAATATCCACTTACAGTTTCTACAAAAAGAGTGTTTCCAAACTGCTGCATCAGAAGAGAGGTTCCACTCTGTTAGCTGAGTACACACATCACAAACTTGTTTCTCAGAATCCTTCTGTCTCGTTTTTATGGGAAGATATTTACTTTTTCATCGTAGGCCTCAAAGCGCTCCAAATGTCCACATCCAGATACTACAGAAAGAGTATTTCAAACCTGCTCTATGAAAGGGAATCTTCAACTCTATGAGTTGAATGCAGACATCAGAAAGAAATTTCTGAGAATGCTGCTGTCTACCTTTTATTTGAATTCCCGCTTCCAACGAAATCCTTCAAGCTATCCAAATATCCACTTGCTGATTCCACAAAAAGAGTGTTTCAAAACTGCTCTCTATCAATGGCAAAGTTCAACTCTGTTAGTTGAGGACACATATCACCAACAACTTTCTGAGAATGCTTCTGTCTATTTTTTATGGGAAGATATTTCCTTTTTCACCGTAGGCGTCAAGGCGATCGAAATGTCCACTTCCACAAACTACAAAAAGAGTGTTTCAAACCTGCTCTATGAAAGGCCATGTTCATCTCTATGAGTCGAATGGAAATATCCGAAAGAAATTTCTGGGAATGCTGCTGTCTAGTGTTTATACGAATTCCCGCTTCCAACGAAATCCTCAAAGCAATCCAAATATCCACTTGCAGAATCCACAAAAAGAGTGTTTCAAAACTGCTCTATCAATAGAAAGGTTCAACTCTTTTAGTTGAGTACACACATCACCAACAAGTTTCTGAGAATGCTTCTGTCTGGCTTTTATTGGAAGACGTTTCCTTTTCACCAAAGGCATCAAAGCGCTCCAAATGTCCACTTCCAGATTCTTCCAAAAGAGTGTTTCAAACGTGCTCGAAGTAAGGGAATGTTCAACTCTGTGACTTGAATGCTGATATCACCAAGTAGTTTCTAATAGTGCTTCTGTCTAGATTTTAGATGATGATATTCCCGTTTCCAATGAAATCGTTAGAGCTATCCAAATATCCACTTACAGTTTCTACAAAAAGAGTGTTTCCAAACTGCTGCATCAAAATAAAGGTTCAACTCTGTTAGTTGAGGACACACATCACAAAGAAGTTTGTGAGAATGCTTCTGTCCAGATTTTGTATGACGATATTCCCTTTTCCAATGATATCGTTAAAGCAATCTAAATATCCATTTGCAGAATCCACAAAAATAGAGTTTCAAAGCTGCTCTGTAAAAAGAAAGGTTCCACTCTGTTAGCTGAGTACACACATCACAAACTTGTCTCTCAGAATCCTTCTGTCTCGTTTTTATGGGAAGATATTTACTTTTTCACCGTAGGCATCAAAGCGCTCCAAATGTCCACATCCAGATACTCCAGAAAGAGTGTTTCAAACCTGCTCTAGGAAAGGGAATCTTCAACTCTATGAGTTGAATGCAGACATCAGAAAGAAATTTCTGAGAATGCTGCTGTCTACCTTTTATTTGAATTCCCGCTTCCAACGAAATCCTCCAAGCTATCCAAATATCCACCTGCATTTTCCACAAAAAGAGCGTTTCAAAACTGCTCTATCAATAGAAATGTTCAACTCCTTTGGCTGGGTACACACATCACAAACAAGTTTCTGAGAATGCTTCTGTCTAGTTTTTATGGGAAGACATTCCCTTTTTCACCAAAGGCATCAAAGCGCTCCAAATGTCCACTTCCAGACACTACAAAAAGAGTGTTTCCAACGTGCTCTAAGAAAGCGAATGTTCAACTCTGTGACTTGAATGCAGATATCACAAAGTAGTTTCTGAGAAGGCTTCTGTCTAGATTTTAGATGATGATATTCCCGTTTCCAACGAAATCATTAGAGCTATCCAAATAACCACTTACAGTTTCTACAAAAAGAGTGTTTCCAAACTGCTGCATCAAAAGAGAGGTTCCACTCTGTTAGCTGAGTACACACATCACAAACTTGTTTCTCAGAATCCTTTCTGTCTAGTTTTTATGGGAAGATATTTACTTTTTCACCGTAGGCATCAAAGAGTTCCAAATGTCCACATCCAGATAGTACAGAAAGAGTGTTTCAAACCTGCTCTATGAAAGGGAATGTTCAACTCTATGAGTTGAATGCAAGCATCACAAAGAAATTTCTGAGAATGCTGCTGTCTACCTTTTATTTGAATTCCCGCTTCCAACGAATTCCTCCAGGCTATCCAAATATCCACTTGCAGATTCCACAAACAGAGTGTTTCAAAACTGCTCTATCAATGGCAAGGTTCAACTCTGTCAGTTGAGGATACACATCACAAACAAGTTTCTGAGAATTCTTCTGTCTATTTTTTATGGGAAGATATTTCCTTTTTCACCGTAGGCGTCAAGGCGATCGAAATGTCCACTTCCACAAACTACAAAAAGAGTGTTTCAAACCTGCTCTATGAAAGGCCATGTTCATCTCTATGAGTCGAATGGAAATATCCGAAAGAAATTTCTGGGAATGCTGCTGTCTAGTGTTTATACGAATTCCCGCTTTCAACGAAATCCTCAAAGCAATCCAAATATCCACTTGCAGAATCCGCAAAAAGAGTGTTTCAAAACTGCTCTATCAATAGAAAGGTTCAACTCTTTTAGTTGAGTACACACATCACGAACAAGTTTCTGAGAATGCTTCTGTCTGGCTTTTATTGGAAGACGTTTCCTTTTCACCAAAGGCATCAAAGCGCTCCAAATGTCCACTTCCAGATTCTTCCAAAAGAGTGTTTCAAACGTGCTCAAAGTAAGGGAATGTTCAACTCTGTGACTTGAATGCAGATATCACCAAGTAGTTTCTAATAGTGCTTCTGTCTAGATTTTAGATGATGATATTCCCGTTTCCAACGAAATCGTTAGAGCTATCCAAATATCCAGTTACAGTTTCTACCAAAAGGGTGTTTCCAAATTGCTGCATCAAAAGAAAGGTTCAACTCTGTTAGTTGAGGACACACATCACAAAGCAAGTTTGTGAGAATGCTTCTGTCTAGATTTTGTATGACGATATTCCCTTTTCCAACGATATCGTTAAAGCAATCTAAATATCAATTTGCAGAATCCACAAAAATAGAGTTTCAAAGCTGCTCTGTAAAAAGAAAGGTTCCACTCTGTTAGGTGAGTACACACATCACAAACTTGTTTCTCAGAATCCTTCTGTCTCGTTTTTATGGGAAGATATTTACTTTTTCACCGTAGGCATCAAAGCGCTCCAAATGTCCACATCCAGATACTCCAGAAAGAGTGTTTCAAACCTGCTCTATGAAAGGGAATCTTCAACTCTATGAGTTGAATGCAGACATCAGAAAGAAATTTCTGAGAATGCTGCTGTCAACCTTTTATTTGAATTCCCGCTTCCAACGAAATCCTCCAAGCTATCCAAATATCCACCTGCATTTTCCACAAAAAGAGTGTTTCAAAACTGCTCTATCAATAGAAATGTTCAACCCCTTTGGCTGGGTACACACATCACAAACAAGTTTCTGAGAATGCTTCTGTCTACTTTTTAAGGGAAGACATTTCCTTTTTCACCAAAGGCATCAAAGCGCTCCAAATGTCCACTTCCAGATTCTACAAAAAGAGTGTTTCAAACCTGCTCTAAGTAAGGGAGTTTTCAACTCTGTGACTGGAATGCAGATATCACAAAGTAGTTTCTGAGACTGCTTCTGTCTAGATTTTAGATGATGATATTCCCGTTTCCAACGAAATCATTAGAGCTATCCAAATATCCACTTACATTTTCTACAAAAAGAGTGTTTCCAAACTGCTGCATCAAAAGAGAGGTTCCACTCTGTTAGCTGAGTACACACATCACAAACTTGTTTCTGAGAATCCTTCTGTCTCGTTTTTATGGGAAGATATTTACTTTTTCACCGTAGGCATCAAAGCGCTCCAAATGTCCACATCCAGATACTCCAGAAAGAGTGTTTCAAACCTGCTCTATGAAAAGGGAATCTTCAACTCTATGAGTTGAATGCAGACATCAGAAAGAAATTTCTGAGAATGCTGCTGTCTACCTTTTATTTGAATTCCCGCTTCCAACGAAATCCTCCAAGCTATCCAAATATCCACTTGCAGATTCCACAAAAAGAGTGTTTCAAAACTGCTCTCTATCAATGGCAAAGTTCAACTCTGTTAGTTGAGGACACATATCACCAACAAGTTTCTGAGAATGCTTCTGTCTATTTTTTATGGGAAGATATTTCCTTTTTCACCGTAGGCGTCAAGGCAATCGAAATGTCCACTTCCACAAACTACAAAAAGAGTGTTTCAAACCTGCTCTATGAAAGGCGATGTTCATCTCTATGAGTTGAATGGAAATATCCGAAAGAAATTTCTGGGAATGCTGCTGTCTAGGGTTTATACGAATTCCCGCTTCCAACGAAATCCTCAAAGCAATCCAAATATCCACTTGCAGAATCCACAAAAAGAGTGTTTCAAAACTGCGCTATCAATAGAAAGGTTCAACTCTTTTAGTTGAGTACACACATCACGAACAAGTTTCTGAGAATGCTTCTGTCTGGCTTTTATTGGAAGACGTTTCCTTTTCACCAAAGGCATCAAAGCGCTCCAAATGTCCACTTCCAGATTCTTCCAAAAGAGTGTTTGAAACGTGCTCAAAGTAAGGGAATGTTCAACTCTGTGACTTGAATGCAGATATCACCAAGTAGTTTCTAATAGTGCTCTGTCTAGATTTTAGATGATGATATTCCCGTTTCCAACGAAATCGTTAGAGCTATCCAAATATCCAGTTACAGTTTCTACCAAAAGGGTGTTTCCAAATTGCTGCATCAAAAGAAAGGTTCAACTCTGTTAGTTGAGGACACACATCACAAAGAAGTTTGTGAGAATGCTTTCTGTCTAGATTTTGAATGAAGATATTCCCTTTTCCATCGATATCGTTAAATCAACCCAAATATCAATTTGCAGAATCCACAGAAATAGAGTTTCAAAGCTGCTCTGTAAAAAGAAAGGATCCACTCTGTTAGCTGAGTACACACATCACAAACTTGTTTCTGAGCCTCCTGCTACCTTTTATTTGAATTCCCGCTTCCAACGAAATCCTCCAAGCTATCCAAATATCCACTTGCATTTTCCACAAAAAGAGTGTTTCAAAACTGCTCTATCAATAGAAATGTTCAACTCCTTTAGCTGGGTACACACATCACAAACAAGTTTCTGAGAATGCTTCTGTCTAGTTTTTATGGGAAGACGTTCCCTTTTTCACCAAAGGCATCAAAGTGCTCCAAATGTCCACTTCCAGACACTACAAAAAGAGTGTTTCCAACGTGCTCTAAGAAAGCGAATGTTCAACTCTGTTACTTGAATGCAGATATCACAAAGTAGTTTCTGAGAGGGCTTCTGTCTAGATTTTAGATGATGATATTCCCGTTTCCAACGAAATCATTAGAGCTATCCAAATATCCACATACAGTTTCTACAAAAAGAGTGTTTCCAAACTGCTGCATCAAAAGAGAGGTTCCACTCTGTTAGCTGAGTACACACATCACAAACTTGTTTCTCAGAATCCTGCTGTCTACCTTTTATTTGAATTCCCGCTTCCAACGAAATCCTCCAAGCTATCCAAATATCCACTTGCAGATTCCACAAAAAGAGTGTTTCAAAACTGCTCTCTATCAATGGCAAAGTTCAACTCTGTTAGTTGAGGACACATATCACCAACAAGTTTCTGAGAATGCTTCTGTCTATTTTTTATGGGAAGATATTTCCTTTTTCACCGTAGGCATCAAGGCGATCGAAATGTCCACTTCCACAAACTACAAAAAGAGTGTTTCAAACCTGCTCTATGAAAGGCGATGTTCATCTCTATGAGTTGAATGGAAATATCCGAAAGAAATTTCTGGGAATGCTGCTGTCTAGTTTTTATACGAATTCCCGCTTCCAACGAAATCCTCAAAGCAATCCAAATATCCACTTGCAGAATCCACAAAAAGAGTGTTTCAAAACTGCTCTATCAATAGAAAGGTTCAACTCTTTTAGTTGAGTACACACATCACAAACAAGTTTCTGAGAATGCTTCTCTCTGGCTTTTATTGGAAGACGTTTCCTTTTCACCAAAGGCATCAAAGCGCTCCAAATGTCCACTTCCAGATTCTTCCAAAAGAGTGTTTCAAACGTGGTCGAAGTAAGGGAATGTTCAACTGTGTGACTTGAATGCAGATATCACCAAGTAGTTTCTAATAGTGCTTCTGTCTAGATTTTAGATGATGATATTCCCGTTTCCAACGAAATCGTTAGAGCTATCCAAATATCCACTTACAGTTTCTACAAAAAGAGTGTTTCCAAACTGATGCATCAAAAGAAAGGTTCAACTCTGTTAGTTGAGGACACACATCACAAAGCAAGTTTGTGAGAATGCTTCTGTCTAGATTTTGTATGACGATATTCCCTTTTCCAACGATATCGTTAAAGCAATCTAAATATCCATTTGCAGAATCCACAAAAATAGAGTTTCAAAGCTGCTCTGTAAAAAGAAAGGTTCCACTCTGTTAGCTGAGTACACACATCACAAACTTGTTTCTCAGAATCCTTCTGTCTCGTTTTTATGGGAACATATTTACTTTTCCACCGTAGGCATCAAAGCGCTCCAAATGTCCACATCCGGATACTCCAGAACGAGTGTTTCAAACCTGCTCTATGAAAGGGAATCTTCAACTCTATGAGTTGAATGCAGACATCAGAAAGAAATTTCTGAGAATGCTGCTGTCTACCTTTTATTTGAATTCCCGCTTCCAACGAAATCCTCCAAGCTATCCAAATATCCACTTGCATTTTCCACAAAAAGAGTGTATCAAAACTGCTCTATCAACAGAAATGTTCAACTCCTTTAGCTGGGTACACACATCACAAACAAGTTTCTGAGAATGCTTCTGTCTAGTTTTTATGGGTAAACATTCCCTTTTTCACCAAAGGCATCAAAGCGCTCCAAATGTCCACTTCCAGACACTACAAAAAGAGTGTTTCAAACGTGCTCTAAGAAAGCGAATGTTCAACTCTGTGACTTGAATGCAGATATCACAAAGTAGTTTCTGAGAGTGCTTCTGTCTAGATTTTAGATGATGATACTCCCGTTTCCAACGAAATCATTAGAGCTATCCAAATATCCACTTACAGTTTCTACAAAAAGAGTGTTTCCAAACTGCTGCATCAAAAGAGAGGTTCCACTCTGTTAGCTGAGTACACACATCACAAACTTGTTTCTGAGAATCCTTCTGTCTCGTTTTTATGGGAAGATATTTACTTTCTCACCGTAGGCATCAAAGCGCTCCAAATGTCCACATCCAGATACTCCAGAAAGAGTGTTTCAAACCTGCTCTATGAAAGGGAATCTTCAACTCTATGAGTTGAATGCAGACATCAGAAAGAAATTTCTGAGAATGCTGCTGTCTACCTTTTATTTGAATTCCCGCTTCCAACGAAATCCTCTAAGCTATGCAAATATCCACTTGCAGATTCCACAAAAAGAGTGTTTCAAAACTGCTCTCTATCAATGGCAAAGTTCAACTCTGTTAGTTGAGGACACATATCACCAACAAGTTTCTGAGAATGCTTCTGTCTATTTTTTATGGGAAGATATTTCCTTTTTCACCGTAGGCGTCAAGGCGATCGAAATGTCCACTTCCACAAACTACAAAAAGAGTGTTTCAAACCTGCTCTATGAAAGGCCATGTTCATCTCTATGAGTCGAATGGAAATATCCGAAAGAAATTTCTGGGAATGCTGCTGTCTAGTTTTTATACGAATTCCCGCTTCCAACGAAATCCTCAAAGCAATCCAAATATCCACTTGCAGAATCCACAAAAAGAGTGTTTCAAAACTGCTCTATCAATAGAAAGGTTCAACTCTTTTAGTTGAGTGCACACATCACAAACAAGTTTCTGAGAATGCTTCTGTCTGGCTTTTATTGGAAGACGTTTCCTTTTCACCAAAGGCATCAAAGCGCTCCAAATGTCCACTTCCAGATTCTTCCAAAAGAGTGTTTGAAACGTGCTCAAAGTAAGGGAATGTTCAACTCTGTGACTTGAATGCAGATATCACCAAGTAGTTTCTAATAGTGCTCTGTCTAGATTTTAGATGATGATATTCCCGTTTCCAACGAAATCGTTAGAGCTATCCAAATATCCACTTACAGTTGCTACAAAAACAGTGTTTCCAAACTGCTGCATCAAAAGAAAGGTTCAACTCTGTTAGTTGAGGACACACGTCACAAAGAAGTTTGTGAGAATGCTTTCTGTCTAGTATTTTGTATGACCATATTCCCTTTTCCAACGATATCGTTAAAGCAATCTAAATATCAATTTGCAGAATCCACAAAAATAGAGTTTCAAAGCTGCTCTGTAAAAAGAAAGGTTCCACTCTGTTAGCTGAGTACACACATCACAAACTTGTTTCTGAGAATCCTTCTGTCTCGTTTTTATGGGAAGATATTTACTTTTTCACCGTAGGCATCAAAGCGCTCCAAATGTCCACATCCAGATACTCCAGAAAGAGTGTTTCAAACCTGCTCTATGAAAGGGAATCTTCAACTCTATGAGTTGAATGCAGACATCAGAAAGAAATTTCTGAGAATGCTGCTGTCTACCTTTTATTTGAACTCCCGCTTCCAACGAAATCCTCCAAGCTATGCAAATATCCACTTGCATTTTCCACAAAAAGAGTGTTTCAAAACTGCTCTATCAATAGAAATGTTCAACTCCTTTAGCTGGGTACACACATCACAAACAAGTTTCTGAGAATGCTTCTGTCTAGTTTTTATGGGTAGACGTTCCCCTTTTTCACCAAAGGCATCAAAGCGCTCCAAATGTCCACTTCCAGACACTACAAAAAGAGTGTTTCAAACGTGCTCTAAGAAAGCGAATGTTCAACTCTGTGACTTGAATGCACATATCACAAAGTAGTTTCTGAGAGGGCTTCTGTCTAGATTTTAGATGATTATATTCCCGTTTCCAACGAAATCATTAGAGCTATCCAAATATCCACTTACAGTTTCTACAAAAAGAGTGTTTCCAAACTGCTGCATCAAAAGAGAGGTTCCACTCTGTTAGCTGAGTACACACATCACAAACTTGTTTCTGAGAATCCTTCTTCAATTTTTTATGGGAAGACATTTCCTTTTTCACCGTAGGCATCAAAGCGCTCCAAATGTCCACATCCAGATAGTACAGAAAGAGTGTTTCAAACCTGCTCTATGAAAGGGAATGTTCAACTCTATGAGTTGAATGCAAACATCAGAAAGAAATTTCTGAGAATGCTGCTGTCTACCTTTTATTTGAATTCCCGCTTCCAACGAAATCCTCCAAGCTATCCAAATATCCACTTGCAGATTCCACAAAAAGAGTGTTTCAAAACTGCTCTCTATCAATGGCAAAGTTCAACTGCTGTTAGTTGAGGACACATATCACCAACAAGTTTCTGAGAATGCTTCTGTCTATTTTTTATGGGAAGATATTTCCTTTTTCACCGTAGGCGTCAAGGCGATCGAAATGTCCACTTCCACAAACTACAAAAAGAGTGTTTCAAACCTGCTCTATGAAAGGCCATGTTCATCTCTTTGAGTTGAATGGAAATATCCGAAAGAAATTTCTGGGAATGCTGCTGTCTAGTGTTTATACGAATTCCCGCTTCCAACGAAATCCTCAAAGCAATCCAAATATCCACTTGCAGAATCCACAAAAAGAGTGTTTCAAAACTGCTCTATCAATAGAAAGGTTCAACTCTTTTAGTTGAGTACACACATCATGAACAAGTTTCTGAGAATGCTTCTGTCTGGCTTTTATTGGAAGACGTTTCCTTTTCACCAAAGGCATCAAAGCGCTCCAAATGTCCACTTCCAGATTCTTCCAAAAGAGTGTTTCAAACGTGCTCGAAGTAAGGGAATGTTCTACTCTGTGACTTGAATGCAGATATCACCAAGTAGTTTCTAATAGTGCTTCTGTCTAGATTTTAGATGATGATATTCCCGTTTCCAACGAAATCGTTAGAGCTATCCAAATATCCAGTTACAGTTTCTACCAAAAGGGTGTTTCCAAATTGCTGCATCAAAAGAAAGGTTCAACTCTGTTAGTTGAGGACACACATCACAAAGAAGTTTGTGAGAATGCTTCTGTCTAGATTTTGTATGACGATATTCCCTTTTCCAACGATATCATTAAAGCAATCTAAATATCCATTTGCAGAATCCACAAAAATAGAGTTTCAAAGCTGCTCTGTAAAAAGAAAGGTTCCACTCTGTTAGCTGAGTACACACATCACAAACTTGTTTCTCAGAATCCTTCTGTCTCGTTTTTATGGGAAGATATTTACTTTTTCACCGTAGGCATCAAAGCCCTCCAAATGTCCACATCCAGATACTCCAGAAAGAGTGTTTCAAACCTGCTCTATGAAAGGGAATCTTCAACTCTTATGAGTTGAATGCAGACATCAGAAAGAAATTTCTGAGAATGCTGCTGTCTACCTTTTATTTGAATTCCCGCTTCCAACGAAATCCTCCAAGCTATCCAAATATCCACCTGCATTTTCCACAACAAGAGTGTTTCAAAACTGCTCTATCAATAGAAATGTTCAACTCCTTTAGCTGGGTACACACATCACAAACAAGTTTCTGAGAATGCTTCTGTCTATTTTTTATGGGAAGACATTCCCTTTTTCACCAAAGGCATCAAAGCGCTCCAAATGTCCACTTCCAGACACTACAAAAAGAGTGTTTCAAACGTGCTCTAAGAAAGCGAATGTTCAACTCTGTGACTTGAATGCAGATATCACAAAGTAGTTTCTGAGAGGGCTTCTGTCTAGATTTTAGATGATGATATTCCCGTTTCCAACGAAATCATTAGAGCTATCCAAATATCCACTTACGGTTTCTACAAAAAGAGTGTTTCCAAACTGCTGCATCAAAAGAGAGGTTCCACTCTGTTAGCTGAGTACACACATCACAAACTTGTTTCTGAGAATCCTTCTGTCTCGTTTTTATGGGAAGATATTTACTTTTTCACCGTAGGCATCAAAGCGCTCCAAATGTCCACATCCAGATACTACAGAAAGAGTATTTCAAACCTGCCCTATGAAAGGGAATGTTCAACTCTATGAGTTGAATGCAGAGATCAGAAAGAAATTTGTGAGAATGCTGCTGTCTACCTTTTATTTGAATTCCCGCTTCCAACGAAATCCTCCAAGCTATCCAAATATCCACTTGCAGATTCCACAAAAAGAGTGTTTCAAAACTGCTCTTTATCAATGGCAAAGTTCAACTCTGTTAGTTGAGGACACATATCACCAACAAGTTTCTGAGAATGCTTCTGTCTATTTTTTATGGGAAGATATTTCCTTTTTCACCGTAGGCGTCAAGGCGATCGAAATGTCCACTTCCACAAACTACAAAAAGAGTGTTTCAAACCTGCTCTATGAAAGGCCATGTTCATCTCTATGAGTTGAATGGAAATATCCGAAAGAAATTTCTGGGAATGCTGCTGTCTAGTTGTTATACGAATTCCCGCTTCCAACGAAATCCTCAAAGCAATCCACATATCCACTTGCAGAATCCACAAAAAGAGTGTTTCAAAACTGCTCCATCAATAGAAAGGGTCAACTCTTTTAGTTGAGTACACACATCACGAACAAGTTTCTGAGAATGCTTCTGTCTGGCTTTTATTGGAAGACGTTTCCTTTTCACCAAAGGCATCAAAGCGCTCCAAATGTCCACTTCCAGATTCTTCCAAAAGAGTGTTTGAAACGTGCTCAAAGTAAGGGAATGTTCAACTCTGTGACTTGAATGCAGATATCACCAAGTAGTTTCTAATAGTGCTTCTGTCTAGATTTTAGATGATGATATTCCCGTTTCCAACGAAATCGTTAGAGCTATCCAAATATCCACTTACAGTTGCTACAAAAACAGTGTTTCCAAACTGCTGCATCAAAAGAAAGGTTCAACTCTGTTAGTTGAGGACACACGTCACAAAGAAGTTTGTGAGAATGCTTCTGTCTAGATTTTGTATGACCATATTCCCTTTTCCAGCGATATCATTAAAGCAATCTAAATATCCATTTGCAGAATCCACAAAAATAGAGTTTCAAAGCTGCTCTGTAAAAAGAAAGGTTCCACTCTGTTAGCTGAGTACACACATCACAAACTTGTTTCTGAGAATCCTTTCTGTCTCGTTTTTATGGGAAGATATTTACTTTTTCACCGTAGGCATCAAAGCGCTCCAAATGTCCACATCCAGATACTCCAGAAAGAGTGTTTCAAACCTGCTCTATGAAAGGGAATCTTCAACTCTATGAGTTGAATGCAGACATCAGAAAGAAATTTCTGAGAATGCTGCTGTCTACCTTTTATTTGAATTCCCGCTTCCAACGAAATCCTCCAAGCTATCCAAATATCCACTTGCATTTTCCACAAAAAGAGTGTTTCAAAACTGCTCTATCAATAGAAATGTTCAACTCCTTTAGCTGGGTACACACATCACAAATAAGTTTCTGAGAATGCTTCTGTCTAGTTTTTATGGGAAGACATTCCCTTTTTCACCAAAGACATCAAAGCGCTCCAAATGTCCACTTCCAGACACTACAAAAAGAGTGTTTCAAACGTGCTCTAAGAAAGCGAATGTTCAACTGCTGTGACTTGAATGCAGATATCACACAGTAGTTTCTGAGAGTGCTTCTGTCTAGCATTTTAGATGATGATATTCCCGTTTCCAACGAAATCATTAGAGCTATCCAAATATCCACTTACAGTTTCTACAAAAAGAGTGTTTCCAAACTACTGCATCAAAAGAGAGGTTCCACTCTGTTAGCTGAGTACACACATCACAAACTTGTTTCTCAGAATCCTTCTGTCTCGTTTTTATGGGAAGATATTTACTTTTTCACCGTAGGCATCAAAGCGCTCCAAATGTCCACATCCAGATACTACAGAAAGAGTATTTCAAACCTGCCCTATGAAAGGGAATGTTCAACTCTATGAGTTGAATGCAGAGATCAGAAAGAAATTTCTGAGAATGCTGCTGTCTACTTTTATTTGAATTCCCGCTTCCAACGAAATCCTCCAAGCTATCCAAATATCCACTTGCAGATTCAGGAAAAAGAGTGTTTCAAAACTGCTCTCTATCAATGGCAAAGTTCAACTCTGTTAGTTGAGGACACATATCACCAACAAGTTTCTGAGAATGCTTCTGTCTATTATTTATGGGAAGATATTTCCTTTTTCACCGTAGGCGTCAAGGCGATCGAAATGTCCACTTCCACAAACTACAAAAAGAGTGTTTCAAACCTGCTCTATGAAAGGCCATGTTCATCTCTATGAGTCGAATGGAAATATCCGAAAGAAATTTCTGGGAATGCTGCTGTCTAGTTTTTATACGAATTCCCGCTTCCAACGAAATCCTCAAAGCAATCCAAATATCCACTTGCAGAATCCACAAAAAGAGTGTTTCAAAACTGCTCTATCAATAGAAAGGTTCAACTCTTTTAGTTGAGTACACACATCACAAACAAGTTTCTGAGAATGCTTCTGTCTGGCTTTTATTGGAAGACGTTTCCTTTTCACCAAAGGCATCAAAGCGCTCCAAATGTCCACTTCCAGATTCTTCCAAAAGAGTGTTTGAAACGTGCTCAAAGTAAGGGAATGTTCAACTCTGTGACTTGAATGCAGATATCACCAAGTAGTTTCTAATAGTGCTTCTGTCTAGATTTTAGATGATGATATTCCCGTTTCCAATGAAATCGTTAGAGCTATCCAAATATCCAGTTACAGTTTCTACCAAAAGGGTGTTTCCAAATTGCTGCATCAAAAGAAAGGTTCAACTCTGTTAGTTGAGGACACACATCACAAAGAAGTTTGTGAGAATGCTTCTGTCTAGATTTTGTATGACGATATTCCCTTTTCCAACGATATCGTTAAAGCAATCTAAATATCAATTTGCAGAATCCACAAAAATAGAGTTTCAAAGCTGCTCTGTAAAAGGAAAGGTTCCACTCTGTTAGCTGAGTACACACATCACAAACTTCTTTCTGAGAATCCTTCTGTCTCGTTTTTATGGGAAGATATTTACTTTTTCACCGTAGGCATCAAAGCGCTCCAAATGTCCACATCCAGATACTCCAGAAAGAGTGTTTCAAACCTGCTCTATGAAAGGGAATCTTCAACTCTATGAGTTAAATGCAGACATCAGAAAGAAATTTCTGAGAATGCTGCTGTCTACCTTTTATTTGAATTCCCGCTTCCAACGAAATCCTCCAAGCTATCCAAATATCCACTTGCATTTTCCACAAAAAGAGTGTTTCAAAACTGCTCTATCAATGGAAATGTTCAACTCCTTTAGCTGGGTACACACATCACAAACAAGTTTCTGAGAATGCTTCTGTCCAGTTTTTATGGGAAGACGTTCCCTTTTTCACCAAAGGCATCAAAGCGCTCCAAATGTCCACTTCCAGACACTACAAAAAGAGTGTTTCCAACGTGCTCTAAGAAAGCGAATGTTCAACTCTGTGACTTGAATGCAGATATCACAAAGTAGTTTCTGAGAGGGCTTCTGTCTAGATTTTAGATGATGATATTCCCGTTTCCAACGAAATCATTAGAGCTATCCAAATATCCACTTACAGTTTCTACAAAAAGAGTGTTTCCAAACTGCTGCATCAAAAGAGAGGTTCCACTCTGTTAGCTGAGTACACACATCACAAACTTGTTTCTCAGAATCCTTCTGTCTCGTTTTTATGGGAAGATATTTACTTTTTCACCGTAGGCATCAAAGCGCTCCAAATGTCCACATCCAGATACTACAGAAAGAGTATTTCAAACCTGCCCTATGAAACGGAATGTTCAACTCTATGAGTTGAATGCAGAGATCAGAAAGAAATTTCTGAGAATGCTGCTGTCTACCTTTTATTTGAATTCCCGCTTCCAACGAAATCCTCCAAACTATCCAAATATCCACTTGCAGATTCAGGAAAAAGAGTGTTTCAAAACTGCTCTCTATCAATGGCAAAGTTCAACTCTGTTAGTTGAGGACACATATCACCAACAAGTTTCTGAGAATGCTTCTGTCTATTTTTTATGGGAAGATATTTCCTTTTTCACCGTAGGCGTCAAGGCGATCGAAATGTCCACTTCCACAAACTACAAAAAGAGTGTTTCAAACCTGCTCTATGAAAGGCCATGTTCATCTCTATGAGTCGAATGGAAATATCCGAAAGAAATTTCTGGGAATGCTGCTGTCTAGTGTTTATACGAATTCCCGCTTCCAACGAAATCTTCAAAGAAATCCAAATATCCACTTGCAGAATCCACAAAAAGAGTGTTTCAAAACTGCTCTATCAATAGAAAGGTTCAACTCTTTTAGTTGAGTACACACATCACGAACAAGTTTCTGAGAATGCTTCTGTCTGGCTTTTATTGGAAGACGTTTCCTTTTCACCAAAGGCATCAAAGCGCTCCAAATGTCCACTTCCAGATTCTTCCAAAAGAGTGTTTGAAACGTGCTCAAAGTAAGGGAATGTTCAACTCTGTGACTTGAATGCAGATATCACCAAGTAGTTTCTAATAGTGCTTCTGTCTAGATTTTAGATGATGATATTCCCGTTTCCAACGAAATCGTTAGAGCTATCCAAATATCCAGTTACAGTTTCTACCAAAAGGGTGTTTCCAAACTGCTGCATCAAAAGAAAGGTTCAACTCTGTTAGTTGAGGACACACATCACAAAGATGTTTGTGAGAATGCTTCTGTCTAGATTTTGTATGACGATATTCCCTTTTCCAACGATATTGTTAAAGCAATCTAAATATCAATTTGCAGAATCCACAAAAATAGAGTTTCCAAGCTGCTCTGTAAAAAGAAAGGTTCCACTCTGTTAGCTGAGTACACACATCACAAACTTGTTTCTGAGAATCCTTCTGTGTCGTTTTTATGGGAACATATTTACTTTTTCACCGTAAGCATCAAAGCGCTCCAAATGTCCACATCCAGATACTCCAGAAAGAGTGTTTCAAACCTGCTCTATGAAAGGGAATCTTCAACTCTATGAGTTGAATGCAGACATCAGAAAGAAATTTCTGAGAATGCTGCTGTCTACCTTTTATTTGAATTCCCGCTTCCAACGAAATCCTCCAAGCTATCCATATATCCACTTGCATTTTCCACAAAAAGAGTGCTTCAAAACTGCTCTATCAATAAATGTTCAACTCCTTTAGCTGGGTGCACACATCACAAACAAGTTTCTGAGAATGCTTCTGTCTAGTTTTTATGGGAAGACATTTCCTTTTTCACCAAAGGCATCAAAGAGCTCCAAATGTCCACTTCCAGATACTACAAAAAGAGTGTTTCAAAAGTGCTCTAAGAAAGCGAATGTTCAACTCTGTGACTTCAATGCAGATATCACAAAGTAGTTTCTGAGAGTGCTTCTGTCTAGATTTTAGATGATGATATTCCCGTTTCCAACGAAATCATTAGAGCTATCAAAATATCCACTTACAGTTTCTACAAAAAGAGTGTTTCCAAACTGCTGCATCAAAAGAGAGGTTCCACTCTGTTAGCTGAGTACACACATCACAAACTTGTTTCTCAGAATCCTTCTCTCTCGTTTTTATTGGAAGATATTTACTTTTTCACCGTAGGCCTCAAAGCGCTCCAAATGTCCACATCCAGATACTCCAGAAAGAGTGTTTCAAACCTGCTCTATGAAAGGGAATCTTCAACTCTATGAGTTGAATGCAGACATCAGAAAGAAATTTCTGAGAATGCTGCTGTCTACCTTTTATTTGAATTCCCGCTTCCAACGAAATCCTCCAAGCTATCCAAATATCCACTTGCAGATTCCACAAAAAGAGTGTTTCAAAACTGCTCTCTATCAATGGCAAAGTTCAACTCTGTTAGTTGAGGACACATATCACCAACAAGTTTCTGAGAATGCTTCTGTCTATTTTTTATGGGAAGATATTTCCTTTTTCACCGTAGGCGTCAAGGCGATCGAAATGTCCACTTCCACAAACTACAAAAAGAGTGTTTCAAACCTGCTCTATGAAAGGCCATGTTCTTCTCTATGAGTTGAATGGAAATATCCGAAAGAAATTTCTGGGAATGCTGCTGTCTAGTTTTTATACGAATTCCCGCTTCCAACGAAATCCTCAAAGCAATCCAAATATCCACTTGCAGAATCCACAAAAAGAGTGTTTCAAAACTGCTCTATCAATAGAAAGGTTCAACTCTTTTAGTTGAGTACACACATCACAAACAAGTTTCTGAGAATGCTCTGTCTGGCTTTTATTGGAAGACGTTTCCTTTTCACCAAAGGCATCAAAGCGCTCCAAATGTCCACTTCCAGATTCTTCCAAAAGAGTGTTTCAAACGTGCTCAAAGTAAGGGAATGTTCAACTCTGTGACTTGAATGCAGATATCACCAAGTAGTTTCTAATAGTGCTTCTGTCTACATTTTAGATGATGATATTCCCGTTTCCAACGAAATCGTTAGAGCTATCCAAATATCTAGTTACAGTTTCTACCAAAAGGGTGCTTCCAAATTGCTGCATCAAAAGAAAGGTTCAACTCTGTTAGTTGAGGACACACATCACAAAGAAGTTTGTGAGAATGCTTCTGTCTAGATTTTGTATGACGGTATTCCCTTTTCCAACGATATCGTTAAAGCAATCTAAATATCAATTTGCAGAATCCACAAAAATAGAGTTTCAAAGCTGCTCTGTAAAAAGAAAGGTTCCACTCTGTTAGCTGAGTACACACATCACAAACTTGTTTCTGAGAATCCTTCTGTCTCGTTTTTATGGGAAGATATTTACTTTTCCACCGTAGGCATCAAAGCGCTCCAAATGTCCACATCCAGATACTCCAGAACGAGTGTTTCAAACCTGCTCTATGAAAGGGAATCTTCAACTCTATGAGTTGAATGCAGACATCAGAAAGAAATTTCTGAGAATGCTGCTGTCTACCTTTTATTTGAATTCCCGCTTCCAACGAAATCCTCCAAGCTATCCAAATATCCACCTGCATTATCCACAACAAGAGTGTTTCAAAACTGCTCTATCAATAGAAATGTTCAACTCCTTTGGCTGGGTACACACATCACAAACAAGTTTCTGAGAATGCTCTGTCTAGTTTTTATGGGAAGACATTCCCTTTTTCACCAAAGGCATCAAAGCGCTCCAAATGTCCACTTCCAGACACTACAAAAAGAGTGTTTCCAACGTGCTCTAAGAAAGCGAATGTTCAACTCTGTGACTTGAATGCAGATATCACAAAGTAGTTTCTGAGAGGGCTTTCTGTCTAGATTTTACATGATGATATTCCCGTTTCCAATGAAATCATTAGAGCTTTCCAAATATCCACTTACAGTTTCTACAAAAAGAGTGTTTCCAAACTGCTGCATTCAAAAGAGAGGTTCCACTCTGTTAGCTGAGTACACACATCACAAACTTGTTTCTGAGAATCCTGCTGTCTACCTTTTTATTTGAATTCCCGCTTCCAACGAAATCCTCCAAGCTATCCAAATATCCACTTGCAGATTCCACAAAAAGAGTGTTTCAAAACTGCTCTCTATCAATGGCAAAGTTCAACTCTGTTAGTTGAGGACACATATCACCAACAAGTTTCTGAGAATGCTGCTGTCTAGTTTTTATATGAAATCCCGCTTCCAACGAAATGCTCAAAGCAATCCAAATATCCACTTGCAGATTCCACAAAAAGAGTGTTTCAAAACTGCTCTATCATAGAAAGGTTCAACTCTTTTAGTTGAGTACACACATCACAAACAAGTTTCTGAGAATGCTGCTGTCTAGTTTTTATACGAATTCCCGCTTCCAACGAAATCCTCAAAGCAATCCAAATATCCACTTGCAGAATCCACAAAAAGAGTGTTTCAAAACTGCTCTATCAATAGAAAGGTTCAACTCTTTTAGTTGAGTACACACATCACAAACAAGTTTCTGAGAATGCTTCTGTCTGGCTTTTATTGGAAGACGTTTCCTTTTCACCAAAGGCATCAAAGCGCTCCAAATGTCCACTTCCAGATTCTTCCAAAAGAGTGTTTGAAACGTGCTCAAAGTAAGGGAATGTTCAACTCTGTGACTTGAATGCAGATATCACCAAGTAGTTTCTAATAGTGCTTCTGTCTAGATTTTAGATGATGATATTCCCGTTTCCAACGAAATCGTTAGAGCTATCCAAATATCCAGTTACAGTTTCTACCAAAAGGGTGTTTCCAAATTGCTGCATCAAAAGAAAGGTTCAACTCTGTTAGTTGAGGACACACATCACAAAGAAGTTTGTGAGAATGCTTCTGTCTAGATTTTGTATGATGATATTCCCTTTTCCAACGATATCGTTAAAGCAATCTAAATATCAATTTGCAGAATCCACAAAAATAGAGTTTCAAAGCTGCTCTGTAAAAAGAAAGGTTCCACTCTGTTAGCTGAGTACACACATCACAAACTTGTTTCTGAGAATCCTTGCTGTCTACCTTTTATTTGAATTCCCGCTTCCAACGAAATCCTCCAAGCTATCCAAATATCAACTTGCATTTTCCACAAAAAGAGTGTTTCAAAACTGCTCTATCAATAGAAATGTTCAACTCCATTAGCTGGGTACACACATCACAAACAAGTTTCTGAGAATGCTTCTGTCTAGATTTTAGATGATGATATTCCCGTTTCCAACGAAATCGTTAGAGCTATCCAAATATCCACTTACAGTTTCTACAAAAAGAGTGTTTCCAAACTGCTGCATCAAAATAAAGGTTCAACTCTGTTAGTTGAGGACACACATCACAAAGAAGTTTGTGAGAATGCTTCTGTCTAGATTTTGTATGACGATATTCCCTTTTCCAACGATATCGTTAAAGCAATCTAAATATCAATTTGCAGAATCCACAAAAATAGAGTTTCAAAGCTGCTCTGTAAAAAGAAAGGTTCCACTCTGTTAGCTGAGTAGACACATCACAAACTTCTTTCTGAGAATCCTTCTGTCTAGTTTTTATGGGAAGATATTTACTTTTTCACCGTAGGCATCAAAGCGTTCCAAATGTCCACATCTAGATAGTACAGAAAGAGTGTTTCAAACCTGCTCTATGAAAGGGAATGTTCAACTCTATGAGTTGAATGCAAACATCACAAAGAAATTTCTGAGAATGCTGCTGTCTACCTTTTATTTGAATTCCCGCTTCCAACGAAATCCTCCAAGCTATCCAAATATCCACTTGCAGATTCCACAAAAAGAGTGTTTCAAAACTGCTCTCTATCAATGGCAAAGTTCAACTCTGTTAGTTGAGGACACATATCACCAACAAGTTTCTGAGTATGCTTCTGTCTATTTTTTATGGGAAGATATTTCCTTTTTCACCGTAGGCGTCAAGGCGATCGTAATGTCCACTTCCACAAACTACAAAAAGAGTGTTTCAAACCTGCTCTATGAAAGGCCATGTTCATCTCTATGAGTTGAATGGAAATATCCGAAAGAAATTTCTGGGAATGCTGCTGTCTAGTTTTTATACGAATTCCCGCTTCCAACGAAATCCTCAAAGCAATCCAAATATCCACTTGCAGAATCCACAAAAAGAGTGTTTCAAAACTGCTCTATCAATAGAAAGGTTCAACTCTTTTAGTTGAGTACACACATCACAAACAAGTTTCTGAGAATGCTTCTGTCTGGCTTTTATTGGAAGACGTTTCCTTTTCACCAAGGCATCAAAGCGCTCCAAATGTCCACTTCCAGATTCTTCCAAAAGAGTGTTTCAAACGTGCTCAAAGTAAGGGAATGTTCAACTCTGTGACTTGAATGCAGATATCACCAAGCAGTGTCTAATAGTGCTTCTCTCTAGATTTTAGATGATGATATTCCCGTTTCCAACGAAATCGTTAGAGCTATCCAAATATCCAGTTACAGTTTCTACCAAAAGGGTGTTTCCAAACTGCTGCATCAAAAGAAAGGTTCAACTCTGTTAGTTGAGGACACACATCACAAAGAAGTTTGTGAGAATGCTTCTGTCTAGATTTTGTATGACGATATTCCCTTTTCCAATGATATCGTTAAAGCAATCTAAATATCAATTTGCAGAATCCACAAAAATAGAGTTTCAAACCTGCTCTGTAAAAAGAAAGGTTCCACTCCGTTAGCTGAGTACACACATCACAAACTTGTTTCTCAGAATCCTTCTGTCTCGTTTTTATGGGAAGATATTTACTTTTTCACCGTAGGCATCAAAGCGCTCCAAATGTCCACATCCAGATACTCCAGAAAGAGTGTTTCAAACCTGCTCTAGGAAAGGGAATCTTCAACTCTATGAGTTGAATGCAGACATCAGAAAGAAATTTCTGAGAATGCTGCTGTCTACCTTTTATTTGAATTCCCGCTTCCAACGAAATCCTCCAAGCTATCCAAATATCCACCTGCATTTTCCACAAAAAGAGTGTTTCAAAACTGCTCTATCAATAGAAATGTTCAACTCCTTTGGCTGGGTACACACATCACAAACAAGTTTCTGAGAATGCTTCTGTCTAGTTTTTATGGGAAGACGTTCCCTTTTTCACCAAAGGCATCAAAGCGCTCCAAATGTCCACTTCCAGACACTACAGAAAGAGTGTTTGAAACGTGCTCTTAGAAAGCGAATGTTCAACTCTGTGACTTGAATGCAGATATCACAAAGTAGTTTCTGAGAGGGCTTCTGTCTAGATTTTAGATGATGATATTCCCGTTTCCAACGAAATCATTAGAGCTATCCAAATATCCACTTACAGTTTCTACAAAAAGAGTGTTTCCAAACTGCTGCATCAAAAGAGAGGTTCCACTCTGTTAGCTGAGTACACACATCACAAACTTGTTTCTCAGAATCCTTCTGTCTAGTTTTTATGGGAAGACGTTCCCTTTTTCACCAAAGGCATCCAAGCGCTCCAAATGTCCACATCCAGATACTCCAGAAAGAGTGTTTCAAACCTGCTCTATGAAAGGGAATCTTCAACTCTATGAGTTGAATGCAGACATCAGAAAGAAATTTCTGAGAATGCTGCTGTCTACCTTTTATTTGAATTCCCGCTTCCAACGAAATCCTCCAAGCTATCCAAATATCCACTTGCAGATTCCACAAAAAGAGTGTTTCAAAACTGCTCTCTATCAATGGCAAAGTTCAACTCTGTTAGTTGAGGACACATATCACCAACAAGTTTCTGAGAATGCTTCTGTCTATTTTTTATGGGAAGATATTTCCTTTTTCACCGTAGGCGTCAAGGCGATCGAAATGTCCACTTCCACAAACTACAAAAAGAGTGTTTCAAACCTGCTCTATGAAAGGCCATGTTCATCTCTATGAGTTGAATGGAAATATCCGAAAGAAATTTGCTGGGAATGCTGCTGTCTAGTGTTTATACGAATTCCCGCTTCCAACGAAATCCTCAAAGCAATCCAAATATCCACTTGCAGAATCCACAAAAAGAGTGTTTCAAAACTGCTCTATCAATGGAAAGGTTCAACACATTTAGTTGAGTACACACATCACAAACAAGTTTCTGAGAATGCTTCTGTCTGGCTTTTATTGGAAGACGTTTCCTTTTCACCAAAGGCATCAAAGCGCTCCAAATGTCCACTTCCAGATTCTTCCAAAAGAGTGTTTCAAACGTGCTCGAAGTAAGGGAATGTTCTACTCTGTGTCTTGAATGCAGATATCACCAAGTAGTTTCTAATAGTGCTTCTGTCTACATTTTAGATGATGATATTCCCGTTTCCAACGAAATCGTTAGAGCTATCCAAATATCCAGTTACAGTTTCTACCAAAAGGGTGTTTCCAAATTGCTGCATCAAAAGAAAGGTTCAACTCTGTTAGTTGAGGACACACATCACAAAGAAGTTTGTGAGAATGCTTCTGTCTAGATTTTGTATGACGATATTCCCTTTTCCAACGATATCGTTAAAGCAATCTAAATATCAATTTGCAGAATCCACAAAAATAGAGTTTCAAACCTGCTCTGTAAAAAGAAAGGTTCCACTCTGTTAGCTGAGTACACACATCACAAACTTGTTTCTGAGAATCCTTCTGTCTCGTTTTTATGGGAAGATATTTACTTTTCCACCGTAGGCATCAAAGCGCTCCAAATGTCCACATCCAGATACTCCAGAACGAGTGTTTCAAACCTGCTCTATGAAAGGGAATCTTCAACTCTATGAGTTGAATGCAGACATCAGAAAGAAATTTCTGAGAATGCTGCTGTCTACCTTTTATTTGAACTCCCGCTTCCAACGAAATCCTCCAAGCTACGCAAATATCCACTTGCATTTTCCACAAAAAGAGTGTTTCAAAACTGCTCTATCAATAGAAATGTTCAACTCCTTTAGCTGGGTACACACATCACAAACAAGTTTCTGAGAATGCTTCTGTCTAGTTTTTATGGGAAGACATTCCCTTTTTCACCAAAGGCATCAAAGCGCTCCAAATGTCCACTTCCAGACACTACAAAAAGAGTGTTTCCAACGTGCTCTAAGAAAGCGAATGTTCAACTCTGTGACTTGAATGCAGATATCACAAAGTAGTTTGCTGAGAGGGCTTCTGTCTAGATTTTAGATGATGATATTCCCGTTTCCAACGAAATCATTAGAGCTATCCAAATATCCACTTACAGTTTCTACAAAAAGAGTGTTTCCAAACTGCTGCATGAAAAGAGAGGTTCCACTCTGTTAGCTGAGTACACACATCACAAACTTGTTTCTCAGAATCCTTCTGTCTCGTTTTTATGGGAAGATATTTACTTTTTCACCGTAGGCATCAAAGCGCTCCAAATGTCCACATCCAGATACTCCAGAAAGAGTGTTTCAAACCTGCTCTATGAAAGGGAATGTTCAACTCTATGAGTTGAATGCAGACATCAGAAAGAAATTTCTGAGAATGCTGCTGTCTACCTTTTATTTGAATTCCCGCTTCCAACGAAATCCTCCAAGCTATCCAAATATCCACTTGCAGATTCCACAAAAAGAGTGTTTCATAACTGCTCTCTATCAATGGCAAAGTTCAACTCTGTTAGTTGAGGACACATATCACCAACAAGTTTCTGAGAATGCTTCTGTCTATTTTTTATGGGAAGATATTTCCTTTTTCACCGTAGGCGTCAAGGCGATCGAAATGTCCACTTCCACAAACTACAAAAAGAGTGTTTCAATATGAAAGGCCATGTTCATCTCTATGAGTTGAATGGAAATATCCGAAAGAAATTTCTGGGAATGCTGCTGTCTAGTGTTTATACGAATTCCCGCTTCCAACGAAATCCTCAAAGCAATCCAAATATCCACTTGCAGAATCCACAAAAAGAGGGTTTCAAAACTGCTCTATCAATAGAAAGGTTCAACTCTTTTAGTTGAGTACACACATCACGAACAAGTTTCTGAGAATGCTTCTGTCTGGCTTTTATTGGAAGACGTTTCCTTTTCACCAAAGGCATCAAAGCGCTCCAAATGTCCACTTCCAGATTCTTCCAAAAGAGTGTTTCAAACGTGCTCGAAGTAAGGGAATGTTCTACTATGTGACTTGAATGCAGATATCACCAAGTAGTTTCTAATAGTGCTTCTGTCTAGATTTTAGATGATGATATTCCCGTTTCCAACGAAATCGTTAGAGCTAAGCAAATATCCAGTTACAGTTTCTACCAAAAGGGTGTTTCCAAATTGCTGCATCAAAAGAAAGGTTCAACTCTGTTAGTTGAGGACACACATCACAAAGAAGTTTGTGAGAATGCTTCTGTCTAGATTTTGTATGACGATATTCCCTTTTCCAACGATATCATTAAAGCAATCTAAATATCCATTTGCAGAATCCACAAAAATAGAGTTTCAAAGCTGCTCTGTAAAAAGAAAGGTTCCACTCTGTTAGCTGAGTACACACATCACAAACTTGTTTCTCAGAATCCTTGTCTGTCTCGTTTTTCTGGGAAGATATTTACTTTTTCACCGTAGGCATCAAAGCGCTCCAAATGTACACATCCAGATACTCCAGAAAGAGTGTTTCAAACCTGCTCTATGAAAGGGAATCTTCAACTCTATGAGTTGAATGCAGACATCAGAAAGAAATTTCTGAGAATGCTGCTGTCTACCTTTTATTTGAATTCCCGCTTCCAACGAAATCCTCCAAGCTATCCAAATATCCACTTGCATTTTCCACAAAAAGAGTGTTTCAAAACTACTCTATCAATAGAAATGTTCAACTCCTTTAGCTGGGTACACACATCACAAACAACTTTCTGAGAATGCTTCTGTCTAGTTTTTATGGGAAGACGTTCCCTTTTTCACCAAAGGCATCAAAGCGCTCCAAATGTCCACTTCCAGACACTACAAAAAGAGTGTTTCAAACGTGCTCTAAGAAAGCGAATGTTCAACTCTGTGACTTGAATGCAGATATCACAAAGTAGTTTCTGAGAGGGCTTCTGTCTAGATTTTAGATGATGATATTCCCGTTTCCAACGAAATCATTAGAGCTATCCAAATATCCACTTACAGTTTCTACAAAAAGAGTGTTGCCAAACTGCTGCATCAAAAGAGAGGTTCCACTCTGTTAGCTGAGTACACACATCACAAACTTGTTTCTCAGATTCCTTCTGTCTCGTTTTTATGGGAAGATATTTACTTTTTCACCGTAGGCATCAAAGCGCTCCAAATGTCCACATCCAGAAACTCCAGAAAGAGTGTTTCAAACCTGCTCTATGAAAGGGAATGTTCAACTCTATGAGTTGAATGCAGACATCAGAAAGAAATTTCTGAGAATGCTGCTGTCTACCTTTTATTTGAATTCCCGCTTCCAACGAAATCCTCCAAGCTATCCAAATATCCACTTGCAGATTCCACAAAAAGAGTGTTTCAAAACTGCTCTCTATCAATGGCAAAGTTCAACTCTGTTAGTTGAGGACACATATCACCAACAAGTTTCTGAGAATGCTTCTGTCTATTTTTTATGGGAAGATATTTCCTTTTTCACCTTAGGCGTCAAGGCGATCGAAATGTCCACTTCCACAAACTACAAAAAGAGTGTTTCAAACCTGCTCTATGAAAGGCCATGTTCATCTCTATGAGTTGAATGGAAATATCCGAAAGAAATTTCTGGGAATGCTGCTGTCTAGTTGTTATACGAATTCCCGCTTCCAACGAAATCCTCAAAGCAATCCACATATCCACTTGCAGAATCCACAAAAAGAGTGTTTCAAAACTGCTCCATCAATAGAAAGGTTCAACTCTTTTAGTTGAGTACACACATCACGAACAAGTTTCTGAGAATGCTTCTGTCTGGCTTTTATTGGAAGACGTTTCCTTTTCACCAAAGGCATCAAAGCGCTCCAAATGTCCACTTCCAGATTCTTCCAAAAGAGTGTTTCAAACGTGCTCTAAGAAAGCGAATGTTCAACTCTGTGACTTGAATGCAGATATCACAAAGTAGTTTCTAATAGTGCTTCTGTCTAGATTTTAGATGATGATATTCCCGTTTCCAACGAAATCGTTAGAGCTATCCAAATATCCACTTACAGTTTCTACAAAAAGAGTGTTTCCAAACTGCTGCATCAAAAGAAAAGTTCAACTCTGTTAGTTGAGGACACACATCACAAAGAAGTTTGTGAGAATGCTTCTGTCTAGATTTTGTATGACGGTATTCCCTTTTCCAACGATATCGTTAAAACAATCTAAATATCAATTTGCAGAATCCACAAAAATAGAGTTTCAAAGCTGCTGTGTAAAAAGAAAGGTTCCACTCTGTTAGCTGAGTACACACATCACAAACTTGTTTCTGAGAATCCTTTCTGTCTCGTTTTTATGGGAAGATATTTACTTTTCCACCGTAGGCATCAAAGCGCTCCAAATGTCCACATCCAGATACTCCAGAACGAGTGTTTCAAACCTGCTCTATGAAAGGGAATCTTCAACTCTATGAGTTGAATGCAGACATCAGAAAGAAATTTCTGAGAATGCTGCTGTCTACCTTTTATTTGATTTCCCGCTTCCAACGAAATCCTCCAAGCTATCCAAATATCCACCTGCATTTTCCACAACAAGAGTGTTTCAAAACTGCTCTATCAATAGAAATGTTCAACTCCTTTGGCTGGGTACACACATCACAAACAAGTTTCTGAGAATGCTTCTGTCTAGTTTTTATGGGTAGACATTCCCTTTTTCACCAAAGGAATCAAAGCGCTCCAAATGTCCACTTCCAGACACTACAAAAAGAGTGTTTCAAACGTGCTCTAAGAAAGCGAATGTTCAACTCTGTGACTTGAATGCAGATATCACAAAGTAGTTTCTGAGAGTGCTTCTGTCTAGATTTAGATGATGATATTCCCGTTTCCAACGAAATCATTAGAGCTATCCAAATATCCACTTACAGTTTCTACAAAAAGAGTTTTTCCAAACTGCTGCATCAAAAGAGAGGTTCCACTCTGTTAGCTGAGTACACACATCACAAACTTGTTTCTCAGAATCCTTCTGTCTCGTTTTTATGGGAAGATATTTACTTTTTCACCGTAGGCATCAAAGCGCTCCAAATGTCCACATCCAGATACTCCAGAAAGAGTGTTTCAAACCTGCTCTATGAAAGGGAATGTTCAACTCTATGAGTTGAATGCAGACATCAGAAAGAAATTTCTGAGAATGCTGCTGTCTACCTTTAATTTGAATTCCCGCTTCCAACGAAATCCTCCAAGCTATCCAAATATCCACTTGCAAACTCCACAAAAAGAGTGTTTCAAAACTGCTCTCTATCAATGGCAAAGTTCAACTCTGTTAGTTGAGGACACATATCACCAACAAGTTTCTGAGAATGCTTCTGTCTATTTTTTATGGGGAAGATATTTCCTTTTTCACCGTAGGCGTCAAGGCGATCGAAATGTCCACTTCCACAAACTACAAAAAGAGTGTTTCAAACCTGCTCTATGAAAGGCCATGTTCATCTCTATGAGTTGAATGGAAATATCCGAAAGAAATTTCTGGGAATGCTGCTGTCTAGTTGTTATACGAATTCCCGCTTCCAACGAAATCCTCAAAGCAATCCAAATATCCACTTGCAGAATCCACAAAAAGAGTGTTTCAAAACTGCTCTATCAATAGAAAGGTTCAACTCTTTTAGTTGAGTACACACATCTCAAACAAGTTTCTGAGAATGCTTCTGTCTGGCTTTTATTGGAAGACGTTTCCTTTTCACCAAAGGCATCAAAGCGCTCCAAATGTCCACTTCCAGATTCTTCCAAAAGAGTGTTTCAAACGTGCTCGAAGTAAGGGAATGTTCAACTCTGTGACTTGAATGCAGATATCACCAAGTAGTTTCTAATAGTGCTTCTGTCTAGATTTTAGATGATGGTATTCCCGTTTCCAACGAAATCGTTAGAGCTATCCAAATATCCACTTACAGTTTCTACCAAAAGGGTGTTTCCAAACTGCTGCATCAAAAGAAAGGTTCAACTCTGTTAGTTGAGGACACACTTCACAAAGCTGTTTGTGAGAATGCTTCTGTCCAGATTTTGTATGACGATATTCCCTTTTCCAACGATATCGTTAAAGCAATCTAAATATCAATTTGCAGAATCCACAAAAATAGAGTTTCAAAGCTGCTCTGTAAAAAGAAAGGTTCCACTCTGTTAGCTGAGTACACACATCACAAACTTGTTTCTGAGAATCCTTCTGTCTCGTTTTTATGGGAAGATATTTACTTTTTCACTGTAGGCATCAAAGCGCTCCAAATGTCCACATCCAGATACTACAGAAAGAGTATTTCAAACCTGTCCTATGAAAGGGAATGTTCAACTCTATGAGTTGAATGCAGACATCAGAAAGAAATTTCTGAGAATGCTGCTGTCTAACTTTTATTTGAATTCCCGCTTCCAACGAAATCCTCCAAGCTATCCAAATATCCACCTGCATTTTCCACAAAAAGAGTGTTTCAAAACTGCTCTATCAATAGAAATGTTCAACTCCTTTGGCTGGGTACACACATCACAAACAAGTTTCTGAGAATGCTTCTGTCTAGTTTTTATGGGAAGACATCTCCTTTTTCACCAAAGGCATCAAAGAGCTCCAAATGTCCACTTCCAGATACGACAAAAAGGGTGTTTCAAAAGTGCTCTAAGAAAGCGAATGTTCAACTCTGTGACTTGAATGCAGATATCACAAAGTAGTTTCTGAGAGTGCTTCTGTCTAGATTTTAGATGATGATATTCCCGTTTCCAACGAAATCATTAGAGCTATCCAAATATCCACTTACAGTTTCTACAAAAAGAGTGTTTCCAAACTGCTGCATCAAAAGAGAGGTTCCACTCTGTTAGCTGAGTACACACATCACAAACCTGTTTCTGAGAATCCTTCTTCAATTTTTTATGGGAAGACATTTCCTTTTTCACCGTAGGCGTCAAAGCGCTCCAAATGTCCACATCCAGATAGTACAGAAAGAGTGTTTCAAACCTACTCTATTAAAGGGAATGTTCAACTCTATGAGTTGAATGCAAACATCACAAAGAAATTTCTGAGAATGCTGCTGTCTACCTTTTATTTGAATTCCCGATTCCAACGAAATCCTCCAAGCTATCCAAATATCCACTTGCAGATTCCACAAAAAGAGTGTTTCAAAACTGCTCTCTATCAATGGCAAAGTTCAACTCTGTTAGTTGAGGACACATATCACCAACAAGTTTCTGAGAATGCTTCTGTCTATTTTTTATGGGAAGATATTTCCTTTTTCACCGTAGGCGTCAAGGCGATCGAAATGTCCACTTCCACAAACTACAAAAAGAGTGTTTCAAACCTGCTCTATGAAAGGCCATGTTCATCTCTATGAGTCGAATGGAAATATCCGAAAGAAATTTCTGGGAATGCTGCTGTCTAGTGTTTATACGAATTCCCGCTTCCAACGAAATCCTCAAAGCAATCCAAATATCCACTTGCAGAATCCACAAAAAGAGTGTTTCTAAACTGCTCTATCAATAGAAAGGTTCAACTCTTTTAGTTGAGTACACACATCACGAACAAGTTTCTGAGAATGCTTCTGTCTGGCTTTTATTGGAAGACGTTTCCTTTTCACCAAAGGCATCAAAGCGCTCCAAATGTCCACTTCCAGATTCTTCCAAAAGAGTGTTTCAAACGTGCTCAAAGTAAGGGAATGTTCAACTCTGTGACTTGAATGCAGATATCACCAAGTAGTTTCTAATAGTGCTTCTGTCTAGATTTTAGATGATGATATTCCCGTTTCCAACGAAATCGTTAGAGCTATCCAAATATCCACTTACAGTTGCTACAAAAACAGTGTTTCCAAACTGCTGCATCAAAAGAAAGGTTCAACTCTGTTAGTTGAGGACACACGTCACAAAGAAGTTTGTGAGAATGCTTCTGTCTAGATTTTGTATGACGATATTCCCTTTTCCAACGATATCGTTAAAGCAATCTAAATATCAATTTGCAGAATCCACAAAAATAGAGTTTCAAAGCTGCTCTGTAAAAAGAAAGGTTCCACTCTGGTAGCTGAGTACACACATCACAAACTTGTTTCTGAGAATCCTTCTGTCTCGTTTTTATGGGAAGATATTTACTTTTCCACCATAGGCATCAAAGCGCTCCAAATGTCCACATCCAGACACTCCAGAACGAGTGTTTCAAACCTGCTCTATGAAAGGGAATCTTCAACTCTATGAGTTGAATGCAGACATCAGAAAGAAATTTCTGAGAATGCTGCTGTCTACCTTTTATTTGAATTCCCGCTTCCAACGAAATCCTCCAAGCTATCCAAATATCCACTTGCATTTTCCACAAAAAGAGTGTTTCAAAACTGCTCTATCAATAGAAATGTTCAACTCCTTTAGCTGGGTACACACATCACAAACAAGTTTCTGAGAATGCTTCTGTCTAGTTTTTATGGGAAGACGTTCCCTTTTTCACCAAAGGCATCAAAGCGCTCCAAATGTCCACTTCCAGACACTACAAAAAGAGTGTTTCAAACGTGCTCTAAGAAAGCGAATGTTCAACTCTGTGACTTGAATGCAGATATCACAAAGTAGTTTCTGAGAGGGCTTTCTGCCTAGATTTTAGATGATGATATTCCCGTTTCCAACGAAATCATTAGAGCTATCCAAATATCCACTTACAGTTTCTGCAAAAAGAGTGTTTCCAAACTGCTGCATCAAAAGAGAGGTTCCACTCTGTTAGCTGAGTACACACATCACAAACTTGTTTCTCAGAATCCTTCTGTCTCGTTTTTATGGGAAGATATTTACTTTTTCACCGTAGGCATCAAAGCGCTCCAAATGTCCTCATCCAGATACTACAGAAAGAGTATTTCAAACCTGCCCTATGAAAGGGAATGTTCAACTCTATGAGTTGAATGCAGAGATCAGAAAGAAATTTCTGAGAATGCTGCTGTCTACCTTTTATTTGAATTCCCGCTTCCAACGAAATCCTCCAAGCTATCCAAATATCCACTTGCAGATTCCACAAAAAGAGTGTTTCAAAACTGCTCTCTATCAATGGCAAAGTTCAACTCTGTTAGTTGAGGACACATATCACCAACAAGTTTCTGAGAATGCTTCTGTCTATTTTTTATGGGAAGATATTTCCTTTTTCACCGTAGGCGTCAAGGCGATCGAAATGTCCACTTCCACAAACTACAAAAAGAGTGTTTCAAACCTGCTCTATGAAAGGCCATGTTCATCTCTATGAGTTGAATGGAAATATCTGAAAGAAATTTCTGGGAATGCTGCTGTCTAGTTTTTATACGAATTCCCGCTTCCAACGAAATCCTCAAAGCAATCCAAATATCCACTTGCAGAATCCACAAAAAGAGTGTTTCAAAACTGCTCTATCAATGGAAAGGTTCAACTCTTTTAGTTGAGTACACACATCACAAACAAGTTTCTGAGAATGCTTCTGTCTGGCTTTTATTGGAAGACGTTTCCTTTTCACCAAAGGCATCAAAGCGCTCCAAATGTCCACTTCCAGATTCTTCCAAAAGAGTGTTTCAAACGTGCTCAAAGTAAGGGAATGTTCAACTCTGTGACTTGAATGCAGATATCACCAAGTAGTTTCTAATAGTGCTTCTGTCTAGATTTTAGATGATGATATTCCCGTTTCCAACGAAATCGTTAGAGCTATCCAAATATCCAGTTACAGTTTCTACAAAAAGAGTGTTTCCAAACTGCTGCATCAAAAGAAAGGTTCAACTCTGTTAGTTGAGGACACACATCACAAAGAAGTTTGTGAGAATGCTTCTGTCTAGATTTTGTATGACCATATTCCCTTTTCCAGCGATATCATTAAAGCAATCTAAATATCCATTTGCAGAATCCACAAAAATAGAGTTTCAAAGCTGCTCTGTAAAAAGAAAGGTTCCACTCTGTTAGCTGAGTACACACATCACAAACTTGTTTACTCAGAATCCTTCTGTCTCGTTTTTATGGGAAGATATTTACTTTTCCACCGTAGGCATCAAAGCGCTCCAAATGTCCACATCCAGATACTCCGGAACGAGTGTTTCAAACCTACTCTATGAAAGGGAATCTTCAACTCTATGAGTTGAATGCAGACATCAGAAAGAAATTTCTGAGAATGCTGCTGTCTACCTTTTATTTGAACTCCCGCTTCCAACGAAATCCTCCAAGCTATCCAAATATCCACTTGCATTTTCCACAAAAAGAGTGCTTCAAAACTGCTCTATCAATAAATGTTCAACTCCTTTAGCTGGGTGCACACATCACAAACAAGTTTCTGAGAATGCTTCTGTCTAGTTTTTATGGGAAGACATTTCCTTTTTCACCAAAGGCATCAAAGAGCTCCAAATGTCCACTTCCAGATACGACAAATAGAGTGTTTCAAAAGTGCTCTAAGAAAGCGAATGTTCAACTCTGTGACTTGAATGCAGATATCAAAAAGTAGTTTCTTGAGAGTCCTTCTGTCTAGATTTTAGATGATGATATTCCCGTTTCCAACGAAATCATTAGAGCTATCCAAATATCCACTTACAGTTTCTACAAAAAGAGTGTTTCCAAACTGCTGCATCAAAAGAGAGGTTCCACTCTGTTAGCTGAGTACACACATCACAAACTTGTTTCTCAGAATCCTTCTGTCTCGTTTTTATGGGAAGATATTTACTTTTTCACCGTAGGCATCAAAGCGCTCCAAATGTCCACATCCAGATACTCCAGAACGAGTGTTTCAAACCTGCTCTATGAAAGGGAATCTTCAACTCTATGAGTTGAATGCAGACATCAGAAAGAAATTTCTGAGAATGCTGCTGTCTACCTTTTATTTGAATTCCCGCTTCCAACGAAATCCTCCAAGCTATCCAAATATCCACTTGCAGATTCCACAAAAAGAGTGTTTCAAAACTGCTCTCTATCAATGGCAAAGTTCAACTCTGTTAGTTGAGGACACATATCACCAACAAGTTTCTGAGAATGCTTCTGTCTATTTTTTATGGGAAGATATTTCCTTTTTCACCGTAGGCGTCAAGGCAATCGAAATGTCCACTTCCACAAACTACAAAAAGAGTGTTTCAAACCTGCTCTATGAAAGGCCATGTTCATCTCTATGAGTCGAATGGAAATATCCGAAAGAAATTTCTGGGAATGCTGCTGTCTAGTGTTTATACGAATTCCCGCTTGCAACGAAATCCTCAAAGCAATCCAAATATCCACTTGCAGAATCCACAAAAAGAGTGTTTCAAAACTGCTCTATCAATAGAAAGGTTCAACTCTTTTAGTTGAGTACACACATCACGACCAAGTTTCTGAGAATGCTTCTCTCTGGCTTTTATTGGAAGACGTTTCCTTTTCACCAAAGGCATCAAAGCGCTCCAAATGTCCACTTCCAGATTCTTCCAAAAGAGTGTTTCAAACGTGGTCGAAGTAAGGGAATGTTCAACTCTGTGACTTGAATGCAGATATCACCAAGTAGTTTCTAATAGTGCTTATGTCTAGATTTTAGATGATGATATTCCCGTTTCCAACGAAATCGTTAGAGCTATCCAAATATCCACTTACAGTTTCTACAAAAAGAGTGTTTCCAAACTGCTGCATCAAAAGAAAGGTTCAACTCTGTTAGTTGAGGACACACATCACAAAGAAGTTTGTGAGAATGCTTCTGTCTAGATTTTGTATGACGATATTCCCTTTTCCAACGATATCGTTAAAGCAATCTAAATATCCATTTGCAGAATCCACAAAAATAGAGTTTCAAAGCTGCTCTGTAAAAAGAAAGGTTCCACTCTGTTAGCTGAGTACACACATCACAAACTTGTTTCTGAGAATCCTTCTGTCTCGTTTTTATGGGAAGATATTTACTTTTTCACCGTAGGCATCAAAGCGCTCCAAATGTCCACATCCAGATACTCCAGAAAGGGTGTTTCAAACCTGCTCTATGAAAGGGAATCTTCAACTCTATGAGTTGAATGCAGACATCAGAAAGAAATTTCTGAGAATGCTGCTGTCTACCTTTTATTTGAATTCCCGCTTACAACGAAATCCTCCAAGCTATCCAAATATCCACTTGCAGATTCCACAAAAAGAGTGTTTCAAAACTGCTCTCTATCAATGGCAAAGTTCAACTCTGTTAGTTGAGGACACATATCACCAACAAGTTTCTGAGAATGCTTCTGTCTAGTTTTTATGGGTAGACATTCCCTTTTTCACCAAAGGAATCAAAGCGCTCCAAATGTCCACTTCCAGACACTACAAAAAGAGTGTTTCAAACGTGCTCTAAGAAAGGGAATGTTCAACTCTGTGACTTGAATGCAGATATCACAAAGTAGTTTCTGAGAGTGCTTCTGTCTAGATTTTAGATGATGATATTCCCGTTTCCAACGAAATCATTAGAGCTATCCAAATATCCACTTACAGTTTCTACAAAAAGAGTGTTTCCAAACTGCTGCATCAAAAGAGAGGTTCCACTCTGTTAGCTGAGTACACACATCACAAACTTGTTTCTCAGAATCCTTCTGTCTCGTTTTTATGGGAAGATATTTACTTTTTCACAGTAGGCATCAAAGCTCTCCAAATGTCCACATCCAGATACTCCAGAAAGAGTGTTTCAAACCTGCTCTATGAAAGGGAATCTTCAACTCTATGAGTTGAATGCAGACATCAGAAAGAAATTTCTGAGAATGCTGCTGTCTACCTTTTATTTGAATTCCCGCTTCCAACGAAATCCTCCAAGCTATCCAAATATCCACTTGCAGATTCCACAAAAAGAGTGTTTCAAAACTGCTCTCTATCAATGGCAAAGTTCAACTCTGTTAGTTGAGGACACATATCACCAACAAGTTTCTGAGAATGCTTCTGTCTATTTTTTATGGGAAGATATTTCCTTTTTCACCGTAGGCGTCAAGGCGATCGAAATGTCCACTTCCACAAACTACAAAAAGAGTGTTTCAAACCTGCTCTATGAAAGGCCATGTTCATCTCTATGAGTCAAATGGAAATATCCGAAAGAAATTTCTGGGAATGCTGCTGTCTAGTTTTTATACGAATTCCCGCTTCCAACGAAATCCTCAAAGCAATCCAAATATCCACTTGCAGAATCCACAAAAAGAGTGTTTCAAAACTGCTCTATCAATAGAAAGGTTCAACTCTTTTAGTTGAGTACACACATCACAAACAAGTTTCTGAGAATGCTTCTGTCTGTCTTTTATTGGAAGACGTTTCCTTTTCACCAAAGGCATCAAAGCGCTCCAAATGTCCACTTCCAGATTCTTCCAAAAGAGTGTTTCAAACGTGCTCAAAGTAAGGGAATGTTCAACTCTGTGTCTTGAATGCAGATATCACCAAGTAGTTTCTAATAGTGCTTCTGTCTAGATTTTAGATGATGATATTCCCGTTTCCAACGAAATCGTTAGAGCTATCCAAATATCCAGTTACAGTTTCTACCAAAAGGGTGTTTCCAAATTGCTGCATCAAAAGAAAGGTTCAACTCTGTTAGTTGAGGACACACATCACAAAGAAGTTTGTGAGAATGCTTCTGTCTAGATTTTGTATGACCATATTCCCTTTTCCAGCGATATCATTAAAGCAATCTAAATATCCATTTGCAGAATCCACAAAAATAGAGTTTCAAAGCTGCTCTGTAAAAAGAAAGGTTCCACTCTGTTAGCTGAGTACACACATCACAAACTTGTTTCTGAGAATCCTTCTGTCTCGTTTTTATGGGAAGATATTTACTTTTTCACCGTAGGCATCAAAGTGCTCCAAATGTCCACATCCAGATACTCCAGAAAGAGTGTTTCAAACCTGCTCTATGAAAGGGAATCTTCAACTCTATGAGTTGAATGCAGACATCAGAAAGAAATTTCTGAGAATGCTCTGTCTACCTTTTATTTGAATTCCCGCTTCCAACGAAATCCTCCAAGCTATCCAAATATCCACTTGCATTTTCCACAAAAAGAGTGTTTCAAAACTGCTCTATCAATAGAAATGTTCAACTCCTTTAGCTGGGTACACACATCACAAACAAGTTTCTGAGAATGCTTTCTGTCTAGTTTTTATGGGAAGACATTCCCTTTTTCACCAAAGGCATCAAAGCGCTCCAAATGTCCACTTCCAGACACTACAAAAAGAGTGTTTCCAACGTGCTCTAAGAAAGCGAATGTTCAACTCTGTGACTTGAGTGCAGATATCACAAAGTAGTTTCTGAGAGGGCTTCTGTCTAGATTTTGTATGAAGATATTCCCTTTTCCAACGATGTCGTTAAATCAACCCAAATATCAATTTGCAGAATCCACAGAAATAGAGTTTCAAAGCTGCTCTGTAAAAAGAAAGGATCCACTCTGTTAGCTGAGTACACACATCACAAACTTGTTTCTGAGAATCCTTCTGTCTAGTTTTTATGGGAAGATATTTACTTTTTCACTGTAGGTATCAAAGCGCTCCAAATGTCCACATCCAGATACTACAGAAAGAGTGTTTCAAACCTGCTCTATGAAAGGGAATCCTCAACTCTACGAGTTGAATGCAGACATCAGAAAGTAATTTCTGAGAATGCTGCTGTCTACCTTTTATTTGAATTCCCGCTTCCAACGAAATCCTGCCAAGCTATCCAAATATCCACTTGCAGATTCCACAAAAAGAGTGTTTCAAAACTGCTCTCTATCAATGGCAAAGTTCAACTCTGTTAGTTGAGGACACATATCACCAACAAGTTTCTGAGAATGCTTCTGTCTATTTTGTATGGGAAGATATTTCCTTTTTCAGCGTAGGCGTCAAGGCGATCGAAATGTCCACTTCCACAAACTACAAAAAGAGTGTTTCAAACCTGCTCTATGAAAGGCCATGTTCATCTCTATGAGTTGAATGGAAATATCCGAAAGAAATTTCTGGGAATGCTGCTGTCTAGTGTTTATACGAATTCCCGCTTCCAACGAAATCCTCAAAGCAATCCAAATATCCACTTGCAGAATCCACAAAAAGAGTGTTTCAAAACTGCTCTATCAATAGAAAGGTTCAACTCTTTTAGTTGAGTACACACATCACGAACAAGTTTCTGAGAATGCTTCTGTCTGGCTTTTATTGGAAGACGTTTCCTTTTCACCAAAGGCATCACAGTGCTCCAAATGTCCACTTCCAGATTCTTCCAAAAGAGTGTTTCAAACGTGCTCAAAGTAAGGGAATGTTCAACTCTGTGACTTGAATGCAGATATCACCAAGTAGTTTCTAATAGTGCTTCTGTCTAGATTTTAGATGATGATATGCCCGTTTCCAACGAAATCGTTAGAGCTATCCAAATATCCACTTACAGTTTCTACAAAAAGAGTGTTTCCAAACTGCTGCATCAAAAGAAAGGTTCAACTCTGTTAGTTGAGGACACACATCACAAAGAAGTTTGTGAGAATGCTTCTGTCTAGATTTTGTATGACGATATTCCCTTTTCCAACGATATCGTTAAAGCAATCTAAATATCCATTTGCAGAATCCACAAAAATAGAGTTTCAAAGCTGCTCTGTAAAAAGAAAGGTTCCACTCTGTTAGCTGAGTACACACATCACAAACTTGTTTCTCAGAATCCGCTGTCTACCTTTTATTTGAATTCCCGCTTCCAACGGAAATCCTCCAAGCTATCCAAATATCCACCTGCATTTTCCACAAAAAGAGTGTTTCAAAACTGCTCTATCAATAGAAATGTTCAACTCCTTTGGCTGGGTACACACATCACAAACAAGTTTCTGAGAATGCTTCTGTCTAGTTTTTATGGGAAGACATTCCCTTTTTCACCAAAGGCATCAAAGCGCTCCAAATGTCCACTTCCAGACACTACAAAAAGAGTGTTTCCAACGTACTCTAAGAAAGCGAATGTTCAACTCTGTGACTTGAATGCAGATATCACAAAGTAGTTTCTGAGAGGGCTTCTGTCTAGATTTTAGATGATGATATTCCCGTTTCCAACGAAATCATTAGAGCTATCCAAATATCCACTTACAGTTTCTACAAAAAGAGTGTTTCCAAACTGCTGCATCAAAAGAGAGGTTCCACTCTGTTAGCTGAGTACACACATCACAAACTTGTTTCTCAGAATCCTGCTGTCTACCTTTTATTTGAATTCCCGCTTCCAACGAAATCCTCCAAGCTATCCAAATATCCACTTGCAGATTCCACAAAAAGAGTGTTTCAAAACTGCTCTCTATCAATGGCAAAGTTCAACTCTGTTAGTTGAGGACACATATCACCAACAAGTTTCTGAGAATGCTTCTGTCTATTTTTTATGGGAAGATATTTCCTTTTTCACTGTAGGCATCAAGGCGATCGAAATGTCCACTTCCACAAACTACAAAAAGAGTGTTTCAAACCTGCTCTATGAAAGGCGATGTTCATCTCAATGAGTTGAATGGAAATATCCGAAAGAAATTTCTGGGAATGCTGCTGTCTAGTTTTTATATGAATTCCCGCTTCCAACGAAATCCTCAAAGCAATCCAAATATCCACTTGCAGAATCCACAAAAAGAGTGTTTCAAAACTGCGCTATCAATAGAAAGGTTCAACTCTTTTAGTTGAGTACACACATCACGAAGAAGTTTCTGAGAATGCTTCTGTCTGGCTTTTATTGGAAGACGTTTCCTTTTCACCAAAGGCATCAAAGCGCTCCAAATGTCCACTTCCAGATTCTTCCAAAAGAGTGTTTCAAACGTGCTCGAAGTAAGGGAATGTTCTACTCTGTGACTTGAATGCAGATATCACCAAGTAGTTTCTAATAGTGCTTCTGTCTAGATTTTAGATGATGATATTCCCGTTTCCAACGAAATCATTAGAGCTATCCAAATATCCACTTACAGTTTCTACAAAAAGAGTGTTTCCAAACTGCTGCATCAAAAGAGAGGTTCCACTCTGTTAGCTGAGGACACACATCACAAAGAAGTTTGTGAGAATGCTTCTGTCCAGATTTTGTATGACGATATTCCCTTTTCCAACGATATCATTAAAGCAATCTAAATATCCATTTGCAGAATCCACAAAAATAGAGTTTCAAAGCTGCTCTGTAAAAAGAAAGGTTCCACTCTGTTAGCTGAGTACACACATCACAAACTTGTTTCTGAGAATCCTTCTGTCTCGTTTTTCTGGGAAGATATTTACTTTTTCACTGTAGGCATCAAAGCGCTCCAAATGTCCACATCCAGATACTCCAGAAAGAGTGTTTCAAACCTGCTCTATGAAAGGGAATCTTCAACTCTATGAGTTGAATGCAGACATCAGAAAGAAATTTCTGAGAATGCTGCTGTCTACCTTTTATTTGAACTCCCGCTTCCAACGAAATCCTCCAAGCTATCCAAATATCCACTTGCATTTTCCACAAAAAGAGTGCTTCAAAACTGCTCTATCAATAAATGTTCAACTCCTTTGGCTGGGTGCACACATCACAAACAAGTTTCTGAGAATGCTTCTGTCTAGTTTTTATGGGAAGACATTCCCTTTTTCACCAAAGGCATCAAAGCGCTCCAAATGTCCACTTCCAGACACTACAAAAAGAGTGTTTCAAACGTGCTCTAAGAAAGCGAATGTTCAACTCTGTGACTTGAATGCAGATATCACAAAGTAGTTTCTGAGAGGGCTTTCTGTCTAGATTTTAGATGATGATATTCCCGTTTCCAACGAAATCATTACAGCTATCCAAATATCCACTTACAGTTTCTACAAAAAGAGTGTTTCCAAACTGCTGCATCAAAAGAGAGGTTCCACTCTGTTAGTTGAGTACACACATCACAAACTTGTTTCTCAGAATCCTTCTGTCTCGTTTTTATGGGAAGATATTTACTTTTTCACCGTAGGCATCAAAGCGCTCCAAATGTCCACATCCAGATACTCCAGAAAGAGTGTTTCAAACCTGCTCTATGAAAGGGAATGTTCAACTCTATGAGTTGAATGCAGACATCAGAAAGAAATTTCTGAGAATGCTGCTGTCTACCTTTTATTTGAATTCCCGCTTCCAACGAAATCCTCCAAGCTATCCAAATATCCACTTGCAGATTCCACAAAAAGAGTGTTTCAAAACTGGTCTCTATCAATGGCAAAGTTCAACTCTGTTAGTTGAGGACACATATCACCAACAAGTTTCTGAGAATGCTTCTGTCTATTTTTTATGGGAAGATATTTCCTTTTTCACCGTAGGCGTCAAGGCGATCTGAAATGTCCACTTCCACAAACTACAAAAAGAGTGTTTCAAACCTGCTCTATGAAAGGCCATGTTCATCTCTATGAGTCGAATGGAAATATCCGAAAGAAATTTCTGGGAATGCTGCTGTCTAGTGTTTATACGAATTCCCGCTTCCAACGAAATCCTCAAAGCAATCCAAATATCCACTTGCAGAATCCACAAAAAGAGTGTTTCAAAACTGCTCTATCAATAGAAAGGTTCAACTCTTTTAGTTGAGTACACACATCACGAACAAGTTTCTGAGAATGCTTCTGTCTGGCTTTTATTGGAAGACGTTTCCTTTTCACCAAAGGCATCAAAGCGCTCCAAATGTCCACTTCCAGATTCTTCCAAAAGAGTGTTTCAAACGTGCTCGAAGTAAGGGAATGTTCATCTCTGTGACTTGAATGCAGATATCACCAAGTAGTTTCTAATAGTGCTTCTGTCTAGATTTTAGATGATGATATTCCCGTTTCCAACGAAATCGTTAGAGCTATCCAAATATCCACTTACAGTTGCTACAAAAACAGTGTTTCCAAACTGCTGCATCAAAAGAAAGGTTCAACTCTGTTAGTTGAGGACACACATCACAAAGAAGTTTGTGAGAATGCTTCTGTCTAGATTTTGTATGACCATATTCCCTTTTCCAACGATATCGTTAAAGCAATCTAAATATCAATTTGCAGAATCCACAAAAATAGAGTTTCAAAGCTGCTCTGTAAAAAGAAAGGTTCCACTCTGTTAGCTGAGTACACACATCACAAACTTGTTTCTCAGAATCCTTCTGTCTCGTTTTTATGGGAAGATATTTACTTTTCCACCGTAGGCATCAAAGCACTCCAAATGTCCACATCCAGATACTCCAGAACGAGTGTTTCAAACCTGCTCTATGAAAGGGAATCTTCAACTCTATGAGTTGAATGCAGACATCAGAAAGAAATTTCTGAGAATGCTGCTGTCTACCTTTTATTTGAATTCCCGCTTCCAACGAAATCCTCCAAGCTATCCAAATATCCACTTGCATTTTCCACAAAAAGAGTGTTTCAAAACTGCTCTATCAATAGAAATGTTCAACTCCTTTGGCTGGGTACACACATCACAAACAAGTTTCTGAGAATGCTTCTGTCTAGTTTTTATGGGAAGACATTCCCTTTTTCACCAAAGGCATCAAAGCGCTCCAAATGTCCACTTCCAGACACTACAAAAAGAGTGTTTCCAACGTGCTCTAAGAAACCGAATGTTCAACTCTGTGACTTGAATGCAGATATCACAAAGTAGTTTCTGAGAGGGCTTCTGTCTAGATTTTAGATGATGATATTCCCGTTTCCAACGAAATCATTAGAGCTATCCAAATATCCACTTACAGTTTCTACAAAAAGAGTGTTTCCAAACTGCTGCATCAAAAGAGAGGTTCCACTCTGTTAGCTGAGTACACACATCACAAACTTGTTTCTCAGAATCCTTCTGTCTCGTTTTTATGGGAAGATATTTACTTTTTCACCGTAGGCATCAAAGCGCTCCAAATGTCCACATCCAGATACTCCAGAAAGAGTGTTTCAAACCTGCTCTATGAAAGGGAATGTTCAACTCTATGAGTTGAATGCAGACATCAGAAAGAAACTTCTGAGAATGCTGCTGTCTACCATTTATTTGAATTCCCGCTTCCAACGAAATCCTCCAAGCTATACAAATATCCACTTGCAGATTCAGGAAAAAGAGTGTTTCAAAACTGCTCTCTATCAATGGCAAAGTTCAACTCTGTTAGTTGAGGACACATATCACCAACAAGTTTCTGAGAATGCTTCTGTCTATTTTTTATGGGAAGATATTTCCTTTTTCACCGTAGGCGTCAAGGCGATCGAAATGTCCACTTCCACAAACTACAAAAAGAGTGTTTCAAACCTGCTCTATGAAAGGCCATGTTCATCTCTATGAGTTGAATGGAAATATCCGAAAGAAATTTCTGGGAATGCTGCTGTCTAGTTTTTATACGAATTCCCGCTTCCAACGAAATCCTCAAAGCAATCCAAATATCCACTTACAGAATCCACAAAAAGAGTGTTTCAAAACTGCTCTATCAATAGAAAGGTTCAACTCTTTTAGTTGAGTACACACATCACAAACAAGTTTCTGAGAATGCTTCTGTCTGGCTTTTATTGGAAGACGTTTCCTTTTCACCAAAGGCATCAAAGCGCTCCAAATGTCCACTTCCAGATTCTTCCAAAAGAGTGTTTGAAACGTGCTCAAAGTAAGGGAATGTTCAACTCTGTGACTTGAATGCAGATATCACCAAGTAGTTTCTAATAGTGCTTCTGTCTAGATTTTAGATGATGATATTCCCGTTTCCAACGAAATCGTTAGACCTATCCAAATATCCACTTACAGTTTCTACAAAAAGAGTGTTTCCAAACTGCTGCATCAAAAGAAAGGTTCAACTCTGTTAGTTGAGGACACACATCACAAAGAAGTTTCTGAGAAAGCTTCTGTCTAGATTTTGTATGACGATATTCCCTTTTCCAACGATATCGTTAAAGCAATCTAAATATCCATTTGCAGAATCCACAAAAATAGAGTTTCAAAGCTGCTCTGTAAAAAGAAAGGTTCCACTCTGTTAGCTGAGTGCACACATCACAAACTTGTTTCTGAGAATCCTGGCGTTTTCCTTTTATTTGAATTCCCGCTTCCAACGAAATCCTCCAAGCTATCCAAATATCCACTTGCATTTTCCACAAAAAGAGTGTTTCAAAACTGCTCTATCAATGGAAATGTTCAACTCCTTTAGCTGGGTACACACATCACAAACAAGTTTCTGAGAATGCTTCTGTCTAGTTTTTATGGGAAGACATTCCCTTTTTCACCAAAGGCATCAAAGCGCTCCAAATGTCCACTTCCAGACACTACAAAAAGAGTGTTTCAAACGTGCTCTAAGAAAGCGAATGTTCAACTCTGTGACTTGAATGCAGATATCACAAAGTAGTTTTTGAGAGGGCTTCTGTCTAGATTTTAGATGATGATATTCCCGTTTCCAAAGAAATCATTAGAGCTATCCAAATATCCACTTACAGTTTCTACAAAAAGAGTGTTTCCAAACTGCTGCATCAAAACAGAGGTTCCACTCTGTTAGCTGAGTACACACATCACAAACTAGTTTCTCAGAATCCTGCTGTCTACCTTTTATTTGAATTCCCGCTTCCAACTAAATCCTCCAAGCTATCCAAATATCCACTTGCAGATTCCACAAAAAGAGTGTTTCAAAACTGCTCTCTATCAATGGCAAAGTTCAACTCTGTTAGTTGAGGACACATATCACCAACAAGTTTCTGAGAATGCTTCTGTCTATTTTTTATGGGAAGATATTTCCTTTTTCACCGTAGGCGTCAAGGCGATCGAAATGTCCACTTCCACAAACTACAAAAAGAGTGTTTCAAACCTGCTCTATGAAAGGCCATGTTCATCTCTATGAGTTGAATGGAAATATCCGAAAGAAATTTCTGGGAATGCTGCTGTCTAGTGTTTATACGAATTCCCGCTTCCAACGAAATCCTCAAAGCAATCCAAATATCCACTTGCAGAATCCACAAAAAGAGTGTTTCAAAACTGCTCTATCAATAGAAAGGTTCAACTCTTTTAGTTGAGTACACACATCACCAACAAGTTTCTCAGAATGCTTCTGTCTGGCTTTTATTGGAAGACGTTTCCTTTTCACCAAAGGCATCAAAGCGCTCCAAATGTCCACTTCCAGATTCTTCCAAAAGAGTGTTTCAAACGTGCTCGAAGTAAGGGAATGTTCTACTCTGTGACTTGAATGCAGATATCACCAAGTAGTTTCTAATAGTGCTTCTGTCTAGATTTTAGATGATGATATTCCCGTTTCCAACGAAATCGTTAGAGCTATCCAAATATCCAGTTACAGTTTCTACCAAAAGGGTGTTTCCAAATTGCTGCATAAAAAGAAAGGTTCAACTCTGTTAGTTGAGGACACACATCACAAAGAAGTTTGTGAGAATGCTTCTGTCCAGATTTTGTATGACGATATTCCCTTTTCCAACGATATCGTTAAAGCAATCTAAATATCAATTTGCAGAATCCACAAAAATAGAGTTTCAAAGCTGCTCTGTAAAAAGAAAGGTTCCACTCAGTTAGCTGAGTACACACATCACAAACTTGTTTCTGAGAATCCTTCTGTCTCGTTTTTATGGGAAGATATTTACTTTTTCACCGTAGGCATCAAAGCGCTCCAAATGTCCACATCGAGATACTCCAGAAAGAGTGTTTCAAACCTGCTCTATGAAAGGGAATCTTCAACTCTATGAGTTGAATGCAGACATCAGAAAGAAATTTCTGAGAATGCTGCTGTCTACCTTTTATTTGAATTCCCGCTTCCAACGAAATCCTCCAAGCTGTCCAAATATCCACCTGCATTTTCCACAAAAAGAGTGTTTCAAAACTGCTCTATCAATAGAAATGTTCAACTCCTTTGGCTGGGTACACACATCACAAACAAGTTTCTGAGAATGCTTCTGTCTAGTTTTTATGGGAAGACATTCCCTTTTTCACCGAAGGCATCAAAGCGCTCCAAATGTCCACTTCCAGACACTACGAAAAGAGTGTTTCAAACGTGCTCTAAGAAACCGAATGTTCAACTCTGTGAGTTGAATGCAGATATCACAAAGTAGTTTCTGAGAGGGCTTCTGTCTAGATTTTAGATGATGATATTCCCGTTTCCAACGAAATCATTAGAACTATCCAAATATCCACTTACAGTTTCTACAAAAAGAGCGTTTCCAAACTGCTGCATCAAAAGAGAGGTTCCACTCTGTTAGCTGAGTACACACATCACAAACTTGTTTCTCAGAATCCTTCTGTCTAGCTTTTATGGGAAGATATTTTCTTTTTCACCGTAGGCATCAAAGCGTTCCAAATGTCCACATCCAGATAGTACAGAAAGAGTGTTTCAAACCTGCTCTATGAAAGGGAATCTTCAACTCTATGAGTTGAATGCAAACGTCACAAAGAAATTTCTGAGAATGCTGCTGTCTACCTTTTATTTGAATTCCCGCTTCCAACGAAATCCTCCAAGCTATCCAAATATCCACTTACAGATTCCACAAAAAGAGTGTTTCAAAACTGCTCTCTATCAATGGCAAAGTTCAACTCTGTTAGTTGAGGACACATATCACCAACAAGTTTCTGAGAATGCTTCTGTCTATTTTTTATGGGAAGATATTTCCTTTTTCACCGTAGGCGTCAAGGCGATCGAAATGTCCACTTCCACAAACTACAAAAAGAGTGTTTCAAACCTGCTCTATGAAAGGCCATGTTCATCTCTATGAGTTGAATGGAAATATCCGAAAGAAATTTCTGGGAATGCTGCTGTCTAGTGTTTATACGAATTCCCGCTTCCAACGAAATCCTCAAAGCAATCCAAATATCCACTTGCAGAATCCACAAAAAGAGTGTTTCAAAACTGCTCTATCAATAGAAAGGTTCAACTCTTTTTGTTGAGTACACACATCACGAACAAGTTTCTCAGAATGCTTCTGTCTGGCTTTTATTGGAAGACGTTTCCTTTTCACCAAAGGCATCAAAGCGCTCCAAATGTCCACTTCCAGATTCTTCCAAAAGAGTGTTTCAAACGTGCTCAAAGTAAGGGAATGTTCAACTCTGTGACTTGAATGCAGATATCACCAAGTAGTTTCTAATACTGCTTCTGTCTACATTTTAGATGATGATATTCCCGTTTCCAACGAAATCGTTAGAGCTATCCAAATATCCAGTTACAGTTTCTACCAAAAGGGTGTTTCCAAATTGCTGCATCAAAAGAAAGGTTCAACTCTGTTAGTTGAGGACACACATCACAAAGAAGTTTGTGAGAATGCTTCTGTCTAGATTTTGTATGAGGATATTCCCTTTTCCAACGATATCGTTAAAGCAATCTAAATATCAATTAGCAGAATCCACAAAACTAGAGTTTCAAAGCTGCTCTGTAAAAAGAAAGGTTCCACTCTGTTAGCTGAGTACACACATCACAAACTTGTTTCTGAGAATCCTGCTGTCTACCTTTTATTTGAATTCCCGCTTCCAACGAAATCCTCCAAGCTATCCAAATATCCACTTGCATTTTCCACAAAAAGAGTGTTTCAAAACTGCTCTATCAATAGAAATGTTCAACTCCTTTAGCTGGGTACACACATCACAAACAAGTTTCTGAGAATGCTTCTGTCTAGTTTTTATGGGAAGACATTCCCTTTTTCACCAAAGGCATCAAAGCGCTCCAAATGTCCACTTCCAGACACTAGAAAAAGAGTGTTTCAAACGTGCTCTAAGAAAGCGAATGTTCAACTCTGTGACTTGAATGCAGATATCACAAAGTAGTTTCTGAGAGGGCTTCTGTCTAGATTTTAGATGATGATATTCCCGTTTCCAACGAAATCATTAGAGCTATCCAAATATCCACTTACAGTTTCTACAAAAAGAGTGTTTCCAAACTGCTGCATCAAAAGAGAGGTTCCACTCTGTTAGCTGAGTACACACATCACAAACTTGTTTCTCAGAATCCTTATGTCTCGTTTTTATGGGAAGATATTTACTTTTTCACCGTAGGCATCAAAGCGCTCCAAATGTCCACATCCAGATACTCCAGAAAGAGTGTTTCAAACCTGCTCTATGAAAGGGAATCTTCAACTCTATGAGTTGAATGCAGACATCAGAAAGAAATTTCTGAGAATGCTGCTGTCTACCTTTTATTTGAATTCCCGCTTCCAACGAAATCCTCCAAGCTATCCAAATATCCACCTGCATTTTCCACAACAAGAGTGTTTCAAAACTGCTCTATCAATAGAAATGTTCAACTCCTTTGGCTGGGTACACACATCACAAACTAGTTTCTGAGAATGCTTCTGTCTATTTTTTATGGGAAGATATTTCCTTTTTCACCGTAGGCGTCAAGGCGATCGAAATGTCCACTTCCACAAACTACAAAAAGAGTGTTTCAAACCTGCTCTATGAAAGGCCATGTTCATCTCTATGAGTCGAATGGAAATATCCGAAAGAAATTTCTGGGAATGCTGCTGTCTAGTTTTTATACGAATTCCCGCTTCCAACGAAATCCTCAAAGCAATCCAAATATCCACTTGCAGAATCCACAAAAAGAGTGTTTCAAAACTGCTCTATCAATAGAAAGGTTCAACTCTTTTAGTTGAGTACACACATCACAAACAAGTTTCTGAGAATGCTTCTGTCTGGCTTTTATTGGAAGACGTTTCCTTTTCACCAAAGGCATCAAAGCGCTCCAAATGTCCACTTCCAGATTCTTCCAAAAGAGTGTTTCAAACGTGCTCGAAGTAAGGGAATGTTCAACTCTGTGACTTGAATGCAGATATCACCAAGTAGTTTCTAATAGTGCTTCTGTCTACATTTTAGATGATGATATTCCCGTTTCCAACGAAATCGTTAGAGCTATCCAAATATCCAGTTACAGTTTCTACCAAAAGGGTGTTTCCAAATTGCTGCATCAAAAGAAAGGTTCAACTCTGTTAGTTGAGGGCACACATCACAAAGAAGTTTGTGAGAATGCTTCTGTCTAGATTTTGCATGACGATATTCCCTTTTCCAACGATATCGTTAAAGCAATCTAAATACCAATTTGCAGAATCCACAAAAATAGAGTTTCAAAGCTGCTCTGTAAAAAGAAAGGTTCCACTCTGTTAGCTGAGTACACACATCACAAACTTGTTTCTGAGAATCCTTCTGTCTCGTTTTTATGGGAAGATATTTACTTTTCCACCGTAGGCATCAAAGCGCTCCAAATGTCCACATCCAGATACTCCAGAAAGAGTGTTTCAAACCTGCTCTATGAAAGGGAATCTTCAACTCTATGATTTGAATGCAGACATCAGAAAGAAATTTCTGAGAATGCTGCTGTCTACCTTTTATTTGAATTCCCTCTTCCAACGAAATCCTCCAAGCTATCCAAATATCCACTTGCATTTTCCACAAAAAGAGTGTTTCAAAACTGCTGTATCAATAGAAATGTTCAACTCCTTTAGCTGGGTACACACATCACAAACAAGTTTCTGAGAATGCTTCTGTCTAGTTTTTATGGGAAGACGTTCCCTTTTTCACCAAAGGCATCAAAGCGCTCCAAATGTCCACTTCCAGACACTACAAAAAGAGTGTTTCCAACGTGCTCTAAGAAAGCGAATGTTCAACTCTGTGACTTGAATGCAGATATCACAAAGTAGTTTCTGAGAGGGCTTCTGTCTAGATTTTAGATGATGATATTCCCGTTTCCAACGAAATCATTAGAGCTATCCAAATATCCACTTACAGTTTCTACAAAAAGAGTGTTTCCAAACTGCTGCATCAAAAGAGAGGTTCCACTCTGTTAGCTGAGTACACACATCACAAACTTGTTTCTCAGAATCCTTCTGTCTCGTTTTTATGGGAAGATATTTACTTTTTCACCGTAGGCATCAAAGCGCTCCAAATGTCCACATCCAGATACTACAGAAAGAGTATTTCAAACCTGCCCTATGAAAGGGAATGTTCAACTCTATGAGTTGAATGCAGACATCAGAAAGAAATTTCTGAGAATGCTGCTGTCTACCTTTTATTTGAATTCCCGCTTCCAACGAAATCCTCCCAACTATCCAAATATCCACTTGCAGATTCAGGAAAAAGAGTGTTTCAAAACTGCTCTCTATCAATGGCAAAGTTCAACTCTGTTAGTTGAGGACACATATCACCAACAAGTTTCTGAGAATGCTTCTGTCTATTTTTTATGGGAAGATATTTCCTTTTTCACCGTAGGCGTCAAGGCGATCGAAATGTCCACTTCCACAAACTACATAAAGAGTGTTTCAAACCTGCTCTATGAAAGGCCATGTTCATCTCTATGAGTTGAATGGAAATATCCGAAAGAAATTTCTGGGAATGCTGCTGTCTAGTGTTTATACGAATTCCCGCTTCCAACGAAATCCTCAAAGCAATCCAAATATCCACTTGCAGAATCCACAAAAAGAGTGTTTCAAAACTGCTCTATCAATAGAAAGGTTCAACTCTTTTAGTTGAGTACACACATCACGAACAAGTTTCTGAGAATGCTTCTGTCTGGCTTTTATTGGAAGACGTTTCCTTTTCAACAAAGGCATCAAAGCGCTCCAAATGTCCACTTCCAGATTCTTCCAAAAGAGTGTTTCAAACGTGCTCGAAGTAAGGGAATGTTCAACTCTGTGACTTGAATGCAGATATCACCAAGTAGTTTCTAATAGTGCTTCTGTCTAGATTTTAGATGATGATATTCCCGTTTACAACGAAATCGTTAGAGCTATCCAAATATCCAGTTACAGTTTCTACCAAAAGGGTGTTTCCAAATTGCTGCATCAAAAGAAAGGTTCAACTCTGTTAGTTGAGGACACACATCACAAAGAAGTTTGTGAGAATGCTTCTGTCTAGATTTTGTATGACGATATTCCCTTTTCCAACGATATCGTTAAAGCAATCTAAATATCAATTTGCAGAATCCACAAAAATAGACTTTCAAAGCTGCTCTGTAAAAAGAAAGGTTCCACTCTTTTAGCTGAGTACACACATCACAAACTTGTTTCTGAGAATCCTTCTGTCTCGTTTTTATGGGAAGATATTTACTTTTTCACCGCAGGCATCAAAGCGCTCCAAATGTCCACATCCAGATACTCCAGAAAGGGTGTTTCAAACCTGCTCTATGAAAGGGAATCTTCAACTCTATGAGTTGAATGCAGACATCAGAAAGAAATTTCTGAGAATGCTGCTGTCTACCTTTTATTTGAATTCCCGCTTCCAACGAAATCCTCCAAGCTATCCAAATATCCACCTGCATTTTCCACAAAAAGAGTGTTTCAAAACTGCTCTATCAATAGAAATGTTCAACTCCTTTGGCTGGGTACACACATCACAAACAAGTTTCTGAGAATGCTTCTGTCTAGTTTTTATGGGTAGACATTCCCTTTTTCACCAAAGGAATCAAAGCGCTCCAAATGTCCACTTCCAGACACTACAAAAAGAGTGTTTCAAACGTGCTCTAAGAAAGCGAATGTTCAACTCTGTGACTTGAATGCAGATATCACACAGTAGTTTCTGAGAGTGCTTTCTGTCTAGATTTTAGATGATGATATTCCCGTTTCCAACGAAATCATTAGAGCTATCCAAATATCCACTTACAGTTTCTACAAAAAGAGTGTTTCCAAACTGCTGCATCAAAAGAGAGGTTCCACTCTGTTAGCTGAGTACACACATCACAAACTTGTTTCTCAGAATCCTTCTGTCTAGTTTTTATGGGAAGATATTTACTTTTTCACCGTAGGTATCAAAGCGCTCCAAATGTCCTCATCCAGATACTACAGAAAGAGTGTTTCAAACCTGCTCTATGAAAGGGATTCTTCAACTCTATGGGTTGAATGCACACATCAGAAAGTAATTTCTGAGAATGCTGCTGTCTACCTTTTATTAGAATTCCCGCTTCCAACGAAATCCTCCAAGCTATCCAAATATCCACCTGCATTTTCCACAACAAGAGTGTTTCAAAACTGCTCTATCAATAGAAATGTTCAACTCCTTTGGCTGGGTACACACATCACAAACAAGTTTCTGAGAATGCTTCTGTCTATTGTTTATGGGAAGATATTTCCTTTTTCACCGTAGGCGTCAAGGCGATCGAAATGTCCACTTCCACAAACTACAAAAAGAGTGTTTCAAACCTGCTCTATGAAAGGCCATGTTCATCTCTATGAGTTGAATGGAAATATCCGAAAGAAATTTCTGGGAATGCTGCTGTCTAGTGTTTATACGAATTCCCGCTTCCAACGAAATCCTCTAAGCAATCCAAATATCCACTTGCAGAATCCACAAAAAGAGTGTTTCAAAACTGCTCTATCAATAGAAAGGTTCAACTCTTTTAGTTGAGTACACACATCACCAACAAGTTTGCTGAGAATGCTTCTGTCTGGCTTTTATTGGAAGACGTTTCCTTTTCACCAAAGGCATCAAAGCGCTCCAAATGTCCACTTCCAGATTCTTCCAAAAGAGTGTTTCAAACGTGCTCGAAGTAAGGGAATGTTCTACTCTGTGACTTGAATGCAGATATCACCAAGTAGTTTCTAATAGTGCTTCTGTCTAGATTTTAGATGATGATATTCCCGTTTCCAACGAAGTCGCTAGAGCTATCCAAATATCCAGTTACAGTTTCTACCAAAAGGGTGTTTCCAAATTGCTGCATCAAAAGAAAGGTTCAACTCTGTTAGTTGAGGACACACATCACAAAGAAGTTTGTGAGAATGCTTCTGTCTAGATTTTCTATGACGATATTCCCTTTTCCAACGATATCGTTAAAGCAATCTAAATATCAATTTGCAGAATCCACAAAAATAGAGTTTCAAAGCTGCTCTGTAAAAAGAAAGGTTCCACTCTGTTAGCTGAGTACACACATCACAAACTTGTTTCTGAGAATCCTTCTGTCTCGTTTTTATGGGAAGATATTTACTTTTTCACCGTAGGCATCAAAGCGCTCCAAATGTCCACATCCAGATACTCCAGAAAGAGTGTTTCAAACCTGCTCTATGAAAGGGAATCTTCAACTCTATGAGTTGAATGCAGACATCAGAAAGAAATTTCTGAGAATGCTGCTGTCTACCTTTTATTTGAATTCCCGCTTCCAACGAAATCCTCCAAGCTATCCAAATATCCACGTGCATTTTCCACAACAAGAGTGTTTCAAAACTGCTCTATCAATAGAAATGTTCAACTCCTTTGGCTGGGTACACACATCACAAACAAGTTTCTGAGAATGCTTCTGTCTAGTTTTTATGGGAAGACATTCCCTTTTTCACCAAAGGCATCAAAGCGCTCCAAATGTCCACTTCCAGACACTACAAAAAGAGTGTTTCAAACGTGCTCTAAGAAACCGAATGTTCAACTCTGTGACTTGAATGCAGATATCACAAAGTAGTTTCTGAGAGGGCTTCTGTCTAGATTTTAGATGATGATATTCCCGTTTCCAACGAAATCATTAGAGCTATCCAAATATCCACTTACAGTTTCTACAAAAAGAGTGTTTCCAAACTGCTGCATCAAAAGAGAGGTTCCCCTCTGTTAGCTGAGTACACACATCACAAACTTGTTTCTCAGAATCCTGCTGTCTACCTTTAATTTGAATTCCCGCTTCCAACGAAATCCTCCAAGCTATCCAAATATCCACTTGCAGATTCCACAAAAAGAGTGTTTCAAAACTGCTCTCTATCAATGGCAAAGTTCAACTCTGTTAGTTGAGGACACATATCACCAACAAGTTTCTGAGAATGCTTCTGTCTATTTTTTATGGGAAGATATTTCCTTTTTCACCGTAGGCGTCAAGGCGATTGAAATGTCCACTTCCACAAACTACAAAAAGAGTGTTTCAATATGAAAGGCCATGTTCATCTCTATGAGTTGAATGGAAATATCCAAAAGAAATTTCTGGGAATGCTGCTGTCTAGTTGTTATACGAATTCCCGCTTCCAACGAAATCCTCAAAGCAATCCAAATATCCACTTGCAGAATCCACAAAAAGAGTGTTTCAAAACTGCTCTGTCAATAGAAAGGTTCAACTCTGTTAGCTGCGTGCATATATCCCAAAGAAGATTCTGAGATTGCTTCTGTCTGGCTTTTATTGGAAGACGTTTCCTTTTCACCAAAGGCATCAAAGCGCTCCAAATGTCCACTTCCAGATTCTTCCAAAAGAGTGTTTGAAACGTGCTCAAAGTAAGGGAATGTTCAACTCTGTGACTTGAATGCAGATATCACCAAGTAGTTTCTAATAGTGCTTCTGTCTAGATTTTAGATGATGATATTCCCGTTTCCAACGAAATCGTTAGAGCTATCCAAATATCCACTTACAGTTTCTACAAAAAGAGTGTTTCCAAACTGCTGCATCAAAAGAAAGGTTCAACTCTGTTAGTTGAGGACACACGTCACAAAGAAGTTTGTGAGAATGCTTCTGTCCAGATTTTGTATGACGATATTCCCTTTTCCAACGATATCGTTAAAGCAATCTAAATATCCATTTGCAGAATCCACAAAAATAGAGTTTCAAAGCTGCTCTGTAAAAAGAAAGGTTCCACTCTGTTAGCTGAGTACACACATCACAAACTTGTCTCTCAGAATCCTTCTGTCTCGTTTTTATGGGAAGATATTTACTTTTTCACCGTAGGCATCAAAGCGCTCCAAATGTCCACATCCAGATACTCCAGAAAGAGTGTTTCAAACCTGCTCTATGAAAGGGAATCTTCAACTCTATGAGTTGAATGCAGACATCAGAAAGAAATTTCTGAGAATGCTGCTGTCTACCTTTTATTTGAACTCCTGCTTCCAACGAAATCCTCCAAGCTATCCAAATATCCACTTGCATTTTCCACAAAAAGAGTGCTTCAAAACTGCTCTATCAATAAATGTTCAACTCCTTTAGCTGGGTGCACACATCACAAACAAGTTTCTGAGAATGCTTCTGTCTAGTTTTTATTGGAAGATATTCCCTTTTTCACCAAAGGCATCAAAGCGCTCCAAATTTCCACTTCCAGACACTACAAAAAGAGTGTTTCAAACGTGCTCTAAGAAAGCGAATGTTCAACTCTGTGACTTGAATGCAGATATCACAAAGTAGTTTTTGAGAGGGCTTCTCTCTAGATTTTAGATGATGATATTCCCGTTTCCAACGAAATCATTAGAGCTATCCAAATATCCACTTACAGTTTCTACAAAAAAAGTGTTTCCAAACTGCTGCATCAAAAGACAGGTTCCACTCTGTTAGCTGAGTACACACATCACAAACTTGTTTCTGAGAATCCTTCTGTCTCGTTTTTATGGGAAGATATTTACTTTTTCACCGTAGGCATCAAAGCGCTCCAAATGTCCACATCCAGATACTCCAGAAAGAGTATTTCAAACCTGCCCTATGAAAGGGAATGTTCAACTCTATGAGTTGAATGCAGAGATCAGAAAGAAATTTCCTGAGAATGCTGCTGTCTACCTTTTATTTGAATTCCCGCTTCCAACGAAATCCTCCAAGCTATCCAAATATCCACTTGCAGATTCCAAAAAAAGAGTGTTTCAAAACTGCTCTCTATCAATGGCAAAGTTCAACTCTGTTAGTTGAGGGCACATATCACCAACAAGTTTCTGAGAATGCTTCTGTCTATTTTTTATGGGAAGATATTTCCTTTTTCACCGTAGGCGTCAAGGCGATCGAAATGTCCACTTCCACAAACTACAAAAAGAGTGTTTCAGTATGAAAGGCCATGTTCATCTCTATGAGTTGAATGGAAATATCCGAAAGAAATTTCTGGGAATGCTGCTGTCTAGTGTTTATACGAATTCCCGCTTCCAACGAAATCCTCAAAGCAATCCAAATATCCACTTGCAGAATCCACAAAAAGAGTGTTTCAAAACTGCTCTATCAATAGAAAGGTTCAACTCTTTTAGTTGAGTACACACATCACGAACAAGTTTCTGAGAATGCTTCTGTCTGGCTTTTATTGGAAGACGTTTCCTTTCCACCAAAGGCATCAAAGCGCTCCAAATGTCCACTTCCAGATTCTTCCAAAAGAGTGTTTCAAACGTGCTCAAAGTAAGGGAATGTTCAACTCTGTGACTTGAATGCAGATATCACCAAGTAGTTTCTAATAGTGCTTCTGTCTAGATTTTAGATGATGATATTCCCGTTTCCAACGAAATCGTTAGAGCTATCCAAATATCCACTTACAGTTGCTACAAAAACAGTGTTTCCAAACTGCTGCATCAAAAGAAAGGTTCAACTCTGTTAGTTGAGGACACACATCACAAAGAAGTTTGTGAGAATGCTTCTGTCTAGATTTTGTATGACGATATTCCCTTTTCCAACGATATCGTTAAAGCAATCTAAATATCCATTTGCAGAATCCACAAAAATAGAGTTTCAAAGCTGCTCTGTAAAAAGAAAGGTTCCACTCTGTTAGCTGAGTACACACATCACAAACTTGTTTGCTCAGAATCCTTCTGTCTCGTTTTTATGGGAAGATATTTACTTTTCCACCGTAGGCATCAAAGCGCTCCAAATGTCCACATCCAGATACTCCAGAACGAGTGTTTCAAACCTGCTCTATGAAAGGGAATCTTCAACTCTATGAGTTGAATGCAGACATCAGAAAGAAATTTCTGAGAATGCTGCTGTCTACCTTTTATTTGAATTCCCGCATCCAACGAAATCCTCCAAGCTATCCAAATATCCACTTGCATTTTCCACAACAAGAGTGTTTCAAAACTGCTCTATCAATAGAAACGTTCAACTCCTTTGGCTGGGTACACACATCACAAACAAGTTTCTGAGAATGCTTCTGTCTAGTTTTTATGGGTAGACATTCCCTTTTTCACAAAAGGAATCAAAGCGCTCCAAATGTCCACTTCCAGACACTACAAAAAGAGTGTTTCAAACGTGCTCTAAGAAAGCGAATGTTCAACTCTGTGACTTGAATGCAGATATCACAAAGTAGTTTCTGAGAGGGCTTCTGTCTAGATTTTAGATGATGATATTCCCGTTTCCAACGAAATCATTAAAGCTATCCAAATATCCACTTACAGTTTCTACAAAAAGAGTGTTTCCAAACTGCTGCATCAAAAGAGAGGTTCCACTCTGTTAGCTGAGTACACACATCACAAACTTGTTTCTCAGAATCCTTCTGTCTCGTTTTTATGGGAAGATATTTACGTTTTCACCGTAGGCATCAAAGCGCTCCAAATGTCCACATCCAGATACTACAGAAAGAGTATTTCAAACCTGCCCTATGAAAGGGAATGTTCAACTCTATGAGTTGAATGCAGACATCAGAAAGAAATTTCTGAGAATGCTGCTGTCTACCTTTTATTTGAATTCCCGCTTCCAACGAAATCCTCCAAGCTATCCAAATATCCACTTGCAGATTCCACAAAAAGAGTGTTTCAAAACTGCTCTCTATCAATGGCAAAGTTCAACTCTGTTAGTTGAGGACACATATCACCAACAAGTTTCTGAGAATGCTTCTGTCTATTTTTTATGGGAAGATATTTTCTTTTTCACCGTAGGCGTCAAGGCGATCGAAATGTCCACTTCCACAAACTACAAAAAGAGTGTTTCAAACCTGCTCTATGAAAGGCGATGTTCATCTCTATGAGTTGAATGGAAATATCCGAAAGAAATTTCTGGGAATGCTGCTGTCTAGTTTTTATACGAATTCCCGCTTCCAACGAAATCCTCAAAGCAATCCAAATATCCACTTGCAGAATCCACAAAAAGAGTGTTTCAAAACTGCTCTATCAATAGAAAGGTTCAACTCTTTTAGTTGAGTACACACATCACAAACAAGTTTCTGAGAATGCTTCTGTCTGGCTTTTATTGGAAGACGTTTCCTTTTCACCAAAGGCATCAAAGCGCTCCAAATGTCCACTTCCAGATTCTTCCAAAAGAGTGTTTCAAACGTGCTCAAAGTAAGGGAATGCTCAACTCTTTGACTTGAATGCAGATATCACCAAGTAGTTTCTAATAGTGCTTCTGTCTACATTTTAGATGATGATATTCCCGTTTCCAACGAAATCGTTAGATCTATCCAAATATCCAGTTACAGTTTCTACCAAAAGGGTGTTTCCAAATTGCTGCATCAAAAGAAAGGTTCAACTCTGTTAGTTGAGGACACACATCACAAAGAAGTTTGTGAGAATGCTTCTGTCTAGATTTTGTATGACGATATTCCCTTTTCCAACGATTATCGTTAAAGCAATCTAAATATCAATTTGCAGAATCCACAAAAATAGAGTTTCAAAGCTGCTCTGTAAAAAGAAAGGTTCCACTCTGTTAGCTGAGTACACACATCACAAACTTGTTTCTGAGAATCCTTCTGTCTCGTTTTTATGGGAAGATATTTACTTTTTCACCGTAGGCATCAAAGCGCTCCAAATGTCCACATCCAGATACTCCAGAAAGAGTGTTTCAAACCTGCTCTATGAAAGGGAATCTTCAACTCTATGAGTTGAATGCAGACATCAGAAAGAAATTTCTGAGAATGCTCTGTCTACCTTTTATTTGAATTCCCGCTTCCAACGAAATCCTCCAAGCTATCCAAATATCCACCTGCATTTTCCACAAAAAGAGCGTTTCAAAACTGCTCTATCAATAGAAATGTTCAACTCCTTTGGCTGGGTACACACATCACAAACAAGTTTCTGAGAATGCTTTCTGTCTAGTTTTTATGGGAAGACATTCCCTTTTTCACCAAAGACATCAAAGCGCTCCAAATGTCCACTTCCAGACACTACAAAAAGAGTGTTTCAAACGTGCTCTAAGAAAGCGAATGTTCAACTCTGTGACTTGAATGCAGATATCACAAAGTAGTTTCTGAGAGTGCTTCTGTCTAGATTTTAGATGATGATATTCCCGTTTCCAACGAAATCATTAGAGCTATCCAAATATCCACTTACAGTTTCTACAAAAAGAGTGTTTCCAAACTGCTGCATCAAAAGAGAGGTTCCACTCTGTTAGCTGAGTACACACATCACAAACTTGTTTCTCAGAATCCTTCTGTCTCGTTTTTATGGGAAGATATTTACTTTTTCACCGTAGGCATCAAAGCGCTCCAAATGTCCACATCCAGATACTCCAGAAAGAGTGTTTCAAACCTGCTCTATGAAAGGGGATCTTCAACTCTATGAGTTGAATGCAGACATCAGAAAGAAATTTCTGAGAATGCTGCTGTCTACTTTTATTTGAATTCCCGCTTCCAACGAAATCCTCCAAGCTATCCAAATATCCACTTGCAGATTCCACAAAAAGAGTGTTTCAAAACTGCTCTCTATCAATGGCAAAGTTCAACTCTGTTAGTTGAGGACACATATCACCAACAAGTTTCTGAGAATGCTTCTGTCTATTTTTTATGGGAAGATATTTCCTTTTTCAGCGTAGGCGTCAAGGCGATCGAAATGTCCACTTCCACAAACTACAAAAAGAGTGTTTCAAACCTGCTCTATGAAAGGCCATGTTCATCTCTATGAGTTGAATGGAAATATCCGAAAGAAATTTCTGGGAATGCTGCTGTCTAGTTTTTATATGAATTCCCGCTTCCAATGAAATCCTCAAAGCAATCCAAATATCCACTTGCAGAATCCACAAAAAGAGTGTTTCAAAACTGCTCTATCAATAGAAAGGTTCAACTCTTTTAGTTGAGTACACACATCACCAACAAGTTTCTGAGAATGCTTCTGTCTGGCTTTTATTGGAAGACGTTTCCTTTTCACCAAAGGCATCAAAGCGCTCCAAATGTCCACTTCCAGATTCTTCCAAAAGAGTGTTTCAAACGTGCTCAAAGTAAGGGAATGTTCAACTCTGTGACTTGAATGCAGATATCACCAAGTAGTTTCTAATAGTGCTTCTGTCTAGATTTTAGATGATGATATTCCCGTTTCCAACGAAATCGTTAGAGCTATCCAAATATCCAGTTACAGTTTCTACAAAAAGAGTGTTTTCAAACTGCTGCATCAAAAGAAAGGTTCAACTCTGTTAGTTGAGGACACACATCACAAAGAAGTTTGTGAGAATGCTTCTGTCTAGATTTTGTATGAAGATATTCCCTTTTCCATCGATATCATTAAATCAACCCAAATATCAATTTGCAGAATCCACAGAAATAGAGTTTCAAAGCTGCTCTGTAAAAAGGTAGGATCCACTCTGTTAGCTGAGTACACACATCACAAACTTGTTTCTGAGAATCCTGCTGTCTACCTTTTATTTGAATTCCCGCTTCCAACGAAATCCTCCAAGCTATCCAAATATCCACTTGCATTTTCCACAACAAGAGTGTTTCAAAACTGCTCTATCAATAGAAATGTTCAACTCCTTTGGCTGGGTACACACATCACAAACAAGTTTCTGAGAATGCTTCTGCCTAGTTTTTATGGGAAGACATTCCCTTTTTCACCAAAGCCATCAAAGCGCTCCAAATGTCCACTTCCAGACACTACAAAAAGAGTGTTTCAAACGTGCTCTATGAAAGCGAATGTTCAACTCTGTGACTTGAATGCAGATATCACAGAGTAGTTTCTGAGAGTGCTTCTGTCTAGATTTTAGATGATGATATTCCCGTTTCCAACGAAATCATTAGAGCTATCCAAATATCCACTTACAGTTTCTACAAAAAGAGTGTTTCCAAACTGCTGCATCAAAAGAGAGGTTCCACTCTGTTAGCTGAGTACACACATCACAAACTTGTTTCTCAGAATCCTTCTGTCTAGTTTTTATGGGAAGATACTTACTTTTTCACCGTAGGTATCAAAGCGCTCCAAATGTCCACATCCAGATACTACAGAAAGAGTGTTTCAAACCTGCTCTATGAAAGGGAATCTTCAACTCTATGAGTTGAATGCAGACATCAGAAAGTAATTTCTGAGAATGCTGCTGTCTACCTTTTATTTGAATTCCCGCTTCCAACGAAATCCTCCAAGCTATCCAAATATCCACTTGCAGATTCCACAAAAAGAGCGTTTCAAAACTGCTCTATCAATAGAAAGGTTCAACTCTTTTAGTTGAGTACACACATCACAAACAAGTTTCTGAGAATGCTTCTGTCTATTTTTTATGGGAAGATATTTCCTTTTTCACCGTAGGCGTCAAGGCGATCGAAATGTCCACTTCCACAAACTACAAAAAGTGTGTTTCAAACCTGCTCTATGAAAGGCCATGTTCATCTCTATGAGTTGAATGGAAATATCCGAAAGAAATTTCTGGGAATGCTCTGTCTAGTGTTTATACGAATTCCCGCTTCCAACGAAATCCTCAAAGCAATCCAAATATCCACTTGCAGAATCCACAAAAAGAGTGTTTCAAAACTGCTCTATCAATAGAAAGGTTCAACTCTTTTAGTTGAGTACACACATCACGAACAAGTTTCTGAGAATGCTTTCTGTCTGGCTTTTATTGGAAGACGTTTCCTTTTCACCAAAGGCATCAAAGTGCTCCAAATGTCCACTTCCAGATTCTTCCAAAAGAGTGTTTCAAACGTGGTCGAAGTAAGGGAATGTTCAACTCTGTGACTTGAATGCAGATATCACCAAGTAGTTTCTAATAGTGCTTCTGTCTAGATTTTAGATGATGATATTCCCGTTTCCAAAGAAATCGTTAGAGCTATCCAAATATCCAGTTACAGTTTCTACCAAAAGGGTGTTTCCAAATTGCTGCATCAAAAGAAAGGTTCAACTCTGTTAGTTGAGGACACACATCACAAAGAAGTTTGTGAGAATGCTTCTGTCTAGATTTTGTATGACGATATTCTCTTTTCCAACGATATCGTTAAAGCAATCTAAATATCAATTTGCAGAATCCACAAAAATAGAGTTTCAAAGCTGCTCTGTAAAAAGAAAGGTTCCACTCTGTTAGCTGAGTACACACATCACAAACTTGTTTCTGAGAATCCTTCTGTCTCGTTTTTATGGGAAGATATTTACTTTTCCACCGTAGGCATCAAAGCGCTCCAAATGTCCACATCCAGATACTCCAGAACGAGTGTTTCAAACCTGCTCTATGAAAGGGAATCTTCAACTCTATGAGTTGAATGCAGACATCAGAAAGAAATTTCTGAGAATGCTTGCTGTCTACCTTTTATTTGAATTCCCGCTTCCAACGAAATCCTCCAAGCTATCCAAATATCCACCTGCATTTTCCACAAAAAGAGTGTTTCAAACCTGCTCTATCAATAGAAATGTTCAACTCCTTTGGCTGGGTACACACATCACAAACAAGTTTCTGAGAATGCTTCTGTCTAGTTTTTATGGGAAGACATTCCCTTTTTCACCAAAGGCAATTCAAAGCGCTCCAAATGTCCACTTCCAGACACTACAAAAAGAGTGTTTCAAACGTGCTCTAAGAAAGCGAATGTTCAACTCTGTGACTTGAATGCAGATATCACAAAGTAGTTTCTGAGAGTGCTTCTGTCTAGATTTTAGATGATGATATTCCCGTTTCCAACGAAATCATTAGAGCTATCCAAATATCCACTTACAGTTTCTACAAAAAGAGTGTTTCCAAACTGCTGCATCAAAAGAGAGGTTCCACTCTGTTAGCTGAGTACACACATCACAAACTTGTTTCTCAGAATCCTTCTGTCTCGTTTTTATGGGAAGATATTTACTTTTTCACCGTAGGCATCAAAGCGCTCCAAATGTCCACATCCAGATACTCCAGAAAGAGTGTTTCAAACCTGCTCTATGAAAGAGAATGTTCAACTCTATGAGTTGAATGCAGACATCAGAAAGAAATTTCTGAGAATGCTGCTGTCTACCTTTTATTTGAATTCCCGCTTCCAACGAAATCCTCCAAGCTATCCAAATATCCACTTGCAGATTCCACAAAAAGAGTGTTTCAAAACTGCTCTCTATCAATGGCAAAGTTCAACTCTGTTAGTTGAGGACACATATCACCAACAAGTTTCTGAGAATGCTTCTATTTTTTATGGGAAGATATTTCCTTTTTCACCGTAGGCGTCAAGGCGATCGAAATGTCCACTTCCACAAACTACAAAAAGAGTGTTTCAAACCTGCTCTATGAAAGGCCATGTTCATCTCTATGAGTTGAATGGAAATATCCGAAAGAAATTTCTGGGAATGCTGCTGTCTAGTTTTTATACGAATTCCCGCTTCCAACGAAATCCTCAAAGCAATCCAAATATCCACTTGCAGAATCCACAAAAAGAGTGTTTCAAAACTGCTCTATCAATAGAAAGGTTCAACTCTTTTAGTTGAGTACACGCATCACAAACAAGTTTCTGAGAATGCTTCTGTCTGGCTTTTATTGGAAGACGTTTCCTTTTCACCAAAGGCATCAAAGCGCTCCAAATGTCCACTTCCAGATTCTTCCAAAAGAGTGTTTCAAACGTGCTCGAAGTAAGGGAATGTTCAACTCTGTGACTTGAATGCAGATATCACCAAGTAGTTTCTAATAGTGCTTCTGTCTAGATTATAGATGATGATATTCCCGTTTCCAACGAAATCGCTAGAGCTATCCAAATATCCAGTTACAGTTTCTACCAAAAGGGTGTTTCCAAATTGCTGCATCAAAAGAAAGGTTCAACTCTGTTAGTTGAGGACACACGTCACAAAGAAGTTTGTGAGAATGCTTATGTCCAGATTTTGTATGACGATATTCCCTTTTCCAACGATATCGTTAAAGCAATCTAAATATCCATTTGCAGAATCCACAAAAATAGAGTTTCAAAGCTGCTCTGTAAAAAGAAAGGTTCCACTCTGTTAGCTGAGTACACACATCACAAACTTGTTTCTGAGAATCCTTCTGTCTCGTTTTTATGGGAAGATATTTACTTTTTCACCGTAGGCATCAAAGCGCTCCAAATGTCCACATCCAGATACTCCAGAAAGAGTGTTTCAAACCTGCTCTATGAAAGGGAATCTTCAACTCTATGAGTTGAATGCAGACATCAGAAAGAAATTTCTGAGAATGCTGCTGTCTACCTTTTATTTGAATTCCCGCTTCCAACGAAATCCTCCAAGCTATCCAAATATCCACTTGCATTTTCCACAAAAAGAGTGTTTCAAAACTGCTCTATCAATAGAAATGTTCAACTCCTTTGGCTGGGTACACACATCACAAACAAGTTTCTGAGAATGCTTCTGTCTAGTTTTTATGGGAAGACGTTCCCTTTTTCACCAAAGGCATCAAAGCGCTCCAAATGTCCACTTCCAGACACTACAAAACGAGTGTTTCCAACGTGCTCTAAGAAAGCGAATGTTCAACTCTGTGACTTGAATGCAGATATCACAAAGTAGTTTCTGAGAGGGCTTCTGTCTAGATTTTAGATGATGATATTCCCGTTTCCAACGAAATCATTAGAGCTATCCAAATATCCACTTACAGTTTCTACAAAAAGAGTGTTTCCAAACTGCTGCATCAAAAGAGAGGTTCCACTCTGTTAGCTGAGTACACACATCACAAACTTGTTTCTCAGAATCCTTCTGTCTCGTTTTTATGGGAAGATATTTACTTTTTCACCGTAGGCATCAAAGCGCTCCAAATGTCCACATCCAGATACTACAGAAAGAGTGTTTCAAACGTGCTCTATGAAAGGGAATCTTCAACTCTATGAGTTGAATGCAGACATCAGAAAGAAATTTCTGAGAATGCTGCTGTCTACCTTTTATTTGAATTCCCGCTTCCAACGAAATCCTCCAAGCTATCCAAATATCCACTTGCAGATTCCACAAAAAGAGTGTTTCAAAACTGCTCTCTATCAATGGCAAAGTTCAACTCTGTTAGTTGAGGACACATATCACCAACAAGTTTCTGAGAATGCTTCTGTCTATTTTTTATGGGAAGCTATTTCCTTTTTCACCGTAGGCGTCAAGGCGATCGAAATGTCCACTTCCACAAACTACAAAAAGAGTGTTTCAAACCTGCTCTATGAAAGGCCATGTTCATCTCTATGAGTCGAATGGAAATATCCGAAAGAAATTTCTGGGAATGCTGCTGTCTAGTTTTTATACGAATTCCCGCTTCCAACGAAATCCTCAAAGCAATCCAAATATCCACTTGCAGAATCCACAAAAAGAGTGTTTCAAAACTGCTCTATCAATAGAAAGGTTCAACTCTTTTAGTTGAGTACACACATCACAAACAAGTTTCTGAGAATGCTTCTGTCTGGCTTTTATTGGAAGACGTTTCCTTTTCACCAAAGGCATCAAAGCGCTCCAAATGTCCACTTCCAGATTCTTCCAAAAGAGTGTTTCAAGCGTGCTCAAAGTAAGGGAATGTTCAACTCTGTGACTTGAATGCAGATATCACCAAGTAGTTTCTAATAGTGCTTCTGTCTACATTTTAGATGATGATATTCCCGTTTCCAACGAAATCGCTAGAGCTATCCAAATATCCAGTTACAGTTTCTACCAAAAGGGTGTTTCCAAATTGCTGCATCAAAAGAAAGGTTCAACTCTGTTAGTTGAGGACACACATCACAAAGAAGTTTGTGAGAATGCTTCTGTTTAGATTTTGTATGACGATATTCCCTTTTCCAACGATATCGTTAATGCAAACCAAATATCAATTTGCAGAATCCACAAAAATAGAGTTTCAAAGCTGCTCTGTAAAAAGAAAGTTTCCACTCTGTTAGCTGAGTACACACATCACAAACTTGTTTCTGAGAATCCTTCTGTCTCGTTTTTATGGGAAGATATTTACTTTTTCACCGTAGACATCAAAGCGCTCCAAATGTCCACATCCAGATACTCCAGAAAGAGTGTTTCAAACCTGCTCTATGAAAGGGAATCTTCAACTCTATGAGTTGAATGCAGACATCAGAAAGAAATTTCTGAGAATGCTGCTGTCTACCTTTTATTTGAACTCCCGCTTCCAACGAAATCCTCCAAGCTATCCAAATATCCACTTGCATTTTCCACAAAAAGAGTGCTTCAAAACTGCTCTATCAATAGAAATGTTCAACTCCTTTAGCTGGGTGCACACATCACAAACAAGTTTCTGAGAATGCTTCTGTCTAGTTTTTATGGGTAGACATTCCCTTTTTCACCAAAGGAATCAAAGCGCTCCAAATGTCCACTTCCAGACACTACAAAAAGAGTGTTTCAAACGTGCTCTAAGAAAGCGAATGTTCAACTCTGTGACTTGAATGCAGATATCACACAGTAGTTTCTGAGAGTGCTTCTGTCTAGATTTTAGATGATGATATTCCCGTTTCCAACGAAATCATTAGAGCTATCCAAATATCCACTTACAGTTTCTACAAAAAGAGTGTTTCCAAACTGCTGCATCAAAAGAGAGTTTCCACTCTGTTAGCTGAGTACACACATCACAAACTTGTTTCTCAGAATCCTTCTGTCTCGTTTTTATGGGAAGATATTTACTTTTTCATCGTAGGCCTCAAAGCGCTCCAAATGTCCACATCCAGATACTACAGAAAGAGTATTTCAAACCTGCTCTATGAAAGGGAATGTTCAACTCTATGAGTTGAATGCAGACATCAGAAATAAATTTCTGAGAATGCTGCTGTCTACCCTTTATTTGAATTCCCGCTTCCAACGAAATCCTCCAAGCTATCCAAATATCCACTTGCAGATTCCACAAAAAGAGTGTTTCAAAACTGCTCTCTATCAATGGCAAAGTTCAACTCTGTTAGTTGAGGACACATATCACCAACAAGTTTCTGAGAATGCTTCTGTCTATTTTTTATGGGAAGATATTTCCTTTTTCACCGTAGGCGTCAACGCGATCGAAATGTCCACTTCCACAAACTACAAAAAGAGTGTTTCAAACCTGCTCTATGAAAGGCCAAGTTCATCTCTATGAGTTGAATGGAAATATCCGAAAGAAATTTCTGGGAATGCTGCTGTCTAGTGTTTATACGAATTCCCGCTTCCAACGAAATCCTCAAAGCAATCCAAATATCCACTTGCAGAATCCACAAAAAGAGTGTTTCAAAACTGCTCTATCAATAGAAAGGTTCAACTCTTTTAGTTGAGTACACACATCACGAACAAGTTTCTGAGAATGCTTCTGTCTGGCTTTTATTGGAAGACGTTTTCTTTTCACCAAAGGCATCATCAAAGCGCTACAAATGTCCACTTCCAGATTCTTCCAAAAGAGTGTTTCAAACGTGCTCAAAGTAAGGGAATGTTCAACTCTTTGACTTGAATGCAGATATCACCAAGTAGTTTCTAATAGTGCTTCTGTCTAGCATTTTAGATGATGATATTCCCGTTTCCAACGAAATCGTTAGAGCTATCCAAATATCCAGTTACAGTTTCTACCAAAAGGGTGTTTCCAAATTGCTGCATCAAAAGAAAGGTTCAACTCTGTTAGTTGAGGACACACATCACAAAGAAGTTTGTGAGAATGCTTCTGTCTAGATTTTGTATGACGATATTCCCTTTTCCAACGATATCGTTAAAGCAATCTAAATATCAATTTGCAGAATCCACAGAAATAGAGTTTCAAAGCTGCTCTGTAAAAAGAAAGGTTCCACTCTGTTAGCTGAGTACACACATCACAAACTTGTTTCTGAGAATCCTGCTGTCTACCTTTTATTTGAATTCCCGCTTCCAACGAAATCCTCCAAGCTATCCAAATATCCACCTGCATTTTCCACAAAAAGAGTGTTTCAAACGTGCTCTATCAATAGAAATGTTCAACTCCTTTGGCTGGGTACACACATCACAAACAAGTTTCTGAGAATGCTTCTGTCTAGTTTTTATGGGAAGACATTTCCTTTTTCACCAAAGGCATCAAAGAGCTCCAAATGTCCACTTCCAGATACTACAAAAAGAGTGTTTCAAAAGTGCTCTAAGAAAGCGAATGTTCAACTCTGTGACTTGAATGCAGATATCACAAAGTAGTTTCTGAGAGTGCTTCTGTCTAGTTTTTACATGATGATATTCCCGTTTCCAACGAAATCATCAGAGCTATCCAAATATCCACTTACAGTTTCTACAAAAAGAGTGTTTCCAAACTGCTGCATCAAAAGAGAGGTTCCACTCTGTTAGCTGAGTACACACATCACAAACTTGTTTCTGAGAATCCTTCTGTGTCGATTTTATGGGAAGATATTTACTTTTTCACCGTAGGCATCAAAGCGCTCCAAATGTCCACATCCAGATACTCCAGAAAGAGTGTTTCAAACCTGCTCTATGAAAGGGAATCTTCAACTCTATGAGTTGAATGCAGACATCAGAAAGAAATTTCTGAGAATGCTGCTGTCTACCTTTTATTTGAATTCCCGCTTCCAACGAAATCCTCCAAGCTATCCAAATATCCACTTGCAGATTCCACAAAAAGAGTGTTTCAAAACTGCTCTCTATCAATGGCAAAGTTCAACTCTGTTAGTTGAGGACACATATCACCAACAAGTTTCTGAGAATGCTTCTGTCTATTTTTTATGGGAAGATATTTCCTTTTTCACCGTAGGCGTCAAGGCGTTCGAAATGTCCACTTCCACAAACTACAAAAAGAGTGTTTCAAACCTGCTCTATGAAAGGCCATGTTCATCTCTATGAGTTGAATGGAAATATCCGAAAGAAATTTCTGGGAATGCTGCTGTCTAGTGTTTATACGAATTCCCGCTTCCAACGAAATCCTCAAAGCAATCCAAATATCCACTTGCAGAATCCACAAAAAGAGTGTTTCAAAACTGCTCTATCAATAGAAAGGTTCAACTCTTTTAGTTGAGTACACACATCACGAACAAGTTTCTGAGAATGCTTCTGTCTGGCTTTTACTGGAAGACGTTTCCTTTTCACCAAAGGCATCAAAGCGCTCCAAATGTCCACTTCCAGATTCTTCCAAAAGAGTGTTTCAAACGTGGTCGAAGTAAGGGAATGTTCAACTCTGTGACTTGAATGCAGATATCACCAAGTAGTTTCTAATAGTGCTTCTGTCTAGATTTTAGATGATGATATTCCCGTTTCCAACGAAATCGTTAGAGCTATCCAAATATCCACTTACAGTTGCTACAAAAACAGTGTTTCCAAACTGCTGCATCAAAAGAAAGGTTCAACTCTGTTAGTTGAGGACACACGTCACAAAGAAGTTTGTGAGAATGCTTCTGTCTAGATTTTGTATGACGATATTCCCTTTTCCAACGATATCGTTAAAGCAATCTAAATATAAATTTGCAGAATCCACAAAAATAGAGTTTCAAAGCTGCTCTGTAAAAAGAAAGGTTCCACTCTGTTAGCTGAGTACACACATCACAAACTTGTTTCTGAGAATCCTTCTGTCTCGTTTTTATGGGAAGATATTTACTTTTCCAACGTAGGCATCAAAGCGCTCCAAATGTCCACATCCAGATACTCCAGAACGAGTGTTTCAAACCTGCTCTATGAAAGGGAATCTTCAACTCTATGAGTTGAATGCAGACATCAGAAAGAAATTTCTGAGAATGCTGCTGTCTACCTTTTATTTGAATTCCCGCTTCCAACGAAATCCTCCAAGTATCCAAATATCCACCTGCATTTTCCACAACAAGAGTGTTTCACAACTGCTCTATCAATTTAAATGTTCAACTCCTTTGGCTGGGTACACACATCACAAACAAGTTTCTGAGAATGCTTCTGTCTAGTTTTTATGGGTAGACATTCCCTTTTTCACCAAAGGCATCAAAGCGCTCCAAATGTCCACTTCCAGACACTACAAAAAGAGTGTTTCAAACGTGCTCTAAGAAACCGAATGTTCAACTCTGTGACTTGAATGCAGATATCACAAAGTAGTTTCTGAGAGGGCTTCTGTCTAGATTTTAGATGATGATATTCCCGTTTTCAACGAAATCATTAGAGCTATCCAAATATCCACTTACAGTTTCTACAAAAAGAGTGTTTCCAAACTGCTGCATCAAAAGAGAGGTTCCACTCTGTTAGCTGAGTACACACATCACAAACTTGTTTCTCAGAATCCTTCTGTCTCGTTTTTATGGGAAGATATTTACTTTTTCACTGTAGGCATCAAAGCGCTCCAAATGTCCTCATCCAGATACTACAGAAAGAGTATTTCAAACCTGCCCTATGAAAGGGAATGTTCAACTCTATGAGTTGAATGCAGAGATCAGAAAGAAATTTCTGAGAATGCTGCTGTCTACCTTTTATTTGAATTCCCGCTTCCAACGAAATCCTCCAAGCTATCCAGATATCCACTTGCAGATTCCACAAAAAGAGTGTTTCAAAACTGCTCTCTATCAATGGCAAAGTTCAACTCTGTTAGTTGAGGACACATATCACCAACAAGTTTCTTAGAATGCTTCTGTCTATTTTTTATGGGAAGATATTTCCTTTTTCACCGTAGGCGTCAAGGCGATCGAAATGTCCACTTCCACAAACTACAAAAAGAGTGTTTCAAACCTGCTCTATGAAAGGCCATGTTCATCTCTATGAGTTGAATGGAAATATCCGAAAGAAATTTCTGGGAATGCTGCTGTCTAGTTTTTATACGAATTGCCGCTTCCAACGAAATCCTCAAAGCAATCCAAATATCCACTTGCAGAATCCACAAAAAGAGTGTTTCAAAACTGCTCTATCAATAGAAAGGTTCAACTCTTTTAGTTGAGTACACACATCACAAACAAGTTTCTGAGAATGCTTCTGTCTGGCTTTTATTGGAAGACGTTTCCTTTTCACCAAAGGCATCAAAGCGCTCCAAATGTCCACTTCCAGATTCTTCCAAAAGAGTGTTTCAAACGTGCTCAAAGTAAGGGAATGTTCAACTCTGTGACTTGAATGCAGATATCACCAAGTAGTTTCTAATAGTGCTTCTGTCTAGATTTTAGATGATGATATTCCCGTTTCCAACGAAATCGTTAGAGCTATCCAAATATCCACTTACAGTTTCTACCAAAAGAGTGTTTCCAAACTGCTGCATCAAAAGAAAGGTTCAACTCTGTTAGTTGAGGACACACATCACAAAGAAGTTTGTGAGAATGCTTCTGTCCAGATTTTGTATGACGATATTCCCTTTTCCAACGATATCGTTAAAGCAATCTAAATATCCATTTGCAGAATCCACAAAAATAGAGTTTCAAAGCTGCTCTGTAAAAAGAAAGGTTCCACTCTGTTAGCTGAGTACACACATCACAAACTTGTTTCTGAGAATCCTTCTGTCTCGTTTTTATGGGAAGATATTTACTTTTCCACCGTAGGCATCAAAGCGCTCCAAATGTCCACATCCAGATACTGCAGAACGAGTGTTTCAAACCTGCTCCATTAAAGGGAATCTTCAACTCTATGAGTTGAATGCAGACATCAGAAAGAAATTTCTGAGAATGCTGCTGTCTACCTTTTATTTGAATTCCCGCGTCCAACGAAATCCTCCAAGCTATCCAAATATCCACCTGCATTTTCCACAAAAAGAGCGTTTCAAAACTGCTCTATCAATAGAAATGTTCAACTCCTTTGGCTGGGTACACACATCACAAACAAGTTTCTGAGAATGCTTCTGTCTAGTTTTTATGGGTAGACATTCCCTTTTTCACCAAAGGAATCAAAGCGCTCCAAATGTCCACTTCCAGACACTACAAAAAGAGTGTTTCAAACGTGCTCTAAGAAACCGAATGTTCAACTCTGTGACTTGAATGCAGATATCACAAAGTAGTTTCTGAGAGTGCTTCTGTCTAGATTTTAGATGATGATATTCCCGTTTCCAACGAAATCATTAGAGCTATCCAAATATCCACTTACAGTTTCTACAAAAAGAGTGTTTCCAAACTGCTGCATCAAAAGAGAGGTTCCACTCTGTTAGCTGAGTACACACATCACCAACTTGTTTCTGAGAATCCTTCTGTCTCGTTTTTATGGGAAGATATTTACTTTTTCATCGTAGGCATCAAAGCGCTCCAAATGTCCACATCCAGATACTACAGAAAGAGTATTTCAAACCTGCTCTATGAAAGGGAATGTTCAACTCTATGAGTTGAATGCAGACATCAGAAAGAAATTTCTGAGAATGCTGCTGTCTACCTTTTATTTGAATTCCCGCTTCCAACGAAATCCTCCAAGCTATCCAAATATCCACTTGCAGATTCCACAAAAAGAGTGTTTCAAAACTGCTCTCTATCAATGGCAAAGTTAAACTCTGTTAGTTGAGGACACATATCGCCAACAAGTTTCTGAGAATGCTTCTGTCTATTTTTTATGGGAAGATATTTCCTTTTTCACCGTAGGCGTCAAGGCGATCGAAATGTCCACTTCCACAAACTACAAAAAGAGTGTTTCAAACCTGCTCTATGAAAGGCCATGTTCATCTCTATGAGTTGAATGGAAATATCCGAAAGAAATTTCTGGGAATGCTGCTGTCTAGTGTTTATACGAATTCCCGCTTCCAACGAAATCTTCAAAGCAATCCAAATATCCACTTGCAGAATCCACAAAAAGAGTGTTTCAAAACTGCTCTATCAATAGAAAGGTTCAACTCTTTTAGTTGAGTACACACATCACGAACAAGTTTCTGAGAATGCTTCTGTCTGGCTTTTATTGGAAGACGTTTCCTTTTCACCAAAGGCATCAAAGCGCTCCAAATGTCCACTTCCAGATTCTTCCAAAAGAGTGTTTCAAACGTGCTCAAGTAAGGGAATGTTCAACTCTGAGACTTGAATGCAGATATCACCAAGTAGTTTCTAATAGTGCTTCTGTCTAGATTTTAGATGATGATATTCCCGTTTCCAACGAAATCGTTAGAGCTATCCAAATATCCAGTTACAGTTTCTACAAAAAGAGTGTTTCCAAACTGCTGCATCAAAAGAAAGGTTCAACTCTGTTAGATGAGGACACACATCACAAAGAAGTTTGTGAGAATGCTTCTGTCTAGATTTTGTATGACGATATTCCCTTTTCCAACGATATCGTTAAAGCAATCTAAATATCAATTTGCAGAATCCACAAAAATAGCGTTTCAAAGCTGCTCTGTAAAAAGAAAGGTTCCACTCTGTTAGCTGAGAACACACATCACAAACTTGTTTCTGAGAATCCTTCTGTCTCGTTTTTATGGGAAGATATTTACTTTTCCACCGTAGGCATCAAAGCGCTCCAAATGTCCACATCCAGATACTCCAGAACGAGTGTTTCAAACCTGCTCTATGAAAGGGAATCTTCAACTCTATGAGTTGAATGCAGACATCAGAAAGAAATTTCTGAGAATGCTGCTGTCTACCTTTTATTTGAATTCCCGCTTCCAACGAAATCCTCCAAGCTATCCAAATATCCACCTGCATTTTCCACAAAGAGAGTGTTTCAAAACTGCTCTATCAATAGAAATGTTCAACTCCTTTGGCTGGGTACACACATCACAAACAAGTTTCTGAGAATGCTTCTGTCTAGTTTTTATGGGAAGACATTCCCTTTTTCACCAAAGGCATCAAAGCGCTCCAAATGTCCACTTCCAGACACTACAAAAAGAGTGTTTCAAACGTGCTCTAAGAAAGCGAATGTTCAACTCTGTGGCTTGAATGCAGATATCACAAAGTAGTTTCTGAGAGGGCTTCTGTCTAGATTTTAGATGATGATATTCCCGTTTCCAACGAAATCATTAGAGCTATCCAAATATCCACTTACAGTTTCTACAAAAAGAGTGTTTCCAAACTGCTGCATCAAAAGAGAGGTTCCACTCTGTTAGCTGAGTACACACATCACAAACTTGTTTCTCAGAATCCTTCTGTCTCGTTTTTATGGGAAGATATTTACTTTTCCACCGTAGGCATCAAAGCGCTCCAAATGTCCACATCCAGATACTCCAGAAAGAGTGTTTCAAACCTGCTCTATGAAAGGGAATCTTCAACTCTATGAGTTGAATGCAGACATCAGAAAGAAATTTCTGAGAATGCTGCTGTCTACCTTTTATTTGAATTCCCGCTTCCAACGAAATCCTCCAAGCTATCCAAATATCCACTTGCAGATTCCACAAAAAGAGTGTTTCAAAACTGCTCTCTATCAATGGCAAATTTCAACTCTGTTAGTTGAGGACACATATCACCAACAAGTTTCTGAGAATGCTTCTGTCTATTTTTTATGGGAAGATATTTCCTTTTTCACCGTAGGCGTCAAGGCGATCGAAATGTCCACTTCCACAAACTACAAAAAGAGTGTTTCAAACCTGCTCTATAAAAGGCGATGTTCATCTCTATGAGTTGAATGGAAATATCCGAAAGAAATTTCTGGGAATGCTGCTGTCTAGTTTTTATACGAATTCCCGCTTCCAACGAAATCCTCAAAGCAATCCAAATATCCACTTGCAGAATCCACAAAAAGAGTGTTTCAAAACTGCGCTATCAATAGAAAGGTTCAACTCTTTTAGTTGAGTACACACATCACAAACAAGTTTCTGAGAATGCTCTGTCTGGCTTTTATTGGAAGACGTTTCCTTTTCACCAAAGGCATCAAAGCGCTCCAAATGTCCACTTCCAGATTCTTCCAAAAGAGTGTTTCAAACGTGGTCGAAGTAAGGGAATGTTCAACTCTGTGACTTGAATGCAGATATCACCAAGTAGTTTCTAATAGTGCTTTCTGTGTATACTTTAGATGAAGATATTCCCGTTTCCAACGATATCGTTAGACCTATCCAAATATCCACTTACAGTTTCTACAAAAAGTGTGTTTCCAAACTGCTGCATCAAAAGAAAGGTTCAACTCTGTGAGTTGAGGACACACAACACAAAGAAGTTTCTGAGAAAGCTTCTGTCTAGATTTTGTATGACGATATTCCCTTTTCCAACGATATCGTTAAAGCAATCTAAATATCCATTTGCAGAATCCACAAAAATAGAGTTTCAAAGCTGCTCTGTAAAAAGAAAGGTTCCACTCTGTTAGCTGAGTACACACATCACAAACCTTGTTTCTCAGAATCCTGCTGTCTACCTTTTATTTGAATTCCTGCTTCCAACGAAATCCTCCAAGCTATCCAAATATCCACCTGCATTTTCCACAAAAAGAGCGTTTCAAAACTGCTCTATCAATAGAAATGTTCAACTCCTTTGGCTGGGTACACACATCACAAACAAGTTTCTGAGAATGCTTCTGTCTAGTTTTTATGGGAAGACATTTCTTTTTTCACCAAAGGCATCAAAGAGCTCCAAATGTCCACTTCCAGATACTACAAAAAGAGTGTTTCAAAAGTGCTCTAAGAAAGCGAATGTTCAACTCTGTGACTTGAATGCAGATATGAAAAAGTAGTTTCTGAGAGTGCTTCTCTCTAGATTTTAGATGATGATATTCCCGTTTCCAACGAAATCATTAGAGCTATCCAAATATCCCCTTACAGTTTCTACAAAAAGGGTGTTTCCAAACTACTGCATCAAAAGAGAGGTTCCACTCTGTTAGCTGAGTACACACATCACAAACTTGTTTCTCAGAATCCTCTGTCTCGTTTTTATGGGAAGATATTTACTTTTCCACCGTAGGCATCAAAGCGCTCCAAATGTCCACATCCAGATACTCCAGAACGAGTGTTTCAAACCTGCTCTATGAAAGGGAATCTTCAACTCCTATGAGTTGAATGCAGACATCAGAAAGAAATTTCTGAGAATGCTGGCTGTCTACCTTTTATTTGAATTCCCGCTTCCAACGAAATCCTCCAAGCTATCCAAATATCCACTTGCAGATTCCACAAAAAGAGTGTTTCAAAACTGCTCTCTATCAATGGCAAAGTTCAACTCTGTTAGTTGAGGACACATATCACCAACAAGTTTCTGAGAATGCTTCTGTCTATTTTTTATGGGAAGATATTTCCTTTTTCACCGTAGGCGTCAAGGCGATCGAAATGTCCACTTCCACAAACTACAAAAAGAGTGTTTCAAACCTGCTCTATGAAAGGCCATGTTCATCTCTATGAGTTGAATGGAAATATCCGAAAGAAATTTCTGGGAATGCTGCTGTCTAGTGTTTATACGAATTCCCGCTTCCAACGAAATCCTCAAAGCAATCCAAATATCCACTTGCAGAATCCACAAAAAGAGTGTTTCAAAACCGCTCTATCAATAGAAAGGTTCAACTCTTTTAGTTGAGTACACACATCACAAACAAGTTTCTGAGAATGCTTCTGTCTGGCTATTATTGGAAGACGTTTCCTTTTCACCAAAGTCATCATCAAAGCGCTCCAAATGTCCACTTCCAGATTCTTCCAAAAGAGTGTTTGAAACGTGCTCAAAGTAAGGGAATGTTCAACTCTGTGACTTGAATGCAGATATCACCAAGTAGTTTCTAATAGTGCTTTTTAGATGAAGATATTCCCGTTTCCAACGAAATCGTTAGAGCTATCCAAATATCCACTTACAGTTTCTACAAAAAGAGTGTTTCCAAACTGCTGCATCAAAAGAAAGGTTCAACTCTGTTAGTTGAGGACACACATCACAAAGAAGTTTGTGAGAATGCTTCTGTCTAGATTTTGTATGAAGATATTCCCTTTTCCAACGATGTCGTTAAATCAACCCAAATATCAATTTGCAGAATCCACAGAAATAGAGTTTCAAAGCTGCTCTGTAAAAAGAAAGGATCCACTCTGTTAGCTGAGTTCACACATCACAAACTTGTTTCTGAGAATCTTGCTGTCTAAATTTTATTTGAATTCCCGCTTCCAACGAAATCCTCCAAGCTATCCAAATATCCACCTGCATTTTCCACAAAAAGAGCGTTTCAAAACTGCTCTATCAATAGAAATGTTCAACTCCTTTGGCTGGGTACACACATCACAAACAAGTTTCTGAGAATGCTTCTGTCTAGTTTTTATGGGTAGACATTCCCTTTTTCACCAAAGGAATCAAAGCGCTCCAAATGTCCACTTCCAGACACTACAAAAAGAGTGTTTCAAACGTGCTCTAAGAAAGCGAATGTTCAACTCTGTGACTTGAATGCAGATATCACAAAGTAGTTTCTGAGAGGGCTTCTGTCTCGATTTTAGATGATGATATTCCCGTTTCCAACGAAATCATTAGAGCTATCCAAATATCCACTTACAGTTTCTACAAAAAGAGTGTTTCCAAACTGCTGCATCAAAAGTGAGGTTCCACTCTGTTAGCTGAGTACACACATCACAAACTTGTTTCTGAGAATCCTTCTGTCTAGCTTTTATGGGAAGATATTTAATTTTTCACCGTAGGCATCAAAGCGTTCCAAATGTCCACATCCAGATAGTACAGAAAGAGTGTTTCAAACCTGCTCTATGAAAGGGAATGTTCAACTCTATGAGTTGAATGCAAACATCACAAAGAAATTTCTGAGAATGCTGCTGTCTACCTTTCATTTGAATTCCCGCTTCCAACGAAATCCTCCAGGCTATCCAAATATCCACTTGCAGATTCCACAAAAAGAGGGTTTCTAAACTGCTCTATCAATGGCAAGGTTCAACTCTGTCAGTTGAGGATACACATCACAAACAAGTTTCTGAGAATTCTTCTGTCTATTTTTTATGGGAAGATATTTCCTTTTTCACCGTAGGCGTCAAGGCGATCGAAATGTCCACTTCCACAAACTACAAAAAGAGTGTTTCAAACCTGCTCTATGAAAGGCCATGTTCATCTCTATGAGTTGAATGGAAATATCCGAAAGAAATTTCTGGGAATGCTGCTGTCTAGTTTTTATACGAATTCCCGCTTCCAACGAAATCCTCAAAGCAATCCAAATATCCACTTGCAGAATCCACAAAAAGAGTGTTTCAAAACTGCTCTATCAATAGAAAGGTTCAACCCTTTTAGTTGAGTACACACATCACGAACAAGTTTCTGAGAATGCTTCTGTCTGGCTTTTATTGGAAGACGTTTCCTTTTCACCAAAGGCATCAAAGCGCTCCAAATGTCCACTTCCAGATTCTTCCAAAAGAGTGTTTGAAACGTGCTCAAAGTAAGGGAATGTTCAACTCTGTGACTTGAATGCAGATATCACCAAGTAGTTTCTAATAGTGCTTCTGTGTATACTTTAGATGAAGATATTCCCGTTTCCAACGATATCGTTAGACCTATCCAAATATCCACTTACAGTTTCTACAAAAAGAGTGTTTCCAAACTGCTGCATCAAAAGAAAGGTTCAAGTCTGTTAGTTGAGGACACACATCACAAAGAAGTTTCTGAGAAAGCTTCTGTCTAGATTTTGTATGAAGATATTCCCTTTTCCAACGATGTCGTTAAATCAACCCAAATGTCAATTTGCAGAATCCACAGAAATAGAGTTTCAAAGCTGCTCTGTAAAAAGAAAGGATCCACTCTGTTAGCTGAGTACACACATCACAAACTTGTTTCTGAGAATCCTTCTGTCTAGTTTTTATGGGAAGATATTTACTTTTTCACCGTAGGTATCAAAGCGCTCCAAATGTCCACATCCAGATACTACAGAAAGAGTGTTTCAAACCTGCTCTATGAAAGGGAATCTTCAACTCTATGAGTTGAATGCAGACAACAGAAAGTAATTTCTGAGAATGCTGCTGTCTACCTTTCATTTGAATTCCCGCTTCCGACGAAATCCTCCAAGCTATCCAAATATTCACTTGCAGATTCCACAAAAAGAGTGTTTCAAAACTACTCTATCAATAGAAAGGTACAACTCTGTCAGTTGAGGACACACATCACAAACAAGTTTCTGAGAATTCTTCAATTTTTTATGGGAAGACATTTCCTTTTTCACCGTAGGCGTCAAAGCGCTCCAAATGTCCACATCCGGATAGTACAGAAAGAGTGTTTCAAACCTGCTCTATTAAAGGGAATGTTCAACTCTATGAGTTGAATGCAAACATCAGAAAGAAATTTCTGAGAATGCTTCTGTCTAGATTTTAGATGATGATATTCCCGTTTCCAACGAAATCATTAGAGCTATCCAAATATCCACTTACAGTTTCTACAAAAAGAGTGTTTCCAAACTGCTGCATCAAAAGAGAGGTTCCACTCTGTTAGCCCGAGTACACACATCACAAACTTGTTTCTCAGAATCCTTCTGTCTCGTTTTTATGGGAAGATATTTACTTTTTCACCGTAGGCATCAAAGCGCTTCAAATGTCCACATCCAGATACTCCAGAAAGAGTGTTTCAAACCTGCTCTATGAAAGGGAATCTTCAACTCTATGAGTTGAATGCAGACATCAGAAAGAAATTTCTGAGAATGCTGCTGTCTACCTTTTATTTGAATTCCCGCTTCCAACGAAATCCTCCAAGCTATCCAAATATCCACTTGCAGATTCCACAAAAAGAGTGTTTCAAAACTGCTCTCTATCAATGGCAAAGTTCAACTCTGTTAGTTGAGGACACATATCACCAACAAGTTTCTGAGAATGCTTCTGTCTATTTTTTATGGGAAGATATTTCCTTTTTCACGGTAGGCGTCAAGGCGATCGAAATGTCCACTTCTACAAACTACAAAAAGAGTGTTTCAAACCTGCTCTATGAAAGGCCATGTTCATCTCTATGAGTTGAATGGAAATATCCGAAAGAAATTTCTGGGAATGCTGCTGTCTAGTGTTTATACGAATTCCCGCTTCCAACGAAATCCTCAAAGCAATCCAAATATCCACTTGCAGAATCCACAAAAAGAGTGTTTCAAAACTGCTCTATCAATAGAAAGGTTCAACTCTTTTAGTTGAGTACACACATCACGAACAAGTTTCTGAGAATGCTTCTGTCTGTCTTTTATTGGAAGACGTTTCCTTTTCACCAAAGGCATCAAAGCGCTCCAAATGTCCACTTCCAGATTCTTCCAAAAGAGTGTTTCAAACGTGCTCAAAGTAAGGGAATGTTCAACTCTGTGACTTGAATGCAGATATCACCAAGTAGTTTCTAATAGTGCTTCTGTCTAGATTTTAGATGATGATATTCCCGTTTCCAACGAAATCGTTAGAGCTATCCAAATATCCACTTACAGTTTCTACAAAAAGAGTGTTTCCAAACTGCTGCATCAAAAGAAAGGTTCAACTCTGTTAGTTGAGGAGACACATCACAAAGAAGTTTGTGAGAATGCTTCTGTCTAGATTTTGTATGACGATATTCCCTTTTCCAACGATATCGTTAAAGCAATCTAAATATCAATTTGCAGAATCCACAAAAATAGAGTTTCAAAGCTGCTCTGTAAAAAGAAAGGTTCCACTCTGTTAGCTGAGTACACACATCACAAACTTCTTTCTGAGAATCCTTCTGTCTCGTTTTTATGGGAAGATATTTACTTTTTCACCGTAGGCATCAAAGCGCTCCAAATGTCCACATCCAGATACTCCAGAAAGAGTGTTTCAAACCTGCTCTATGAAAGGGAATCTTCAACTCTATGAGTTGAATGCAGACATCAGAAAGAAATTTCTTAGAATGCTGCTGTCTACCTTTTATTTGAATTCCCGCTTCCAACGAAATCCTCCAAGCTATCCAAATATCCACCTGCATTTTCCACAAAAAGAGTGTTTCAAACCTGCTCTATCAATAGAAATGTTCAACTCCTTTGGCTGGGTACACACATCACAAACAAGTTTCTGAGAATGCTCTGTCTAGTTTTTATGGGTAGACATTCCCTTTTTCACCAAAGGAATCAAAGCGCTCCAAATGTCCACTTCCAGACACTACAAAAAGAGTGTTTCCAACGTGCTCTAAGAAAGCGAATGTTCAACTCTGTGACTTGAATGCAGATATCACAAAGTAGTTTCTGAGAGGGCTTTCTGTCTAGGTTTTAGATGATGATATTCCCGTTTCCAACGAAATCATTAGAGCTATCCAAATATCCACTTACGGTTTCTACAAAAAGAGTGTTTCCAAACTGCTGCATCAAAAGAGAGGTTCCACTCTGTTAGCTGAGTACACACATCACAAACTTGTTTCTGAGAATCCTTCTGTCTCGTTTTTCTGGGAAGATATTTACTTTTTCACCGTAGGCATCAAAGCGCTCCAAATGTCCACATCCAGATACTCCAGAAAGAGTGTTTCAAACCTGCTCTATGAAAGGGAATCTTCAACTCTATGAGTTGAATGCAGACATCAGAAAGAAATTTCTGAGAATGCTGCTGTCTACCTTTTATTTGAATTCCCGCTTGCAACGAAATCCTCCAAGCTATCCAAATATCCACTTGCAGATTCCACAAAAAGAGTGTTTCAAAACTGCTCTCTATCAATGGCAAGGTTCAACTCTGTTAGTTGAGGACACATATCACCAACAAGTTTCTGAGAATGCTTCTGTCTATTGTTTATGGGAAGATATTTCCTTTTTCACCGTAGGCGTCAAGGCGATCGAAATGTCCACTTCCACAAACTACAAAAAGAGTGTTTCAAACCTGCTCTATGAAAGGCGATGTTCATCTCTATGAGTTGAATGGAAATATCCGAAAGAAATTTACTGGGAATGCTGCTGTCTAGTGTTTATACGAATTCCCGCTTCCAACGAAATCCTCAAAGCAATCCAAGTATCCACTTGCAGAATCCACAAAAAGAGTGTTTCAAAACTGCTCTATCAATAGAAAGGTTCAACTCTTTTAGTTGAGTACACACATCACGAACAAGTTTCTGAGAATGCTTCTGTCTGGCTTTTATTGGAAGACGTTTCCTTTTCACCAAAGGCATCAAAGCGCTCCAAATGTCCACTTCCAGATTCTTCCAAAAGAGTGTTTCAAACGTGCTCAAAGTAAGGGAATGTTCAACTCTGTGACTTGAATGCAGATATCACCAAGTAGTTTCTAATAGTGCTTCTGTCTAGATTTTAGATGATGATATTCCCGTTTCCAACGAAATCGTTAGATCTATCCAAATATCCAGTTACAGTTTCTACCAAAAGAGTGTTTCCAAACTGCTGCATCAAAAGAAAGGTTCAACTCTGTTAGTTGAGGACACACATCACAAAGAAGTTTGTGAGAATGCTTCTGTCTATATTTTGTATGACCTATTCCCTTTTCCAGCGATATCATTAAAGCAATCTAAATATCCATTTGCAGAATCCACAAAAATAGAGTTTCAAAGCTGCTCTGTAAAAAGAAAGGTTCCACTCTGTTAGCTGAGTACACACATCACAAACTTGTTTCTCAGAATCCTGCTGTCTACCTTTTATTTGAACTCCCGCTTCCAACGAAATCCTCCAAGCTATGCAAATATCCACTTGCATTTTCCACAAAAAGAGTGTTTCAAAACTGCTCTATCAATAGACATGTTCAACTCCTTTAGCTGGGTACACACATCACAAACAAGTTTCTGAGAATGCTTCTGTCTAGTTTTTATGGGTAGACATTCCCTTTTTCACAAAAGGAATCAAAGCGCTCCAAATGTCCACTTCCAGACACTACAAAAAGAGTGTTTCAAACGTGCTCTAAGAAAGCGAATGTTCAACTCTGTGACTTGAATGCAGATATCACAAAGTAGTTTCTGAGAGGGCTTCTGTCTAGATTTTAGATGATGATATTCCCGTTTCCAACGAAATCATTAGAGCTATCCAAATATCCACTTACAGTTTCTACAAAAAGAGTGTTTCCAAACTGCTGCATCAAAACAGAGGTTCCACTCTGTTAGCTGAGTACACACATCACAAACTTGTTTCTCAGAATCCTTCTGTCTCGTTTTTATGGGGGAAGATATTTACTTTTTCACTGTAGGCATCAAAGCGCTCCACATGTCCACATCCAGATACTACAGAAAGAGTATTTCAAACCTGTCCTATGAAAGGGAATGTTCAACTCTATGAGTTGAATGCAGACATCAGAAAGAAATTTCTGAGAATGCTGCTGTCTACCTTTTATTTGAATTCCCGCTTCCAACGAAATCCTCCAAGCTATCCAAATATCCACTTGCAGATTCCACAAAAAGAGTGTTTCAAAACTGCTCTCTATCAATGGCAAAGTTCAACTCTGTTAGTTGAGGACACATATCACCAACAAGTTTCTGAGAATGCTTCTGTCTATTTTTTATGGGAAGATATTTCCTTTTTCACCGTAGGCGTCAAGGCGATCGAAATGTCCACTTCCACAAACTACAAAAAGAGTGTTTCAAACCTGCTCTATGAAAGGCCATGTTCATCTCTATGAGTTGAATGGAAATATCCGAAAGAAATTTCTGGGAATGCTGCTGTCTAGTTTTTATACGAATTCCCGCTTCCAACGAAATCCTCAAAGCAATCCAAATATCCACTTGCAGAATCCACAAAAAGAGTGTTTCAAAACTGCACTATCAATAGAAAGGTTCAACACTTTTAGTTGAGTACACACATCACGAACAAGTTTCTGAGAATGCTTCTGTCTGGCTTTTATTGGAAGACGTTTCCTTTTCACCAAAGGCATCAAAGCGCTCCAAATGTCCACTTCCAGATTCTTCCAAAAGAGTGTTTCAAACGTGCTCAAAGTAAGGGAATGTTCAAATCTGTGACTTGAATGCAGATATCACCAAGTAGTTTCTAATAGTGCTTCTGTCTAGATTTTAGATGATGATATTCCCGTTTCCAACGAAATCGTTAGAGCTATCCAAATATCCACTTACAGTTTCTACCAAAAGGGTGTTTCCAAACTGTTGCATCAAAAGAAAGGTTCAACTCTGTTAGTTGAGGACACACATCACAAAGAAGTTTGTGAGAATGCTTCTGTCCAGATTTTGTATGACAATATTCCCTTTTCCAACGATATCGTTAAAGCAATCTAAATATCAATTTGCAAAATCCACAAAAATAGAGTTTCAAAGCTGCTCTGTAAAAAGAAAGGTTCCACTCTGTTAGCTGAGTACACACATCACAAACTTGTTTCTGAGAATCCTGCTGTCTACCTTTTATTTGAATTCCCGCTTCCAACGAAATCCTCCAAGCTATCCAAATATCCACCTGCATTTTCCACAAAAAGAGTGTTTCAAAACTGCTCTATCAATAGAAATGTTCAACTCCTTTGGCTGGGTACACACATCACAAACAAGTTTCTGAGAATGCTTTCTGTCTAGTTTTTATTGGAAGACATTTCCTTTTTCACCAAAGGCATCAAGGAGCTCCAAATGTCCACTTCCAGATACTACAAAAAGAGTGTTTCAAAAGTGCTCTAAGAAAGCGAATGTTCAACTCTGTGACTTGAATGCAGATATCAAAAAGTAGTTTCTGAGAGTGCTTCTGTCTAGATTTTAGATGATGATATTCCCGTTTCCAACGAAATCATTAGAGCTATCCAAATATCCACTTACAGTTTCTACAAAAAGAGTGTTTCCAAACTGCTGCATCAAAAGAGAGGTTCCACTCTGTTAGCTGAGTACACACATCACAAACTTGTTTCTCAGAATCCTTCTGTCTCGTTCTTATGGGAAGATATTTACTTTTTCACCGTAGGCATCAAAGCGCTCCAAATGTCCACATCCAGATACTCCAGAAAGAGTGTTTCAAACCTGCTCTATGAAAGGGAATCTTCAACTCTATGAGTTGAATGCAGACATCAGAAAGAAATTTCTGAGAATGCTGCTGTCTACCTTTTATTTGAATTCCCGCTTCCAACGAAATCCTCCAAGCTATCCAAATATCCACTTGCAGATTCCACAAAAAGAGTGTTTCAAAACTGCTCTCTATCAATGGCAAAGTTCAACTCTGTTAGTTGAGGACACATATCACCAACAAGTTTCTGAGAATGCTTCTGTCTATTTTTTATGGGAAGATATTTCCTTTTTCACCGTAGGCGTCAAGGCGATCGAAATGTCCACTTCCACAAACTACAAAAAGAGTGTTTCAAACCTGCTCTCTGAAAGGCCATGTTCATCTCTATGAGGTGAATGGAAATATCCGAAAGAAATTTCTGGGAATGCTGCTGTCTAGTTTTTATACGAATTCCCGCTTCCAACGAAATCCTCAAAGCAATCCAAATATCCACTTGCAGAATCCACAAAAAGAGTGTTTCAAAACTGCTCTGTCAATAGAAAGGTTCAACTCTTTTAGTTGAGTACACACATCACAAACAAGTTTCTGAGAATGCTTCTGTCTGGCTTTTATTGGAAGACGTTTCCTTTTCACCAAAGGCATCAAAGCGCTCCAAATGTCCACTTCCAGATTCTTCCAAAAGAGTGTTTGAAACGTGCTCAAAGTAAGGGAATGTTCAACTCTGTGACTTGAATGCAGATATCACCAAGTAGTTTCTAATAGTGCTTCTGTCTACATTTTAGATGATGATATTCCCTTTTCCAACGAAATCGTTAGAGCTATCCAAATATCCAGTTACAGTTTCTACCAAAAGGGTGTTTCCAAATTGCTGCATCAAAAGAAAGGTTCAACTCTGTTAGTTGAGGACACACATCACAAAGAAGTTTGTGAGAATGCTTCTGTCTAGATTTTAGATGATGATATTCCCGTTTCCAACGAAATCATTAGAGCTATCCAAATATCCACTTACAGTTTCTACAAAAAGAGTGTTTCCAAACTGCTGCATCAAAAGAGAGGTTCCACTCTGTTAGCTGAGTACACACATCACAAACTTATTTCTCAGAATCCTGCTGTCTACCTTTTATTTGAATTCCCGCTTCCAACGAAAACCTACAAGCTATCCAAATATCCACTTGCAGATTCCACAAAAAGAGTGTTTCAAAACTGCTCTATCAATAGAAATGTTCAACTCCTTTCGCTGGGTACACACATCACAAACAAGTTTCTGAGAAAGCTTCTGTCTAGTTTTTATGGGAAGACATTTCCTTTTTCACCAAAGGCATCAAAGAGCTCCAAATGTCCACTTCCAGATACTACAAAAAGAGTGTTTCAAAAGTGCTCTAAGAAAGCGAATGTTCAAGTCTGTGACTTGAATGCAGATATCAAAAAGTAGTTTCTGAGAGTGCTTCTGGCTAGATTTTAGATGATGATATTCCCGTTTCCAACGAAATCATTAGAGCTATCCAAATATCCACTTACAGTTTCTACAAAAAGAGTGTTTCCAAACTGCTGCATCAAAAGAGAGGTTCCACTCTGTTAGCTGAGTACACACATCACAAACTTGTTTCTCAGAATCCTTCTGTCTCGTTTTTATGGGAAGATATTTACTTTTCCACCGTAGGCATCAAAGCGCTCCAAATGTCCACATCCAGATACTCCAGAAAGAGTGTTTCAAACCTGCTCTATGAAAGGGAATCTTCAACTCTATGAGTTGAATGCAGACATCAGAAAGAAATTTCTGAGAATGCTGCTGTCTACCTTTTATTTGAATTCCCGCTTCCAACGAAATCCTCCAAACTATCCAAATATCCACTTGCAGATTCAGGAAAAAGAGTGTTTCAAAACTGCTCTCTATCAATGGCAAAGTTCAACTCTGTTAGTTGAGGACACATATCACCAACAAGTTTCTGAGAATGCTTCTGTCTATTTTTTATGGGAAGATATTTCCTTTTTCACCGTAGGCGTCAAGGCGATCGAAATGTCCACTTCCACAAACTACAAAAAGAGTGTTTCAAACCTGCTCTATGAAAGGCCATGTTCATCTCTATGAGTTGAATGGAAATATCCGAAAGAAATTTCTGGGAATGCTGTTGTCTAGTGTTTGTACGAATTCCCGCTTCCAACGAAATCCTCAAAGCAATCCAAATATCCACTTGCAGAATCCACAAAAAGAGTGTTTCAAAACTGCTCTATCAATAGAAAGGTTCAACTCTTTTAGTTGAGTACACACATCACGAACAAGTTTCTCAGAATGCTTCTGTCTGGCTTTTATTGGAAGACGTTTCCTTTTCACCAAAGGCATCAAAGCGCTCCAAATGTCCACTTCCAGATTCTTCCAAAAGAGTGTTTCAAACGTGCTCAAAGTAAGGGAATGTTCAACTCTTTGACTTGAATGCAGATATCACCAAGTAGTTTCTAATAGTGCTTCTGTCTACATTTTAGATGATGATATTCCCGTTTCCAACGAAATCGTTAGAGCTATCCAAATATCCAGTTACAGTTTCTACCAAAAGGGTGTTTCCAAATTGCTGCATCAAAAGAAAGGTTCAACTCTGTTAGTTGAGGACACACATCACAAAGAAGTTTGTGAGAATGCTTCTGTCTAGATTTTGTATGACGATATTCCCTTTTCCAACGATATCGTTAAAGCAATCTAAATATCAATTTGCAGAATCCACAAAAATAGAGTTTCAAAGCTGCTCTGTAAAAAGAAAGGTTCCACTCTGTTAGCTGAGTACACACATCACAAACTTGTTTCCTCAGAATCCTTTCTGTCTCGTTTTTATGGGAAGATATTTACTTTTTCACCATAGGCATCAAAGCGCTCCAAATGTCCACATCCAGATACTCCAGAAAGAGTGTTTCAAACCTGCTCTATGAAAGGGAATCTTCAACTCTATGAGTTGAATGCAGACATCAGAAAGAAATTTCTGAGAATGCTGTTGTCTACCTTTTATTTGAAATCCCGCTTCCAACGAAATCCTCCAAGCTATCCAAATATCCACCTGCATTTTCCACAAAAAGAGTGTTTCAAAACTGCTCTATCAATAGAAATGTTCAACTCCTTTAGCTGGGTACACACATCACAAACAAGTTTCTGAGAATGCTTCTGTCTAGTTTTTATGGGAAGACGTTCCCTTTTTCACCAAAGGCATCAAAGCGCTCCAAATGTCCACTTCCAGACACTACAAAAAGAGTGTTGCAAACGTGCTCTAAGAAAGCGAATGTTCAACTCTGTGACTTGAATGCAGATATCACAAAGTAGTTTCTGAGAGGGCTTCTGTCTAGATTTTAGATGATGATATTCCCGTTTCCAACGAAATCATTAGAGCTATCCAAATATCCACTTACAGTTTCTACAAAAAGAGTGTTTCCAAACTGCTGCATCAAAAGAGAGGTTCCACTCTGTTAGCTGAGTACACACATCACAAACTTGTTTCTCAGAATCCTTCTGTCTCGTTTTTATGGGAAGATATTTACTTTTTCACCGTAGGCATCAAAGCGCTCCAAATGCCCACATCCAGATACTCCAGAAAGAGTGTTTCAAACCTGCTCTATGAAAGGGAATGTTCAACTCTATGAGTTGAATGCAGACATCAGAAAGAAATTTCTGAGAATGCTGCTGTCTACCTTTTATTTGAATTCCCGCTTCCAACGAAATCCTCCAAGCTATCCAAATATCCACTTGCAGATTCCACAAAAAGAGTGTTTCAAAACTGCTCTCTATCAATGGCAAAGTTCAACTCTGTTAGTTGAGGACACATATCACCAACAAGTTTCTGAGAATGCTTCTGTCTATTTTTTATGGGAAGATATTTCCTTTTTCACCGTAGGCGTCAAGGCGATCGAAATGTCCACTTCCACAAACTACAAAAAGAGTGTTTCAAACCTGCTCTATGAAAGGCGATGTTCATCTCTATGAGTTGAATGGAAATATCCGAAAGAAATTTCTGGGAATGCTGCTGTCTAGTTTTTATATGAATTCCCGCTTCCAACGAAATCCTCAAAGCAATCCAAATATCCACTTGCAGAATCCACAAAAAGAGTGTTTCAAAACTGCTCTATCAATAGAAAGGTTCAACTCTTTTAGTTGAGTACACACATCACAAACAAGTTTCTGAGAATGTTTTCTGTCTGGCTTTTATTGGAAGACGTTTCCTTTTCACCAAAGGCATCAAAGCGCTCCAAATGTCCACTTCCAGATTCTTCCAAAAGAGTGTTTGAAACGTGCTCAAAGTAAGGGAATGTTCAACTCTGTGACTTGAATGCAGATATCACCAAGTAGTTTCTAATAGTGCTTCTGTCTAGATTTTAGATGATGATATTCCCGTTTCCAACGAAATCGTTAGAGCTATCCAAATATCCAGTTACAGTTTCTACCAAAAGGGTGTTTCCAAATTGCTGCATCAAAAGAAAGGTTCAACCTCTGTTAGTTGAGGACACACATCACAAAGAAGTTTGTGAGAATGCTTCTGTCTAGATTTTGTATGACCATATTCCCTTTTCCAGCGATATCATTAAAGCAATCTAAATATCCATTTGCAGAATCCACAAAAATAGAGTTTCAAAGCTGCTCTGTAAAAAGAAAGGTTCCACTCTGTTAGCTGAGTACACACATCACAAACTTGTTTCTCAGCATCCTGCTGTCTACCTTTTATTTGAATTCCCGCTTCCAACGAAATCCTCCTAGCTATCCAAACATCCACTTGCATTTTCCACAAAAAGAGTGTTTCAAAACTGCTCTATCAATAGAAACGTTCAACTCCTTTAGCTGGGTACACACATCACAAACAAGTTTCTGAGAATGCTTCTGTCTAGTTTTTATGGGAAGACATTCCCTTTTTCACCAAAGGCACCAAAGCGCTCCAAATGTCCACTTCCAGACACTACAAAAAGAGTGTTTCAAACGTGCTCTAAGAAACCGAATGTTCAACTCTGTGACTTGAATGCAGATATCACAAAGTAGTTTCTGAGAGGGCTTCTGTCTAGATTTTAGATGATGATATTCCCGTTTCCAACAAAATCATTAGAGCTTCCAAATATCCACTTACAGTTTCTACAAAAAGAGTGTTTCCAAACTGCTGCATCAAAAGAGAGGTTCCACTCTGTTAGCTGAGTACACACATCACAAACTTGTTTCTCAGAATCCTTCTGTCTAGCTTTTATGGGAAGATATTTCCTTTTTCACCATAGGCATCAAAGCGATCCCAATGTCCACATCCAGATAGTACAGAAAGAGTGTTTCAAACCTGCTCTATGAAAGGGAATGTTCAACTCTATGAGTTGAAGGCAAACATCACAAAGAAATTTCTGAGAATGCTGCTGTCTACCTTTTATTTGAATTCCCGCTTCCAACGAAATCCTCCAAGCTATCCAAATATCCACCTGCGTTTTCCACAACAAGAGTGTTTCAAAACTGCTCTATCAATAGAAATGTTCAACTCCTTTGGCTGGGTACACACATCACAAACAAGTTTCTGAGAATGCTTCTGTCTATTTTTTATGGGAAGATATTTCCTTCTTCACCGTAGGCGTCAAGGCGATCGAAATGTCCACTTCCACAAACTACAAAAAGAGTGTTTCAAACCTGCTCTATGAAAGGCCATGTTCATCTCTATGAGTCGAATGGAAATATCCGAAAGAAATTTTCTGGGAATGCTGCTGTCTAGTTTTATACGAATTCCCGCTTCCAACGAAATCCTCAAAGCAATCCAAATATCCACTTGCAGAATCCACAAAAAGAGTGTTTCAAAACTGCTCTATCAATAGAAAGGTTCAACTCTTTTAGTTGAGTACACACATCACAAACAAGTTTCTGAGAATGCTTCTGTCTGGCTTTTATTGGAAGACGTTTCCTTTTCACCAAAGGCATCAAAGCGCTCCAAATGTCCACTTCCAGATTCTTCCAAAAGAGTGTTTGAAACGTGCTCAAAGTAAGGGAATGTTCAACTCTGTGACTTGAATGCAGATATCACCAAGTAGTTTCTAATAGTGCTTCTGTCTAGATTTTAGATGATGATATTCCCGTTTCCAAGGAAATCGTTAGAGCTATCCAAATATCCAGTTACAGTTTCTACCAAAAGGGTGTTTCCAAATTGCTGCATCAAAAGAAAGGTTCAACTCTGTTAGTTGAGGACACACATCACAAAGAAGTTTGTGAGAATGCTTCTGTCTAGATTTTGTATGACGATATTCCCTTTTCCAACGATATCGTTAAAGCAATCTAAATATCAATTTGCAGAATCCACAAAAATAGAGTTTCAAAGCTGCTCTGTAAAAAGAAAGGTTCCACTCTGTTAGCTGAGTACACACATCACAAACTTGTTTCTGAGAATCCCTTCTGTCTCGTTTTTATGGGAAGATATTTACTTTTCCACCGTAGGCATCAAAGCGCTCCAAAGGTCCACATCCAGATACTCCAGAACGAGTGTTTCAAACCTGCTCTATGAAAGGGAATCTTCAACTCTATGAGTTGAATGCAGACATCAGAAAGAAATTTCTGAGAATGCTGCTGTCTACCTTTTATTTGAATTCCCGCTTCCAACGAAATCCTCCAAGCTATCCAAATATCCACTTGCATTTTCCACAAAAAAAGTGTTTCATAACTGCTCTGTCAATAGAAATATTCAACTCCTTTAGCTGGGTACACACATCACAAACAAGTTTCTGAGAATGCTTCTGTCTAGTTTTTATGGGAAGACGTTCCCTTTTTCACCAAAGGCATCAAAGCGCTCCAAATGTCCACTTCCAGACACTACAAAAAGAGTGTTTCAAACGTGCTCTAAGAAACCGAATGTTCAACTCTGTGACTTGAATGCAGATATCACAAAGTAGTTTCTGAGAGGGCTTCTGTCTAGATTTTAGACGATGATATTCCCGTTTCCAACGAAATCATTAGAGCTATCCAAATATCCACTTACAGTTTCTACAAAAAGAGTGTTTCCAAACTGCTGCATCAAAAGAGAGGTTCCACTCTGTTAGCTGAGTACACACATCACAAACTTGTTTCTCAGAATCCTTCTGTCTCGTTTTTATGGGAAGATATTTACTTTTTCACCGTAGGCATCAAAGCGCTCCAAATGTCCACATCCAGATAGTACAGAAAGAGTTTTTCAAACCTGCTCTATGAAAGGGAATCTTCAACTCTATGAGTTGAATGCAGACATCAGAAAGAAATTTCTGAGAATGCTGCTGTCTACCTTTTATTTGAATTCCCGCTTCCAACGAAATCCTCCAAGCTATCCAAATATCCACTTGCAGATTCCACAGAAAGAGTGTTTCAAAACTGCTCTCTATCAATGGCAAAGTTCAACTCTGTTAGTTGAGGACACATATCACCAACAAGTTTCTGAGAATGCTTCTGTCTATTTTTTATGGGAAGATATTTCCTTTTTCACCGTAGGCGTCAAGGCGATCGAAATGTCCACTTCCACAAACTACAAAAAGAGTGTTTCAAACCTGCTCTATGAAAGGCCATGTTCATCTCTATGAGTTGAATGGAAATATCCGAAAAAAATTTCTGGGAATGCTGCTGTCTAGTTTTTATATGAATTCCCGCTTCCAACGAAATCCTCAAAGCAATCCAAATATCCACTTGCAGAATCCACAAAAAGAGTGTTTCAAAACTGCTCTATCAATAGAAAGGTTCAACTCTTTTAGTTGAGTACACACATCACGAACAAGTTTCTGAGAATGCTTCTCTCTGGCTTTTATTGGAAGACGTTTCCTTTTCACCAAAGGCATCAAAGCGCTCCAAATGTCCACTTCCAGATTCTTCCAAAAGAGTGTTTCAAACGTGCTCAAAGTAAGGGAATGTTCAACTCTGTGACTTGAATACAGATATCACCAAGTAGTTTCTAATAGTGCTTCTATCTAGATTTTAGATGATGATATTCCCGTTTCCAACGAAATCGTTAGAGCTATCCAAATATCCACTTACAGTTTCTACAAAAAGAGTGTTTCCAAACTGCTGCATCAAAAGAAAGGTTCAACTCTGTTAGTTGAGGACACACATCACAAAGAAGTTTGTGAGAATGCTTCTGTCTAGATTTTGTATGACGATATTCCCTTTTCCAACGATATCATTAAAGCAATCTAAATATCCATTTGCAGAATCCACAAAAATAGAGTTTCAAAGCTGCTCTGTAAAAAGAAAGGTTCCACTCTGTTAGCTGAGTACACACATCACAAACTTGTTTCTCAGAATCCTTCTGTCTCGTTTTTATGGGAAGATATTTACTTTTCCACCGTAGGCATCAAAGCGCTCCAAATGTCCACATCCAGATACTCCAGAAAGAGTGTTTCAAACCTGCTCTATGAAAGGGAATCTTCAACTCTATGAGTTGAATGCAGACATCAGAAAGAAATTTCTGAGAAATGCTGTTGTCTACCTTTTATTTGAAATCCCGCTTCCAACGAAAGCCTCCAAGCTATCCAAATATCCACTTGCATTTTCCACAAAAAGAGTGTTTCAAAACTGCTCTATCAATAGAAATGTTCAACTCCTTTAGCTGGGTACACACATCACAAACAAGTTTCTGAGAATGCTTCTGTCTAGTTTTTATGGGAAGACATTCCCTTTTTCACCAAAGGCATCAAAGCGCTCCAAATGTCCACTTCCAGACACTACAAAAAGAGTGTTTCAAACGTGCTCTAAGAAACCGAATGTTCAACTCTGTGACTTGAATGCAGATATCACAAAGTACTTTCTGAGACGGCTTCTGTCTAGATTTTAGATGATGATATTCCCGTTTCCAACGAAATCATTAGAGCTATCCAAATATCCACTTACAGTTTCTACAAAAAGAGTGTTTCCAAACTGCTGCATCCAAAGAGAGGTTCCACTCTGTTAGCTGAGTACACACATCACAAACTTGTTTCTCAGAATCCTTCTGTCTCGTTTTTATGGGAAGATATTTACTTTTTCACCGTAGGCATCAAAGCGCTCCAAATGTCCACATCTAGATACTCCAGAAAGAGTGTTTCAAACCTGCTCTATGAAAGGGAATCTTCAACTCTATGAGTTGAATGCAGACATCAGAAAGAAATTTCTGAGAATGCTGCTGTCTACCTTTTATTTGAATTCCCGCTTCCAACGAAATCCTCCAAGCTATCCAAATATCCACTTGCAGATTCCACAAAAAGAGTGTTTCAAAACTGCTCTCTATCAATGGCAAAGTTCAACTCTGTTAGTTGAGGACACATATCACCAACAAGTTTCTGAGAATGCTTCTGTCTATTTTTTATGGGAAGATATTTCCTTTTTCACTGTAGGCGTCAAGGCGATCGAAATGTCCACTTCCACAAACTACAAAAAGAGTGTTTCAAACCTGCTCTATGAAAGGCGATGTTCATCTCTATGAGTTGAATGGAAATATCCGAAAGAAATTTCTGGGAATGCTGCTGTCTAGTTTTTATATGAATTCCCGCTTCCAACGAAATCCTCAAAGCAATCCAAATATCCACTTGCAGAATCCACAAAAAGAGTGTTTCAAAACTGCTCTATCAATAGAAAGGTTCAACTCTTTTAGTTGAGTACACACATCACAAACAAGTTTCTGAGAATGCTTCTGTCTGGCTTTTATTGGAAGACGTTTCCTTTTCACCAAAGGCATCAAAGCGCTCCAAATGTCCACTTCCAGATTCTTCCAAAAGAGTGTTTCAAACGTGCTCAAAGTAAGGGAATGTTCAACTCTGTGACTTGAATGCAGATATCACCAAGTAGTTTCTAATAGTGCTTCTGTCTAGATTTTAGATGATGATATTCCCGTTTCCAACGAAATCGTTAGAGCTATCCAAATATCCACTTACACTTTCTACAAAAAGAGTGTTTCCAAACTGCTGCATCAAAAGAAAAGTTCAACTCTGTTAGTTGAGGACACACATCACAAAGAAGTTTGTGAGAATGCTTCTGTCTAGATTTTGTATGACGATATTCCCTTTTCCAACGATATCATTAAAGCAATCTAAATATCAATTTGCAGAATCCACAGAAATAGAGTTTCAAAGCTGCTCTGTAAAAAGAAAGGTTCCACTCTGTTAGCTGAGTACACACATCACAAACTTGTTTCTGAGAATCCTTCTGTCTCGTTTTTATGGGAAGATATTTACTTTTTCACCGTAGGCATCAAAGCGCTCCAAATGTCCACATCCAGATACTCCAGAAAGACTGTTTCAAACCTGCCCTATGAAAGGGAATCTTCAACTCTATGAGTTGAATGCAGACATCAGAAAGAAATTTCTGAGAATGCTGCTGTCTACCTTTTTATTTGAATTCCCGCTTCCAACGAAATCCTCCAAGCTATCCAAATATCCACCTGCATTTTCCACAACAAGAGTGTTTCAAAACTGCTCTATCAATAGAAATGTTCAACTCCTTTGGCTGGGTACACACATCACAAACAAGTTTCTGAGAATGCTTCTTTCTAGATTTTATGGGAAGACATTTCCTTTTTCACCAAAGGCATCAAAGAGCTCCAAATGTCCACTTCCAGATACTACAAAAAGAGTGTTTCAAAAGTGCTCTAAGAAAGCGAATGTTCAACACTATGACTTGAATGCAGATATCAAAAAGTAGTTTCTGAGAGTGCTTCTGTCTAGATTTTAGATGATGATATTCCCGTTTCCAACGAAATCATTAGAGCTATCCAAATATCCACTTACAGTTTCTACAAAAAGAGTGTTTCCAAACTACTGCATCAAAAGAGAGGTTCCACTCTGTTAGGTGAGTACACACATCACAAACTTGTTTCTCAGAATCCTTCTGTCTCGTTTTTCTGGGAAGATATTTACTTTTTCACCGTAGGCATCAAAGCGCTCCAAATGTCCACATCCAGATACTCCAGAAAGAGTGTTTCAAACCTGCTCTATGAAAGGGAATCTTCAACTCCTATGAGTTGAATGCAGACATCAGAAAGAAATTTCTGAGAATGCTGCTGTCTACCTTTCATTTGAATTCCCGCTTCCAACGAAATCCTCCAAGCTATCCAAATATTCACTTGCAGATTCCACAAAAAGAGTGTTTCAAAACTACTCTATCAATAGAAAGGTACAACTCTGTCAGTTGAGGACACACATCACAAACAAGTTTCTGAGAATGCTGTCTACCTTTTATTTGAATTCCCGCTTCCAACGAAAACCTCCAAGCTATCCAAATATCCACTTGCAGATTCCACAAAAAGAGTGTTTCAAAACTGCTCTATCAATAGAAATGTTCAACTCCTTTCGCTGGGTACACACATCACAAACAAGTTTCTGAGAATGCTTCTGTCTGGCTTTTATTGGAAGACGTTTCCTTTTCACCAAAGGCATCAAAGCGCTCCAAATGTCCACTTCCAGATTCTTCCAAAAGAGTGTTTCAAACGTGCTCAAAGTAAGGGAATGTTCTACTCTGTGACTTGAATGCAGATATCACCAAGTAGTTTCTAATAGTGCTTCTGTCTAGATTTTAGATGACGATATTCCCGTTTCCAGCGAAATCGTTAGAGCTATCCAAATATCCACTTACAGTTTCTACAAAAAGAGTGTTTCCAAACTGCTGCATCAAAAGAAAGGTTCAACTCTGTTAGTTGAGGACACACATCACAAAGAAGTTTGTGAGAATGCTTCTGTCTAGATTTTGTATGACCATATTCCCTTTTCCAGCGATATCATTAAAGCAATCTAAATATCCATTTGCAGAATCCACAAAAATAGAGTTTCAAAGCTGCTCTGTAAAAAGAGAGGTTCCACTCTGTTAGCTGAGTACACACATCACAAACTTGTTTCTCAGAATCCTGCTGTCTACCTTTTATTTGAATTCCCGCTTCCAACGAAATCCTCCAAGCTATCCAAATATCCACTTGCATTTTCCACAAAAAGAGTGTTTCAAAACTGCTCTATCAATAGAAACGTTCAACTCCTTTAGCTGGGTACACACATCACAAACAAGTTTCTGAGAATGCTTCTGTCTAGTTTTTATGGGAAGACATTCCCTGTTTCACCAAAGGCATCAAAGCGCTCCAAATGTCCACTTCCTGACACTACAAAAAGAGTGTTTCAAACGTGCTCTAAGAAAGCGAATGTTCAACTCTCTGACTTGAATGCAGATATCACAAAGTAGTTTGCTGAGAGGGCTTCTGTCTAGATTTTAGATGATGATATTCCCGTTTCCAACGAAATCATTAGAGCTATCCAAATATCCACTTACAGTTTCTACAAAAAGAGTGTTTCCAAACTGCTGCATCAAGAGAGAGGTTCCACTCTGTTAGCTGAGTACACACATCACAAACTTGTTTCTCAGAATCCTTCTGTCTCGTTTTTATGGGAAGATATTTACTTTTTCACCGTAGGCATCAAAGCGCTCCAAATGTCCACATCCAGATACTCCAGAAAGAGTGTTTCAAACCTGCTCTATGAAAGGGAATGTTCAACTCTATGAGTTGAATGCAGACATCAGGAAGAAATTTCTGAGAATGCTTGCTGTCTACCTTTTATTTGAATTCCCGCTTCCAACGAAATCCTCCAAGCTATCCAAATATCCACTTGCAGATTCCACAAAAAGAGTGTTTCAAAACTGCTCTCTATCAATGGCAAAGTTCAACTCTGTTAGTTGAGGACACATATCACCAACAAGTTTCTGAGAATGCTTCTGTCTATTTTTTATGGGAAGATATTTCCTTTTTCACCGTAGGCGTCAAGGCGATCGAAATGTCCACTTCCACAAACTACAAAAAGAGTGTTTCAAACCTGCTCTATGAAAGGCGATGTTCATCTCTATGAGTTGAATGGAAATATCCGAAAGAAATTTCTGGGAATGCTGCTGTCTAGTTTTTATACGAATTGCCGCTTCCAACGAAATCCTCAAAGCAATCCAAATATCCACTTGCAGAATCGACAAAAAGAGTGTTTCAAAACTGCTCTATCAATAGAAAGGTTCAACTCTTTTAGTTGAGTACACACATCACAAACAAGTTTCTGAGAATGCTTCTGTCTGGCTTTTATTGGAAGACGTTTCCTTTTCACCAAAGGCATCAAAGCGCTCCAAATGTCCACTTCCAGATTCTTCCAAAAGAGTGTTTGAAACGTGCTCAAAGTAAGGGAATGTTCAACTCTGTGACTTGAATGCAGATATCACCAAGTAGTTTCTAATAGTGCTTCTGTCTAGATTTTAGATGATGATATTCCCGTTTCCAACGAAATCGTTAGAGCTATCCAAATATCCACTTACAGTTGCTACAAAAACAGTGTTTCCAAACTGCTGCATCAAAAGAAAGGTTCAACTCTGTTAGATGAGGACACACGTCACAAAGAAGTTTGTGAGAATGCTTCTGTCTAGATTTTGTATGACGATATTCCCTTTTCCAACGATATCGTTAAAGCAATCTAAATATCAATTTGCAGAATCCACAAAAATAGAGTTTCAAAGCTGCTCTGTAAAAAGAAAGGTTCCACTCTGTTAGCTGAGTACACATATCACAAACTTGTTTCTCAGAATCCTGCTGTCTACCATTTATTTGAATTCCCGCTTCCAACGAAATCTTCCAACCTATCCAAATATCCACCTGCATTTTCCACAAAAAGAGTGTTTCAAAACTGCTCTATCAATAGAAATGTTCAACTCCTTTAGCTAGGTACACACATCACAAACAAGTTTCTGAGAATGCTTCTGTCTAGTTTTTATGGGAAGACGTTCCCTTTTTCACCAAAGGCATCAAAGCGCTCCAAATGTCCACTTCCAGACACTACAAAAAGAGTGTTTCCAACGTGCTCTAAGAAAGCGAATGTTCAACTCTGTGACTTGAATGCAGATATCACAAAGTAGTTTGTGAGAGGGCTTCTGTCTAGATTTTGTATGACGATATTCCCTTTTCCAATGATATCGTTAAAGCAATCTAAATATCAATTTGCAGAATCCACAAAAATAGAGTTTCAAAGCTGCTCTGTAAAAAGAAAGGTTCCACTCTGTTAGCTGAGTACACACATCACAAACTTGTTTCTGAGAATCCTGCTGTCTACCTTTTATTTGAATTCCCGCTTCCAACGAAATCCTCCAAGCTATCCAAATATCCACTTGCATTTTCCACAAAAAGAGTGCTTCAAAACTGCTCTATCAATAAATGTTCAACTCCTTTAGCTGGGTGCACACATCACAAACAAGTTTCTGAGAATGCTTCTGTCTAGTTTTTATGGGAAGACGTTCCCTTTTTCACCAAAGGCATCAAAGCACTCCAAATGTCCACTTCCAGACACTACAAAAAGAGTGTTTCCAACGTGCTCTAAGAAAGCGAATGTTCAACTCTGTGACTTGAATGCAGATATCACAAAGTAGTTTCTGAGAGGGCTTCTGTCCAGATTTTGTATGACGATATTCCCTTTTCCAACGATATCGTTAAAGCAATCTAAATATCAATTTCCAGAATCCACAAAAATAGAGTTTCAAAGCTGCTCTGTAAAAAGAAAGGTTCCACTCTGTTAGCTGAGTACACACAACACAAACTTGTTTCTGAGAATCCTTCTGTCTCGTTTTTATGGGAAGATATTTACTTTTTCACCGTAGGCATCAAAGCGCTCCAAATGTCCACATCCAGATACTCCAGAAAGAGTGTTTCAAACCTGCTCTATGAAAGGGAATCTTCAACTGCTATGAGTTGAATGCAGACATCAGAAAGAAATTTCTGAGAATGCTGCTGTCTACCTTTCATTTGAATTCCCGCTTCCAACGAAATCCTCCAAGCTATCCAAATATCCACTTGCAGATTCCACAAAAAGAGTGTTTCTAAACTGCTCTATCAATGGCAAGGTTCAACTCTGTCAGTTGAGGATACACATCACAAACAAGTTTCTGAGAATTCTTCTGTCTATTTTTTATGGGAAGATATTTCCTTTTTCACCGTAGGCGTCAAGGCGATCGAAATGTCCACTTCCACAAACTACAAAAAGTGTGTTTCAATATGAAAGGCCATGTTCATCTCTATGAGTTGAATGGAAATATCCGAAAGAAATTTCTGGGAATGCTGCTGTCTAGTGTTTATACGAATTCCCGCTTCCAACGAAATCCTCAAAGCAATCCAAATATCCACTTGCAGAATCCACAAAAAGAGTGTTTCAAAACTGCTCTATCAATAGAAAGGTTCAACTCTTTTAGTTGAGTACACACATCACAAACAAGTTTCTGAGAATGCTTCTGTCTGGCTTTTATTGGAAGACGTTTCCTTTTCACCAAAGGCATCAAAGCGCTCCAAATGTCCACTTCCAGATTCTTCCAAAAGAGTGTTTCAAACGTGCTCAAAGTAAGGGAATGTTCTACTCTGTGTCTTGAATGCAGATATCACCAAGTAGTTTCTAATAGTGCTTCTGTCTAGATTTTAGATGATGATATTCCCGTTTCCAACGAAATCGTTAGAGCTATCCAAATATCCAATTACAGTTTCTACCAAAAGGGTGTTTCCAAATTGCTGCATCAAAAGAAAGGTTCAACTCTGTTAGTTGAGGACACACATCACAAAGAAGTTTGTGAGAATGCTTCTGTCTAGATTTTGTATGACGATATTCCCTTTTCCAACGATATCGTTAAAGCAATCTAAATATCCATTTGCAGAATCCACAAAAATAGAGTTTCAAAGCTGCTCTGTAAAAAGAAAGGTTCCACTCTGTTAGCTGAGTACACACATCACAAACTTGTTTCTCAGAATCCTTCTGTCTCGTTTTTATGGGAAGATATTTACTTTTTCACCGTAGGCATCAAAGCGCTCCAAATGTCCACATCCAGATACTCCAGAAAGAGTGTTTCAAACCTGCTCCTATGAAAGGGAATGCTTCAACTCTATGAGTTGAATGCAGACATCAGAAAGAAATTTCTGAGAATGCTGCTGTCTACCTTTTATTTGAACTCCCGCTTCCAACGAAATCCTCCAAGCTATCCAAATATCCACTTGCATTTTCCACAAAAAGAGTGCTTCAAAACTGCTCTATCAATAAATGTTCAACTCCTTTAGCTGGGTGCACACATCACAAACAAGTTTCTGAGAATGCTTCTGTCTAGTTTTTATGGGAAGACATTCCCTTTTTCACCAAAGGCATCAAAGCGCTCCAAATGTCCACTTCCAGACACTACAAAAAGAGTGTTTCCAACGTGCTCTAAGAAAGCGAATGTTCAACTCTGTGACTTGAATACAGATATCACAAAGTAGTTTCTGAGAGGGCTTCTGTCTAGATTTTAGTTGATGATATTCCCATTTCCAACGAAATCATTAGAGCTATCCAAATATTCACTTACAGTTTCTACAAAAAGAGTGTTTCCAAACTGCTGCATCAGAAGAGAGGTTCCACTCTGTTAGCTGAGTACACACATCACAAACTTGTTTCTCAGAATCCTTCTGTCTCGTTTTTATGGGAAGATATTTACTTTTTCATCGTAGGCCTCAAATCGCTCCAAATGTCCACATCCAGATACTACAGAAAGAGTATTTCAAACCTGCCCTATGAAAGGGAATGCTCAACTCTATGAGTTGAATGCAGACATCAGAAAGAAATTTCTGAGAATGCTGCTGTCTACCTTTTATTTGAATTCCCGCTTCCAACGAAATCCTCCAAGCTATCCAAATATCCACTTGCAGATTCCACAAAAAGAGTGTTTCAAAACTGCTCTCTATCAATGGCAAAGTTCAACTCTGTTAGTTGAGGACACATATCACCAACAAGTTTCTGAGAATGCTCTGTCTATTTTTTATGGGAAGATATTTCCTTTTTCACCGTAGGCGTCAAGGCGATCGAAATGTCCACTTCCACAAACTACAAAAAGAGTGTTTCAAACCTGCTCTATGAAAGGCGATGTTCATCTCAATGAGTTGAATGGAAATATCCGAAAGAAATTTCTGGGAATGCTGGCTGTCTAGTTTTATACGAATTCCCGCTTCCAACGAAATCCTCAAAGCAATCCAAATATCCACTTGCAGAATCCACAAAAGAGTGTTTCAAAACTGCTCTATCAATAGAAAGGTTCAACTCTTGTAGTTGAGTACACACATCACAAACAAGTTTCTGAGAATGCTTCTGTCTGGCTTTTATTGGAAGACGTTTCCTTTTCACCAAAGGCATCAAAGCGCTCCAAATGTCCACTTCCAGATTCTTCCAAAAGAGTGTTTGAAACGTGCTCAAAGTAAGGGAATGTTCAACTCTGTGACTTGAATGCAGATATCACCAAGTAGTTTCTAATAGTGCTTCTGTCTAGATTTTAGATGATGATATTCCCGTTTCCAACGAAATCGTTAGAGCTATCCAAATATCCATTACAGTTGCTACAAAAACAGTGTTTCCAAACTGCTGCATCAAAAGAAAGGTTCAACTCTGTTAGTTGAGGACACACATCACAAAGAAGTTTGTGAGAATGCTTCTGTCTAGATTTTGTATGACCATATTCCCTTTTCCAGCGGTATCATTAAAGCAATCTAAATATCCATTTGCAGAATCCACAAAAATAGAGTTTCAAAGCTGCTCTGTAAAAAGAAAGGTTCCACTCTGTTAGCTGAGTACACACATCACAAACTTGTTTCTCAGAATCCTTCTGTCTCGTTCTTATGGGAAGATATTTACTTTTTCACCGTAGGCATCAAAGCGCTCCAAATGTCCACATCCAGATACTCCAGAAACAGTGTTTCAAACCTGCTCTATGAAAGGGAATCTTCAACTCTATGAGTTGAATGCAGACATCAGAAACTAATTTCTCAGAATGCTGCTGTCTACCTTTATTTGAATTCCCGCTTCCAACGAAATCCTCCAAGCTATCCAAATATCCACTTGCATTTTCCACAAAAAGAGTGTTTCAAAACTGCTCTATCAATAGAAATGTTCAACTCCTTTAGCTGGGTACACACATCACAAACAAGTTTCTGAGAATGCTTCTGTCTAGTTTTTATGGGAAGACGTTCCCTTTTTCACCAAAGGCATCAAAGCGCTCCAAATGTCCACTTCCAGACACTACAAAAAGAGTGTTTCAAACGTGCTCTAAGAAAGCGAATGTTCAACTCTGTGACTTGAATGCAGATATCACAAAGTAGTTTCTGAGTGAGCTTCTGTCTAGATTTTAGATGATGATATTCCCGTTTCCAAAGAAATCATTAGAGCTATCCAAATATCCACTTACAGTTTCTACAAAAAGAGTGTTTCCAAACTGCTGCATCAAAAGAGAGGTTCCACTCTGTTAGCTGAGTACACACATCACAAACTTGTTTCTCAGAATCCTTCTGTCTCGTTTTTATGGGAAGATATTTACTTTTTCACCGTAGGCATCAAAGCGCTCCAAATGTCCACATCCAGATACTACAGAAAGAGTATTTCAAACCTGCCCTATGAAAGGGAATCTTCAACTCTATGAGTTGAATGCAGAGATCAGAAAGAAATTTCTGAGAATGCTGCTGTCTACCTTTTATTTGAATTCCCGCTTCCAACGAAATCCTCCAAGCTATCCAAATATCCACTTGCAGATTCCACAAAAAGAGTGTTTCAAAACTGCTCTCTATCAATGGCAAAGTTCAACTCTGTTAGTTGAGGACACGTATCGCCAACAAGTTTCTGAGAATGCTTCTGTCTATTTTTTATGGGAAGATATTTCCTTTTTCACCGTAGGCGTCAAGGCGATCGAAATGTCCACTTCCACAAACTACAAAAAGAGTGTTTCAAACCTGCTCTATGAAAGGCCATGTTCATCTCTATGAGTCGAATGGAAATATCCGAAAGAAATTTCTGGGAATGCTGCTGTCTAGTTTTTATACGAATTCCCGCTTCCAACGAAATCCTCAAAGCAATCCAAATATCCTCTTGCAGAATCCACAAAAAGAGTGTTTCAAAACTGCTCTATCAATAGAAAGGTTCAACTCTTTTAGTTGAGTACACACATCACAAACAAGTTTCTGAGAATGCTTCTGTCTGGCTTTTATTGGAAGACGTTTCCTTTTCACCAAAGGCATCAAAGCGCTCCAAATGTCCACTTCCAGATTCTTCCAAAAGAGTGTTTCAAACGTGCTCAAAGTAAGGGAATGTTCAACTCTGTGACTTGAATGCAGATATCACCAAGTAGTTTCTAATAGTGCTTCTGTCTAGATTTTAGATGATGATATTCCCGTTTCCAACGAAATCGTTAGAGCTATCAAAATATCCACTTACAGTTTCTACAAAAACAGTGTTTCCAAACTGCTGCATCAAAAGAAAAGTTCAACTCTGTTAGTTGAGGACACACATCACAAAGAAGTTTGTGAGAATGCTTCTGTCTAGATTTTGTATGACGATATTCCCTTTTCCAACGATATCGTTAAAGCAATCTAAATATCAATTTGCAGAATCCACAAAAATAGAGTTTCAAAGCTGCTCTGTAAAAAGAAATGTTCCACTCTGTTAGCTGAGTACACACATCACAAACTTGTTTCTGAGAATCCTTCTGTCTCGTTTTTATGGGAAGATATTTACTTTTCCACCGTAGGCATCAAAGCGCTCCAAATGTCCACATCCAGATACTCCAGAACGAGTGTTTCAAACCTGCTCTATGAAAGGGAATCTTCAACTCTATGAGTTGAATGCAGACATCAGAAAGAAATTTCTGAGAATGCTGCTGTCTACCTTTTATTTGAATTCCCGCTTCCAACGAAATCCTCCAAGCTATCCAAATATCCACCTGCATTTTCCACAACAAGAGTGTTTCAAAACTGCTCTATCAATAGAAATGTTCAACTCCTTTGGCTGGGTACACACATCACAAACAAGTTTCTGAGCATGCTTCTGTCTAGTTTTTATGGGAAGACATTCCCTTTTTCACCAAAGGCATCAAAGCGCTCCAAATGTCCACTTCCAGACACTACAAAAAGAGTGTTTCAAACGTGCTCTAAGAAAGCGAATGTTCAACTCTGTGACTTGAATGCAGATATCACAAAGTAGTTTCTGAGAGTGCTTCTGTCTAGACTTTAGATGATGATATTCCCGTTTCCAACGAAATCATTAGAGCTATCCAAATATCCACTTACAGTTTCTACAAAAAGAGTGTTTCCAAACTGCTGCATGAAAAGAGAGGTTCCACTCTGTTAGCTGAGTACACACATCACAAACTTGTTTCTCAGAATCCGTCTGTCTCGTTTTTACGGGAAGATATTTACTTTTTCACCGTAGGCATCAAAGCGCTCCAAATGTCCACATCCAGATACTCCAGAAAGAGTGTTTCAAACCTGCTCTATGAAAGGGAATCTTCAACTCTATGAGTTGAATGCAGACATCAGAAAGAAATTTCTGAGAATGCTGCTGTCTACCTTTTATTTGAATTCCCGCTTCCAACGAAATCCTCCAAGCTATCCAAATATCCACTTGCAGATTCCACAAAAAGAGTGTTTCAAAACTGCTCTCTATCAATGGCAAAGTTCAACTCTGTTAGTTGAGGACACATATCACCAACAAGTTTCTGAGAATGCTTCTGTCTATTTTTTATGGGAAGATATTTCCTTTTTCACCGTAGGCGTCAAGGCGATCGAAATGTCCACTTCCACAAACTACAAAAAGAGTGTTTCAAACCTGCTCTATGAAAGGCCATGTTCATCTCTATGAGTTGAATGGAAATATCCGAAAGAAATTTCTGGGAATGCTGCTGTCTAGTGTTTATACGAATTCCCGCTTCCAACGAAATCCTCAAAGCAATCCAAATATCCACTTGCAGAATCCACAAAAAGAGTGTTTCAAAACTGCTCTATCAATAGAAAGGTTCAACTCTTTTAGTTGAGTGCACACATCACGAACAAGTTTCTGAGAATGCTTCTGTCTGGCTTTTATTGGAAGACGTTTCCTTTTCACCAAAGGCATCAAAGCGCTCCAAATGTCCACTTCCAGATTCTTCCAAAAGAGTGTTTCAAACGTGCTCGAAGTAAGGGAATGTTCAACTCTGTGACTTGAATGCAGATATCACCAAGTAGTTTCTAATAGTGCTTCTGTCTACATTTTAGATGATGATATTCCCGTTTCCAACGAAATCGTTAGAGCTATCCAAATATCCAGTTACAGTTTCTACCAAAAGGGTGCCTCCAAATTGCTGCATCAAAAGAAAGGTTCAACTCTGTTAGTTGAGGACACACATCACAAAGAAGTTTGTGAGAATGCTTCTGTCTAGATTTTGTATGACGATATTCCCTTTTCCAACGATATCGTTAAAGCAATCTAAATATCAATTTGTAGAATCCACAAAAATAGAGTTTCAAAGCTGCTCTGTAAAAAGAAAGGTTCCACTCTGTTAGCTGAGTATACACATCACAAACTTGTTTCTGAGAATCCTTCTGTCTCGTTTTTATGGGAAGATATTTACTTTTTCACCGTAGGCATCAAAGCGCTCCAAATGTCCACATGCAGATACTCCAGAAAGACTGTTTCAAACCTGCTCTATGAAAGGGAATCTTCAACTCTATGAGTTGAATGCAGACATCAGAAAGAAATTTCTGAGAATGCTGCTGTCTACCTTTTATTTGAATTCCCGCTTCCAACGAAATCCTCCAAGCTATCCAAATATCCACCTGCATTTTCCACAAAAAGAGTGTTTCAAAACTGCTCTATCAATAGAAATGTTCAACTCCTTTGGCTGGGTACACACATCACAAACAAGTTTGCTGAGAATGCTTTCTGTCTAGTTTTTATGGGAAGACATTCCCTTTTTCACCAAAGGCATCAAAGCGCTACAAATGTCCACTTCCAGACACTACAAAAAGTGTGTTTCAAACGTGCTCTAAGAAAACGAATGTTCAAATCTGTGACTTGAATGCAGATATCACAAAGTAGTTTCTGAGAGGGCTTCTGTCTAGATTTTAGATGATGATATTCCCGTTTCCAACGAAATCATTAGAGCTATCCAAATATCCACTTACAGTTTCTAGAAAAAGAGTGTTTCCAAACTGCTGCATCAAAAGAGAGGTTCCACTCTGTTAGCTGAGTACACACATCACAAACTTGTTTCTCAGAATCCTTCTGTCTCGTTTTTATGGGAAGATATTTACTTTCTCACCGTAGGCATCAAAGCGCTCCAAATGTCCACATCCAGATACTTCAGAAAGAGTGTTTCAAACCTGCTCTATGAAAGGGAATCTTCAACTCTATGAGTTGAATGCAGACATCAGAAAGAAATTTCTGGGAATGCTGCTGTCTACCTTTTATTTGAATTCCCGCTTCCAACGAAATCCTCCAAGCTATCCAAATATCCACTTGCAGATTCCACAAAAAGAGTGTTTCAAAACTGCTCTCTATCAATGGCAAAGTTCAACTCTGTTAGTTGAGGACACATATCACCAACAAGTTTCTGAGAATGCTTCTGTCTATTTTTTATGGGAAGATATTTCCTTTTTCACCGTAGGCGTCAAGGCGATCGAAATGTCCACTTCCACAAACTACAAAAAGAGTGTTTCAAACCTGCTCTATGAAAGGCCATGTTCATCTCTATGAGTCGAATGGAAATATCCGAAAGAAATTTGCTGGGAATGCTGGCTGTCTAGTTTTTATACGAATTCCCGCTTCCAACGAAATCCTCAAAGCAATCCAAATATCCACTTGCAGAATCCACAAAAAGAGTGTTTCAAAACTGCTCTATCAATAGAAAGGTTCAACTCTTTTAGTTGAGTACACACATCACAAACAAGTTTCTGAGAATGCTTCTGTCTGGCTTTTATTGGAAGACGTTTCCTTTTCACGAAAGGCATCAAAGCGCTCCAAATGTCCACTTCCAGATTCTTCCAAAAGAGTGTTTCAAACGTGCTCAAAGTAAGGGAATGTTCAACTCTGTGACTTGAATGCAGATATCACCAAGTAGTTTCTAATAGTGCTTCTGTCTAGATTTTAGATGATGATATTCCCGTTTCCAACGAAATCGTTAGAGCTATCCAAATATCCACTTACAGTTGCTACAAAAAGAGTGTTTCCAAACTGCTGCATCAAAAGAAAGGTTCAACTCTGTTAGTTGAGGACACACATCACAAAGAAGTTTGTGAGAATGCTTCTGTCTAGATTTTGTATGACGATATTCCCTTTTCCAACGATATCGCTAAAGCAATCTAAATATCAATTTGCAAAATCCACAAAAATAGAGTTTCAAAGCTGCTCTGTAAAAAGAAAGGTTCCACTCTGTTAGCTGAGTACACACATCACAAACTTGTTTCTGAGAATCCTTCTGTCTCGTTTTTATGGGAAGATATTTACTTTTCCACCGTAGGCATCAAAGCGCTCCAAATGTCCACATCCAGATACTCCAGAACGAGTGTTTCAAACCTGCTCTATGAAAGGGAATCTTCAACTCTATGAGTTGAATGCAGACATCAGAAAGAAATTTACTGAGAATGCTGCTGTCTACCTTTTATTTGAATTCCCGCTTCCAACGAAATCCTCCAAGCTATCCAAATATCCACCTGCATTGTCCACAAAAAGAGTGTTTCAAAACTGCTCTATCAATAGAAATGTTCACTCCTTTAGCGGGGTACACACATCACAAACAAGTTTCTGAGAATGCTTCTGTCTAGTTTTTATGGGAAGACGTTCCCTTTTTCACCAAAGGCATCAAAGCGCTCCAAGTGTCCACTTCCAGACACTACAAAAAGAGTGTTTCAAACGTGCTCTAAGAAACCGAATGTTCAACTCTGTGACTTGAATGCAGATATCACAAAGTAGTTTCTGAGAGGGCTTCTGTCTAGATTTTAGATGATGATATTCCCGTTTCCAACGAAATCATTAGAGCTATCCAAATATCCACTTACAGTTTCTACAAAAAGAGTGTTTCCAAACTGCTGCATCAAAAGAGAGGTTCCACTCTGTTAGCTGAGTACACACATCACAAACTTGTTTCTGAGAATCCTGCTGTCTACCTTTTATTTGAATTCCCGCTTCCAACGAAATCCTCCAAGCTATCCAAATATCCACTTGCATTTTCCACAAAAAGAGTGTTTCAAAACGGCTCTCTATCAATGTCAAAGTTCAACTCTGTTAGTTGAGGACACATATCACCAACAAGTTTCTGAGAATGCTTCTGTCTATTTTTTATGGGAAGATATTTCCTTTTTCACCGTAGGCGTCAAGGCGATCGAAATGTCCACTTCCACAAACTACAAAAAGAGTTTTTCAAACCTGCTCTATGAAAGGCCATGTTCATCTCTATGAGTTGAATGGAAATATCCGAAAGAAATTTCTGGGAATGCTGCTGTCTAGTGTTTATACGAATTCCCGCTTCCAATGAAATCCTCAAAGCAATCCAAAAATCCACTTGCAGAATCCACAAAAAGAGTGTTTCAAAACTGCTCTATCAATAGAAAGGTTCAACTCTTTTAGTTGAGTACACACATCACGAACAAGTTTCTGAGAATGCTTCTGTCTGGCTTTTATTGGAAGACGTTTCCTTTTCACCAAAGGCATCAAAGCGCTCCAAATGTCCACTTCCAGATTCTTCCAAAAGAGTGTTTCAAACGTGCTCAAAGTAAGGGAATGTTCAACTCTGTGACTTGAATGCAGATATCACCAAGTAGTTTCTAATAGTGCTTCTGTGTATACTTTAGATGAAGATATTCCCGTTTCCAACGATATCGTTAGACCTATCCAAATATCCACTTACAGTTTCTACAAAAAGAGTGTTTCCAAACTGCTGCATCAAAAGAAAGGTTCAACTCTGTTAGTTGAGGACACACATCACAAAGAAGTTTCTGAGAAAGCTTCTGTCCAGATTTTGTATGACGATATTCCCTTTTCCAACGATATCATTAAAGCAATCTAAATATCCATTTGCAGAATCCACAAAAATAGAGTTTCAAAGCTGCTCTGTAAAAAGAAAGGTTCCACTCTGTTAGCTGAGTACACACATCACAAACTTGTCTCTCAGAATCCTTCTGTCTCGTTTTTATGGGAAGATATTTTACTTTTTCACCGTAGGAATCAAAGCGCTCCAAATGTCCACATCCAGATACTCCAGAAAGAGTGTTTCAAACCTGCTCTATGAAAGGGAATCTTCAACTCTATGAGTTGAATGCAGACATCAGAAAGAAATTTCTGAGAATGCTTGCTGTCTACCTTTTATTTGAACTCCCGCTTCCAACGAAATCCTCCAAGCTATCCAAATATCCACTTGCATTTTCCACAAAAAGAGTGCTTCAAAACTGCTCTATCAATAAATGTTCAACTCCTTTAGCTGGGTGCACACATCACAAACAAGTTTCTGAGAATGCTTCTGTCTAGTTTTTATGGGAAGACATTCCCTTTTTCACCAAAGGCATCAAAGCGCTCCAAATGTCCACTTCCAGACACTACAAAAAGAGTGTTTCAAACGTGCTCTAAGAAAGCGAATGTTCAACTCTGTGACTTGAATGCAGATATCACAAAGTAGTTTCTGAGAGGGCTTCTGTCTAGATTTTAGATGATGATATTCTCGTTTCCAACGAAATCATTAGAGCTATCCAAATATCCACTTACAGTTTCTACAAAAAGAGTGTTTCCAAACTGCTGCATCAAAGGAGAGGTTCCAATCTGTTAGCTGAGTACACACATCACAAACTTGTTTCTCAGAATCCTTCTGTCTCGTTTTTATGGGAAGATATTTACTTTTGCACCGTAGGCATCAAAGCGCTCCAAATGTCCACATCCAGATACTCCAGAAAGAGTGTTTCAAACCTGCTCTATGAAAGGGAATCTTCAACTCTATGAGTTGAATGCAGACATCAGAAAGAAATTTCTGAGAATGCTGCTGTCTACCTTTTATTTGAATTCCCGCTTCCAACGAAATCCTCCAAGCTATCCAAATATCCACTTGCAGATTCCACAAAAAGAGTGTTTCAAAACTGCTCTCTATCAATGGCAAAGTTCAACTCTGTTAGTTGAGGACACATATCACCAACAAGTTTCTGAGAATGCTTCTGTCTATTTTTTATGGGAAGATATTTCCTTTTTCACTGTAGGCATCAAGGCGATCGAAATGTCCACTTCCACAAACTACAAAAAGAGTGTTTCAAACCTGCTCTATGAAAGGCCATGTTCATCTCTATGAGTTGAATGGAAATATCCGAAAGAAATTTCTGGGAATGCTGCTGTCTAGTTTTTATACGAATTCCCGCTTCCAACGAAATCCTCAAAGCAATCCAAATATCCACTTGCAGAATCCACAAAAAGAGTGTTTCAAAACTGCTCTATCAATAGAAAGGTTCAACTCTTTTAGTTGAGTACACACATCACAAACAAGTTTCTGAGAATGCTTCTGTCTGGCTTTTATTGGAAGATGTTTCCTTTTCACCAAAGGCATCAAAGCGCTCCAAATGTCCACTTCCAGATTCTTCCAAAAGAGTGTTTGAAACGTGCTCAAAGTAAGGGAATGTTCAACTCTGTGACTTGAATGCAGATATCACCAAGTAGTTTCTAATAGTGCTTATGTCTAGATTTTAGATGATGATATTCCCGTTTCCAACGAAATCGCTAGAGCTATCCAAATATCCAGTTACAGTTTCTACCAAAAGGGTGTTTCCAAATTGCTGCATCAAAAGAAAGGTTCAACTCTGTTAGTTGAGGACACACATCACAAAGAAGTTTGTGAGAATGCTTCTGTCTAGATTTTGTATGACCATATTCCCTTTTCCAGCGATATCATTAAAGCAATCTAAATATCCATTTGCAGAATCCACAAAAATAGAGTTTCAAAGCTGCTCTGTAAAAAGAAAGGTTCCACTCTGTTAGCTGAGTACACACATCACAAACTTGTCTCTCAGAATCCTGCTGTCTACCTTTTATTTGAATTCCCACTTCCAACGAAATCCTCCAAGCTATCCAAATATCCACCTGCATTTTCCACAACAAGAGTGTTTCAAAACTGCTCTATCAATAGAAATGTTCAACTCCTTTGGCTGGGTACACACATCACAAACAAGTTTCTGAGAATGCTTCTGTCTAGTTTTTATGGGAAGACATTGCCTTTTTCACCAAAGGCATCAAAGCGCTCCAAATGTCCACTTCCAGACACTACAAAAAGAGTGTTTCAAACGTGCTCTAAGAAAGCGAATGTTCAACTCTGTGACTTGAATGCAGATATCACAAAGTAGTTTCTGAGAGGGCTTCTGTCTAGATTTTAGATGATGATATTCCCGTTTCCAACGAAATCATTAGAGCTATCCAAATATCCACTTACAGTTTCTACAAAAAGAGTGTTTCCAAACTGCTGCATCAGAAGAGAGGTTCCACTCTGTTAGCTGAGTACACACATCACAAACTTGTTTCCGAGAATCCTTCTGTCTAGCTTTTATGGGAAGATATTTACTTTTTCACCGTAGGCATCAAAGCTTTCCAAATGTCCACATCCAGATAGTACAGAAAGAGTGTTTCAAACCTGCTATATGAAAGGGAATGTTCAACTCTATGAGTTGAATGCAAACATCACAAAGAAATTTCTGAGAATGCTGCTGTCTACCTTTTATTTGAATTCCCGCTTCCAACGAAATCCTCCAGGCTATCCAAATATCCACTTGCAGATTCCACAAAAAGAGTGTTTCAAAACTGATCTATCAATGGCAAGGTTCAACTCTGTCAGTTGAGGATACACATCACAAACAAGTTTCTGAGAATTCTTCTGTCTATTTTTTATGGGAAGATACTTCCTTTTTCACCGTAGGCGTCAAGGCGATCGAAATGTCCACTTCCACAAACTACAAAAAGAGTGTTTCAAACCTGCTCTATGAAAGGCCATGTTCATCTCTATGAGTTGAATGGAAATATCCGAAAGAAATTTCTGGGAATGCTGCTGTCTAGTTGTTATATGAATTCCCGCTTCCAACGAAATCCTCAAAGCAATCCAAATATCCACTTGCAGAATCCACAAAAAGAGTGTTTCAAAACTGCTCTATCAATAGAAAGGTTCAACTCTTTTAGTTGAGTACACACATCACAAACAAGTTTCTGAGAATGCTTCTGTCTGGCTTTTGTTGGGAGACGTTTCCTTTTCACCAAAGGCATCAAAGCGCTCCAAATGTCCACTTCCAGATTCTTCCAAAAGAGTGTTTCAAACGTGCTCAAAGTAAGGGAATGTTCAACTCTGTGACTTGAATGCAGATATCACCAAGTAGTTTCTAATAGTGCTTCTGTCTAGATTTTAGATGATGATATTCCCGTTTCCAACGAAATCGTTAGAGCTATCCAAATATCCACTTACAGTTGCTACAAAAAGAGTGTTTCCAAACTGCTGCATCAAAAGAAAGGTTCAACTCTGTTAGTTGAGGACACACATCACAAAGAAGTTTGTGAGAATGCTTCTGTCTAGATTTTGTATGACGATATTCCCTTTTCCAACGATATCATTAAAGCAATCTAAATATCCATTTGCAGAATCCACAAAAATAGAGTTTCAAAGCTGCTCTGTAAAAAGAAAGGTTCCACTCTGTTAGCTGAGTACACACATCACAAACTTGTTTCTCAGAATCCTTCTGTCTCGTTTTTATGGGAAGATATTTACTTTTTCACCGTAGGCATCAAAGCGCTCCAAATGTCCACATCCAGATACTCCAGAAAGAGTGTTTCAAACCTGCTCTATGAAAGGGAATCTTCAACTCTATGAGTTGAATGCAGACATCAGAAAGAAATTTCTGAGAATGCTGCTGTCTACCTTTTATTTGAACTCCCGCTTCCAACGAAATCCTCCAAGCTATCCAAATATCCACTTGCATTTTCCACAAAAAAAGTGCTTCAAAACTGCTCTATCAATAAATGTTCAACTCCTTTAGCTGGGTGCACACATCACAAACAAGTTTCTGAGAATGCTTCTGTCTAGTTTTTATGGGAAGACGTTCCCTTTTTCACCAAAGGCATCAAAGCGCTCCAAATGTCCACTTCCAGACACTACAAAAACAGTGTTTCAAACGTGCTCTAAGAAAGCGAATGTTCAACTCTGTGACTTGAATGCAGATATCACAAAGTAGTTTCTGAGAGTGCTTCTGTCTAGATTTTAGATGATGATATTCCCGTTTCCAACGAAATCATTAGAGCTATCCAAATATCCACTTACAGTTTCTACAAAAAGAGTGTTTCCAAACTGCTGCATCAAAACAGAGGTTCCACTCTGTTAGCTGAGTACACACATCACAAACTTGTTTCTCAGAATCCTTCTGTCTCGTTTTTATGGGAAGATATTTACTTTTTCACCGTAGGCATCAAAGCGCTCCAAATGTCCACATCCAGATACTCCAGAAAGTGTGTTTCAAACCTGCTCTATGAAAGGGAATCTTCAACTCTATGAGTTGAATGCAGACATCAGAAAGAAATTTCTGAGAATGCTGCTGTCTACCTTTAATTTGAATTCCCGCTTCCAACGAAATCCTCCAAGCTATCCAAATATCCACCTGCATTTTCCACAACAAGAGTGTTTCAAAACTGCTCTATCAATAGAAATGTTCAACTCCTTTGGCTGGGTACACACATCACAAACAAGTTTCTGAGAATGCTTCTGTCTAGTTTTTATGGGAAGACATTCCCTTTTTCACCAAAGGCATCAAAGCGCTCCAAATGTCCACTTCCAGACACTACAAAAAGAGTGTTTCAAACGTGCTCTAAGAAACCGAATGTTCAACTCTGTGAGTTGAATGCAGATATCACAAAGTAGTTTCTGAGAGGGCTTCTGTCTAGATTTTAGATGATGATATTCCCGTTTCCAACGAAATCATTAGAGCTATCCAAATATCCACTTACAGTTTCTACAAAAAGAGTGTTTCCAAACTGCTGCATCAAAAGAGAGGTTCCACTCTGTTAGCTGAGTACACACATCACAAACTTGTTTCTCAGAATCCTTCTGTCTCGTTTTTATGGGAAGATTATACTTTTTCACCGTAGGCATCAAAGCGCTCCAAATGTCCACATCCAGATACTCCAGAAAGAGTGTTTCAAACCTGCTCTATGAAAGGGAATGTTCAACTCTATGAGTTGAATGCAGACATCAGAAAGAAATTTCTGAGAATGCTGCTGTCTACCTTTTATTTGAATTCCCGCTTCCAACGAAATCCTCCAAGCTATCCAAATATCCACTTGCAGATTCCACAAAAAGAGTGTTTCAAAACTGCTCTCTATCAATGGCAAAGTTCAACTCTGTTAGTTGAGGACACCTATCACCAACAAGTTTCTGAGAATGCTTCTGTCTATTTTTTATGGGAAGATATTTCCTTTTTCACCGTAGGCGTCAAGGCGATCGAAATGTCCACTTCCACAAACTACAAAAAGAGTGTTTCAAACCTGCTCTATGAAAGGCCATGTTCATCTCTATGAGTCGAATGGAAATATCCGAAAGAAATTTCTGGGAATGCTGCTGTCTAGTTTTTATACGAATTCCCGCTTCCAACGAAATCCTCAAAGCAATCCAAATATCCACTTGCAGAATCCACAAAAAGAGTGTTTCAAAACTGCTCTATCAATAGAAAGGTTCAACTCTTTTAGTTGAGTACACACATCACAAACAAGTTTCTGAGAATGCTTCTGTCTGGCTTTTATTGGAAGACGTTTCCTTTTCACCAAAGGCATCAAAGCGCTCCAAATGTCCACTTTCAGATTCTTCCAAAAGAGTGTTTCAAACGTGCTCGAAGTAAGGGAATGTTCTACTCTGTGATTTGAATGCAGATATCACCAAGTAGTTTCTAATAGTGCTTCTGTCTAGATTTTAGATGATGATATTCCCGTTTCCAACGAAATCGTTAGAGCTATCCAAATATCCAGTTACAGTTTCTACCAAAAGGGTGTTTCCAAATTGCTGCATCAAAAGAAAGGTTCAACTCTGTTAGTTGAGGACACACATCACAAAGAAGTTTGTGAGAATGCTTCTGTCTAGATTTTGTATGAGGATATTCCCTTTTCCAACGATATCGTTAAAGCAATCTAAATATCAATTTGCAGAATCCACAAAACTAGAGTTTCAAAGCTGCTCTGTAAAAAGAAAGGTTCCACTCTGTTAGCTGAGTACACACATCACAAACTTGTTTCTGAGAATCCTTCTGTCTCGTTTTTATGGGAAGATATTTACTTTTCCACTGTAGGCATCAAAGCGCTCCAAATGTCCACATCCAGATACTCCAGAACGAGTGTTTCAAACCTGCTCTATGAAAGGGAATCTTCAACTCTATGAGTTGAATGCAGAATCAGAAAGAAATTTCTGAGAATGCTGCTGTCTACCTTTTATTTGAATTCCCGCTTCCAACGAAATCCTCCAAGCTATCCAAATATCCACCTGCATTTTCCACAAAAAGAGAGTTTCAAAACTGCTCTATCAATAGAAATGTTCATCTCCTTTGGCTGGGTACACACATCACAAACAAGTTTCTGAGAATGCTTCTGTCTAGTTTTTATGGGAAGACATTCCCTTTTTCACCAAAGGCATCAAAGCGCTCCAAATGTCCACTTCCAGACACTACAAAAAGAGTGTTTCCAACGTGCTCTAAGAAAGCGAATGTTCAACTCTGTGACTTGAATTCAGATATCACAAAGTAGTTTCTGAGAGGGCTTCTGTCTAGATTTTAGATGATGATATTCCCGTTTCCAACGAAATCATTAGAGCTATCCAAATATCCACTTACAGTTTCTACAAAAAGAGTGTTTCCAAACTGCTGCATCAAAAGAGAGGTTCCACTCTGTTAGCTGAGTACACACATCACAAACTTGTTTCTCAGAATCCTTCTGTCTCGTTTTTCTGGGAAGATATTTACTTTTTCACCGTAGGCATCAAAGCGCTCCAAATGTCCACATCCAGATACTCCAGAAAGAGTGTTTCAAACCTGCTCTATGAAAGGGAATCTTCAACTCTATGAGTTGAATGCAGACATCAGAAAGAAATTTACTGAGAATGCTGCTGTCTACCTTTTATTTGAATTCCCGCTTCCAACGAAATCCTTCAAGCTATCCAAATATCCACTTGCAGATTCCACAAAAAGAGTGTTTCAAAACTGCTCTCTATCAATGGCAAAGTTCAACTCTGTTAGTTGAGGACACATATCACCAACAAGTTTTTGAGAATGCTTCTGTCTATTTTTTATGGGAAGATATTTCCTTTTTCACCGTAGGCGTCAAGGCGATCGAAATGTCCACTTCCACAAACTACAAAAAGAGTGTTGCAAACCTGCTCTATGAAAGGCCATGTTCATCTCTATGAGTTGAATGGATATATCCGAAAGAAATTTCTGGGAATGCTGCTGTCTAGTGTTTATACGAATTCCCGCTTCCAACGAAATCCTCAAAGCAATCCAAATATCCACTTGCAGAATCCACAAAAAGAGTGTTTCAAAACTGCTCTATCAATAGAAAGGTTCAACTCTTTTAGTTGAGTACACACATCACAAACAAGTTTCTGAGAATGCTTCTGTCTGGCTTTTATTGGAAGACGTTTCCTTTTCACCAAAGGCATCAAAGCGCTCCAAATGTCCACTTCCAGATTCTTCCAAAAGAGTGTTTCAAAAGTGCTCGAAGTAAGGGAATGTTCTACTCTGTGACTTGAATGCAGATATCACCAAGTAGTTTCTAATAGTGCTTCTGTCTACATTTTAGATGATGATATTCCCGTTTCCAACGAAATCGTTAGAGCTATCCAAATATCCAGTTACAGTTTCTACCAAAAGGGTGTTTCCAAATTGCTGCATCAAAAGAAAGGTTCAACTCTGTTAGTTGAGGACACACATCACAAAGAAGTTTGTGAGAATGCTTATCTGTCTATATTTTGTATGACCATATTCCCTTTTCCAGCGATATCATTAAAGCAATCTAAATATCCATTTGCAGAATCCACAAAAATAGAGTTTCAAAGCTGCTCTGTAAAAAGAAAGGTTCCACTCTGTTAGCTGAGTACACACATCACAAACTTGTTTCTGAGAATCCTTCTGTCTCGTTTTTATGGGAAGATATTTACTTTTTCACCGTAGGCATCAAAGCGCTCCAAATGTCCACATCCAGATACTGCAGAAAGAGTGTTTCAAACCTGCTCTATGAAAGGGAATCTTCAACTCTATGAGTTGAATGCAGACATCAGAAAGAAATTTCTGAGAATGCTGCTGTCTACCTTTTATTTGAACTCCCACTTCCAACGAAATCCTCCAAGCTATCCAAATATCCACTTGCATTTTCCACAAAAAGAGTGCTTCAAAACTGCTCTATCAATAAATGTTCAACTCCTTTAGCTGGGTGCACACATCACAAACAAGTTTCTGAGAATGCTTCTGTCTAGTTTTTATGGGAAGACGTTCCCTTTTTCACCAAAGGCATCAAAGCGCTCCAAATGTCCACTTCCAGACACTACAAAAAGAGTGTTTCAAACGTGCTCTAAGAAAGCGAATGTTCAACTCCTGTGACTTGAATGCAGATATCACAAAGTAGTTTCTGAGAGGGCTTCTGTCTAGATTTTAGATGATGATATTCCCGTTTCCAACGAAATCATTAGAGCTATCCAAATATCCACTTACAGTTTCTACAAAAAGAGTGTTTCCAAACTGCTGCATCAGAAGAGAGGTTCCACTCTGTTAGCTGAGTACGCACATCACAAACTTGTTTCTGAGAATCCTTCTTCAATTTTTTATGGGAAGACATTTCCTTTTTCACCGTAGGCATCAAAGCGCTCCAAATGTCCACATCCAGATAGTACAGAAAGAGTGTTTCAAACCTGCTCTATTAAAGGGAATGTTCAACTCTATGAGTTGAATGCAAACATCAGAAAGGAATTTCTGAGAATGCTGCTGTCTACCTTTTATTTGAATTCCCGCTTCCAACGAAATCCTCCAAGCTATCCAAATATCCACTTGCAGATTCCACAAAAAGAGTGTTTCAAAACTGCTCTCTATCAATGGCAAAGTTCAACTCTGTTAGTTGAGGACACATATCACCAACAAGTTTCTGAGAATGCTTCTGTCTATTTTTTATGGGAAGATATTTCCTTTTTCACCGTAGGCGTCAAGGCGATCGAAATGTCCACTTCCAGAAACTACAAAATGAGTGTTTCAAACCTGCTCTATGAAAGGCCATGTTCATCTCTATGAGTTGAATGGAAATATCCGAAAGAAATTTCTGGGAATGCTGCTGTCTAGTGTTTATACGAATTCCCGCTTCCAACGAAATCCTCAAAGCAATCCAAATATCCACTTGCAGAATCCACAAAAAGAGTGTTTCAAAACTGCTCTATCAATAGAAAGGTTCAACTCTTTTAGTTGAGTACACACATCACGAACAAGTTTCTGAGAATGCTTTTGTCTGGCTTTTATTGGAAGACGTTTCCTTTTCACCAAAGGCATCAAAGCGCTCCAAATGTCCACTTCCAGATTTTTCCAAAAGAGTGTTTCAAACGTGCTCAAAGTAAGGGAATGTTCAACTCTGTGACTTGAATGCAGATATCACCAAGTAGTTTCTAATAGTGCTTCTGTCTAGATTTTAGATGATGATATTCCCGTTTCCAACGAAATCATTAGAGCTATCCAAATATCCACTTACAGTTTCTACAAAAAGAGTGTTTCCAAACTGCTGCATCAAAAGAAAGTTTCAACTCTGTTAGTTGAGGACACACATCACAAAGAAGTTTGTGAGAATGCTTCTGTCCAGATTTTGTATGACGATATTCCCTTTTCCAACGATATCGTTAAAGCAATCTAAATATCAATTTGCAGAATCCACAAAAATAGAGTTTCAAAGCTGCTCTGTAAAAAGAAAGGTTCCACTCTGTTAGCTGAGTACACACATCAGAAACTTGTTTCTGAGAATCCTTCTGTCTCGTTTTTATGGGAAGATATTTACTTTTCCAACGTAGGCATCAAAGCGCTCCAAATGTCCACATCCAGATACTCCAGAAAGAGTGTTTCAAACCTGCTCTATGAAAGGGAATCTTCAACTCTATGAGTTGAATGCAGACATCAGAAAGAAATTTCTGAGAATGCTGCTGTCTACCTTTTATTTGAATTCCCGCTTCCAACGAAATCCTCCAAGCTATCCAAATATCCACCTGCATTTTCCACAACAAGAGTGTTTCAAAACTGCTCTATCAATAGAAATGTTCAACTCCTTTGGCTGGGTACACACATCACAAACAAGTCTCTGAGAATGTTTCTGTCTAGTTTTTATGGGAAGACATTCCCTTTTTCACCAAAGGAATCAAAGCGCTCCAAATGTCCACTTCCAGACACTACAAAAAGAGTGTTTCAAACGTGCTCTAAGAAAGCGAATGTTCAACTCTGTGACTTGAATGCAGATATCACAAAGTAGTTTCTGAGAGGGCTTCTGTCTAGATTTTAGATGATGATATTCCCGTTTCCAACGAAATCATTAGAGCTATCCAAATATCCACTTACAGTTTCTACAAAAAGAGTGTTTCCAAACTGCTGGATCAAAAGAGAGGTTCCACTCTGTTAGCTGAGTACACACATCACAAACTTGTTTCTGAGAATCCTGCTGTCTACCTTTTATTTGAATTTCCGCTTCCAACGAACTCCTCCAAGCTATCCAAATATCCACTTGCAGATTCCACAAAAAGAGTGTTTCAAAACTGCTCTCTATCAATGGCAAAGTTCAACTCTGTTAGTTGAGGACACATATCACCAACAAGTTTCTGAGAATGCTTCTGTCTATTTTTTATGGGAAGATATTTCCTTTTTCACCGTAGGCGTCAAGGCGATCGAAATGTCCACTTCCACAAACTACAAAAAGAGTGTTTCAAACCTGCTCTATGAAAGGCCATGTTCATCTCTATGAGTTGAATGGAAATATCCGAAAGAAATTTCTGGGAATGCTGCTGTCTAGTGTTTATACGAATTCCCGCTTCCAACGAAATCCTCAAAGCAATCCAAATATCCACTTGCAGAATCCACAAAAAGAGGGTTTCAAAACTGCTCTATCAATAGAAAGGTTCAACTCTTTTAGTTGAGTACACACAACACGAACAAGTTTCTGAGAATGCTTCTGTCTGGCTTTTATTGGAAGACGTTTCCTTTTCACCAAAGGCATCAAAGCGCTCCAAATGTCCACTTCCAGATTCTTCCAAAAGAGTGTTTCAAACGTGGTCGAAGTAAGGGAATGTTCAACTCTGTGACTTGAATGCAGATATCACCAAGTAGTTTCTAATAGTGCTTCTGTCTACATTTTAGATGATGATATTCCCGTTTCCAACGAAATCGTTAGAGCTATCCAAATATCCAGTTACAGTTTCTACCAAAAGGGTGTTTCCAAATTGCTGCATCAAAAGAAAGGTTCAACTCTGTTAGTTGAGGACACACATCACAAAGAAGTTTGTGAGAATGCTTCTGTCCAGATTTTGTATGACAATATTCCCTTTTCCAACGATATCGTTAAAGCAATCTAAATATCAATTTGCAGAATCCACAAAAATAGAGTTTCAAAGCTGCTCTGTAAAAAGAAAGGTTCCACTCTGTTAGCTGAGTACACACATCACAAACTTGTTTCTGAGAATCCTTCTGTCTCGTTTTTATGGGAAGATATTTACTTTTCCACCGTAGGCATCAAAGCGCTCCAAATGTCCACATCCGGATACTCGAGAACGAGTGTTTCAAACCTGCTCTATGAAAGGGAATCTTCAACTCTATGAGTTGAATGCAGACATCAGAAAGAAATTTCTGAGAATGCTGCTGTCTACCTTTTATTTGAATTCCCGCTTCCAACGAAATCCTCCAAGCTATCCAAATATCCACTTGCATTTTCCACAAAAAGAGTGTTTCAAAACTGCTCTATCAATAGAAATGTTCAACTCCTTTGGCTGGGTACACACATCACAAACAAGTTTCTGAGAATGCTTCTGTCTAGTTTTTATGGGAAGACGTTCCCTTTTTCACCAAAGGCATCAAAGCGCTCCAAATGTCCACTTCCAGACACTACAAAAAGAGTGTTTCCAACGTGCTCTAAGAAAGCGAATGTTCAACTCTGTGACTTGAATGCAGATATCACAAAGTAGTTTCTGAGAGTGCTTCTGTCTAGATTTTAGATGATGATATTCCCGTTTCCAACGAAATCATTAGAGCTATCCAAATATCCACTTACAGTTTCTACAAAAAGAATGTTTCCAAACTGCTGCATCAAAAGAGAGGTTCCACTCTGTTAGCTGAGTACACACATCACAAACTTGTTTCTCAGAATCCTTCTGTCTCGTTTTTATGGGAAGATATTTACTTTTCCACCGTAGGCATCAAAGCGCTCCAAATGTCCACATCCAGATACTCCAGAAAGAGTGTTTCAAACCTGCTCTATGAAAGGGAATCTTCAACTCTATGAGTTGAATGCAGACATCAGAAAGAAATTTCTGAGAATGCTGCTGTCTACCTTTTATTTGAATTCCCGCTTCCAACGAAATCCTCCAAGCTATCCAAATATCCACTTGCAGATTCCACAAAAAGAGTGTTTGAAAACTGCTCTCTATCAATGGCAAAGTTCAACTCTGTTAGTTGAGGACACATATCACCAACAAGTTTCTGAGAATGCTTCTGTCTATTTTTTATGGGAAGATATTTCCTTTTTCAGCGTAGGTGTCAAGGCGATCGAAATGTCCACTTCCACAAACTACAAAAAGAGTGTTTCAAACCTGCTCTATGAAAGGCCATGTTCATCTCTATGAGTTGAATGGAAATATCCGAAAGAAATTTCTGGGAATTCTGCTGTCTAGTGTTTATACGAATTCCCGCTTCCAACGAAATCCTCAAAGCAATCCAAATATCCACTTGCAGAATCCACAAAAAGAGTGTTTCAAAACTGCTCTATCAATAGAAAGGTTCAACTCTTTTAGTTGAGTACACACATCACAAACAAGTTTCTGAGAATGCTTCTGTCTGGTTTTTATTAGAAGACGTTTCCTTTTTCACCAAAGGCATCAAAGCGCTCCAAATGTCCACTTCCAGATTCTTCCAAAAGAGTGTTTCAAACGTGCTCGAAGTAAGGGAATGTTCTACTCTGTGACTTGAATGCAGATATCACCAGGTAGTTTCTAATAGTGCTTCTGTCTAGATTTTAGATGATGATATTCCCGTTTCCAACGAAATCGTTAGAGCTATCCAAATATCCAGTTACAGTTTCTACCAAAAGGGTGTTTCCAAATTGCTGCATCAAAAGAAAGGTTCAACTCTGTTAGTTGAGGACACACATCACAAAGAAGTTTGTGAGAATGCTTCTGTCTAGATTTTGTATGACGATATTCCCTTTTCCAACGATATCGTTAAAGCAATCTAAATATCAATTTGCAGAATCCACAAAAATAGAGTTTCAAAGCTGCTCTGTAAAAAGAAAGGTTCCACTCTGTTAGCTGAGTACACACATCACAAACTTGATTCTGAGAATCCTTCTGTCTCGTTTTTATGGGAAGATATTTACTTTTCCACTGTAGGCATCAAAGCGCTCCAAATGTCCACATCCAGATACTCCAGAACGAGTGTTTCAAACCTGCTCTATGAAAGGGAATCTTCAACTCTATGAGTTGAATGCAGACATCAGAAAGAAATTTCTGAGAATGCTGCTGTCTACCTTTTATTTGAATTCCCGCTTCCAACGAAAACCTCCAAGCTATCCAAATATCCACTTGCAGATTCCACAAAAAGAGTGTTTCAAAACTTCTCTATCAATAGAAATGTTCAACTCCTTTCGCTGGGTACACACATCACAAACAAGTTTCTGAGAAAGCTTCTGTCTAGTTTTTATGGGAAGACATTTCCTTTTTCACCAAAGGCATCAAAGAGCTCCAAATGTCCACTTCCAGATACTACAAAAAGAGTGTTTCAAAAGTGCTCTAAGAAAGCGAATGTTCAACTCTGTGACTTGAATGCAGATATCAAAAAGTAGTTTCTGAGAGTGCTTCTGTCTAGATTTTAGATGATGATATTCCCGTTTCCAACGAAATCATTAGAGCTATCCAAATATCCACTTACAGTTTCTACAAAAAGAGTGTTTCCAAACTGCTGCATCAAAAGAGAGGTTCCACTCTGTTAGCTGAGTACACACATCACAAACTTGTTTCTCAGAATCCTTCTGTCTCGTTTTTATGGGAAGATATTTACTTTTTCCACCGTAGGCATCAAAGCGCTCCAAATGTCCACATCCAGATACTCCAGAAAGAGTGTTTCAAACCTGCTCTATGAAAGGGAATCTTCAACTCTATGAGTTGAATGCAGACATCAGAAAGAAATTTCTGAGAATGCTGCTGTCTACCTTTTATTTGAATTCCCGCTTCCAACGAAATCCTCCAAGCTATCCAAATATCCACTTGCATTTTCCACAAAAAGAGTGTTTCAAAACTGCTCTATCAATGGAAATGTTCAACTCCTTTAGCTGGGTACACACATCACAAACAAGTTTCTGAGAATGCTTCTGTCTAGTTTTTATGGGAAGACATTCCCTTTTTCACCAAAGGCATCAAAGCGCTCCAAATGTCCACTTCCAGACACTACAAAAAGAGTGTTTCCAACGTGCCCTAAGAAAGCGAATGTTCAACTCTGTGACTTGAATGCAGATATCACAAAGTAGTTTCTGAGAGGGCTTCTGTCTAGATTTTAGATGATGATATTCCCGTTTCCAACGAAATCATTAGAGCTATCCAAATATCCACTTACAGTTTCTACAAAAAGAGTGTTTCCAAACTGCTGCATCAAAAGAGAGGTTCCACTCTGTTAGCTGAGTACACACATCACAAACTTGTTTCTCAGAATCCTTCTGTCTCTTTTTTATGGGAAGATATTTACTTTTTCACCGTAGGCATCAAAGCGCTCCAAATGTCCACATCCAGATACTCCAGAAAGAGTGTTTCAAACCTGCTCTATGAAAGGGAATCTTCAACTCTATGAGTTAAATTCAGACATCAGAAAGAAATTTCTGAGAATGCTGCTGTCTACCTTTTATTTGAATTCCCGCTTCCAACGAAATCCTCCAAGCTATCCAAATATCCACTTGCAGATTCCACAAAAAGAGTGTTTCAAAACTGCTCTCTATCAATGGCAAAGTTCAACTCTGTTAGTTGAGGACACATATCACCAACAAGTTTTCTGAGAATGCTTTCTGTCTATTTTTTATGGGAAGATATTTCCGTTTTCACCGTAGGCGTCAAGGCGATCGAAATGTCCACTTCCACAAACTACAAAAAGAGTGTTTCAAACCTGCTCTATGAAAGGCCATGTTCATCTCTATGAGTTGAATGGAAATATCCGAAAGAAATTTCTGGGAATGCTGCTGTCTAGTTTTTATACGAATTCCCGCTTCCAACGAAATCCTCAAAGCAATCCAAATATCCACTTGCAGAATCCACAAAAAGAGTGTTTCAAAACTGCTCTATCAATAGAAAGGTTCAACTCTTTTAGTTGAGTACACACATCACAAACAAGTTTCTGAGAATGCTTCTGTCTGGCTTTTATTGGAAGACGTTTCCTTTTCACCAAAGGCATCAAAGCGCTCCAAATGTCCACTTCCAGATTCTTCCAAAAGAGTGTTTGAAACGTGCTCAAAGTAAGGGAATGTTCAACTCTGTGACTTGAATGCAGATATCACCAAGTAGTTTCTAATAGTGCTTCTGTCTACATTTTAGATGATGATATTCCCGTTTCCAACGAAATCGTTAGAGCTATCCAAATATCCAGTTACAGTTTCTACCAAAAGGGTGTTTCCAAATTGCTGCATCAAAAGAAAGGTTCAACTCTGTTAGTTGAGGACACACATCACAAAGAAGTTTGTGAGAATGCTTCTGTCTAGATTTTGTATGACGATATTCCCTTTTCCAACGATATCGTTAAAGCAATCTAAATATCAATTTGCAGAATCCACAAAAATAGAGTTTCAAAGCTGCTCTGTAAAAATAAAGGTTCCACTCTGTTAGCTGAGTACACACATCACAAACTTGTTTCTGAGAATCCTTCTGTCTCGTTTTTATGGGAAGATATTTACTTTTTCACCGTAGGCATCAAAGCGCTCCAAATGTCCACATCCAGATACTCCAGAAAGAGTGTTTCAAACCTGCTCTATGAAAGGGAATCTTCAACTCTATGAGTTGAATGCAGACATCAGAAAGAAATTTCTGAGAATGCTGCTGTCTACCTTTTATTTGAATTCCCTCTTCCAACGAAATCCTCCAAGCTATCCAAATATCCACTTGCATTTTCCACAAAAAGAGTGTTTCAAAACTGCTCTATCAATAGAAATGTTCAACTCCTTTAGCTGGGTAGACACATCACAAACAAGTTTCTGAGAATGCTTCTGTCTAGTTTTTATGGGTAGACATTCCCTTTTTCACCAAAGGCATCAAAGCGCTCCAAATGTCCACTTCCAGACACTACAAAAAGAGTGTTTCCAACGTGCTCTAAGAAAGCGAATGTTCAACTCTGTGACTTGAATGCAGATATCACAAAGTAGTTTCTGAGAGGGCTTCTGTCTAGATTTTAGATGATGATATTCCCGTTTCCAACGAAATCATTAGCAGCTATCCAAATATCCACTTACAGTTTCTACAAAAAGAGTGTTTCCAAACTGCTGCATCAAAACAGAGGTTCCACTCTGTTAGCTGAGTACACACATCACAAACTTGTTTCTCAGAATCCTTCTGTCTAGCTTTTATGGGAAGATATTTACTTTTTCACCGTAGGCATCAAAGCTTTCCAAATGTCCACTTCCAGATAATACAGAAAGAGTGTCTCAAACCTGCTCTATGAAAGGGAATGTTCAACTCTATGAGTTGAATGCAAACATCAGAAGGAAATTTCTGAGAATGCTGCTGTCTACCTTTTATTTGAATTCCCGCTTCCAACGAAATCCTCCAAGCTATCCAAATATCCACTTGCAGATTCCACAAAAAGAGTGTTTCAAAACTGCTCTCTATCAATGGCAAAGTTCAAGTCTGTTAGTTGAGGACACATATCACCAACAAGTTTCTGAGAATGCTTCTGTCTATTTTTTATGGGAAGATATTTCCTTTTTCACCGTAGGCGTCAAGGCGATCGAAATGTCCACTTCCACAAACTACAAAAAGAGTGTTTCAAACCTGCTCTATGAAAGGCCATGTTCATCTCTATGAGTTGAATGGAAATATCCGAAAGAAATTTCTGGGAATGCTGCTGTCTAGTGTTTATACGAATTCCCGCTTCCAACGAAATCCTCAAAGCAATCCAAATATCCACTTGCAGAATCCACAAAAAGAGTGTTTCAAAACTGCTCTATCAATAGAAAGGTTCAACTCTTTTAGTTGAGTACACACATCACCAACAAGTTTCTGAGAATGCTTCTGTCTGGCTTTTATTGGAAGACGTTTCCTTTTCACCAAAGGCATCAAAGCGCTCCAAATGTCCACTTCCAGATTCTTCCAAAAGAGTGTTTCAAACGTGCTCGAAGTAAGGGAATGTTCTACTCTGTGACTTGAATGCAGATATCACCAGGTAGTTTCTAATAGTGCTTCTGTCTAGATTTTAGATGATGATATTCCCGTTTCCAACGAAATCGTTATAGCTATCCAAATATCCACTTACAGTTTCTACAAAAAGAGTGTTTCCAAACTGCTGCATCAAAAGAAAGGTTCAACTCTGTTAGTTGAGGACACACATCACAAAGAAGTTTGTGAGAAAGCTTCTGTCTAGATTTTGTATGACCATATTCCCTTTTCCAGCGATATCATTAAAGCAATCTAAATATGCATTTGCAGAATCCACAAAAATAGAGTTTCAAAGCTGCTCTGTAAAAAGAAAGGTTCCACTCTGTTAGCTGAGTACACACATCACAAACTTGTCTCTCAGAATCCTTCTGTCTCGTTTTTATGGGAAGATATTTACTTTTTCACCGTAGGCATCAAAGCGCTCCAAATGTCCACATCCAGATACTCCAGAAACAGTGTTTCAAACCTGCTCTATGAAAGGGAATGTTCAACTCTATGAGTTGAATGCAGACATCAGAAAGAAATTTCTGAGAATGCTGCTGTCTACCTTTTATTGAATTCCCGCTTCCAACGATATCCTCCAAGCTATCCAAATATCCACTTGCATTTTCCACAAAAAGAGTGTTTCAAAACTGCTCTATCAATAGAAATGTTCAACTCCTTTAGCTGGGTACACACATCACAAACAAGTTTCTGAGAATGCTTCTGTCTAGTTTTTATGGGAAGACATTCCCTTTTTCACCAAAGGCATCAAAGCGCTCCAAATGTCCACTTCCAGACACTACAAAAGGAGTGTTTCCAACGTGCTCTAAGAAACCGAATGTTCAACTCTGTGACTTGAATGCAGATATCACAAAGTAGTTTCTGAGAGGGCTTCTGTCTAGATTTTAGATGATGATATTCCCGTTTCCAACGAAATCATTAGATCTATCCAAATATCCACTTACAGTTTCTACAAAAAGAGTGTTTCCAAACTGCTGCATCAAAAGAGAGGTTCCACTCTGTTAGCTGAGTACACACATCACAAACTTGTTTCTCAGAATCCTTCTGTCTCGTTTTTCTGGGAAGATATTTACTTTTTCACCGTAGGCATCAAAGCGCTCCAAATGTCCACATCCAGATACTCCAGAAGGAGTGTTTCAAACCTGCTCTATGAAAGGGAATCTTCAACTCTATGAGTTGAATGCAGACATCAGAAAGAAATTTCTGAGAATGCTGCTGTCTACCTTTTATTTGAATTCCCGCTTCCAACGAAATCCTCCAAGCTATCCAAATATCCACTTGCAGATTCCACAAAAAGAGTGTTTCAAAAACTGCTCTCTATCAATGGCAAAGTTCAACTCTGTTAGTTGAGGACACATATCACCAACAAGTTTCTGAGAATGCTTCTGTCTATTTTTTATGGGAAGATATTTCCTTTTTCACCGTAGGCGTCAAGGCGATCGAAATGTCCACTTCCACAAACTACAAAAAGAGTGTTTCAAACCTGCTCTATGAAAGGCCATGTTCATCTCTATGAGTTGAATGGAAATATCCGAAAGAAATTTCTGGGAATGCTGCTGTCTAGTGTTTATACGAATTCCCGCTTCCAACGAAATCCTCAAAGCAATCCAAATATCCACTTGCAGAATCCACAAAAAGAGTGTTTCAAAACTGCCCTATCAATAGAAAGGTTCAACTCTTTTAGTTGAGTACACACATCACGAACAAGTTTCTCAGAATGCTTCTGTCTGGCTTTTATTGTAAGACGTTTCCTTTTCACCAAAGGCATCAAAGCGCTCCAAATGTCCACTTCCAGATTCTTCCAAAAGAGTGTTTGAAACGTGCTCAAAGTAAGGGAATGTTCAACTCTGTGACTTGAATGCAGATATCACCAAGTAGTTTCTAATAGTGCTTCTGTCTAGATTTTAGATGATGATATTCCCGTTTCCAACGAAATCGTTAGAGCTATCCAAATATCCACTTACAGTTTCTACAAAAAGAGTGTTTCCAAACTGCTGCATCAAAAGAAAGGTTCAACTCTGTTAGTTGAGGACACACGTCACAAAGAAGTTTGTGAGAATGCTTCTGTCTAGATTTTGTATGAAGATATTCCCTTTTCCAACGATGTCGTTAAATCAACCCAAATATCAATTTGCAGAATCCACAGAAATAGAGTTTCAAAGCTGCTCTGTAAAAAGGAAGGATCCACTCTGTTAGCTGAGTACACACATCACAAACTTGTTTCTGAGAATCCTTCTGTCTCGTTTTTATGGGAAGATATTTTCTTTTCCACCGTAGGCATCAAAGCGCTCCAAATGTCCACATCCAGATACTCCAGAACGAGTGTTTCAAACCTGCTCTATGAAAGGGAATCTTCAACTCTATGAGTTGAATGCAGACATCAGAAAGAAATTTCTGAGAATGCTCCTGTCTACCTTTTATTTGAATTCCCGCTTCCAATGAAATCCTCCAAGCTATCCAAATATCCACTTGCATTTTCCACAAAAAGAGTGTTTCAAAACTGCTCTATCAATGGAAATGTTCAACTCCTTTAGCTGGGTACACACATCACAAACAAGTTTCTGAGAATGCTTCTGTCTAGTTTTTATGGGAAGACATTCCCTGTTTCACCAAAGGCATCAAAGCGCTCCAAATGTCCACTTCCTGACACTACAAAAAGAGTGTTTCAAACGTGCTCTAAGAAAGCGAATGTTCAACTCTCTGACTTGAATGCAGATATCACAAAGTAGTTTCTGAGAGGGCTTCTGTCTAGATTTTAGATGATGATATTCCCGTTTCCAACGAAATCATTAGAGCTATCCAAATATCCACTTACGGTTTCTACAAAAAGAGTGTTTCCAAACTGCTGCATCAAAAGAGAGGTTCCACTCTGTTAGCTGAGTACACACATCACAAACTTGTTTCTCAGAATCCTTCTGTCTCGTTTTTATGGGAAGATTATACTTTTTCACCGTAGGCATCAAAGCGCTCCAAATGTCCACATCCAGATACTCCAGAAAGAGTGTTTCAAACCTGCTCTATGAAAGGGAATCTTCAACTCTATGAGTTGAATGCAGACATCAGAAAGAAATTTCTGAGAATGCTGCTGTCTACCTTTAATTTGAATTCCCGCTTCCAACGAAATCCTCCAAGCTATCCAAATATCCACTTGCAGATTCCACAAAAAGAGTGTTTCAAAACTGCTCTCTATCAATGGCAAAGTTCAACTCTGTTAGTTGAGGACACATATCACCAACAATTTTCTGAGAATGCTTCTGTCAATTTTTTATGGGAAGATATTTCCTTTTTCACCGTAGGCATCAAGGCGATCGAAATGTCCACTTACACAAACTACAAAAAGAGTGTTTCAATATGAAAGGCCATGTTCATCTCTATGAGTTGAATGGAAATATCCGAAAGAAATTTCTGGGAATGTTGCTGTCTAGTGTTTATACGAATTCCCGCTTCCAACGAAATCCTCAAAGCAATCCAAATATCCACTTGCAGAATCCACAAAAAGAGTGTTTCAAAACTGCTCTATCAATAGAAAGGTTCAACTCTTTTAGTTGAGTACACACATCACGAACAAGTTTCTGAGAATGCTTCTGTGTGGCTTTTATTGGAAGACGTTTCCTTTTCACCAAAGGCATCAAAGCGCTCCAAATGTCCACTTCCAGATTCTTCCAAAAGAGTGTTTCAAACGTGCTCAAAGTAAGGGAATGTTCAACTCTGTGACTTGAATGCAGATATCACCAAGTAGTTTCTAATAGTGCTTCTGTCTACATTTTAGATGATGATATTCCCGTTTCCAACGAAATCGTTAGAGCTATCCAAATATCCAGTTACAGTTTCTACCAAAAGGGTGCTTCCAAATTGCTGCATCAAAAGAAAGGTTCAACTCTGTTAGTTGAGGACACACATCACAAAGAAGTTTGTGAGAATGCTTCTGTCTAGATTTTGTATGACGGTATTCCCTTTTCCAACGATATCGTTAAAGCAATCTAAATATCAATTTGCAGAATCCACAACAATAGAGTTTCAAAGCTGCTCTGTAAAAAGAAAGGTTCCACTCTGTTAGCTGAGTACACACATCACAAACTTGTTTCTGAGAATCCTTTCTGTCTCGTTTTTCTGGGAAGATATTTACTTTTTCACCGTAGGCATCAAAGCGCTCCAAATGTCCACATCCAGATACTCCAGAAAGAGTGTTTCAAACCTGCTCTATGAAAGGGAATCTTCAACTCTATGAGTTGAATGCAGACATCAGAAAGAAATTTCTGAGAATGCTGGCTGTCTACCTTTTATTTGAATTCCCGCTTCCAACGAAATCCTTCAAGCTATCCAAATATCCACCTGCATTTTCCACAAAAAGAGTGTTTCAAAACTGCTCTATCAATAGAAATGTTCAACTCCTTTGGCTGGGTACACACATCACAAACAAGTTTCTGAGAATGCTTCTGTCTAGTTTTTATGGGAAGACGTTCCCTTTTTCACCAAAGGCATCAAAGTGCTCCAAATGTCCACTTCCAGACACTACAAAAAGAGTGTTTCAAACGTGCTCTAAGAAAGCGAATGTTCAACTCTGTGACTTGAATGCAGATATCACAAAGTAGTTTCTGAGAGTGCTTGTGTCTAGATTTTGTATGACGATATTCCCTTTTCCAACGATATCGTTAAAGCAATCTAAATATCAATTTGCAGAATCCACAAAAATAGAGTTTCAAAGCTGCTCTGTAAAAAGAAAGGTTCCACTCTGTTAGCTGAGTACACACATCACAAACTTGTTTCTCAGAATCCTTCTGTCTCGTTTTTATGGGAAGATATTTACTTTTTCACCGTAGGCATCAAAGCGCTCCAAATGTCCACGTCCAGATACTCCAGAAAGAGTGTTTCAAACCTGCTCTATGAAAGGGAATCTTCAACTCTATGAGTTGAATGCAGACATCAGAAAGAAATTTCTGAGAATGCTGCTGTCTACCTTTTATTTGAATTCCCGCTTCCAACGAAATCCTCCAAGCTATCCAAATATCCACTTGCAGATTCCACAAAAAGAGTGTTTCAAAACTGCTCTCTATCAATGGCAAAGTTCAACTCTGTTAGTTGAGGACACATATCACCAACAAGTTTCTGAGAATGCTTCTGTCTATTTTTTATGGGAAGATATTTCCTTTTTCACCGTAGGCGTCAAGGCGATCGAAATGTCCACTTCCACAAACTACAAAAAGAGTGTTTCAAACCTGCTCTATGAAAGGCCATGTTCATCTCTATGAGTCGAATGGAAATATCCGAAAGAAATTTCTGGGAATGCTGCTGTCTAGTTTTTATACGAATTCCCGCTTCCAACGAAATCCTCAAAGCAATCCTAATATCCACTTGCAGAATCCACAAAAAGAGTGTTTCAAAACTGCTCTATCAATAGAAAGGTTCAACTCTTTTAGTTGAGTACACACATCACAAACAAGTTTCTGAGAATGCTTCTGTCTGGCTTTTATTGGAAGACGTTTCCTTTTCACCAAAGGCATCAAAGCGCTCCAAATGTCCACTTCCAGATTCTTCCAAAAGAGTGTTTGAAACGTGCTCAAAGTAAGGGAATGTTCAACTCTGTGACTTGAATGCAGATATCACCAAGTAGTTTCTAATAGTGCTTCTGTCTAGATTTTAGATGATGATATTCCCGTTTCCAACGAAATCGTTAGAGCTATCCAAATATCCACTTACAGTTTCTACAAAAACAGTGTTTCCAAACTGCTGCATCAAAAGAAAGGTTCAACTCTGTTAGTTGAGGACACACGTCACAAAGAAGTTTGTGAGAATGCTTCTGTCTAGATTTTGTATGAAGATATTCCCTTTTCCAATGATATCTTTAAATCAACACAAATATCAATTTGCAGGATCCACAAAAACAGTTTCAAAGCTGCTCTGTAAAAAGAAAGGTTCCACTCTGTTAGCTGAGTACACACATCACAAACTTGCTTCTGAGAATCCTTCTGTCTCGTTTTTATGGGAAGATATTTACTTTTTCACCGTAGGCATCAAAGCGCTCCAAATGTCCACATCCAGATACTCCAGAAAGAGTGTTTCAAACCTGCTCTATGAAAGGGAATCTTCAACTCTATGAGTTGAATGCAGACATCAGAAAGAAATTTCTGAGAATGCTTGCTGTCTACCTTTTATTTGAACTCCCGCTTCCAACGAAATCCTCCAAGCTATCCAAATATCCACTTGCATTTTCCACAAAAAGAGTGCTTCAAAACTGCTCTATCAATAGAAATGTTCAACTCCTTTAGCTGGGTGCACACATCACAAACAAGTTTCTGAGAATGCTTCTGTCTAGTTTTTATGGGAAGACATTCCCTTTTTCACCAAAGGCATCAAAGCGCTCCAAATGTCCACTTCCAGACACTACAAAAAGTGTGTTTCAAACGTGCTCTAAGAAACCGAATGTTCAACTCTGTGACTTGAATGCAGATATCACAAAGTAGTTTCTGAGAGGGCTTCTGTCTAGATTTTAGATGATGATATTCCCGTTTCCAACGAAATCATTAGAGCTATCCAAATATCCACTTACAGTTTCTACAAAAAGAGTGTTTCCAAACTGCTGCATCAAAAGAGAGGTTCCACTCTGTTAGCTGAGTACACACATCACAAACTTGTTTCTCAGAATCCTGCTGTCTACCTTTTATTTGAATTCCCGCTTCCAACGAAATCCTCCAAGCTATCCAAATATCCACTTGCAGATTCCACAAAAAGAGTGTTTCAAAACTGCTCTCTATCAATGGCAAAGTTCAACTGTGTTAGTTGAGGACACATATCACCAACAAGTTTCTGAGAATGCTTCTGTCTATTTTTTATGGGAAGATATTTCCTTTTTCACCGTAGGCGGTCAAGGCGATCGAAATGTCCACTTCCACAAACTACAAAAAGAGTGTTTCAAACCTGCTCTATGAAAGGCCATGTTCATCTCTATGAGTTGAATGGAAATATCCGAAAGAAATTTCTGGGAATGCTGCTGTCTAGTGTTTATACGAATTCCCGCTTCCAACGAAATCCTCAAAGCAATCCAAATATCCACTTGCAGAATCCACAAAAAGAGTGTTTCAAAACTGCTCTATCAATAGAAAGGTTCAACTCTTTTAGTTGAGTACACACACCACGAACATGTTTCTGAGAATGCTTCTGTCTGGCTTTTATTGGAAGACGTTTCCTTTTCACCAAAGGCATCAAAGCGCTCCAAATGTCCACTTCCAGATTCTTCCAAAAGAGTGTTTCAAACGTGCTCAAAGTAAGGGAATGTTCAACTCTTTGACTTGAATGCAGATATCACCAAGTAGTTTCTAATAGTGCTTTCTGCCTACATTTTAGATGATGATATTCCCTTTTCCAACGAAATCGTTAGCAGCTATCCAAATATCCAGTTACAGTTTCTACCAAAAGGGTGTTTCCAAATTGCTGCATCAAAAGAAAGGTTCAACTCTGTTAGTTGAGGACACACATCACAAAGAAGTTTGTGAGAATGCTTCTGTCTATATTTTGTATGAGGATATTCCCTTTTCCAACGATATCGTTAAAGCAATCTAAATATCAATTTGCAGAATCCACAAAAATAGAGTTTCAAAGCTGCTCTGTAAAAAGAAAGGTTCCACTCTGTTAGCTGAGTACACACATCACAAACTTGTTTCTCAGAATCCTTCTGTCTCGTTTTTATGGGAAGATATTTACTTTTTCACCGTAGGCATCCAAGCGCTCCAAATGTCCACATCCAGATACTCCAGAAAGAGTGTTTCAAACCTGCTTTATGAAAGGGAGTCTTCAACTCTATGAGTTGAATGCAGACATCAGAAGGAAATTTCTGAGAATGCTGCTGCTGTCTACCTTTTATTTGAATTCCCGCTTCCAACGAAATCCTCCAAGCTATCCAAATATCCACCTGCATTTTCCACAAAAAGAGTGTTTCAAAACTGCTCTATCAATAGAAATGTTCAACTCCTTTGGCTGGGTACACACATCACAAACAAGTTTCTGAAAATGCTTCTGTCTACTTTTTAAGGGAAGACATTTCCTTTTTCACCAAAGGCATCAAAGCGCTCCAAATGTCCACTTCCAGATTCTACAAAAAGAGTGTTTCAAACCTGCTCTAAGTAAGGGAGTTTTCAACCCTGTGACTGGAATGCAGATATCACAAAGTAGTTTCTGAGACTGCTTCTGTGTATACTTTAGATGAAGATATTCCCGTTTCCAACGATATCGTTAGACCTACCCAAATATCCACTTACAGTTTCTACAGAAAGTGTGTTTCCAAACTGCTGCATCAAAAGAAAGGTTCAACTCTGTTAGTTGAGGACACACATCACAAAGAAGTTTCTGAGAAAGCTTCTGTCTCGTTTTTATGGGAAGATATTTACTTTTTCACCATAGGCATCAAAGCGCTCCAAATGTCCACGTCCAGATACTCCAGAAAGAGTGTTTCAAACCTCCTCTATGAAAGGGAATCTTCAACTCTATGAGTTGAATGCAGACATCAGAAAGAAATTTCTGAGAATGCTGCTGTCTACCTTTTATTTGAATTCCCGCTTCCAACGAAATCCTCCAAGCTATCCAAATATCCACTTGCATTTTCCACAAAAAGAGTGTTTCAAAACTGCTCTATCAATAGAAATGTTCAACTCCTTTAGCTGGGTACACACATCACAAACAAGTTTCTGAGAATGCTTCTGTCTAGTTTTTATGGGAAGACATTCCCTTTTTCACCAAAGGCATCAAAGCGCTCCAAATGTCCACTTCCAGACACTACAAAAAGAGTGTTTCCAACGTGCTCTAAGAAAGCGAATGTTCAACTCTGTGACTTGAATGCAGATATCACAAAGTAGTTTCTGAGACGGCTTCTGTCTAGATTTTAGATGATGATATTCCCGTTTCCAACGAAATCATTAGAGCTATCCAAATATCCACTTACAGTTTCTACAAAAAGAGTGTTTCCAAACTGCTGCATCAAAAGAGAGGTTCCACTCTGTTAGCCGAGTACACACATCACAAACTTGTTTCTCAGAATCCTTCTGTCTCGTTTTTATGGGAAGATATTTACTTTTTCACCGTAGGCATCAAAGCGCTCCAAATGTCTACATCCAGATAGTACAGAAAGAGTTTTTCAAACCTGCTCTATGAAAGGGAATCTTCAACTCTATGAGTTGAATGCAGACATCAGAAAGAAATTTCTGAGAATGCTGCTGTCTACCTTTTATTTGAATTCCCGCTTCCAACGAAATCCTCCAAGCTATCCAAATATCCACTTGCAGATTCAGGCAAAAGAGTGTTTCAAAACTGCTCTCTATCAATGGCAAAGTTCAACTCTGTTAGTTGAGGACACATATCACCAACAAGTTTCTGAGAATGCTTCTGTCTATTTTTTATGGGAAGATATTTCCTTTTTCACCGTAGGCGTCAAGGCGATCGAAATGTCCACTTCCACAAACTACAAAAAGAGTGTTTCAAACCTGCTCTATGAAAGGCCATGTTCATCTCTATGAGTTGAATGGAAATATCCGAAAGAAATTTCTGGGAATGCTGCTGTCTAGTTTTTATATGAATTCCCGCTTCCAACGAAATCCTCAAAGCAATCCAAATATCCACTTGCAGAATCCACAAAAAGAGTGTTTCAAAACTGCTCTATCAATAGAAAGGTTCAACTCCTTTAGTTGAGTACACACATCACAAACAAGTTTCTGAGAATGCTTCTGTCTGGCTTTTATTGGAAGACGTTTCCTTTTCACCAAAGGCATCAAAGCGCTCCAAATGTCCACTTCCAGATTCTTCCCAAAGAGTGTTTCAAACGTGCTCAAAGTAAGGGAATGTTCAACTCTGTGACTTGAATGCAGATATCACCAAGTAGTTTCTAATAGTGCTTCTGTCTAGATTTTAGATGATGATATTCCCGTTTCCAACGAAATCGTTAGAGCTATCCAAATATCCACTTACAGTTTCTACCAAAAGGGTGTTTCCAAACTGCTGCATCAAAAGAAAGGTTCAAGTCTGTTAGTTGAGGACACACATCACAAAGAAGTTTGTGAGAATGCTTCTGTCTAGATTTTGTATGACGATATTCCCTTTTCCAACGATATCGTTAAAGCAATCTAAATATCAATTTGCAGAATCCACAAAAATAGAGTTTCAAAGCTGCTCTGTAAAAAGAAAGGTTCCACTCTGTTAGCTGAGTACACACATCACAAACTTGTTTCTCAGAATCCTTCTGTCTCGTTTTTATGGGAAGATATTTACTTTTTCACCGTAGGCATCAAAGCGCTCCAAATGTCCACATCCAGATATTCCAGAAAGACTGTTTCAAACCTGCTCTATGAAAGGGAATCTTCAACTCTATGAGTTGAATGCAGACATCAGAAAGAAATTTCTGAGAATGCTGCTGTCTACTTTTTATTTGAATTCCCGCTTCCCACGAAATCCTCCAAGCTATCCAAATATCCACCTGCATTTTCCACAAAAAGAGTGTTTCAAAACTGCTCTATCAATAGAAATGTTCAACTCCTTTAGCTGGGTAGACACATCACAAACAAGTTTCTGAGAATGCTTCTGTCTAGTTTTTATGGGAAGACATTCCCTTTTTCACCAAAGGCATCAAAGCGCTCCAAATGTCCACTTCCAGACACTACAAAAAGAGTGTTTCCAACGTGCTCTAAGAAAGCGAATGTTCAACTCTGTGACTTGAATGCAGATATCACAAAGTAGTTTCTAATAGTGCTTCTGTCTAGATTTTAGATGATGATATTCCCGTTTCCAAAGAAATCATTAGAGCTATCCAAATATCCACTTACAGTTTCTACAAAAAGAGTGTTTCCAAACTGCTGCATCAAAAGAGAGGTTCCACTCTGTTAGCTGAGTACACACATCACAAACTTGTTTCTCAGAATCCTTTCTGTCTCGTTTTTATGGGAAGATATTTACTTTTTCACCGTAGGCATCAAAGCGCTCCAAATGTCCACATCCAGATACTCTGAACGAGTGTTTCAAACCTGCTCTATGAAAGGGAATCTTCAACTCTATGAGTTGAATGCAGACATCAGAAAGAAATTTCTGAGAATGCTGCTGTCTACCTTTTATTTGAATTCCCGCTTCCAACGAAATCCTCCAAGCTATCCAAATATCCACTTGCAGATTCCACAAAAAGAGTGTTTCAAAACTGCTCTCTATCAATGGCAAAGTTCAACTCTGTTAGTTGAGGACACATATCACCAACAAGTTTCTGAGAATGCTTCTGTCTATTTTTTATGGGTAGATATTTCCTTTTTCACCGTAGGCGTCAAGGCGATCGAAATGTCCACTTCCACAAACTACAAAAAGAGTGTTTCAAACCTGCTCTATGAAAGGCCATGTTCATCTCTATGAGTTGAATGGAAATATCCGAAAGAAATTTCTGGGAATGCTGCTGTCTAGTTTTTATATGAATTCCCGCTTCCAACGAAATCCTCAAAGCAATCCAAATATCCACTTGCAGAATCCACAAAAAGAGTGTTTCAAAACTGCTCTATCAATAGAAAGGTTCAACTCTTTTAGTTGAGTACACACATCACAAACAAGTTTGCTGAGAATGCTTATCTGTCTGGCTTTTATTGGAAGACGTTTCCTTTTCACCAAAGGCATCAAAGCGCTCCAAATGTCCACTTCCAGATTCTTCCAAAAGAGTGTTTGAAACGTGCTCAAAGTAAGGGAATGTTCAACTCTGTGACTTGAATGCAGATATCACCAAGTAGTTTCTAATAGTGCTTCTGTCTAGATTTTAGGTGAGGATATTCCCGTTTCCAACGAAATCGTTAGAGCTATCCAAATATCCAGTTACAGTTTCTACCAAAAGGGTGTTTCCAAATTGCTGCATCAAAAGAAAGGTTCAACTCTGTTAGTTGAGGACACACATCACAAAGAAGTTTGTGAGAATGCTTCTGTCCAGATTTTGTATGACGATATTCCCTTTTCCAACGATATCATTAAAGCAATCTAAATATCCATTTGCAGAATCCACAAAAATAGAGTTTCAAAGCTGCTCTGTAAAAAGAAAGGTTCCACTCTGTTAGCTGAGTACACACATCACAAACTTGTCTCTCAGAATCCTTCTGTCTCGTTTTTATGGGAAGATATTTACTTTTTCACCGTAGGCATCAAAGCGCTCCAAATGTCCACATCCAGATACTCCAGAAAGAGTGTTTCAAACCTGCTCTATGAAAGGGAATCTTCAACTCTATGAGTTGAATGCAGACATCAGAAAGAAATTTCTGAGAATGCTGCTGTCTACCTTTTATTTGAATTCCCGCTTCCAACGAAATCCTCCAAGCTATCCAAATATCCACCTGCAGATTCCACAAAAAGAGTGTTTCAAAACTGCTCTATCAATAGAAATGTTCAACTCCTTTAGCTGGGTACACACATCACAAACAAGTTTCTGAGAATGCTTCTGTCTAGTTTTTATGGGAAGACATTCCCTTTTTCACCAAAGGCATCAAAGCGCTCCAAATGTCCACTTCCAGACACTACAAAAAGAGTGTTTCAAACGTGCTCTAAGAAAGCGAATATTCAACTCTGTGACTTGAATGCAGATATCACAAAGTAGTTTCTGAGAGGGCTTCTGTCTAGATTTTAGATGATGATATTCCCGTTTCCAACGAAATCATTAGAGCTATCCAAATATCCACTTACAGTTTCTACAAAAAGAGTGTTTCCAAACTGCTGCATCAAAAGAGAGGTTCCACTCTGTTAGCTGAGTACACACATCACAAACTTGTTTCTCAGAATCCTTCTGTCTAGCTTTTATGGGAAGATATTTCCTTTTTCACCGTAGGCATCAAAGCGATCCCAATGTCCACTTCCAGATAGTACAGAAAGAGTGTTTCAAACCTGCTCTATGAAAGGGAATCTTCAACTCTATGAGTTGAATGCAGACATCAGAAAGTAATTTCTGAGAATGCTGCTGTCTACCTTTTATTTGAATTCCCGCTTCCAACGAAATCCTCCAAACTATCCAAATATCCACTTGCAGATTCAGGAAAAAGAGTGTTTCAAAACTGCTCTCTATCAATGGCAAAGTTCAACTCTGTTAGTTGAGGACACATATCACCAACAAGTTTCTGAGAATGCTTCTGTCTATTTTTTATGGGAAGATATTTCCTTTTTCAGCGTAGGCGTCAAGGCGATCGAAATGTCCACTTCCACAAACTACAAAAAGAGTGTTTCAAACCTGCTCTATGAAAGGCCATGTTCATCTCTATGAGTTGAATGGAAATATCCGAAAGAAATTTCTGGGAATGCTGCTGTCTAGTTGTTATACGAATTCCCGCTTCCAACGAAATCCTCAAAGCAATCCACATATCCACTTGCAGAATCCACAAAAAGAGTGTTTCAAAACTGCTCCATCAATAGAAAGGTTCAACTCTTTTAGTTGAGTACACACATCACAAACAAGTTTCTGAGAATGCTTCTGTCTGGCTTTTATTGGAAGACGTTTCCTTTTCACCAAAGGCATCAAAGCGCTCCAAATGTCCACTTCCAGATTCTTCCAAAAGAGTGTTTCAAACGTGCTCAAAGTAAGGGAATGTTCAACTCTGTGACTTGAATGCAGATATCACCAAGTAGTTTCTAATAGTGCTTCTGTCTAGATTTTAGATGATGATATTCCCGTTTCCAACGAAATCGTTAGAGCTATCCAAATATCCACTTACAGTTTCTACAAAAAGAGTGTTTCCAAACTGCTGCATCAAAAGAAAGGTTCAACTCTGTCAGTTGAGGAGACACATCACAAAGAAGTTTGTGAGAATGCTTCTGTCTAGATTTTGTATGACCATATTCCCTTTTCCCAACGATATCGTTAAAGCAATCTAAATATCCATTTGCAGAATCCACAAAAATAGAGTTTCAAAGCTGCTCTGTAAAAAGAAAGGTTCCACTCTGTTAGCTGAGTACACACATCACAAACTTGTCTCTCAGAATCCTTCTGTCTCGTTTTTATGGGAAGATATTTACTTTTCCACCGTAGGCATCAAAGCGCTCCAAATGTCCACATCCGGATACTCCAGAACGAGTGTTTCAAACCTGCTCTATGAAAGGGAATCTTCAACTCTATGAGTTGAATGCAGACATCAGAAAGAAATTTCTGAGAATGCTGCTGTCTACCTTTTATTTGAATTCCCGCTTCCAACGAAATCCTCCAAGCTATCCAAATATCCACCTGCATTTTCCACAACAAGAGTGTTTCAAAACTGCTCTATCAATAGAAATGTTCAACTCCTTTGGCTGGGTACACACATCACAAACAAGTTTGCTGAGAATGCTTCTGTCTAGTTTTTATGGGAAGACGTTCCCTTTTTCACCAAAGGCATCAAAGCGCTCCAAATGTCCACTTCCAGACACTACAAAAAGAGTGTTTCAAACGTGCTCTAAGAAAGCGAATGTTCAACTCTGTGACTTGAATGCAGATATCACAAAGTAGTTTACTGAGAGGGCTTCTGTCTAGATTTTAGATGATGATATTCCCGTTTCCAATGAAATCATTAGAGCTATCCAAATATCCACTTACAGTTTCTACAAAAAGAGTGTTTCCAAACTGCTGCATCAAAAGAGAGGTTCCACTCTGTTAGCTGAGTACACACATCACAAACTTGTTTCTCAGAATCCTTCTGTCTCGTTTTTATGGGAAGATATTTACTTTTACACCGTAGGTATCAAAGCGCTCCAAATGTCCACATCCAGATACTCCAGAAAGAGTGTTTCAAACCTGCTCTATGAAAGGGAATCTTCAACTCTATGAGTTGAATGCAGACATCAGAAAGAAATTTCTGAGAATGCTGCTGTCTACCTTTTATTTGAATTCCCGCTTCCAACGAAATCCTCCAAGCTATCCAAATATCCACTTGCAGATTCCACAAAAAGAGTGTTTCAAAACTGCTCTCTATCAATGGCAAAGTTCAACTCTGTTAGTTGAGGACACATATCACCAACAAGTTTCTGAGAATGCTTCTGTCTATTTTTTATGGGAAGATATTTCCTTTTTCACCGTAGGCGTCAAGGCGATCGAAATGTCCAGTTCCACAAACTACAAAAAGAGTGTTTCAAACCTGCTCTATGAAAGGCCATGTTCATCTCTATGAGTTGAATGGAAATATCCGAAAGAAATTTCTGGGAATGCTGCTGTCTAGTTTTTATACGAATTCCCGCTTCCAACGAAATCCTCAAAGCAATCCAAATATCCACTTGCAGAATCCACAAAAAGAGTGTTTCAAAACTGCTCTATCAATAGAAAGGTTCAACTCTTTTAGTTGAGTACACACATCACAAACAAGTTTCTGAGAATGCTTCTGTCTGGCTTTTATTGGAAGACGTTTCCTTTTCACCAAAGGCATCAAAGCGCTCCAAATGTCCACTTCCAGATTCTTCCAAAAGAGTGTTTGAAACGTGCTCAAAGTAAGGGAATGTTCAACTCTGTGACTTGAATGCAGATATCACCAAGTAGTTTCTAATAGTGCTTCTGTCTAGATTTTAGATGATGATATTCCCGTTTCCAACGAAATCGTTAGAGCTATCCAAATATCCACTTACAGTTTCTACCAAAAGGGTGTTTCCAAACTGCTGCATCAAAAGAAAGGTTCAACTGTGTTAGTTGAGGACACACGTCACAAAGCTGTTTGTGAGAATGCTTCTGTCCAGATTTTGTATGACGATATTCCCTTTTCCAACGATATCGTTAAAGCAATCTAAATATCCATTTGCAGAATCCACAAAAATAGAGTTTCAAAGCTGCTCTGTAAAAAGAAAGGTTCCACTCTGTTAGCTGAGTACACACATCACAAACTTGTTTCTGAGAATCCTGCTGTCTACCTTTTATTTGAATTCCCGCTTCCAACGAAATCCTCCAAGCTATCCAAATATCCACCTGCATTTTCCACAACAAGAGTGTTTCAAAACTGCTCTATCAATAGAAATGTTCAACTCCTTTGGCTGGGTACACCCATCACAAACAAGACTCTGAGAATGCTTCTGTCTAGTTTTTATGGGAAGACATTCCCTTTTTCACCAAAGGCATCAAAGCGCTCCAAATGTCCACTTCCAGACACTACAAAAAGAGTGTTTCAAACGTGCTCTAAGAAAGCGAATGTTCAACTCTGTGACTTGAATGCAGATATCACAAAGTAGTTTCTGAGAGTGCTTCTGTCTAGATTTTAGATGATGATATTCCCGTTTCCAACGAAATCATTAGAGCTATCCAAATATCCACTTACTGTTTCTACAAAAAGAGTGTTTCCAAACTGCTGCATCAAAAGAGAGGTTCCACTCTGTTAGCTGAGTACACACATCACAAACTTGTTTCTCAGAATCCTTCTGTCTCGTTTTTTTGGGAAGATATTTACTTTTTCACCGTAGGCATCAAAGCGCTCCAAATGTCCACATCCAGATACTCCAGAAAGAGTGTTTCAAACCTGCTCTATGAAAGGGAATCTTCAACTCTATGAGTTGAATGCAGACATCAGAAAGAAATTTCTGAGAATGCTGCTGTCTACCTTTTATTTGAATTCCCGCTTCCAACGAAATCCTCCAAGCTATCCAAATATCCACTTGCAGATTCCACAAAAAGAGTGTTTCAAAACTGCTCTCTATCAATGGCAAAGTTCAACTCTGTTAGTTGAGGACACATATCACCAACAAGTTTCTGAGAATGCTTCTGTCTATTTTTTATGGGAAGATATTTCCTTTTTCACCGTAGGCGTCAAGGCAATCGAAATGTCCACTTCCACAAACTACAAAAAGAGTGTTTCAAACCTGCTCTATGAAAGGCCATGTTCATCTCTATGAGTTGAATGGAAATATCCGAAAGAAATTTCTGGGAATGCTGCTGTCTAGTGTTTATACGAATTCCCGCTTCCAACGAAATCCTCAAAGCAATCCAAATATCCACTTGCAGAATCCACAAAAAGAGTGTTTCAAAACTGCTCTATCAATAGAAAGGTTCAACTACTTTTAGTTGAGTACACACATCACGAACAAGTTTCTGAGAATGCTTTCTGTCTGGCTTTTATTGGAAGACGTTTCCTTTTCACCAAAGGCATCAAAGCGCTCCAAATGTCCACTTCCAGATTCTTCCAAAAGAGTGTTTCAAACGTGGTCGAAGTAAGGGAATGTTCAACTCTGTGACTTGAATGCAGATATCACCAAGTAGTTTCTAACAGTGCTTCTGTCTACATTTTAGATGATGATATTCCCGTTTCCAACGAAATCGCTAGAGCTATCCAAATATCCAGTTACAGTTTCTACCAAAAGGGTGTTTCCAAATTGCTGCATCAAAAGAAAGGTTCAACTCTGTTAGTTGAGGACACACATCACAAAGAAGTTTGTGAGAATGCTTCTGTCTAGATTTTGTATGACCATATTCCCTTTTCCAACGATATCGTTAAAGCAATCTAAATATCAATTTGCAGAATCCACAAAAATAGAGTTTCAAAGCTGCTCTGTAAAAAGAAAGGTTCCACTCTGTTAGCTGAGTACACACATCACAAACTTGTTTCTGAGAATCCTTCTGTCTCGTTTTTATGGGAAGATATTTACTTTTCCACCGTAGGCATCAAAGCGCTCCAAATGTCCACATCCATATACTCCAGAACGAGTGTTTCAAACCTGCTCTATGAAAGGGAATCTTCAACTCTATGAGTTGAATGCAGACATCAGAAAGAAATTTCTGAGAATGCTGCTGTCTACCTTTTATTTGAATTCCCGCTTCCAACGAAATCCTCCAAGCTATCCAAATATCCACCTGCATTTTCCACAAAAAGAGTGTTTCAAACCTGCTCTATCAATAGAAATGTTCAACTCCTTTGGCTGGGTACACACATCACAAACAAGTTTCTGAGAATGCTTCTGTCTAGTTTTTATGGGTAGACATTCCCTTTTTCACCAAAGGAATCAAAGCGCTCCAAATGTCCACTTCCAGACACTACAAAAAGAGTGTTTCCAACGTGCTCTAAGAAAGCGAATGTTCAACTCTGTGACTTGAATGCAGATATCACAAAGTAGTTTCTGAGAGTGCTTCTGTCTAGATTTTAGATGATGATATTCCCGTTTCCAACGAAATCATTAGAGCTATCCAAATATCCACTTACAGTTTCTACAAAAAGAGTGTTTCCAAACTGCTGCATCAAAAGAGAGGTTCCACTCTGTTAGCTGAGTACACACATCACAAACTTGTTTCTCAGAATCCTTCTGTCTCGTTTTTATGGGAAGATATTTACTTTCTCACCGTAGGCATCAAAGCGCTCCAAATATCCACATCCAGATACTCCAGAAAGAGTGTTTCAAACCTGCTCTATGAAAGGGAATCTTCAACTCTATGAGTTGAATGCAGACATCAGAAAGAAATTTCTGAGAATGCTGCTGTCTACCTTTTATTTGAATTCCCGCTTCCAACGAAATCCTCCAAGCTATCCAAATATCCACTTGCAGATTCCACAAAAAGAGTGTTTCAAAACTGCTCTCTATCAATGGCAAAGTTCAACTCTGTTAGTTGAGGACACATATCACCAACAAGTTTCTGAGAATGCTTCTGTCTATTTTTTATGGGAAGATATTTCCTTTTTCACCGTAGGCGTCAAGGCGATCGAAATGTCCACTTCCACAAACTACAAAAAGAGTGTTTCAAACCTGCTCTATGAAAGGCCATGTTCATCTTTATGAGTTGAATGGAAATATCCGAAAGAAATTTCTGGGAATGCTGCTGTCTAGTGTTTATACGAATTCCCGCTTCCAACGAAATCCTCAAAGCAATCCAAATATCCACTTGCAGAATCCACAAAAAGAGTGTTTCAAAACTGCTCTATCAATAGAAAGGTTCAACTCTTTTAGTTGAGTACACTCATCACAAACAAGTTTCTGAGAATGCTTCTGTCTGGCTTTTATTGGAAGACGTTTCCTTTTCACCAAAGGCATCAAAGCGCTCCAAATGTCCACTTCCAGATTCTTCCAAAAGAGTGTTTCAAACGTGCTCAAAGTAAGGGAATGTTCAACTCTGTGACTTGAATGCAGATATCACCAAGTAGTTTCTAATAGTGCTTCTGTCTACATTTTAGATGATGATATTCCCGTTTCCAATGAAATCGTTAGAGCTATCCAAATATCCACTTACAGTTTCTACAAAAAGAGTGTTTCCAAACTGCTGCATCAAAAGAAAGGTTCAACTCTGTTAGTTGAGGACACACATCACAAAGAAGTTTGTGAGAATGCTTCTGTCTAGATTTTGTATGATGATATTCCCTTTTCCATCGATATCGTTAAAGCAATCTAAATATCAATTTGCAGAATCCACAAAAATAGAGTTTCAAAGCTGCTCTGTAAAAAGAAAGGTTCCACTCTGTTAGCTGAGTACACACATCACAATCTTGTTTCTGAGAATCCTGCTGTCTACCTTTTATTTGAATTCCCGCTTCCAACGAAATCCTCCAAGGTATCCAAATATCCACCTGCATTTTCCACAAAAAGAGTGTTTCAAAACTGCTCTATCAATAGAAATGTTCAACTCCTTTGGCTGGGTACACACATCACAAACAAGTTTCTGAGAATGCTTCTGTCTAGTTTTTATGGGAAGACGTTCCCTTTTTCACCAAAGGCATCAAAGCGCTCCAAATGTCCACTTCCAGACACTACAAAAAGAGTGTTTCAAACGTGCTCTAAGAAAGCGCATGTTCAACTCTGTGACTTGAATGCAGATATCACAAAGTAGTTTCTGAGAGGGCTTCTGTCTAGTATTTTAGATGATGATATTCCCGTTTCCAACGAAATCATTAGAGCTATCCAAATATCCACTTACAGTTTCTACAAAAAGAGTGTTTCCAAACTGCTGCATCAAAACAGAGGTTCCACTCTGTTAGCTGAGTACACACATCACAAACTAGTTTCTCAGAATCCTCTGTCTCGTTTTTATGGGAAGATATTTACTTTTTCACCGTAGGCATCAAAGCGCTCCAAATGTCCACATCCAGATACTCCAGAAAGAGTGTTTCAAACCTGCTCTATGAAAGGGAATCTTCAACTCTATGAGTTGAATGCAGACATCAGAAAGAAATTCTGAGAATGCTGGCTGTCTACCTTTTATTTGAATTCCCGCTTCCAACGAAATCCTCCAGCTATCCAAATATCCACTTGCAGATTCCACAAAAAGAGTGTTTCAAAACTGCTCTCTATCAATGGCAAAGTTCAACTCTGTTAGTTGAGGACACATATCACCAACAAGTTTCTGAGAATGCTTCTGTCTATTTTTTATGGGAAGATATTTCCTTTTTCACCGTAGGCGTCAAGGCGATCGAAATGTCCACTTCCACAAACTACAAAAAGAGTGTTTCAAACCTGCTCTATGAAAGGCCATGTTCATCTCTATGAGTTGAATGGAAATATCCGAAAGAAATTTCTGGGAATGCTGCTGTCTAGTGTTTATATGAATTCCTGCTTCCAACGAAATCCTCAAAGCAATCCAAATATCCACTTGCAGAATCCACAAAAAGAGTGTTTCAAAACTGCTATATCAATAGAAAGGTTCAACTCTTTTAGTTGAGTACACACATCACGAACAAGTTTCTCAGAATGCTTCTGTCTGGCTTTTATTGGAAGACGTTTCCTTTTCACCAAAGGCATCAAAGCGCTCCAAATGTCCACTTCCAGATTCTTCCAAAAGAGTGTTTCAAACGTGCTCGAAGTAAGGGAATGTTCTACTCTGTGACTTGAATGCAGATATCACCAAGTAGTTTCTAATAGTGCTTCTGTCTACATTTTAGATGATGATATTCCCGTTTCCAACGAAATCGCTAGAGCTATCCAAATATCCAGTTACAGTTTCTACCAAAAGGGTGTTTCCAAATTGCTGCATCAAAAGAAAAGTTCAACTCTGTTAGTTGAGGACACACATCACAAAGAAGTTTGTGAGAATGCTTCTGTCTAGATTTTGTATGACCGTATTCCCTTTTCCAACGATATCGTTAAAGCAATCTAAATATCAATTTGCAGAATCCACAAAAATAGAGTTTCAAAGCTGCTCTGTAAAAAGAAAGGTTCCACTCTGTTAGCTGAGTACACACATCACAAACTTGTTTCTGAGAATCCTGCTGTCTACCTTTTATTTGAATTCCCGCTTCCAACGAAATCCTCCAAGCTATCCAAATATCCACCTGCATTTTCCACAACAAGAGTGTTTCAAAACTGCTGTATCAATAGAAACGTTCAACTCCTTTGGCTGGGTACACACATCACAAACAAGTTTCTGAGAATGCTTCTGTCTAGTTTTTATGGGAAGACGTTCCCTTTTTCACCAAAGGCATCAAAGCGCTCCAAATGTCCACTTCCAGACACTACAAAAAGAGTGTTTCCAACGTGCCCTAAGAAAGCGAATGTTCAACTCTGTGACTTGAATGCAGATATCACAAAGTAGTTTCTGAGAGGGCTTCTGTCTAGATTTTAGATGATGATATTCCCGTTTCCAACGAAATCATTAGAGCTATCCAAATATCCACTTACAGTTTCTACAAAAAGAGTGTTTCCAAACTGCTGCATCAAAAGAGAGGTTCCACTCTGTTAGCTGAGTACACACATCACAAACTTGTTTCTCAGAATCCTTCTGTCTCGTTTTTATGGGAAGATATTTACTTTTCCACCGTAGGCATCAAAGCGCTCCAAATGTCCACATCCAGATACTCCAGAACGAGTGTTTCAAACCTGCTCTATGAAAGGGAATCTTCAACTGCTATGAGTTGAATGCAGACATCAGAAAGAAATTTACTGAGAATGCTGCTGTCTACCTTTTATTTGAATTCCCGCTTCCAACGAAATCCTCCAAGCTATCCAAATATCCACTTGCATATTCCACAAAAAGAGTGTTTCAAAACTGCTCTCTATCAATGGCAAAGTTCAACTCTGTTAGTTGAGGACACATATCACCAACAAGTTTCTGAGAATGCTTCTGTCTATTTTTTATGGGAAGATATTTCCTTTTTCACCGTAGGCGTCAAGGCGATCGAAATGTCCACTTCCACAAACTACAAAAAGAGTGTTTCAAACCTGCTCTATGAAAGGCCATGTTCATCTCTATGAGTTGAATGGAAATATCCGAAAGAAATTTCTGGGAATGCTGCTGTCTAGTGTTTATACGAATTCCCGCTTCCAACGAAATCCTCAAAGCAATCCAAATATCCACTTGCAGAATCCACAAAAAGAGTGTTTCTAAACTGCTCTATCAATAGAAAGGTTCAACTCTTTTAGTTGAGTACACACATCACAAACAAGTTTCTGAGAATGCTTCTCTCTGGCTTTTATTGGAAGACGTTTCCTTTTCACCAAAGGCATCAAAGCGCTCCAAATGTCCACTTCCAGATTCTTCCAAAAGAGTGTTTCAAACGTGCTCAAAGTAAGGGAATGTTCAACTACTGTGACTTGAATACAGATATCACCAAGTAGTTTCTAATAGTGCTTCTGTCTAGTATTTTAGATGATGATATTCCCGTTTCCAACGAAATCGTTAGAGCTATCCAAATATCCACTTACAGTTGCTACAAAAAGAGTGTTTCCAAACTGCTGCATCAAAAGAAAGGTTCAACTCTGTTAGTTGAGGACACACATCACAAAGAAGTTTGTGAGAATGCTTCTGTCTAGATTTTGTATGACGATATTCCCTTTTCCAACGATATCGTTAAAGCAATCTAAATATCCATTTGCAGAATCCACAAAAATAGAGTTTCAAAGCTGCTCTGTAAAAAGAAAGGTTGCACTCTGTTAGCTGAGTACACACATCACAAACTTGTTTCTCAGAATCCTGCTGTCTACCTTTTATTTGAATTCCCGCTTCCAACGAAATCCTCCAAGCTATCCAAATATCCACTTGCAGATTCCACAAAAAGAGTGTTTCAAAACTGCTCTCTATCAATGGCAAAGTTCAACTCTGTTAGTTGAGGACACATATCACCAACAAGTTTCTGAGAATGCTTCTGTCTATTTTTTATGGGAAGATATTTCCTTTTTCAGCGTAGGCGCCAAGGCGATCGAAATGTCCACTTCCACAAACTACAAAAAGAGTGTTTCAAACCTGCTCTATGAAAGGCCATGTTCATCTCTATGAGTTGAATGGAAATATCCGAAAGAAATTTCTGGGAATGCTGCTGTCTAGTTTTTATATGAATTCCCGCTTCCAACGAAATCCTCAAAGCAATCCAAATATCCACTTGCAGAATCCACAAAAAGAGTGTTTCAAAACTGCTCTATCAATAGAAAGGTTCAACTCTTTTAGTTGAGTACACACATCACAAACAAGTTTCCTGAGAATGCTTTCTGTCTGGCTTTTATTGGAAGACGTTTCCTTTTCACCAAAGGCATCAAAGCGCTCCAAATGTCCACTTCCAGATTCTTCCAAAAGAGTGTTTCAAACGTGCTCAAAGTAAGGGAATGTTCAACTCTGTGACTTGAATGCAGATATCACCAAGTAGTTTCTAATAGTGCTTCTGTCTACATTTTAGATGATGATATTCCCGTTTCCAACGAAATCGCTAGAGCTATCCAAATATCCAGTTACAGTTTCTACCAAAAGGGTGTTTCCAAATTGCTGCATCAAAAGAAAGGTTCAACTCTGTTAGTTGAGGACACACATCACAAAGAAGTTTGTGAGAATGCTTCTGTCTATATTTTGTATGACGATATTCCCTTTTCCAACGATATCGTTAAAGCAATCTAAATATCAATTTGCAGAATCCACAAAAATAGAGTTTCAAAGCTGCTCTGTAAAAAGAAAGGTTCCACTCTGTTAGCTGAGTACACACATCACAAACTTGTTTCTGAGAATCCTTCTGTCTCGTTTTTATGGGAAGATATTTACTTTTTCACCGTAGGCATCAAAGCGCTCCAAATGTCCACATCCAGATACTCCAGAAAGAGTGTTTCAAACCTGCTCTATGAAAGGGAATCTTCAACTCTATGAGTTGAATGCAGACATCAGAAAGAAACTTCTGAGAATGCTGCTGTCTACCTTTTATTTGAATTCCCGCTTACAACGAAATCCTCCAAGCTATCCAAATATCCACTTGCATTTTCCACAAAAAGAGTGTTTCAAAACTGCTCTATCAATAGAAACGTTCAACTCCTTTAGCTGGGTACACACATCACAAACAAGTTTCTGAGAATGCTTCTGTCTAGTTTTTATGGGAAGACATTCCCTTTTTCACCAAAGCCATCAAAGCGATCCAAATGTCCACTTCCAGACACTACAAAAAGAGTGTTTCAAACGTGCTCTAAGAAAGCGAATGTTCAACTCTGTGACTTGAATGCAGATATCACAAAGTAGTTTCTGAGAGGGCTTCTGTCTAGATTTTAGATGATGATATTCCCGTTTCCAACGAAATCATTACAGCTATCCAAATATCCACTTACAGTTTCTAGAAAAAGAGTGTTTCCAAACTGCTGCATCAAAAGAGAGGTTCCACTCTGTTAGCTGAGTACACACATCACAAACTTGTTTCTCAGAATCCTTCTGTGTCGTTTTTATGTGAAGATATTTACTTTTTAACCGTAGGCATCCAAGCGCTCCAAATGTCCACATCCAGATACTCCAGAAAGAGTGTTTCAAACCTGCTCTATGAAAGGGAATCTTCAACTCTATGAGTTGAATGCAGACATCAGAAAGAAATTTCTGAGAATGCTGCTGTCTACCTTTTATTTGAATTCCCGCTTCCAACGAAATCCTCCAAACTATCCAAATATCCACTTGCAGATTCAGGAAAAAGAGTGTTTCAAAACTGCTCTCTATCAATGGCAAAGTTCAACTCTGTTAGTTGAGGACACATATCACCAACAAGTTTCTGAGAATGCTTCTGTCTATTTTTTATGGGAAGATATTTCCTTTTTCACCGTAGGCGTCAAGGCGATCGAAATGTCCACTTCCACAAACTACAAAAAGAGTGTTTCAAACCTGCTCTATAAAAGGCCATGTTCATCTCTATGAGTTGAATGGAAATATCCGAAAGAAATTTCTGGGAATGCTGCTGTCTAGTTTTTATACGAATTCCCGCTTCCAACGAAATCCTCAAAGCAATCCAAATATCCACTTGCAGAATCCACAAAAAGAGTGTTTCAAAACTGCTCTATCAATAGAAAGGTTCAACTCTTTTAGTTGAGTACACACATCACGAACAAGTTTCTGAGAATGCTTCTGTCTGGCTTTTATTGGAAGACGTTTCCTTTTCACCAAATGCATCAAAGCGCTCCAAATGTCCACTTCCAGATTCTTCCAAAAGAGTGTTTCAAACGTGCTCAAAGTAAGGGAATGTTCAACTCTGTGACTTGAATGCAGATATCACCAAGTAGTTTCTAATAGTGCTTCTGTCTACATTTTAGATGATGATATTCCCGTTTCCAACGAAATCGTTAGAGCTATCCAAATATCCAGTTACAGTTTCTACCAAAAGGGTGTTTCCAAATTGCTGCATCAAAAGAAAGGTTCAACTCTGTTAGTTGAGGACACACATCACAAAGAAGTTTGTGAGAATGCTTTCCTGTCTAGATTTTGTATGACGATATTCCCTTTTCCAACGATATCGTTAAAGCAATCTAAATATCAATTTGCAGAATCCACAAAAACAGAGTTTCAAAGCTGCTCTGTAAAAAGAAAGGTTCCACTCTGTTAGCTGAGTACACACATCCCAAACTTGTTTCTGAGAATCCTTCTGTCTCGTTTTTATGGGAAGATATTTACTTTTCCACTGTAGGCATCAAAGCGCTCCAAATGTCCACATCCAGATACTCCAGAACGAGTGTTTCAAACCTGCTCTATGAAAGGGAATCTTCAACTCTATGAGTTGAATGCAGAATCAGAAAGAAATTTCTGAGAATGCTCTGTCTACCTTTTATTTGAATTCCCGCTTCCAACGAAATCCTCCAAGCTATCCAAATATCCACCTGCATTTTCCACAACAAGAGTGTTTCAAAACTGCTCTATCAATAGAAATGTTCAACTCCTTTGGCTGGGTACACACATCACAAACAAGTTTCTGAGAATGCTTTCTGTCTAGTTTTTATGGGAAGACATTCCCTTTTTCACCAAAGGCATCAAAGCAGCTCCAAATGTCCACTTCCAGACACTACAAAAAGAGTGTTTCAAACGTGCTCTAAGAAAGCGAATGTTCAACTCTGTGGCTTGAATGCAGATATCACAAAGTAGTTTCTGAGAGGGCTTCTCTCTAGATTTTAGATGATGATATTCCCGTTTCCAACGAAATCATTAGAGCTATCCAAATATCCACTTACAGTTTCTACAAAAAGAGTGTTTCCAAACTGCTGCATCAAAAGAGAGGTTCCACTCTGTTAGCTGAGTACACACATCACAAACTTGTTTCTGAGAATCCTTCTGACTCGTTTTTATGGGAAGATATTTACTTTTTCACCGTAGGCATCAAAGCGCTCCAAATGTCCACATCCAGATACTCCAGAAAGAGTGTTTCAAACCTGCTCTATGAAAGGGAATCTTCAACTCTATGAGTTGAATGCAGACATCAGAAAGAAATTTCTGAGAATGCTGCTGTCTACCTTTTATTTGAATTCCCGCTTCCAACGAAATCCTCCAAGCTATCCAAATATCCACTTGCAGATTCCACAAAAAGAGTGTTTCAAAACTGCTCTCTATCAATGGCAAAGTTCAACTCTGTTAGTTGAGGACACATATCACCAACAAGTTTCTGAGAATGCTTCTGTCTTTTTTTATGGGAAGATATTTCCTTTTTCACCGTAGGCGTCAAGGCGATCGAAATGTCCACTTCCACAAACTACAAAAAGAGTGTTTCAAACCTGCTCTATGAAAGGCCATGTTCATCTCTATGAGTCGAATGGAAATATCCGAAAGAAATTTCTGGGAATGCTGCTGTCTAGTGTTTATACGAATTCCCGCTTCCAACGAAATCCTCAAAGCAATCCAAATATCCACTTGCAGAATACACAAAAAGAGTGTTTCAAAACTGCTCTATCAATAGAAAGGTTCAACTCTTTTAGTTGAGTACACACATCACGAACAAGTTTCTGAGAATGCTTCTCTCTGGCTTTTATTGGAAGACGTTTCCTTTTCACCAAAGGCATCAAAGCGCTCCAAATGTCCACTTCCAGATTCTTCCAAAAGAGTGTTTCAAACGTGCTCAAAGTAAGGGAATGTTCAACTCTGTGACTTGAATGCAGATATCACCAAGTAGTTTCTAATAGTGCTTCTGTCTACATTTTAGATGATGATATTCCCGTTTCAAACGAAATCGTTAGAGCTATCCAAATATCCAGTTACAGTTTCTACCAAAAGGGTGTTTCCAAATTGCTGCATCAAAAGAAAGGTTCAACTCTGTTAGTTGAGGACACACATCACAAAGAAGTTTGTGAGAATGCTTCTGTCTAGATTTTGTATGACGATATTCCCTTTTCCAACGATATCGTTAAAGCAATCTAAATATCAATTTGCAGAATCCACAAAAATAGAGTTTCAAAGCTGCTCTGTAAAAAGAAAGGTTCCACTCTGTTAGCTGAGTACACACATCACAAACTTGTTTCTCAGAATCCTTCTGTCTCGTTTTTATGGGAAGATATTTACTTTTTCACCGTGGGCATCAAAGCACTCCAAATGTCCACATCCAGATACTCCAGAAAGAGTGTTTCAAACCTGCTCTATGAAAGGGAATCTTCAACTCTATGAGTTGAATGCAGACATCAGAAAGAAATTTCTGAGAATGCTGCTGTCTACCTTTTATTTGAATTCCCGCTTCCAACGAAATCCTCCAAGCTACTCCAAATATCCACCTTGCACTTTTCCACAAAAAGAGTGTTTCAAAACTGCTCTATCAATAGAAATGTTCAACTCCTTTGGCTGGGTACACACATCACAAACAAGTTTCTGAGGATGCTTCTGTCTAGTTTTTATGGGTAGACATTCCCTTTTTCACCAAAGGAATCAAAGCGCTCCAAATGTCCACTTCCAGACACTACAAAAAGAGTGTTTCAAACGTGCTCTAAGAAAGCGAATGTTCAACTCTGTGACTTGAATGCAGATATCACACAGTAGTTTCTGAGAGTGCTTCTGTCTAGATTTTAGATGATGATATTCCCGTTTCCAACGAAATCATTAGAGCTATCCAAATATCCACTTACAGTTTCTACAAAAAGAGTGTTTCCAAACTGCTGCATCAAAAGAGAGGTTCCACTCTGTTAGCCGAGTACACACATCACAAACTTGTTTCTCAGAATCCTTCTGTCTCGTTTTTATGGGAAGATATTTACTTTTTCACCGTAGGCATCAAAGCGCTCCAAATGTCCACATCCAGATACTCCAGAAAGAGTGTTTCAAACCTGCTCTATGAAAGGTAATCTTCAACTCTATGAGTTGAATGCAGACATCAGAAAGAAATTTCTGAGAATGCTGCTGTCTACCTTTTATTTGAATTCCCGCTTCCAACGAAATCCTCCAAGCTATCCAAATATCCACTTGCAGATTCCACAAAAAGAGTGTTTCAAAACTGCTCTCTATCAATGGCAAAGTTCAACTCTGTTAGTTGAGGACACATATCACCAACAAGTTTCTGAGAATGCTTCTGTCTATTTTTTATGGGAAGATATTTCCTTTTTCACCGTAGGCGTCAAGGCGATCGAAATGTCCACTTCCATAAACTACAAAAAGAGTGTTTCAAACCTGCTCTATGAAAGGCCATGTTCATCTCTATGAGTTGAATGGAAATATCCGAAAGAAATTTCTGGGAATGCTGCTGTCTAGTAGTTTATACGAATTCCCGCTTCCAACGAAATCCTCAAAGCAATCCAAATATCCACTTGCAGAATCCACAAAAAGAGTGTTTCAAAACTGCTCTATCAATAGAAAGGTTCAACTCTTTTAGTTGAGTACACACATCACGAACAAGTTTCTGAGAATGCTTCTGTCTGGCTTTTATTGGAAGACGTTTCCTTTTCACCAAAGGCATCAAAGCGCTCCAAATGTCCACTTCCAGATTCTTCCAAAAGAGTGTTTCAAACGTGCTCAAAGTAAGGGAATGTTCAACTCTGTGACTTGAATGCAGATATCACCAAGTAGTTTCTAATAGTGCTTCTGTCTAGATTTTAGATGATGATATTCCCGTTTCCAACGAAATCGTTAGAGCTATCCAAATATCCACTTACACTTTCTACAAAAAGAGTGTTTCCAAACTGCTGCATCAAAAGAAAGGTTCAACTCTGTTAGTTGAGGACACACATCACAAAGAAGTTTGTGAGAATGCTTCTGTCCAGATTTTGTATGACGATATTCCCTTTTCCAACGATATCGTTAAAGCAATCTAAATATCAATTTGCAGAATCCACAAAAATAGAGTTTGAAAGCTGCTCTGTAAAAAGAAAGGTTCCACTCTGTTAGCTGAGTACACACATCACAAACTTGTTTCTGAGAATCCTTCTGTCTCGTTTTTATGGGAAGATATTTCCTTTTTCACCGTAGGCATCAAAGTGCTCCAAATGTCCACATCCAGATACTCCAGAAAGAGTGTTTCAAACCTGCTCTATGAAAGGGAATCTTCAACTCTATGAGTTGAATGCAGACATCAGAAAGAAATTTCTGAGAATGCTGCTGTCTACCTTTTATTTGAATTCCCGCTTCCAACGAAATCCTCCAAGCTATCCAAATATCCACCTGCATTTTCCACAAAAAGAGTGTTTCAAACCTGCTCTATCAATAGAAATGTTCAACTCCTTTGGCTGGGTACACACATCACAAACAAGTTTCTGAGAATGCTTCTGTCTAGTTTTTATGGGTAGACATTCCCTTTTTCACCAAAGGAATCAAAGCGCTCCAAATGTCCACTTCCAGACACTACAAAAAGAGTGTTTCCAACGTGCTCTAAGAAAGCTAATGTTCAACTCTGTGACTTGAATGCAGATATCACAAAGTAGTTTCTGAGAGGGCTTCTGTCTAGATTTTAGATGATGATATTCCCGTTTCCAACGAAATCATTAGAGCTATCCAAATATCCACTTACAGTTTCTACAAAAAGAGTGTTTCCAAACTGCTGCATCAAAAGAGAGGTTCCACTCTGTTAGCTGAGTACACACATCACAAACTTGTTTCTCAGAATCCTTCTGTCTCGTTTTTATGGGAAGATATTTACTTTTCCACCGTAGGCATCAAAGCGCTCCAAATGTCCACATCCAGATACTCCAGAACGAGTGTTTCAAACCTGCTCTATGAAAGGGAATCTTCAACTACTATGAGTTGAATGCAGACATCAGAAAGAAATTTCTGAGAATGCTGCTGTCTACCTTTTATTTGAATTCCCGCTTCCAACGAAATCCTCCAAGCTATCCAAATATCCACTTGCAGATTCCACAAAAAGAGTGTTTCAAAACTGCTCTCTATCAATGGCAAAGTTCAACTCTGTTAGTTGAGGACACATATCACCAACAAGTTTCTGAGAATGCTTCTGTCTATTTTTTATGGGAAGATATTTCCTTTTTCACCGTAGGCGTCAAGGCGATCGAAATGTCCACTTCCACAAACTACAAAAAGAGTGTTTCAAACCTGCTCTATGAAAGGCGATGTTCATCTGTATGAGTTGAATGGAAATATCCGAAAGAAATTTCTGGGAATGCTGCTGTCTAGTTTTTATACGAATTCCCGCTTCCAACGAAATCCTCAAAGCAATCCAAATATCCACTTGCAGAATCCACAAAAAGAGTGTTTCAAAACTGCTCTATCAATAGAAAGGTTCAACTCTTTTAGTTGAGTACACACATCACAAACAAGTTTCTGAGAATGCTTCTGTCTGGCTTTTATTGGAAGACGTTTCATTTTCACCAAAGGCATCAAAGCGCTCCAAATGTCCACTTCCAGATTCTTCCAAAAGAGTGTTTCAAACGTGCTCAAAGTAAGGGAATGTTCAACTCTTTGACTTGAATGCAGATATCACAAAGTAGGTTCTAATAGTGCTCTGTCTAGATTTTAGATGATGATATTCCCGTTTCCAACGAAATCGTTAGAGCTATCCAAATATCCACTTACAGTTTCTACAAAAAGAGTGTTTCCAAACTGCTGCATCAAAAGAAAGGTTCAACTCTGTTAGTTGAGGACACACATCACAAAGAAGTTTGTGAGAATGCTTTCTGTCTAGATTTTGTATGACGATATTCCCTTTTCCAACGATATTGTTAAAGCAATCTAAATATCAATTTGCAGAATCCACAAAAATAGAGTTTCAAAGCTGCTCTGTAAAAAGAAAGGTTCCACTCTGTTAGCTGAGTACACACATCACAAACTTGTTTCTGAGAATCCTTCTGTCTCGTTTTTCTGGGAAGATATTTACTTTTTCACCGTAGGCATCAAAGCGCTCCAAATGTCCACATCCAGATACTCCAGAAAGAGTGTTTCAAACCTGCTCTATGAAAGGGAATGTTCAACTCTATGAGTTGAATGCAGACATCAGAAAGAAATTTCTGAGAATGCTGCTGTCTACCTTTTATTTGTATTCCCGCTTCCAACGAAATCCTCCAAACTATCCAAATATCCACCTGCATTTTCCACAACAAGAGTGTTTCAAAACTGCTCTATCAATAGAAATGTTCAACTCCTTTGGCTGGGTACACACATCACAAACAAGTCTCTGAGAATGCTTCTGTCTAGTTTTTATGGGAAGACATTCCCTTTTTCACCAAAGGCATCAAAGCGCTCCAAATGTCCACTTCCAGACACTACAAAAAGAGTGTTTCAAACGTGCTCTAAGAAACCGAATGTTCAACTCTGTGACTTGAATGCAGATATCACAAAGTAGTTTCTGAGAGTGCTTCTGTCTAGATTTTAGATGATGATATTCCCGTTTCCAACGAAATCATTAGAGCTATCCAAATATCCACTTACAGTTTCTACAAAAAGAGTGTTTCCAAACTGCTGCATCAAAAGAGAGGTTCCACTCTGTTAGCTGAGTACACACATCACAAACTTGTTTCTCAGAATCCTTCTGTCTCGTTTTTATGGGAAGATATTTACTTTTCCACCGTAGGCATCAAAGCGCTCCAAATGTCCACATCCAGATACTCCAGAACGAGTGTTTCAAACCTGCTCTATGAAAGGGAATGCTCAACTCTATGAGTTGAATGCAGACATCAGAAAGAAATTTCTGAGAATGCTGCTGTCTACCTTTTATTTGAATTCCCGCTTCCAACGAAATCCTCCAAGCTATCCAAATATCCACTTGCAGATTCCACAAAAAGAGTGTTTCAAAACTGCTCTCTATCAATGGCAAAGTTCAACTCTGTTAGTTGAGGACACATATCACCAACAAGTTTCTGAGAATGCTTCTGTCTATTTTTTATGGGAAGATATTTCCTTTTTCACCGTAGGCGTCAAGGCGATCGAAATGTCCACTTCCACAAACTACAAAAAGAGTGTTTCAAACCTGCTCTATGAAAGGCCATGTTCATCTCTATGAGTCGAATGGAAATATCCAAAAGAAATTTCTGGGAATGCTGCTGTCTAGTTTTTATACGAATTCCCGCTTCCAACGAAATCCTCAAAGCAATCCAAATATCCACTTGCAGAATCCACAAAAAGAGTGTTTCAAAACTGCTCTATCAATAGAAAGGTTCAACTCTTTTAGTTGAGTACACACATCACAAACAAGTTTCTGAGAATGCTTCTGTCTGGCTTTTATTGGAAGACGTTTCCTTTTCACCAAAGGCATCAAAGCGCTCCAAATGTCCACTTCCAGATTCTTCCAAAAGAGTGTTTGAAACGTGCTCAAAGTAAGGGAATGTTCAACTCTGTGACTTGAATGCAGATATCACCAAGTAGTTTCTAATAGTGCTTCTGTCTAGATTTTAGATGATGATATTCCCGTTTCCAACGAAATCGTTAGAGCTATCCAAATATCCACTTACAGTTTCTACAAAAAGAGTGTTTCCAAACTGCTGCATCAAAAGAAACGTTCAACTCTGTTAGTTGAGGACACACATCACAAAGAAGTTTGTGAGAATTCTTCTGTCTGGATTTTGTATGACGATATTCCCTTTTCCAACGATATCGTTAAAGCAATCTAAATATCAATTTGCAGAATCCACAAAAATAGAGTTTCAAAGCTGCTCTGTAAAAAGAAAGGTTCCACTCTGTTAGCTGAGTACACACATCACAAACTTGTTTCTGAGAATCCTTCTGTCTCGTTTTTATGGGAAGATATTTACTTTTTCACCGTAGGCATCAAAGCACTCCAAATGTCCACATCCAGATACTCCAGAAAGACTGTTTCAAACCTGCTCTATGAAAGGGAATCTTCAACTCTATGAGTTGAATGCAGACATCAGAAAGAAATTTCTGAGAATGCTGCTGTCTACCTTTTATTTGAATTCCCGCTTCCAACGAAATCCTCCAAGCTATCCAAATATCCACCTGCATTTTCCACAAAAAGAGTGTTTCAAAACTGCTCTAGCAATAGAAATGTTCAACTCCTTTGGCTGGGTACACACATCACAAACAAGTTTCTGAGAATGCTTCTGTCTAGTTTTTATGGGAAGACGTTCCCTTTTTCACCAAAGGCATCAAAGCGCTCCAAATGTCCACTTCCAGACACTACAAAAAGAGTGTTTCAAACGTGCTCTAAGAAAGCGAATGTTCAACTCTGTGACTTGAATGCAGATATCACAAAGTAGTTTCTGAGAGGGCTTCTGTCTAGATTTTAGATGATGATATTCCCGTTTCCAACGAAATCATTAGAGCTATCCAAATATCCACATACAGTTTCTACAAAAAGAGTGTTTCCAAACTGCTGCATCCAAAGAGAGGTTCCACTCTGTTAGCTGAGTACACACATCACAAACTTGTTTCTCAGAATCCTTCTGTCTCGTTTTTATGGGAAGATATTTACTTTTTCATCGTAGGCCTCAAATCGCTCCAAATGTCCACATCCAGATACTCCAGAAAGAGTATTTCAAACCTGCTCTATGAAAGGGAATCTTCAACTCTATGAGTTGAATGCAGACATCAGAAAGAAATTTCTGAGAATGCTGCTGTCTACCTTTTATTTGAATTCCCGCTTCCAACGAAATCCTCCAAGCTATCCAAATATCCACTTGCAGATTCCACAAAAAGAGTGTTTCAAAACTGCTCTCTATCAATGGCAAAGTTCAACTCTGTTAGTTGAGGACACATATCACCAACAAGTTTCTGAGAATGCTTCTGTCTATTTTTTATGGGAAGATATTTCCTTTTTCAGCGTAGGCGTCAAGGCGATCGAAATGTCCACTTCCACAAACTACAAAAAGAGTGTTTCAAACCTGCTCTATGAAAGGCCATGTTCATCTCTATGAGTTGAATGGAAATATCCGAAAGAAATTTCTGGGAATGCTGCTGTCTAGTGTTTATACGAATTCCCGCTTCCAATGAAATCCTCAAAGCAATCCAAATATCCACTTGCAGAATCCACAAAAAGAGTGTTTCAAAACTGCTCTATCAATAGAAAGGTTCAACTCTTTTAGTTGAGTACACACATCACAAACAAGTTTCTGAGAATGCTTCTGTCTGGCTTTTATTGGAAGACGTTTCCTTTTCACCAAAGGCATCAAAGCGCTCCAAATGTCCACTTCCAGATTCTTCCAAAAGAGTGTTTCAAACGTGCTCGAAGTAAGGGAATGTTCAACTCTGTGACTTGAATGCAGATGTCACCAAGTAGTTTCTAATAGTGCTTCTGTCTAGATTTTAGATGATGATATTCCCGTTTCCAACGAATTCGTTAGAGCTATCCAAATATCCACTTACAGTTTCTACCAAAAGGGTGTTTCCAAACTGCTGCATCAAAAGAAAGGTTCAACTCTGTTAGTTGAGGACACACATCACAAAGAAGTTTGTGAGAATGCTTCTGTCCAGATTTTGTATGACGATATTCCCTTTTCCAACGATATCGTTAAAGCAATCTAAATATCAATTTGCAGAATCCACAAAAATAGAGTTTCAAAGCTGCTCTGTAAAAAGAAAGGTTCCACTCTGTTAGCTGAGTACACACATCTCAAACTTGTTTCTCAGAATCCTTCTGTCTCGTTTCTATGGGAAGATATTTACTTTTCCACCATAGGCATCAAAGCGCTCCAAATGTCCACATCCAGATACTCCAGAACGAGTGTTTCAAACCTGCTCTATGAAAGGGAATCTTCAACTCTATGAGTTGAATGCAGAATCAGAAAGAAATTTCTGAGAATGCTGCTGTCTACCTTTTATTTGAATTCCCGCTTCCAACGAAATCCTCCAAGCTATCCAAATATCCACCTGCATTTTGCACAAAAAAAGTGTTTCAAAACTGCTCTATCAATAGAAATGTTCAACTCCTTTGTCTGGGTACACACATCACAAACAAGTTTCTGAGAATGCTTCTGTCTAGTTTTTATGGGAAGACATTCCCTTTTTCACCAAAGGCATCAAAGCGCTCCAAATGTCCACTTCCAGACACTACAAAAAGAGTGTTTCAAACGTGCTCTAAGAAAGCGAATGTTCAACTCTGTGACTTGAATGCAGATATCACCAAGTAGTTTCTGAGAGGGCTTCTGTCTAGATTTTAGATGATGATATTCCCGCTTCCAACGAAATCATTAGAGCTATCCAAATATCCACTTACAGTTTCTACAAAAAGAGTGTTTCCAAACTGCTGCATCAAAAGAAAGGTTCAACTCTGTTAGTTGAGGACACACATCACAAAGAAGTTTGTGAGAATGCTGCTGTCTACCTTTTATTTGAATTCCCGCTTCCAACGAAATCCTCCAAGCTATCCAAATATCCTCCTGCATTTTCCACAACAAGAGTGTTTCAAAACTGCTCTATCAATAGAAATGTTCAACTCCTTTGGCTGGGTACACACATCACAAACAAGTTTCTGAGAATGCTTCTGTCTAGTTTTTATGGGAAGACGTTCCCTTTTTCACCAAAGGCATCAAAGCGCTCCAAATGTCCACTTCCAGACACTACAAAAAGGGTGTTTCAAACGTGCTCTAAGAAAGCAAATGTTCAACTCTGTGACTTGAATGCAGATATCACAAAGTAGTTTCTGAGAGGGCTTCTGTCTAGATTTTAGATGATGATATTCCCGTTTCCAACGAAATCATTAGAGCTATCCAAATATCCACTTACAGTTTCTACAAAAAGAGTGTTTCCAAACTGCTGCATCAAAAGAGAGGTTCCACTCTGTTAGCTGAGTACACACATCACAAACTTGTTTCTCAGAATCCTTCTGTCTCGTTTTTCTGGGAAGATATTTACTTTTTCACCGTAGGCATCAAAGCGCTCCAAATGTCCACATCCAGATACTCCAGAAAGAGTGTTTCAAACCTGCTCTATGAAAGGGAATCTTCAACTCTATGAGTTGAATGCAGACATCAGAAAGAAATTTCTGAGAATGCTGCTGTCTACCTTTTATTTGAATTCCCGCTTCCAACGAAATCCTCCAAGCTATCCAAATATCCACTTGCAGATTCCACAAAAAGAGTGTTTCCAAACTGCTCTCTATCAATGGCAAAGTTCAACTGCTGTTAGTTGAGGACACATATCACCAACAAGTTTCTGAGAATGCTTATCTGTCTATTTTTTATGGGAAGATATTTCCTTTTTCACCGTAGGCGTCAAGGCGATCGAAATGTCCACTTCCACAAACTACAAAAAGAGTGTTTCAAACCTGCTCTATGAAAGGCAATGTTCATCTCTATGAGTTGAATGGAAATATCCGAAAGAAATTTCTGGGAATGCTGCTGTCTAGTTTTTATACGAATTCCCGCTTCCAACGAAATCCTCAAAGCAATCCAAATATCCACTTGCAGAATCCACAAAAAGAGTGTTTCAAAACTGCTCTATCAATAGAAAGGTTCAACTCTTTTAGTTGAGTACACACATCACAAACAAGTTTCTGAGAATGCTTCTGTCTGGCTTTTATTGGAAGACGTTTCCTTTTCACCAAAGGCATCAAAGCGCTCCAAATGTCCACTTCCAGATTCTTCCAAAAGAGTGTTTCAAACGTGCTCAAAGTAAGGGAATGTTCAACTCTGTGACTTGAATGCAGATATCACCAAGTAGTTTCTAATAGTGCTTCTGTCTAGATTTCAGATGATGATATTCCCGTTTCCAACGAAATCGTTAGAGCTAAGCAAATATCCAGTTACAGTTTCTACCAAAAGGGTGTTTCCAAATTGCTGCATCAAAAGATAGGTTCAACTCTGTTAGTTGAGGACACACATCACAAAGAAGTTTGTGAGAATGCTTCTGTCTAGATTTTGTATGACGATATTCCCTTTTCCAACGATATCGTTAAAGCAATCTAAATATCAATTTGCAGAATCCACAAAAATAGAGTTTCAAAGCTGCTCTGTAAAAAGAAAGGTTCCACTCTGTTAGCTGAGTACACACATCACAAACTTGTTTCTCAGAATCCTTCTGTCTCGTTTTTATGGGAAGATATTTACTTTTCCACCGTAGGCATCAAAGCGCTCCAAATGTCCACATCCAGATACTCCAGAACGAGTGTTTCAAACCTGCTCTATGAAAGGGAATCTTCAACTCTATGAGTTGAATGCAGACATCAGAAAGAAATTTCTGAAAATGCTGCTGTCTACCTTTTATTTGAATTCCCGCTTCCAACGAAATCCTCCAAGCTATCCAAATATCCACTTGCAGATTCCACAAAAAGAGTGTTTCAAAACTGCTCTATCAATAGAAATGTTCAACTCCTTTAGCTGGGTACACACATCACAAACAAGTTTCTGAGAATGCTTCTGTCTAGTTTTTATGGGAAGACGTTCCCTTTTTCACCAAAGGCATCAAAGCGCTCCAAATGTCCACTTCCAGACACTACAAAAAGATTGTTTCCAACGTGCTCTAAGAAAGCGAATGTTCAACTCTGTGACTTGAATGCAGATATCACAAAGTAGTTTCTGAGAGGGCTTCTGTCTAGATTTTAGATGATGATATTCCCGTTTCCAACGAAATCATTAGAGCTATCCAAATATCCACTTACAGTTTCTACAAAAAGAGTGTTTCCAAACTGCTGCATCAAAAGAGAGGTTCCACTCTGTTAGCTGAGTACACACATCACAAACTTGTTTCTCAGAATCCTTCTGTCTCGTTTTTATGGGAAGATATTTACTTTCTCACCGTAGGCATCAAAGCGCTCCAAATGTCCACATCCAGATACTCCAGAAAGAGTGTTTCAAACCTGCTCTATGAAAGGGAATCTTCAACTCTATGAGTTGAATGCAGACATCAGAAAGAAATTTCTGAGAATGCTGCTGTCTACCTTTTATTTGAATTCCCGCTTCCAACGAAATCCTCCAAGCTATCCAAATATCCACTTGCAGATTCCACAAAAAGAGTGTTTCAAAACTGCTCTCTATCAATGGCAAAGATCCACTCTGTTAGTTGAGGACACATATCACCAACAAGTTTCTGAGAATGCTCTGTCTATTTTTTATGGGAAGATATTTCCTTTTTCACCGTAGGCATCAAGGCGATCGAAATGTCCACTTCCACAAACTACAAAAAGAGTGTTTCAAACCTGCTCTATGAAAGGCGATGTTCATCTCTATAAGTTGAATGGAAATATCCGAAAGAAATTTCTGGGAATGCTGGCTGTCTAGTGTTTATACGAATTCCCGCTTCCAACGAAATCCTCAAAGCAATCCAAATATCCACTTGCAGAATCCACAAAAAGAGTGTTTCAAAACTGCGCTATCAAAAGAAAGGTTCAACTCTTTTAGTTGAGTACACACATCACGAACAAGTTTCTGAGAATGCTTCTCTCTGGCTTTTATTGGAAGACGTTTCCTTTTCACCAAAGGCATCAAAGCGCTCCAAATGTCCACTTCCAGATTCTTCCAAAAGAGTGTTTCAAACGTGCTCAAAGTAAGGGAATGTTCAACTCTGTGACTTGAATGCAGATATCACCAAGTAGTTTCTAATAGTGCTTCTGTCTAGATTTTAGATGATGATATTCCCGTTTCCAACGAAATCGCTAGAGCTATCCAAATATCCAGTTACAGTTTCTACTAAAAGGGTGTTTCCAAATTGCTGCATCAAAAGAAAGGTTCAACTCTGTTAGTTGAGGACACACATCACAAAGAAGTTTGTGAGAATGCTTCTGTCTAGATTTTGTATGACGGTATTCCCTTTTCCAACGATATCGTTAAAGCAATCTAAATATCAATTTGCAGAATCCACAACAATAGAGTTTCAAAGCTGCTCTGTAAAAAGAAAGGTTCCACTCTGTTAGCTGAGTACACACATCACAAACTTGTTTCTGAGAATCCTTCTGTCTCGTTTTTATGGGAAGATATTTACTTTTTCACCGTAGGCATCAAAGCGCTCCAAATGTCCACATCCAGATACTCCAGAAAGAGTGTTTCAAACCTACTCTATGAAAGGGAATCTTCAACTCTATGAGTTGAATGCAGACATCAGAAAGAAATTTCTGAGAATGCTGCTGTCTAACTTTTATTTGAATTCCCGCTTCCAACGAAATCCTCCAAGCTATCCAAATATCCACCTGCATTTTCCACAACAAGAGTGTTTCAAAACTGCTCTATCAATAGAAATGTTCAACTCCTTTGGCTGGGTACACACATCACAAACAAGTTTCTGAGAATGCTTCTGTCTAGTTTTTATGGGAAGACATTCCCTTTTTCACCAAAGGCATCAAAGCGCTCCAAATGTCCACTTCCAGACACTACAAAAAGAGGGTTTCAAACGTGCTCTAAGAAAGCGAATGTTCAACTCTGTGACTTGAATGCAGATATCACAAAGTAGTTTCTGAGAGGGCTTCTGTCTAGATTTTAGATGATGATATTCCCGTTTCCAACGAAATCATTAGAGCTATCCAAATATCCACTTACAGTTTCCACAAAAAGAGTGTTTCCAAACTGCTGCATCAAAAGAGAGGTTCCACTCTGTTAGCTGAGTACACACATCACAAACTTGTTTCTCAGAATCCTTCTGTCTCGTTTTTATGGGAAGATATTTACTTTCTCACCGTAGGCATCAAAGCGCTCCAAATGTCCACATCCAGATACTCCAGAAAGAGTGTTTCAAACCTGCTCTATGAAAGGGAATCTTCAACTCTATGAGTTGAATGCAGGCATCAGAAAGAAATTTCTGAGAATGCTGCTGTCTACCTTTTATTTGAATTCCCGCTTCCAACGAAATCCTCCAAGCTATCCAAATATCCACTTGCAGATTCCACAAAAAGAGTGTTTCAAAACTGCTCTCTATCAATGGCAAAGTTCAACTCTGTTAGTTGAGGACACATATCACCAACAAGTTTCTGAGAATGCTTCTGTCTATTTTTTATGGGTAGATATTTCCTTTTTCACCGTAGGCATCAAGGCGATCGAAATGTCCACTTCCACAAACTACAAAAAGAGTGTTTCAAACCTGCTCTATGAAAGGCCATGTTCATCTCTATGAGTTGAATGGAAATATCCGAAAGAAATTTCTGGGAATGCTGCTGTCTAGTTTTTATACGAATTCCCGCTTCCAACGAAATCCTCAAAGCAATCCAAATATCCACTTGCAGAATCCACAAAAAGAGTGTTTCAAAACTGCTCTATCAATAGAAAGGTTCAACTCTTTTAGTTGAGTACACACATCACAAACAAGTTTCTGAGAATGCTTCTGTCTGGCTTTTATTGGAAGACGTTTCCTTTTCACCAAAGGCATCAAAGCGCTCCAAATGTCCACTTCCAGATTCTTCCAAAAGAGTGTTTCAAACGTGCTCAAAGTAAGGGAATGTTCAACTCTGTGACTTGAATGCAGATATCACTAAGTAGTTTCTAATAGTGCTTCTGTCTAGATTTTAGATGATGATATTCCCGTTTCCAACGAAATCGTTAGAGCTATCCAAATATCCACTTATAGTTGCTACAAAAACAGTGTTTCCAAACTGCTGCATCAAAAGAAAGGTTCAACTCTGTTAGTTGAGGACACACGTCACAAAGAAGTTTGTGAGAATGCTTCTGTCTAGATTTTGTATGACGATATTCCCTTTTCCAACGATATCATTAAAGCAATCTAAATATCAATTTGCAGAATCCACAAAAATAGAGTTTCAAAGCTGCTCTGTAAAAAGAAAGGTTCCACTCTGTTAGCTGAGTACACACATCACAAACTTGTTTCTGAGAATCCTTCTGTCTCGTTTTTATGGGAAGATATTTACTTTTCCACTGTAGGCATCAAAGCGCTCCAAATGTCCACATCCAGATACTCCAGAACGAGTGTTTCAAACCTGCTCTATGAAAGGGAATCTTCAACTCTATGAGGTTGAATGCAGACATCAGAAAGAAATTTCTGAGAATGCTGCTGTCTACCTTTTATTTGAATTCCCGCTTCCAACGAAATCCTCCAAGCTATCCAAATATCCACCTGCATTTTCCACAAAAAGAGTGTTTCAAACCTGCTCTATCAATAGAAATGTTCAACTCCTTTGGCTGGGTACACACATCACAAACAAGTTTCTGAGAATGCTTCTGTCTAGTTTTTATGGGAAGACATTCCCTTTTTCACCAAAGGCATCAAAGCGCTCCAAATGTCCACTTCCAGACACTACAAAAAGAGTGTTTCAAACGTGCTCTAAGAAAACGAATGTTCAAATCTGTGACTTGAATGCAGATATCACAAAGTGGTTTCTGAGAGGGCTTCTCTCTAGATTTTAGATGATGATATTCCCGTTTCCAACGAAATCATTAGAGCTATCCAAATATCCACTTACAGTTTCTACAAAAAGAGTGTTTCCAAACTGCTGCATCAAAAGAGAGGTTCCACTCTGTTAGCTGAGTACAAACATCACAAACTTGTTTCTGAGAATCCTTCTGTCTCGTTTTTATGGGAAGATATTTACTTTTTCACCGTAGGCATCAAAGCGCTCCAAATGTCCACATCCAGATACTCCAGAAAGAGTGTTTCAAACCTGTTCTATGAAAGGGAATGTTCAACTCTATGAGTTGAATGCAGACATCAGAAAGAAATTTCTGAGAATGCTGCTGTCTACCTTTTATTTGAATTCCCGCTTCCAACGAAATCCTCCAAGCTATCCAAATATCCACTTGCAGATTCCACAAAAAGAGTGTTTCAAAACTGCTCTCTATCAATGGCAAAGTTCAACTCTGTTAGTTGAGGACACATATCACCAACAAGTTTCTGAGAATGCTTCTGTCTATTTTTTATGGGAAGATATTTCCTTTTTCACCGTAGGCGTCAAGGCGATCGAAATGTCCACTTCCACAAACTACAAAAAGCGTGTTTCAAACCTGCTCTATGAAAGGCCATGTTCATCTCTATGAGTTGAATGGAAATATCCGAAAGAAATTTCTGGGAATGCTGCTGTCTAGTTTTTATACGAATTCCCGCTTCCAACGAAATCCTCAAAGCAATCCAAATATCCACTTGCAGAATCCACAAAAAGAGTGTTTCAAAACTGCTCTATCAATAGAAAGGTTCAACTCTTTTAGTTGAGTACACACATCACAAACAAGTTTCTGAGAATGCTTCTGTCTGGCTTTTATTGGAAGACGTTTCCTTTTCACCAAAGGCATCAAAGCGCTCCAAATGTCCACTTCCAGATTCTTCCAAAAGAGTGTTTGAAACGTGCTCAAAGTAAGGGAATGTTCAACTCTGTGACTTGAATGCAGATATCACCAAGTAGTTTCTAATAGTGCTTGTCTGTCTACATTTTAGATGATGATATTCCCGTTTCCAACGAAATCGTTAGAGCTATCCAAATATCCAGTTACAGTTTCTACCAAAAGGGTGTTTCCAAATTGCTGCATCAAAAGAAAGGTTCAACTCCGTTAGTTGAGGACACACATCACAAACAAGTTTGTGAGAATGCTTCTGTCTAGATTTTGTATGACCATATTCCCTTTTCCAACGATATCGTTAAAGCAATCTAAATATCCATTTGCAGAATCCACAAAAATAGAGTTTCAAAGCTGCTCTGTAAAAAGAAAGGTTCCACTCTGTTAGCTGAGTACACACATCACAAACTTGTTTCTCAGAATCCTTCTGTCTCGTTTTTATGGGAAGATATTTACTTTTCCACCGTAGGCATCAAAGCGCTCCAAATGTCCACATCCAGATACTCCAGAAAGACTGTTTCAAACCTGCTCTATGAAAGGGAATCTTCAACTCTATGAGTTGAATGCAGACATCAGAAAGAAATTTCTGAGAATTCTGCTGTCTACCTTTTATTTGAATTCCCGCGTCCAACGAAATCCTCCAAGCTATCCAAATATCCACTTGCATTTTCCACAAAAAGAGTGTTTCAAAACTGCTCTATCAATAGAAATGTTCAACTCCTTTAGCTGGGTACACACATCACAAACAAGTTTCCTGAGAATGCTTCTTTCTAGTTTTTATGGGAAGACATTCCCTTTCTCACCAAAGGCATCAAAGCGCTCCAAATGTCCACTTCCAGACACTACAAAAAGAGTGTTTCAAACGTGCTCTAAGAAAGCGAATATTCAACTCTGTGACTTGAATGCAGATATCACAAAGTAGTTTCTGAGAGGGCTTCTGTCTAGATTTTAGATGATGATATTCCCGTTTCCAACGAAATCATTAGAGCTATCCAAATATCCACTTACAGTTTCTACAAAAAGAGTGTTTCCAAACTGCTGCATCAAAAGAGAGGTTCCACTCTGTTAGCTGAGTACACACATCACAAACTTGATTCTCAGAATCCTTCTGTCTCGTTTTTATGGGAAGATATTTACTTTTTCACCGTAGGCATCAAAGCGCTCCAAATGTCCACATCCAGATACTCCACAAAGAGTGTTTCAAACCTGCTCTATGAACGGGAATCTTCAACTCTATGAGTTGATTGCAGACATCAGAAAGAAATTTCTGAGAATGCTGCTGTCTACCTTTTATTTGAATTCCCGCTTCCAACGAAATCCTCCAAGCTATCCAAATATCCACTTGCAGATTCCACAAAAAGAGTGTTTCAAAACTGCTCTCTATCAATGGCAAAGTTCAACTCTGTTAGTTGAGGACACATATCACCAACAAGTTTCTGAGAATGCTTCTGTCTGTTTTTTATGGGAAGATATTTCCTTTTTCACCGTAGGCGTCAAGGCGATCGAAATGTCCACTTCCACAAACTACAAAAAGAGTGTTTCAAACCTGCTCTATGAAAGGCCATGTTCATCTCTATGAGTCGAATGGAAATATCCGAAAGAAATTTCTGGGAATGCTGCTGTCTAGTTTTTATACGAATTCCCGCTTCCAACGAAATCCTCAAAGCAATCCAAATATCCACTTGCAGAATCCACAAAAAGAGTGTTTCAAAACTGCTCTATCAATAGAAAGGTTCAACTCTTTTAGTTGAGTACACACATCACAAACAAGTTTCTGAGAATGCTTCTGTCTGGCTTTTATTGGAAGACGTTTCCTTTTCACCAAAGGCATCAAAGCGCTCCAAATGTCCACTTCCAGATTCTTCCAAAAGAGTGTTTGAAACGTGCTCAAAGTAAGGGAATGTTCAACTCTGTGACTTGAATGCAGATATCACCAACTAGTTTCTAATAGTGCTTCTGTCTAGATTTTAGATGATGATATTCCCGTTTCCAACGAAATCGTTAGAGCTATCCAAATATCCACTCACAGTTTCTACAAAAAGAGTGTTTCCAAACTGCTGCATCAAAATAAAGGTTCAACTCTGTTAGTTGAGGACACACATCACAAAGAAGTTTGTGAGAATGCTTCTGTCTAGATTTTGTATGACGATATTCCCTTTTCCAACGATATCGTTAAAGCAATCTAAATATCCATTTGCAGAATCCACAAAAATAGAGTTTCAAAGCTGCTCTGTAAAAAGAAAGGTTCCACTCTGTTAGCTGAGTACACACATCACAAACTTGTTTCTGAGAATCCTTCTGTCTCGTTTTTATGGGAAGATATTTACTTTTTCACCGTAGGCATCAAAGCGCTCCAAATGTCCACATCCAGATACTCCAGAAAGAGTGTTTCAAACCTGCTCTATGAAAGGGAATCTTCAACTCTATGAGTTGAATGCAGACATCAGAAAGAAATTTCTGAGAATGCTGCTGTCTACCTTTTATTTGAATTCCCGCTTCCAACGAAATCCTCCAAGCTATCCAAATATCCACCTGCATTTTCCACAACAAGAGTGTTTCGAAACTGCTCTATCAATAGAAATGTTCAACTCCTTTGGCTGGGTACACACATCACAAACAAGTTTCTGAGAATGCTTCTGTCTAGTTTTTATGGGAAGACATTCCCTTTTTCACCAAAGGCATCAAAGCGCTACAAATGTCCACTTCCAGACACTACAAAAAGAGTGTTTCAAACGTGCTCTAAGAAACCGGATGTTCAACTCTGTGACTTGAATGCAGATATCACAAAGTAGTTTCTGAGAGGGCTTCTGTCTAGATTTTAGATGATGATATTCCCGTTTCCAACGAAATCATTAGAGCTATCCAAATATCCACTTACAGTTTCTACAAAAAGAGTGTTTCCAAACTGCTGCATCTAAAGAGAGGTTCCACTCTGTTAGCTGAGTACACACATCAAAATCTTGTTTCTGAGAATCCTTCTGTCTCGTTTTTATGGGAAGATTATACTTTTTCACCGTAGGCATCAAAGCGCTCCAAATGTCCACATCCAGATACTCCAGAAAGAGTGTTTCAAACCTGCTCTATGAAAGGGAATCTTCAACTCTATGAGTTGAATGCAGACATCAGAAAGAAATTTCTGAGAATGCTGCTGTCTACCTTTTATTTGAATTCCCGCTTCCAACGAAATCCTCCAAGCTATCCAAATATCCACTTGCAGATTCCACAAAAAGAGTGTTTCAAAACTGCTCTCTATCAATGGCAAAGTTCAACTCTGTTAGTTGAGGACACATATCACCAACAAGTTTCTGAGAATGCTTCTGTCTATTTTTTATGGGAAGATACTTCCTTTTTCACCGTAGGCGTCAAGGCGATCGAAATGTCCACTTCCACAAACTACAAAAAGAGTGTTTCAAACCTGCTCTATGAAAGGCCATGTTCATCTCTATGAGTTGAATGGAAATATCCAAAAGAAATTTCTGGGAATGCTGCTGTCTAGTTGTTATACGAATTCCCGCTTCCAACGAAATCCTCAAAGCAATCCAAATATCCACTTGCAGAATCCACAAAAAGAGTGTTTCAAAACTGCTCTATCAATAGAAAGGTTCAACTCTTTTAGTTGAGTACACACATCACAAACAAGTTTCTGAGAATGCTTCTGTCTGGCTTTTATTGGAAGACGTTTCCTTTTCACCAAAGGCATCAAAGCGCTCCAAATGTCCACTTCCAGATTCTTCCAAAAGAGTGTTTCAAACGTGCTCAAAGTAAGGGAATGTTCAACTCTGTGACTTGAATGCAGATATCACCAAGTAGTTTCTAATAGTGCTTCTGTCTAGATTTTAGATGATGATATTCCCGTTTCCAACGAAATCATTAGAGCTATCCAAATATCCAGTTACAGTTTCTACCAAAAGGGTGTTTCCAAATTGCTGCATCAAAAGAAAGGTTCAACTCTGTTAGTTGAGGACACACATCACAAAGAAGTTTGTGAGAATGCTTCTGTCCAGATTTTGTATGACGATATTCCCTTTTCCAACGATATCGTTAAAGCAATCTAAATATCAATTTGCAGAATCCACAAAAATAGAGTTTCAAAGCTGCTCTGTAAAAAGAAAGGTTCCACTCTGTTAGCTGAGTACACACATCACAAACTTGTTTCTCAGAATCCTTCTGTCTCGTTTTTCTGGGAAGATATTTACTTTTTCACCGTAGACATCAAAGCGCTCCAAATGTCCACATCCAGATACTCCAGAAAGAGTGTTTCAAACCTGCTCTATGAAAGGGAATCTTCAACTCTATGAGTTGAATGCAGACATCAGAAAGAAATTTCTGAGAATGCTGCTGTCTACCTTTTATTTGAACTCCCGCTTCCAACGAAATCCTCCAAGCTATCCAAATATCCACTTGCATTTTCCACAAAAAGAGTGCTTCAAAACTGCTCTATCAATAAATGTTCAACTCCTTTAGCTGGGTGCACACATCACAAACAAGTTTCTGAGAATGCTTCTGTGTAGTTTTTATGGGTAGACATTCCCTTTTTCACCAAAGGAATCAAAGCGCTCCAAATGTCCACTTCCAGACACTACAAAAAGAGTGTTTCAAACGTGCTCTAAGAAAGCGAATGTTCAACTCTGTGACTTGAATGCAGATATCACAAAGTAGTTTCTGAGAGTGCTTCTGTCTAGATTTTAGATGATGATATTCCCGTTTCCAACGAAATCATTAGAGCTATCCAAATATCCACTTACAGTTTCTACAAAAAAAGTGTTTCCAAACTGCTGCATCAGAAGAGAGGTTCCACTCTGTTAGCTGAGTACACACATCACAAACTTGTTTCTCAGAATCCTTCTGTCTCGTTTTTATGGGAAGATATTTACTTTCTCACCGTAGGCATCAAAGCGCTCCAAATGTCCACATCCAGATACTCCAGAAAGAGTGTTTCAAACCTGCTCTATGAAAGGGAATCTTCAACTCTATGAGTTGAATGCAGACATCAGAAAGAAATTTCTGAGAATGCTGCTGTCTGCCTTTTATTTGAATTCCCGCTTCCAACGAAATCCTCCAAGCTATCCAAATATCCACTTGCAGATTCCACAAAAAGAGTGTTTCAAAACTGCTCTCTATCAATGGCAAAGTTCAACTCTGTTAGTTGAGGACACATATCACCAACAAGTTTCTGAGAATGCTTCTGTCTATTTTTTATGGGAAGATATTTCCTTTTTCACCGTAGGCGTCAAGGCGATCGAAATGTCCACTTCCACAAACTACAAAAAGAGTGTTTCAAACCTGCTCTATGAAAGGCCATGTTCATCTCTATGACTTGAATGGAAATATCCGAAAGAAATTTCTGGGAATGCTGCTGTCTAGTTTTTATACGAATTCCCGCTTCCAACGAAATCCTCAAAGCAATCCAAATATCCACTTGCAGAATCCACAAAAAGAGTGTTTCAAAACTGCTCTATCAATAGAAAGGTTCAACTCTTTTAGTTGAGTACACACATCACAAACAAGTTTCTGAGAATGCTTCTGTCTGGCTTTTATTGGAAGACGTTTCCTTTTCACCAAAGGCATCAAAATGCTCCAAATGTCCACTTCCAGATTCTTCCAAAAGAGTGTTTCAAACGTGCTCAAAGTAAGGGAATGTTCAACTCTTTGACTTGAATGCAGATATCACCAAGTAGTTTCTAATAGTGCTTCTGTCTAGATTTTAGATGACGATATTCCCGTTTCCAGCGAAATCGTTAGAGCTATCCAAATATCCACTTACAGTTTCTACAAAAAGAGTGTTTCCAAACTGCTGCATCAAAAGAAAGGTTCAACTCTGTTAGTTGAGGACACACATCACAAAGAAGTTTGTGAGAATGCTTCTGTCTAGATGTTGTATGACCATATTCCCTTTTCCAACAATATCGTTAAAGCAATCTAAATATCAATTTGCAGAATCCACAAAAATAGAGTTTCAAAGCTGCTCTGTAAAAAGAAAGGTTCCACTCTGTTAGCTGAGTACACACATCACAAACTTGTTTCTGAGAATCCTGCTGTCTACCTTTTATTTGAATTCCCGCTTCCAACGAAATCCTCCAAGCTATCCAAATATCCACTTGCATTTTCCACAAAAAGAGTGTTTCAAAACTGCTCTATCAATAGAAATGTTCAACTCTTTTAGCTGGGTACACACATCACAAACAAGTTTCTGAGAATGCTTCTGTCTAGTTTTCATGGGAAGACATTCCCTTTTTCACCAAAGGCATCAAAGCGCTCCAAATGTCCACTTCCAGACACCACAGAAAGAGTGTTTCCAACGTGCTCTAAGAAAGCGAATGTTCAACTCTGTGACTTGAATGCAGATATCACAAAGTAGTTTCTGAGAGGGCTTCTGTCTAGATTTTAGATGATGATATTCCCGTTTCCAACGAAATCATTAGAGCTATCCAAATATCCACTTACAGTTTCTGCAAAAAGAGTGTTTCCAAACTGCTGCATCAAAAGAGAGGTTCCACTCTGTTAGCTGAGTACACACATCACAAACTTGTTTCTCAGAATCCTTCTGTCTCGTTTTTATGGGAAGATATTTACTTTTTCACCGTAGGCATCAAAGCGCTCCAAATGTCCACATCCAGATACTCCAGAAAGAGTATTTCAAACCTGCCCTATGAAAGGGAATGTTCAACTCTATGAGTTGAATGCAGAGATCAGAAAGAAATTTCTGAGAATGCTGCTGTCTACCTTTTATTTGAATTCCCGCTTCCAACGAAATCCTCCAAGCTATCCAAATATCCACTTGCAGATTCCACAAAAAGAGTGTTTCAAAACTGCTCTCTATCAATGGCAAAGTTCAACTCTGTTAGTTGAGGACACATATCACCAACAAGTTTCTGAGAATGCTTCTGTCTATTTTTTATGGGAAGATATTTCCTTTTTCAGCGTAGGCGTCAAGGCGATCGAAATGTCCACTTCCACAAACTACAAAAAGAGTGTTTCAAACCTGCTCTATGAAAGGCCATGTTCATCTCTATGAGTTGAATGGAAATATCCGAAAGAAATTTCTGGGAATGCTGCTGTCTAGTGTTTATACGAATTCCCGCTTCCAACGAAATCCTCAAAGCAATCCAAATATCCACTTGCAGAATCCACAAAAAGAGTGTTTCAAAACTGCGCTATCAATAGAAAGGTTCAACTCTTTTAGTTGAGTACACACATCACAAACAAGTTTCTGAGAATGCTTCTGTCTGGCTTTTATTGGAAGACGTTTCCTTTTCACCAAAGGCATCAAAGCGCTCCAAATGTCCACTTCCAGATTCTTCCAAAAGAGTGTTTCAAACGTGCTCAAAGTAAGGGAATGTTCAACTCTTTGACTTGAATGCAGATATCACCAAGTAGTTTCTAATAGTGCTTCTGTCTAGATTTTAGATGATGATATTCCCGATTCCAACGAAATCGTTAGAGCTATCCAAATATCCACTTACAGTTTCTACAAAAAGAGTGTTTCCAAACTGCTGCATCAAAAGAAAGGTTCAACTCTGTTAGTTGAGGACACACATCACAAAGAAGTTTGTGAGAATGCTTCTGTCTAGATTTTGTATGACGATATTCCCTTTTCCAACGATATCGTTAAATCAATCTAAATATCAATTTGCAGAATCCACAAAAATAGAGTTTCAAAGCTGCTCTGTAAAAAGAAAGGTTCCACTCTGTTAGCTGAGTACACACATCACAAACTTGTTTCTCAGAATCCTTCTGTCTCGTTTTTATGGGAAGATATTTACTTTTTCACCATAGGCATCAAAGCGCTCCAAATGTCCACATCCAGATACTCCAGAAAGACTGTTTCAAACCTGCTCTATGAAAGGGAATCTTCAACTCTATGAGTTGAATGCAGACATCAGAAAGAAATTTCTGAGAATGCTGCTGTCTACCTTTTATTTGAATTCCCGCTTCCAACGAAATCCTCCAAGCTATCCAAATATCCACCTGCATTTTCCACAACAAGAGTGATTCAAAACTGCTCTATCAATAGAAATGTTCAACTCCTTTGGCTGGGTACACACATCACAAACAAGTTTCTGAGAATGCTTCTGTCTAGTTTTTATGGGAAGACATTCCCTTTTTCACCAAGGCATCAAAGCGCTCCAAATGTCCACTTCCAGACACTACAAAAAGAGTGTTTCCAACGTGCTCTAAGAAAGCGAATGTTCAACTCTGTGACTTGAATGCAGATATCACAAAGTAGTTTCTGAGAGGGCTTCTGTCTAGATTTTAGATGATGATATTCCCGTTTCCAACGAAATCATTAGAGCTATCCAAATATCCACTTCCAGTTTCTACAAAAAGAGTGTTTCCAAACTACTGCATCAAAAGAGAGGTTCCACTCTGTTAGCTGAGTACACACATCACAAACTAGTTTCTCAGAATCCTTCTGTCTCGTTTTTATGGGAAGATATTTACTTTTTCACCGTAGGCATCAAAGCGCTCCAAATGTCCACATCCAGATACTACAGAAAGAGTATTTCAAACCTGCCCTATGAAAGGGAATGTTCAACTCTATGAGTTGAATGCAGACATCAGAAAGAAATTTCTGAGAATGCTGCTGTCTACCTTTTATTTGAATTCCCGCTTCCAACGAAATCCTCCAAACTATCCAAATATCCACTTGCAGATTCAGGAAAAAGAGTGTTTCAAAACTGCTCTCTATCAATGGCAAAGTTCAACTCTGTTAGTTGAGGACACATATCACCAACAAGTTTTCTGAGAATGCTTCTGTCTATTTTTTATGGGAGGATATTTCCTTTTTCACCGTAGGCGTCAAGGCGATCGAAATGTCCACTTCCACAAACTACAAAAAGAGTGTTTCAAACCTGCTCTATGAAAGGCCATGTTCATCTCTATGAGTTGAATGGAAATATCCGAAAGAAATTTCTGGGAATGCTGCTGTCTAGTTTTTATACGAATTCCCGCTTCCAACGAAATCCTCAAAGCAATCCAAATATCCACTTGCAGAATCCACAAAAAGAGTGTTTCAAAACTGCTCTATCAATAGAAAGGTTCAACTCTTTTAGTTGAGTACACACATCACAAACAAGTTTCTGAGAATGCTTCTGTCTGGCTTTTATTGGAAGACGTTTCCTTTTCACCAAAGGCATCAAAGCGCTCCAAATGTCCACTTCCAGATTCTTCCAAAAGAGTGTTTGAAACGTGCTCAAAGTAAGGGAATGTTCAACTCTGTGACTTGAATGCAGATATCACCAAGTAGTTTCTAATAGTGCTTTCTGTCTAGATTTTAGATGATGATATTCCCGTTTCCAACGAAATCGTTAGAGCTATCCAAATATCCACTTACAGTTGCTACAAAAACAGTGTTTCCAAACTGCTGCATCAAAAGAAAGGTTCAACTCTGTTAGTTGAGGACACACATCACAAAGAAGTTTGTGAGAATGCTTCTGTCTAGATTTTGTATGACCATATTCCCTTTTCCAACGATATCGTTAAAGCAATCTAAATATCAATTTGCAGAATCCACAAAAATAGAGTTTCAAAGCTGCTCTGTAAAAAGAAAGGTTCCACTCTGTTAGCTGAGTACACACATCACAAACTTGTTTCTGAGAATCCTTCTGTCTCGTTTTTATGGGAAGATATTTACTTTTTCACCGTAGGCATCAAAGCGCTCCAAATGTCCACATCCAGATACTACAGAAAGAGTATTTCAAACCTGCTCTATGAAAGGGAATCTTCAACTCTATGAGTTGAATGCAGACATCAGAAAGAAATTTCTGAGAATGCTGCTGTCTAACTTTTATTTGAATTCCCGCTTCCAACGAAATCCTCCAAGCTATCCAAATATCCACCTGCATTTTCCACAAAAAGAGTGTTTCAAAACTGCTCTATCAATAGAAATGTTCAACTCCTTTGGCTGGGTACACACATCACAAACAAGTTTCTGAGAATGCTTCTGTCTAGTTTTTATGGGTAGACATTCCCTTTTTCACCAAAGGAATCAAAGCGCTCCAAATGTCCACTTCCAGACACTACAAAAAGAGTGTTTCAAACGTGCTCTAAGAAAGCGAATGTTCAACTCTGTGACTTGAATGCAGATATCACAAAGTAGTTTCTGAGAGGGCTTCTGTCTAGATTTTAGATGATGATATTCCCGTTTCCAACGAAATCATTAGAGCTATCCAAATATCCACTTACAGTTTCTACAAAAAGAGTGTTTCCAAACTGCTGCATCAAAAGAGAGGTTCCACTCTGTTAGCTGAGCACACACATCACAAACTTGTTTCTCAGAATCCTTCTGTCTCGTTTTTATGGGAAGATATTTACTTTTTCACCGTAGGCATCAAAGCGCTCCAAATGTCCACATCCAGATACTACAGAAAGAGTATTTCAAACCTGCCCTATGAAAGGGAATCTTCAACTCTATGAGTTGAATGCAGACATCAGAAAGAAATTTCTGAGAATGCTGCTGTCTACCTTTTATTTGAATTCCCGCTTCCAACGAAATCCTCCAAGCTATCCAAATATCCACTTGCAGATTCCACAAAAAGAGTGTTTCAAAACTGCTCTCTATCAATGGCAAAGTTGAACTCTGTTAGTTGAGGACACATATCACCAACAAGTTTCTGAGAATGCTTCTGTCTATTTTTTATGGGAAGATATTTCCTTTTTCACCGTAGGCGTCAAGGCGATCGAAATGTCCACTTCCACAAACTACAAAAAGAGTGTTTCAAACCTGCTCTATGAAAGGCCATGTTCATCTCTATGAGTCGAATGGAAATATCCGAAAGAAATTTCTGGGAATGCTGCTGTCTAGTTTTTATACGAATTCCCGCTTCCAACGAAATCCTCAAAGCAATCCAAATATCCACTTGCAGAATCCACAAAAAGAGTGTTTCAAAACTGCTCTATCAATAGAAAGGTTCAACTCTTTTTAGTTGAGTACACACATCACAAACAAGTTTCTGAGAATGCTTCTGTCTGGCTTTTATTGGAAGACGTTTCCTTTTCACCAAAGGCATCAAAGCGCTCCAAATGTCCACTTCCAGATTCTTCCAAAAGAGTGTTTGAAACGTGCTCAAAGTAAGGGAATGTTCAACTCTGTGACTTGAATGCAGATATCACCAAGTAGTTTCTAATAGTGCTTCTGTCTAGATTTTAGATGATGATATTCCCGTTTCCAACAAAATCGTTAGAGCTATCCAAATATCCACTTACAGTTGCTACAAAAACAGTGTTTCCAAACTGCTGCATCAAAAGAAAGGTTCAACTCTGTTAGTTGAGGACACACGTCACAAAGAAGTTTGTGAGAATGCTTCTGTCTAGGTTTTGTATGACGATATTCCCTTTTCCAACGATATCGTTAAAGCAATCTAAATATCAATTTGCAGAATCCACAAAAATAGAGTTTCAAAGCTGCTCTGTAAAAAGAAAGGTTCCACTCTGTTAGCTGAGTACACACATCACAAACTTGTTTCTCAGAATCCTTCTGTCTCTTTTTTATGGGAAGATATTTACTTTTTCACCGTAGGCATCAAAGCGCTCCAAATGTCCACATCCAGATACTCCAGAAAGAGTGTTTCAAACCTGCTCTATGAAAGGGAATCTTCAACTCTATGAGTTGAATGCAGACATCAGAAAGAAATTTCTGAGAATGCTGCTGTCTACCTTTTATTTGAATTCCCGCTTCCAACGAAATCCTCCAAGCTATCCAAATATCCACTTGCAGATTCCACAAAAAGAGTGTTTCAAAACTGCTCTCTATCAATGGCAAAGTTCAACTCTGTTAGTTGAGGACACATATCACCAACAAGTTTCTGAGAATGCTTCTGTCTATTGTTTATGGGAAGATATTTCCTTTTTCACCGTAGGCGTCAAGGCGATCGAAATGTCCACTTCCACAAACTACAAAAAGAGTGTTTCAAACCTGCTCTATGAAAGGCGATGTTCATCTCTATGAGTTGAATGGAAATATCCGAAAGAAATTTCTGGGAATGCTGCTGTCTAGTTTTTATATGAATTCCCGCTTCCAACGAAATCCTCAAAGCAATCCAAATATCCACTTGCAGAATCCACAAAAAGAGTGTTTCAAAACTGCTCTATCAATAGAAAGGTTCAACTCTTTTAGTTGAGTACACACATCACCAACAAGTTTCTGAGAATGCTTCTGTCTGGCTTTTATTGGAAGACGTTTCCTTTTCACCAAAGGCATCAAAGCGCTCCAAATGTCCACTTCCAGATTCTTCCAAAGGAGTGTTTCAAACGTGCTCGAAGTAAGGGAATGTTCTACTCTGTGACTTGAATGCAGATATCACCAAGTAGTTTCTAATAGTGCTTCTGTCTAGATTTTAGGTGATGATATTCCCGTTTCCAACGAAATCGTTAGAGCTATCCAAATATCCAGTTACAGTTTCTACCGAAAGGGTGTTTCCAAATTGCTGCATCAAAAGAAAGGTTCAACTCTGTTAGTTGAGGACACACATCACAAAGAAGTTTGTGAGAATGCTTCTGTCTAGATTTTGTATGACGATATTCCCTTTTCCAACGATATCGTTAAAGCAATCTAAATATCAATTTGCAGAATCCACGAAAATAGAGTTTCAAAGCTGCTCTGTAAAAAGAAAGGCTCCACTCTGTTAGCTGAGTACACACATCACAAACTTGTTTCTGAGAATCCTTCTGTCTCGTTTTTATGGGAAGATATTTACTTTTCCACCGTAGGCATCAAAGCGCTCCAAATGTCCACATCCAGATACTCCAGAAAGAGTATTTCAAACCTGCTCTATGAAAGGGAATCTTCAACTCTATGAGTTGAATGCAGACATCAGAAAGAAATTTCTGAGAATGCTGCTGTCTACCTTTTATTTGAATTCCCGCTTCCAACGAAATCCTCCAAGCTATCCAAATATCCACCTGCATTTTCCACAAAAAGAGTGTTTCAAAACTGCTCTATCAATAGAAATGTTCAACTCCTTTGGCTGGGTACACACATCACAAACAAGTTTCTGAAAATGCTTCTGTCTAGTTTTTATGGGTAGACATTCCCTTTTTCACCAAAGGAATCAAAGCGCTCCAAATGTCCACTTCCAGACACTACAAAAAGAGTGTTTCAAACGTGCTCTAAGAAAGCGAATGTTCAACTCTGTGACTTGAATGCAGATATCACACAGTAGTTTCTGAGAGGGCTTCTGTCTAGATTTTAGACGATGATATTCCCGTTTCCAACGAAATCATTAGAGCTATCCAAATATCCACTTACAGTTTCTACAAAAAGAGTGTTTCCAAACTGCTGCATCAAAAGAGAGGTTCCACTCTGTTAGCTGAGTACACACATCACAAACTTGTTTCTCAGAATCCTTTCTGTCTCGTTTTTATGGGAAGATATTTACTTTTTCAACGTAGGCATCAAAGCGCTCCAAATGTCCACATCCAGATACTCCACAAAGAGTGTTTCAAACCTGCTCTATGAAAGGGAATCTTCAACTCTATGAGTTGAATGCAGACATCAGAAAGAAATTCCTGAGAATGCTGCTGTCTACCTTTTATTTGAATTCCCGCTTCCAACGAAATCCTCCAAGCTATCCAAATATCCACTTGCAGATTCCACAAAAAGAGTGTTTCAAAACTGCTCTCTATCAATGGCAAAGTTCAACTCTGTTAGTTGAGGACACATATCAACAACAAGTTTCTGAGAATGCTTCTGTCTATTTTTTATGGGAAGATATTTCCTTTTTCACCGTAGGCGTCAAGGCGATCGAAATGTCCACTTCCACAAACTACAAAAAGAGTGTTTCAAACCTGCTCTATGAAAGGCCATGTTCATCTCTATGAGTTGAATGGATATATCCGAAAGAAATTTCTGGGAATGCTGCTGTCTAGTTTTTATACGAATTCCCGCTTCCAACGAAATCCTCAAAGCAATCCAAATATCCACTTGCAGAATCCACAAAAAGAGTGTTTCAAAACTGCTCTATCAATAGAAAGGTTCAACTCTTTTAGTTGAGTACACACATCACAAACAAGTTTGCTGAGAATGCTTCTGTCTGGCTTTTATTGGAAGCCGTTTCCTTTTCACCAAAGGCATCAAAGCGCTCCAAATGTCCACTTCCAGATTCTTCCAAAAGAGTGTTTCAAACGTGCTCAAAGTAAGGGAATGTTCAACTCTGTGACTTGAATGCAGATATCACCAAGTAGTTTCTAATAGTGCTTCTGTCTAGATTTTAGATGACGATATTCCCGTTTCCAGCGAAATCGTTAGAGCTATCCAAATATCCACTTACAGTTTCTACAAAAAGAGTGTTTCCAAACTGCTGCATCAAAAGAAAGGTTCAACTCTGTTAGTTGAGGACACACATCACAAAGAAGTTTGTGAGAATGCTTCTGTCCAGATTTTGTATGACGATATTCCCTTTTCCAACGATATCGTTAAAGCAATCTAAATATCCATTTGCAGAATCCACAAAAATAGAGTTTCAAAGCTGCTCTGTAAAAAGAAAGGTTCCACTCTGTTAGCTGAGTACACACATCACAAACTTGTTTCTGAGAATCCTTCTGTCTCGTTTTTATGGGAAGATATTTACTTTTTCACCGTAGGCATCAAAGCGCTCCAAATGTCCACATCCAGATACTCCAGAAAGAGTGTTTCAAACCTGCTCTATGAAAGAGAATCTTCAACTCTATGAGTTGAATGCAGACATCAGAAAGAAATTTCTGAGAATGCTGCTGTCTACCTTTTATTTGAATTCCCGCTTCCAACGAAATCCTCCAAGCTATCCAAATATCCACTTGCATTTTCCACAAAAAGAGTGTTTCAAGACTGCTCTATCAATAGAAATGTTCAACTCCTTTAGCTGGGTACACACATCACAAACAAGTTTCTGAGAATGCTTCTGTCTAGTTTTTATGGGAAGACATTCCCCTTTTCACCAAAGGCATCAAAGCGCTCCAAATGTCCACTTCCAGACACTACAAAAAGAGTGTTTCAAACGTGCTCTAAGAAAGTGAATGTTCAACTCTGTGACTTGAATGCAGATATCACAAAGTAGTTTCTGAGAGGGCTTCTGTCTAGATTTTAGATGATGATATTCCCGTTTCCAACGAAATCATTAGAGCTATCCAAATATCCACTTACAGTTTCTACAAAAAGAGTGTTTCCAAACTGCTGCATCAAAAGAGAGGTTCCACTCTGTTAGCTGAGTAAAGACATCACAAACTTGTTTCTGAGAATCCTTCTGTCTCGTTTTTATGGGAAGATATTTACTTTTTCACCGTAGGCATCAAAGCGCTCCAAATGTCCACATCCAGATACTCCAGAAAGAGTGTTTCAAACCTGCTCTATAAAAGGGAATCTTCAACTCTATGAGTTGAATGCAGACATCAGAAAGAAATTTCTGAGAATGCTGCTGTCTACCTTTTATTTGAATTCCCGCTTCCAACGAAATCCTCCAAGCTATCCAAATATCCACTTGCAGATTCCACAAAAAGAGTGTTTCAAAACTGCTCTCTATCAATGGCAAAGTTCAACTCTGTTAGATGAGGACACATATCACCAACAAGTTTCTGAGAATGCTTCTGTCTATTTTTATGGGAAGATATTTCCTTTTTCACCGTAGGCGTCAAGGCGATCGAAATGTCCACTTCCACAAACTACAAAAAGAGTGTTTCAAGCCTGCTCTATGAAAGGCCATGTTCATCTCTATGAGTTGAATGGAAATATCCGAAAGAAATTTCTGGGAATGCTGCTGTCTAGTGTTTATACGAATTCCCGCTTCCAACGAAATCCTCAAAGCAATCCAAATATCCACTTGCAGAATCCACAAAAAGAGTGTTTCAAAACTGCTCTATCAATAGAAAGGTTCAACTCTTTTAGTTGAGTACACACATCACAAACAAGTTTCTGAGAATGCTTCTGTCTGGCTTTTATTGGAAGACGTTTCCTTTTCACCAAAGGCATCAAAGCGCTCCAAATGTCCACTTCCAGATTCTTCCAAAAGAGTGTTTGAAACGTGCTCAAAGTAAGGGAATGTTCAACTCTGTGACTTGAATGCAGATATCACCAAGTAGTTTCTAATAGTGCTTCTGTCTACATTTTAGATGATGATATTCCCGTTTCCAACGAAATCGTTAGAGCTATCCAAATATCCAGTTACAGTTTCTACCAAAAGGGTGTTTCCAAATTGCTGCATCAAAAGAAAGGTTCAACTCTGTTAGTTGAGGACACACATCACAAAGAAGTTTGTGAAAATGCTTCTGTCTAGATTTTGTATGAAGATATTCCCTTTTCCAACGATGTCATTAAATCAACCCAAATATCAATTTGCAGAATCCACAGAAATAGAGTTTCAAAGCTGCTCTGTAAAAAGAAAGGATCCACTCTATTAGCTGAGTACACACATAAAAAACTTGTTTCTGAGAATCCTTCTGTCTCGTTTTTATGGGAAGATATTTACTTTTCCACCGTAGGCATCAAAGCGCTCCAAATGTCTACATCCAGATACTCCAGAACGAGTGTTTCAAACCTGCTCTATGAAAGGGAATCTTCAACTCTATGAGTTGAATGCAGACATCAGAAAGAAATTTCTGAGAATGCTGCTGTCTACCTTTTATTTGAATTCCCGCTTCCAACGAAATCCTCCAAGCTATCCAAATATCCACTTGCATTTTCCACAACAAGAGTGTTTTAAAACTGCTCTATCAATAGAAATGTTCAACTCCTTTGGCTGGGTACACACATCACAAACAAGTTTCTGAGAATGCTTCTGTCTAGTTTTTATGGGAAGACGTTCCCTTTTTCACCAAAGGCATCAAAGCGCTCCAAATGTCCACTTCCAGACACTACAAAAAGAGTGTTTCAAACGTGCTCTAAGAAAACGAATGTTCAACTCTGTGACTTGAATGCAGATATCACAAAGTAGTTTCTGAGAGGGCTGCTGTCTAGATTTTAGATGATGATATTCCCGTTTCCAACGAAATCATTAGAGCTATCCAAATATCCACTTACAGTTTCTACAAAAAGAGTGTTTCCAAACTGCTGCATCAAAACAGAGGTTCCACTCTGTTAGCTGAGTACACACATCACAAACTTGTTTCTCAGAATCCTTCTGTCTCGTTTTTATGGGAAGATATTTACTTTTCCACCGTAGACATCAAAGCGCTCCAAATGTCCACATCCAGATACTCCAGAAAGAGTGTTTCAAACCTGCTCTATGAAAGGGAATCTTCAACTCTATGAGTTGAATGCAGACATCAGAAAGAAATTTCTGAGAATGCTGCTGTCTACCTTTTATTTGAATTCCCGCTTCCAACGAAATCCTCCAAGCTATCCAAATATCCACTTGCAGATTCCACAAAAAGAGTGTTTCAAAACTGCTCTCTATCAATGGCAAAGTTCAACTCTGTTAGTTGAGGACACATATCACCAACAAGTTTCTGAGAATGCTTCTGTCTATTTTTTATGGGAAGATATTTCCTTTTTCACCGTAGGCGTCAAGGCGATCGAAATGTCCACTTCCACAAACTACAAAAAGAGTGTTTCAAACCTGCTCTATGAAAGGCCATGTTCATCTCTATGAGTTGAATGGAAATATCCGAAAGAAATTTCTGGGAATGCTGCTGTCTAGTTTTTATACGAATTCCCGCTTCCAACGAAATCCTCAAAGCAATCCAAATATCCACTTGCAGAATCCACAAAAAGAGTGTTTCAAAACTGCTCTATCAATAGAAAGGTTCAACTCTTTTAGTTGAGTACACACATCAAGAACAAGTTTCTGAGAATGCTTCTGTCTGACTTTTATTGGAAGACGTTTCCTTTTCACCAAAGGCATCAAAGCGCTCCAAATGTCCACTTCCAGATTCTTCCAAAAGAGTGTTTCAAACGTGCTCAAAGTAAGGGAATGTTCAACTCTGTGACTTGAATGCAGATATCACCAAGTAGTTTCTAATAGTGCTTCTGTCTAGATTTTAGATGATGATATTCCCGTTTCCAACGAAATCGTTAGAGCTATCCAAATATCCACTTACAGTTTCTACAAAAACAGTGTTTCCAAACTGCTGCATCAAAAGAAAAGTTCAACTCTGTTAGTTGAGGACACACATCACAAAGAAGTTTGTGAGAATGCTTCTGTCTAGATTTTGTATGACCATATTCCCTTTTCCAGCGATATCGTTAAAGCAATCTAAATATCCATTTGCAGAATCCACAAAAATAGAGTTTCAAAGCTGCTCTGTAAAAAGAAAGGTTCCACTCTGTTAGCTGAGTACACACATCACAAACTTGTCTCTCAGAATCCTTCTGTCTCGTTTTTATGGGAAGATATTTACTTTTTCACCGTAGGCATCAAAGCGCTCCAAATGTCCACATCCAGATACTCCAGAAAGAGTGTTTCAAACCTGCTCTATGAAAGGGAATCTTCAACTCTATGAGTTGAATGCAGACATCAGAAAGAAATTTCTGAGAATGCTGCTGTCTACCTTTTATTTGAACTCCCGCTTCCAACGAAATCCTCCAAGCTATCCAAATATCCACTTGCATTTTCCACAAAAAGAGTGCTTCAAAACTGCTCTATCAATAAATGTTCAACTCCTTTAGCTGGGTGCACACATCACAAACAAGTTTCTGAGAATGCTTTCTGTCTAGATTTTATGGGAAGACATTCCCTTTTTCACCAAAGGCATCAAAGCGCTCCAAATGTCCACTTCCAGACACTACAAAAAGAGTGTTTCCAACGTGCTCTAAGAAAGCGAATGTTCAACTCTGTGACTTGAATGCAGATATCACAAAGTAGTTTCTGAGAGGGCTTCTGTCTAGATTTTAGATGATGATATTCCCGTTTCCAACGAAATCATTAGAGCTATCCAAATATCCACTTACAGTTTCTACAAAAAGAGTGTTTCCAAACTGCTGCATCAAAAGAGAGGTTCCACTCTGTTAGCTGAGTACACACATCACAAACTTGTTTCTGAGAATCCTTCTGTGTCGTTTTTATGGGAAGATATTTACTTTTTCACCGTAGGCATCAAAGCGCTCCAAATGTCCACATCCAGATACTCCAGAAAGAGTGTTTCAAACCTGCTCTATGAAAGGGAATATTCAACTCTATGAGTTGAATGCAGACATCAGAAAGAAATTTCTGAGAATGCTGCTGTCTACCTTTTATTTGAATTCCCGCTTCCAACGAAATCCTCCAAGCTATCCAAATATCCACTTGCAGATTCCACAAAAAGAGTGTTTCAAAACTGCTCTCTATCAATGGCAAAGTTCAAATCTGTTAGTTGAGGACACATATCACCAACAAGTTTCTGAGAATGCTTCTGTCTAGTTTTTATGGGAAGACATTCCCTTTTTCACCAAAGGCATCAAAGCGCTCCAAATGTCCACTTCCACAAACTACAAAAAGAGTGTTTCAAACCTGCTCTATGAAAGGCCATGTTCATCTCTATGAGTCGAATGGAAATATCCGAAAGAAATTTCTGGGAATGCTGCTGTCTAGTGTTTATACGAATTCCCGCTTCCAACGAAATCCTCAAAGCAATCCAAATATCCACTTGCAGAATCCACAAAAAGAGTGTTTCAAAACTGCTCTGTCAATAGAAAGGTTCAACTCTTTTAGTTGAGTACACACATCACGAACAAGTTTCTGAGAATGCTTCTGTCTGGCTTTTATTGGAAGACGTTTCCTTTTCACCAAAGGCATCAAAGCGCTCCAAATGTCCACTTCCAGATTCTTCCAAAAGAGTGTTTCAAACGTGCTCAAAGTAAGGGAATGTTCAACTCTGTGACTTGAATGCAGATATCACCAAGTAGTTTCTAATAGTGCTTCTGTCTAGATTTTAGATGATGATATTCCCGTTTCCAACGAAATCGTTAGAGCTATCCAAATATCCAGTTACAGTTTCTACCAAAAGGGTGTTTCCAAATTGCTGCATCAAAAGAAAGGTTCAACTCTGTTAGTTGAGGACACACATCACAAAGAAGTTTGTGAGAATGCTTCTGTCTAGATTTTGTATGACGATATTCCCTTTTCCAACGATATCGTTAAAGCAACCTAAATATCAATTTGCAGAATCCACAAAAATAGAGTTTCAAAGCTGCTCTGTAAAAAGAAAGGTTCCACTCTGTTAGCTGAGTACACACATCACAAACTTGTTTCTGAGAATCCTTCTGTCTCGTTTTTATGGGAAGATATTTACTTTTTCACCGTAGGCATCAAAGCGCTCCAAATGTCCACATCCAGATACTCCAGAAAGAGTGTTTCAAACCTGCTCTATGAAAGGGAATCTTCAACTCTATGAGTTGAATGCAGACATCAGAAAGAAATTTCTGAGAATGCTGCTGTCTACCTTTTATTTGAACTCCCGCTTCCAACGAAATCCTCCAAGCTATCCAAATATCCACTTGCATTTTCCACAAAAAGAGTGCTTCAAAACTGCTCTATCAATAAATGTTCAACTCCTTTAGCTGGGTGCACACATCACAAACAAGTTTCTGAGAATGCTTCTGTCTAGTTTTTATGGGAAGACATTTCCTTTTTCACCAAAGGCATCAAAGAGCTCCAAATGTCCACTTCTAGATACTACAAAAAGAGTGTTTCAAAAGTGCTCTAAGAAAGCGAATGTTCAACTCTGTGACTTGAATGCAGATATCACAAAGTAGTTTCTGAGAGTGCTTCTGTCTAGATTTTGTATGAGGATATTCCCTTTTCCAACGATATCGTTAAAGCAATCTAAATATCAATTTGCAGAATCCACAAAAATAGAGTTTCAAAGCTGCTCTGTAAAAAGAAAGGTTCCACTCTGTTAGCTGAGTACACACATCACAAACTTGTTTCTCAGAATCCTGCTGTCTACCTTTTATTTGAATTCCCGCTTCCAACGAAATCCTCCTAGCTATCCAAACATCCACTTGCATTTTCCACAAAAAGAGTGTTTCAAAACTGCTCTATCAATAGAAACTTTCAACTCCTTTAGCTGGGTACACACATCACAAACAAGTTTCTGAGAACGCTTCTGTCTAGTTTTTATGGGTAGACATTCCCTTTTTCACCAAAGGAATCAAAGCGCTCCAAATGTCCACTTCCAGCCAATACAAAAAGAGTGTTTCAAACGTGCTCTACGAAAGCGAATGTTCAACTCTGTGACTTGAATGCAGATATCACACAGTAGTTTCTGAGAGTGCTTCTGTCTAGATTTTAGATGATGATATTCCCGTTTCCAACGAAATCATTAGAGCTATCCAAATATCCACTTACAGTTTCTACAAAAAGAGTGTTTCGAAACTGCTGCATCAAAAGAGATTTCCACTCTGTTAGCTGAGTACACACATCACAAACTTGTTTCTCAGAATCCTTCCGTCTCGTTTTAATGGGAAGATATTTACTTTTTCACCATAGGCATCAAAGCGCTCCAAATGTCCACATCCAGATACTACAGAAAGAGTATTTCAAACCTGCTCTATGAAAGGGAATGTTCAACTCTATGAGTTGAATGCAGACATCAGAAAGAAATTTCTGAGAATGCTGCTGTCTACCTTTTATTTGAATTCCCGCTTCCAACGAAATCCTCCAAGCTATCCAAATATCCACTTGCAGATTCCACAAAAAGAGTGTTTCAAAACTGCTCTCTATCAATGGCAAAGTTCAACTCTGTTAGTTGAGGGCACATATCACCAACAAGTTTCTGAGAATGCTTCTGTCTATTTTTTATGGGAAGATATTTCCTTTTTCACCGTAGGCGTCAAGGCGATCGAAATGTCCACTTCCACAAACTACAAAAAGAGTGTTTCAAACCTGCTCTATGAAAGGCCATGTTCATCTCTATGAGTTGAATGGAAATATCCGAAAGAAATTTCTGGGAATGCTGCTGTCTAGTTGTTATACGAATTCCCGCTTCCAAAGAAATCCTCAAAGCAATCCAAATATCCACTTGCAGAATCCACAAAAAGAGTGTTTCAAAACTGCTCTATCAATAGAAAGGTTCAACTCTTTTAGTTGAGTACACACATCAAGAACAAGTTTCTGAGAATGCTTCTGTCTGGCTTTTATTGGAAGACGTTTCCTTTTCACCAAAGGCATCAAAGCGCTCCAAATGTCCACTTCCAGATTCTTCCAAAAGAGTGTTTCAAACGTGCTCAAAGTAAGGGAATGTTCAACTCTTTGACTTGAATGCAGATATCACCAAGTAGTTTCTAATAGTGCTTCTGTCTAGATTTTAGATGATTATATTCCCGTTTCCAACGCAATCGTTAGAGCTATCCAAATATCCACTTACAGTTTCTACAAAAAGAGTGTTTCCAAACTGCTGCATCAAAAGAAAGGTTCAACTCTGTTAGTTGAGGACACACATCACAAAGAAGTTTGTGAGAATGCTTCTGTCTAGATTTTGTATGACCATATTCCCTTTTCCAGCGATATCATTAAAGCAATCTAAATATCCATTTGCAGAATCCACAAGAATAGAGTTTCAAAGCTGCTCTGTAAAAAGAAAGGTTCCACTCTGTTAGCTGAGTACACACATCACAAACTTGTTTCTGAGAATCCTTCTGTCTCGTTTTTATGGGAACATATTTAGTTTTTCACCGTAGGCATCAAAGCGGTCCAAATGTCCACATCCAGATACTCCAGAAAGAGTGTTTCAAACCTGCTCTATGAAAGGGAATCTTCAACTCTATGAGTTGAATGCACACATCAGAAAGAAATTTCTGAGAATGTTGCTGTCTACCTTTATTTGAATTCCCGCTTCCAACGAAATCCTCCAAGCTATCCAAATATCCACCTGCATTTTCCACAACAAGAGTGTTTCAAAACTGCTCTATCAATAGAAATGTTCAACTCCTTTGGCTGGGTACACACATCACAAACAAGTTTCTGAGAATGCTTCTGTCTAGTTTTTATGGGAAGACATTCCCTTTTTCACCAAAGGCATCAAAGCACTCCAAATGTCCACTTCCAGACACTACAAAAAGAGTGTTTCAAACGTGCTCTAAGAAAGCGAATGTTCAACTCTGTGACTTGAATGCAGATATCACAAAGTAGTTTCTGACAGGGCTTCTGTCTAGATTTTAGATGATGATATTCCCGTTTCCAACGAAATCATTAGAGCTATCCAAATATCCACTTACAGTTTCTACAAAAAGTGTGTTTCCAAACTACTGCATCAAAAGAGAGGTTCCACTCTGTTAGCTGAGTACACACATCACAAACTTGTTTCTCAGAATCCTTCTGTCTCGTTTTTATGGGAAGATATTTACTTTCTCACCGCAGGCATCAAAGCGCTCCAAATGTCCACATCCATATACTCCAGAAAGAGTGTTTCAAACCTGCTCTATGAAAGGGAATCTTCAACTCTATGAGTTGAATGCAGACATCAGAAAGAAATTTCTGAGAATGCTGCTGTCTACCTTTTATTTGAATTCCCGCTTCCAACGAAATCCTCCAAGCTATCCAAATATCCACTTGCAGATTCCACAAAAAGAGTGTTTCAAAACTGCTCTCTATCAATGGCAAAGTTCAACTCTGTTAGTTGAGGACACATATCACCAACAAGTTTCTGAGAATGCTTCTGTCTATTTTTTATAGGAAGATATTTCCTTTTTCACCGTAGGCGTCAAGGCGATCGAAATGTCCACCTCCACAAACTACAAAAAGAGTGTTTCAAACCTGCTCTATGAAAGGCCATGTTCATCTCTATGAGTTGAATGGAAATATCCGAAAGAAATTTCTGGGAATGCTGCTGTCTAGTTTTTATACGAATTCCCGCTTCCAACGAAATCCTCAAAGCAATCCAAATATCCACTTGCAGAATCCACAAAAAGAGTGTTTCAAAACTGCTCTATCAATAGAAAGGTTCAACTCTTTTAGTTGAGTACACACATCACAAACAAGTTTCTGAGAATGCTTCTGTCTGGCTTTTATTAGAAGACGTTTCCTTTTCACCAAAGGCATCATCAAAGCGCTCCAAATGTCCACTTCCAGATTCTTCCAAAAGAGTGTTTGAAACGTGCTCAAAGTAAGGGAATGTTCAACTCTGTGACTTGAATGCAGATATCACCAAGTAGTTTCTAATACTGCTTCTCTCTAGATTTTAGATGATGATATTCCCGTTTCCAACGAAATCGTTAGAGCTATCCAAATATCCACTTACAGTTTCTACAAAAAGGGTGTTCCAAACTGCTGCATCAAAAGAAAGGTTCAACTCTGTTAGTTGAGGACACACATCACAAAGAAGTTTGTGAGAATGCTTCTGTCTAGGATTTTGTATGACGATATTCCCTTTTCCAACGATATCGTTAAAGCAATCTAAATATCAATTTGCAGAATCCACAAAAATAGAGTTTCAAAGCTGCTCTGTAAAAAGAAAGGTTCCACTCTGTTAGCTGAGTACACACATCACAAACTTGTTTCTGAGAATCCTTCTGTCTCGTTTTTATGGGAAGATATTTACTTTTTCACCGTAGGCATCAAAGCGCTCCAAATGTCCACATCCAGATACTCCAGAAAGAGTGTTTCAAACCTGCTCTAGGAAAGGGAATCTTCAACTCTATGAGTTGAATGCAGACATCAGAAAGAAATTTCTGAGAATGCTGCTGTCTACCTTTTATTTGAATTCCCGCTTCCAACGAAATCCTCCAAGCTATCAAAATATCCACTTGCATTTTCCACAAAAAGAGTGTTTCAAAACTGCTCTATCAATACAAATGTTCAACTCTTTAGCTGGGTACACACATCACAAACAAGTTTCTGAGAATGCTTCTGTCTAGTTTTTATGGGAAGACATTCCCTTTTTCACCAAAGGCATGAAAGCGCTCCAAATGTCCACTTCCAGACACTACAAAAAGAGTGTTTCAAACGTGCTCTAAGAAAGCGAATGTTCAACTCTGTGACTTGAATGCAGATATCACAAAGTAGTTTCTGAGAGGGCTTCTGTCTAGAATTTAGATGATGATATTCCCGTTTCCAACGAAATCATTAGAGCTATCCAAATATCCACTTACAGTTTCTACAAAAAGAGTGTTTCCAAACTGCTGCATCAAAACAGAGGTTCCACTCTGTTAGCTGAGTACACACATCACAAACTTGTTTCTCAGAATCCTTCTGTCTCGTTTTTATGGGAAGATATTTACTTTTTCACCGTAGGCAATAAAGCGCTCCAAATGTCCACATCCAGATACTCCAGAAAGAGTGTTTCAAACCTGCTCTATGAAAGGGAATGTTCAACTCTATGAGTTGAATGCAGACATCAGAAAGAAATTTCTGAGAATGCTGCTGTCTACCTTTTATTTGAATTCCCGCTTCCAACGAAATCCTCCAAGCTATCCAAATATCCACTTGCAGATTCCACAAAAAGAGTGTTTCAAAACTGCTCTCTATCAATGGCAAAGTTCAACTCTGTTAGTTGAGGACACATATCACCAACAAGTTTCTGAGAATGCTTCTGTCTATTTTTTATAGGAAGATATTTCCTTTTTCACCGTAGGTGTCAAGGCGATCGAAATGTCCACCTCCACAAACTACAAAAAGAGTGTTTCAAACCTGCTCTATGAAAGGCCATGTTCATCTCTATGAGTTGAATGGAAATATCCGAAAGAAATTTCTGGGAATGCTGCTGTCTAGTGTTTATACGAATTCCCGCTTCCAACGAAATCCTCAAAGCAATCCAAATATCCACTTGCAGAATCCACAAAAAGAGTGTTTCAAAACTGCTCTATCAATAGAAAGGTTCAACTCTTTTAGTTGAGTACACACATCACGAACAAGTTTCTGAGAATGCTTCTGTCTGGCTTTTATTGGAAGAAGTTTCCTTTTCACCAAAGGCATCAAAGCGCTCCAAATGTCCACTTCCAGATTCTTCCAAAAGAGTGTTTCAAACGTGCTCAAAGTAAGGGAATGTTCAACTCTGTGACTTGAATGCAGATATCACCAAGTAGTTTCTAATAGTGCTTCTGTCTACATTTTAGATGATGATATTCCCGTTTCCAACGAAATCGTTAGAGCTATCCAAATATCCAGTTACAGTTTCTACCAAAAGGGTGTTTCCAAATTGCTGCATCAAAAGAAAGGTTCAACTCTGTTAGTTGAGGACACACATCACAAAGAAGTTTGTGAGAATGCTTCTGTCTAGTATTTTGTATGACGATATTCCCTTTTCCAACGATATCGTTAAAGCAATCTAAATATCAATTTGCAGAATCCACAAAAATAGAGTTTCAAAGCTGCTCTGTAAAAAGAAAGGTTCCACTCTGTTAGCTGAGTACACACATCACAAACTTCTTTCTGAGAATCCTTCTGTCTCGTTTTTATGGGAAGATATTTACTTTTTCACCGTAGGCATCAAAGCGCTCCAAATGTCCACATCCAGATACTCCAGAAAGAGTGTTTCAAACCTGCTCTATGAAAGGGAGTCTTCAACTCTATGAGTTGAATGCAGACATCAGAAGGGAATTTCTGAGAATGCTGCTGTCTACCTTTTATTTGAATTCCCGCTTCCAACGAAATCCTCCAAGCTATCCAAATATCCACCTGCATTTTCCACAAAAAGAGTGTTTCAAACCTGCTCTATCAATAGAAATGTTCAACTCCTTTGGCTGGGTACACACATCACAAACAAGTTTCTGAGAATGCTTCTGTCTAGTTTTTATGGGTAGACATTCCCTTTTTCACCAAAGGAATCAAAGCGCTCCAAATGTCCACTTCCAGACACTACAAAAAGAGTGTTTCAAACGTGCTCTAAGAAAGCGAATGTTCAACTGTGTGACTTGAATGCAGATATCACAAAGTAGTTTCTGAGAGTGCTTCTGTCTAGATTTTAGATGATGATATTCCCGTTTCCAACGAAATCATTAGAGGTATCCAAATATCCACTTACAGTTTCTACAAAAAGAGTGTTTCCAAACTGCTGCATCAAAAGAGAGGTTCCACTCTGTTAGCTGAGTACACACATCACAAACTTGTTTCTCAGAATCCTTCTGTCTCGTTTTTATGGGAAGATATTTACTTTTTCACCGTAGGCATCAAAGCGCTCCAAATGTACACATCCAGATACTCCAGAAAGAGTGTTTCAAACCTGCTCTATGAAAGGGAATGTTCAACTCTATGAGTTGAATGCAGACATCAGAAAGAAATTTCTGAGAATGCTGCTGTCTACCTTTTATTTGAATTCCCGCTTCCAACGAAATCCTCCAAGCTATCCAAATATCCACTTGCAGATTCCACAAAAAGAGTGTTTCAAAACTGCTCTCTATCAATGGCAAAGTTCAACTCTGTTAGTTGAGGACACATATCACCAACAAGTTTCTGAGAATGCTTCTGGTCTATTTTTTATGGGAAGATATTTCCTTTTTCACCGTAGGCGTCAAGGCGATCGAAATGTCCACTTCCACAAACTACAAAAAGAGTGTTTCAAACCTGCTCTATGAAAGGCCATGTTCATCTCTATGAGTCGAATGGAAATATCCGAAAGAAATTTCTGGGAATGCTGCTGTCTAGTTTTTATACGAATTCCCGCTTCCAACGAAATCCTCAAAGCAATCCAAATATCCACTTGCAGAATCCACAAAAAGAGTGTTTCAAAACTGCTCTATCAATAGAAAGGTTCAACTCTTTTAGTTGAGTACACACATCACAAACAAGTTTCTGAGAATGCTTCTGTCTGGCTTTTATTGGAAGACGTTTCCTTTTCACCAAAGGCATCAAAGCGCTCCAAATGTCCACTTCCAGATTCTTCCAAAAGAGTGTTTGAAACGTGCTCAAAGTAAGGGAATGTTCAACTCTGTGACTTAAATGCAGATATCACCAAGTAGTTTCTAATAGTGCTTCTGTCTACATTTTAGATGATGATATTCCCGTTTCCAACGAAATCGTTAGAGCTATCCAAATATCCAGTTACAGTTTCTACCAAAAGGGTGCTTCCAAATTGCTGCATCAAAAGAAAGGTTCAACTCTGTTAGTTGAGGACACACATCACAAAGAAGTTTGTGAGAATGCTTTCTGTCTAGATTTTGTATGACGATATTCCCTTTTCCAACGATATCATTAAAGCAATCTAAATATCCATTTGCAGAATCCACAAAAATAGAGTTTCAAAGCTGCTCTGTAAAAAGAAAGGTTCCACTCTGTTAGCTGAGTACACACATCACAAACTTGTTTCTCAGAATCCTTCTGTCTAATTTTTATGGGAAGATATTTACTTTTTCACCGTAGGCATCAAAGCGTTCCAAATGTCCACATCCAGATAGTACAGAAAGAGTGTTTCAAACCTGCTCTATGAAAGGGAATGTTCAACTCTATGAGTTGAATGCAAACATCACAAAGAAATTTCTGAGAATGCTGCTGTCTACCTTTCATTTGAATTCCCGCTTCCAACGAAATCCTCCAGGCTATCCAAATATCCACTTGCAGATTCCACAAAAAGAGTGTTTCAAAACTGCTCTATCAATGGCAAGGTTCAACTCTGTCAGTTGAGGATACACATCACAAAAAGTTTCTGAGAATTCTTCTGTCTATTTTTTATGGGAAGATATTTCCTTTTTCACCGTAGTCATCAAGGCGATCGAAATGTCCACTTCCACAAACTACAAAAAGAGTGTTTCAAACCTGCTCTATGAAAGGCCATGTTCATCTCTATGAGTTCAATGGAAATATCAGAAAGAAATTTCTGGGAATGCTGCTGTCTAGATTTTATACGAATTCCTGCTTCCAACGAAATCCTCAAAGCAATCCAAATATCCACTTGCAGAATCCACAAAAAGAGTGTTTCAAAACTGCTCTATCAATAGAAAGGTTCAACTCTTTTAGTTGAGTACACACATCACAAACAAGTTTCTGAGAATGCTTCTGTCTGGCTTTTATTGGAAGACGTTTCCTTTTCACCAAAGGCATCATCAAAGCGCTCCAAATGTCCACTTCCAGATTCTTCCAAAAGAGTGTTTGAAACGTGCTCAAAGTAAGGGAATGTTCAACTCTGTGACTTGAATGCAGATATCACCAAGTAGTTTCTAATAGTGCTTCTGTCTAGATTTTAGATGATGATATTCCCGTTTCCAACGAAATCGTTAGAGCTATCCAAATATCCACTTACAGTTTCTACCAAAAGGGTGTTTCCAAACTGCTGCATCAAAAGAAAGGTTCAACTCTGTTAGTTGAGGACACACATCACAAAGAAGTTTGTGAGAATGCTTCTGTCCAGATTTTGTATGACGATATTCCCTTTTCCAATGATATCGTTAAAGCAATCTAAATATCCATTTGCAGAATCCACAAAAATAGAGTTTCAAAGCTGCTCTGTAAAAAGAAAGGTTCCACTCTGTTAGCTGAGTACACACATCACAAACTTGTTTCTGAGAATCCTTCTGTCTCGTTTTTATGGGAAGATATTTACTTTTTCACCGTAGGCATCAAAGCGCTCCAAATGTCCACATCCAGATACTCCAGAAAGAGCGTTTCAAACCTGCTCTATGAAAGGGAATCTTCAACTCTATGAGTTGAATGCAGACATCAGAAAGAAATTTCTGAGAATGCTGCTGTCTACCTTTTATTTGAACTCCCGCTTCCAACGAAATCCTCCAAGCTATCCAAATATCCACTTGCATTTTCCACAAAAAGAGTGCTTCAAAACTGCTCTATCAATAAATGTTCAACTCCTTTAGCTGGGTGCACACATCACAAACAAGTTTCTGAGAATGCTTCTGTCTACTTTTTAAGGGAAGACGTTTCCTTTTTCACCAAAGGCATCAAAGCGCTCCAAATGTCCACTTCCAGATTCTACAAAAAGAGTGTTTCAAACCTCCTCTAAGTAAGGGAGTTTTCAACTCTGTGACTGGAATGCAGATATCACAAAGTAGATTCTGAGACTGCTTCTGTCTAGATTTTAGATGATGATATTCCCGTTTCCAACGAAATCATTAGAGCTATCCAAATATCCACTTACAGTTTCTACAAAAAGAGTGTTTCCAAACTGCTGCATCAAAACAGAGGTTCCACTCTGTTAGCTGAGTACACACATCACAAACTTGTTTCTCAGAATCCTTCTGTCTCGTTTTTATGGGAAGATATTTACTTTTTCACCGTAGGCATCAAACCGCTCCAAATGTCCACATCCAGATACTACAGAAAGAGTATTTCAAACCTGCCCTATGAAAGGGAATGTTCAACTCTATGAGTTGAATGCAGACATCAGAAAGAAATTTCTGAGAATGCTGCTGTCTACCTTTTATTTGAATTCCCGCTTCCAACGAAATCCTCCAAACTATCCAAATATCCACTTGCAGATTCAGGAAAAAGAGTGTTTCAAAACTGCTCTCTATCAATGGCAAAGTTCAACTCTGTTAGTTGAGGACACATATCACCAACAAGTTTCTGAGAATGCTCTGTCTATTTTTTATGGGAAGATATTTCCTTTTTCACCGTAGGCGTCAAGGCGATCGAAATGTCCACTTCCACAAACTACAAAAAGAGTGTTTCAAACCTGCTCTATGAAAGGCCATGTTCATCTCTATGAGTTGAATGGAAATATCCGAAAGAAATTCTGGGAATGCTGGCTGTCTAGTGTTTATACGAATTCCCGCTTACAACGAAATCCTCAAAGCAATCCAAATATCCACTTGCAGAATCCACAAAAAGAGTGTTTCAAAACTGCTCTATCAATAGAAAGGTTCAACTCTTTTAGTTGAGTACACACATCACGAACAAGTTTCTGAGAATGCTTCTGTCTGGCTTTTATTGGAAGACGTTTCCTTTTCACCAAAGGCATCAAAGCGCTCCAAATGTCCACTTCCAGATTCTTCCAAAAGAGTGTTTCAAACGTGCTCAAAGTAAGGGAATGTTCAACTCTGTGACTTGAATGCAGATATCACCAAGTAGTTTCTAATAGTGCTTCTGTCTAGATTTTAGATGATGATATTCCCGTTTCCAACGGAATCGTTAGAGCTATCCAAATATACAGTTACAGTTTCTACCAAAAGGGTGTTTCCAAATTGCTGCATCAAAAGAAAGGTTCAACTCTGTTAGTTGAGGACACACATCACAAAGAAGTTTGTGAGAATGCTTCTGTCTAGTATTTTGTATGACCATATTCCCTTTCCCAGCGATATCATTAAAGCAATCTAAATATCCATTTGCAGAATCCACAAAAATAGAGTTTCAAAGCTGCTCTGTAAAAAGAAAGGTTCCACTCTGTTAGCTGAGTACACACATCACAAACTTGTTTCTGAGAATCCTTCTGTCTCGTTTTTATGGGAAGATATTTACTTTTTCACCGTAGGCATCAAAGCGCTCCAAATGTCCACATCCAGATACTCCAGAAAGAGTGTTTCAAACCTGCTCTATGAAAGGGAATCTTCAACTCTATGAGTTGAATGCAGACATCAGAAAGAAATTTCTGAGAATGCTGCTGTCTACCTTTTATTTGAATTCCCGCTTCCAACGAAATCCTCCAAGCTATCCAAATATCCACTTGCATTTTCCACAAAAAGAGTGTTTCAAAACTGCTCTATCAATAGAAATGTTCAACTCCTTTAGCTGGGTACACACATCACAAACAAGTTTACTGAGAATGCTTTCTGTCTAGTTTTTATGGGAAGACATTCCCTTTTTCACCAAAGGCATCACAGCGCTCCAAATGTCCACTTCCAGACACTACAAAAAGAGTGTTTCCAACGTGCTCTAAGAAACCGAATGTTCAACTCTGTGACTTGAATGCAGATATCACAAAGTAGTTTCTGAGAGGGCTTCTGTCTAGATTTTAGATGATGATATTCCCGTTTCCAACGAAATCATTAGAGCTATCCAAATATCCACTTACAGTTTCTACAAAAAGAGTGTTTCCAAACTGCTGCATCAAAAGAGGGGTTCCACTCTGTTAGCTGAGTACACACATCACAAACTTGTTTCTCAGAATCCTTCTGTCTCGTTTTTATGGGAAGATTATACTTTTTCACCGTAGGCATCAAAGCGCTCCAAATGTCCACATCCAGATACTCCAGAAAGAGTGTTTCAAACCTGCTCTATGAAAAGGAATCTTCAACTCTATGAGTTGAATGCAGACATCAGAAAGAAATTTCTGAGAATGCTGCTGTCTACCTTTTATTTGAATTCCCGCTTCCAACGAAATCCTCCAAGCTATCCAAATATCCACTTGCAGATTCCACAAAAAGAGTGTTTCAAAACTGCTCTCTATCAATGGCAAAGTTCAACTCTGTTAGTTGAGGACACATATCACCAACAAGTTTCTGAGAATGCTTCTGTCTATTTTTTATGGGAAGATATTTCCTTTTTCACCGTAGGCGTCAAGGCGATCGAAATGTCCACTTCCACAAACTACAAAAAGAGTGTTTCAAACCTGCTCTATGAAAGGCGATGTTCATCTCAATGAGTTGAATGGAAATATCCGAAAGAAATTTCTGGGAATGCTGCTGTCTAGTTTTTATATGAATTCCCGCTTCCAACGAAATCCTCAAAGCAATCCAAATATCCACTTGCAGAATCCACAAAAAGAGTGTTTCAAAACTGCTCTATCAATAGAAAGGTTCAACTCTTTTAGTTGAGTACACACATCACCAACAAGTTTCTGAGAATGCTTCTGTCTGGCTTTTATTGGAAGACGTTTCCTTTTCACCAAAGGCATCAAAACGCTCCAAATGTCCACTTCCAGATTCTTCCAAAAGAGTGTTTCAAACGTGCTCGAAGTAAGGGAATGTTCTACTCTGTGACTTGAATGCAGATATCACCAAGTAGTTTCTAATAGTGCTTCTGTCTAGATTTTAGATGATGATATTCCCGTTTCCAACGAAATCGTTAGAGCTATCCAAATATCCACTTACAGTTTCTACCAAAAGGGTGTTTCCAAATTGCTGCATCAAAAGAAAGGTTCAACTCTGTTAGTTGAGGACACACATCACAAAGAAGTTTGTGAGAATGCTTCTGTCTAGATTTTGTATGACGATATTCCCTTTTCCAACGATATCGTTAAAGCAATCTAAATATCAATTTGCAGAATCCACAAAAATAGAGTTTCAAAGCTGCTCTGTAAAAAGAAAGGTTCCACTCTGTTAGCTGAGTACACATATCACAAACTTGTTTCTGAGAATCCTTCTGTCTCGTTTTTATGGGAAGATATTTACTTTTCCACCGTAGGCATCGAAGCGCTCCAAATGTCCACATCCAGATACTCCAGAACGAGTGTTTCAAACCTGCTCTATGAAAGGGAATCTTCAACTCTATGAGTTGAATGCAGACATCAGAAAGAAATTTCTGAGAATGCTGCTGTCTACCTTTTATTTGAATTCCCGCTTCCAACGAAATCCTCCAAGCTATCCAAATATCCACTTGCATTTTCCACAACAAGAGTGTTTCAAAACTGCTCTATCAATAGAAATGTTCAACTCCTTTGGCTGGGTACACACATCACAAACAAGTTTCTGAGAATGCTTCTGTCTAGTTTTTATGGGAAGACGTTCCCCTTTTTCACCAAAGGCATCAAAGCGCTCCAAATGTCCACTTCCAGACACTACAAAAAGAGTGTTTCAAACGTGCTCTAAGAAAGCGAATGTTCAACTCTGTGACTTGAATGCAGATATCACAAAGTAGTTTCTGAGAGGGCTTCTGTCTAGATTTTAGATGATGATATTCCCGTTTCCAACGAAATCGTTAGAGCTATCCAAATATCCACTTACAGTTTCTACAAAAAGAGTGTTTCCAAACTGCTGCATCAAAAGAAAGGTTCAACTCTGTTAGTTGAGGACACACATCAGAAAGAAGTTTGTGAGAATGCTTCTGTCTAGATTTTGTATGACCATATTCCCTTTTCCAGCGATATCATTAAAGCAATCTAAATATCCATTTGCAGAATCCACAAAAATAGAGTTTCAAAGCTGCTCTGTAAAAAGAAAGGTTCCACTCTGTTAGCTGAGTACACACATCACAAACCTGTTTCTCAGAATCCTTCTGTCTCGTTTTTATGGGAAGATATTTACTTTTCCACCGTAGGCATCAAAGCGCTCCAAATGTCCACATCCAGATACTCCAGAACGAGTGTTTCAAACCTGCTCTATGAAAGAGAATCTTCAACTCTATGAGTTGAATGCAGACATCAGAAAGAAATTTCTGAGAATGCTGCTGTCTACTTTTTATTTGAATCCCCGCTTCCAACGAAATCCTCCAAGCTATCCAAATATCCACCTGCATTTTCCACAAAAAGAGTGTTTCAAAACTGCTCTATCAATAGAAATGTTCAACTCCTTTAGCTGGGTAGACACAGCACAAACAAGTTTCTGAGAATGCTTCTGTCTAGTTTTTATGGGAAGACATTCCCTTTTTCACCAAAGGCATCAAAGCGCTCCAAATGTCCACTTCCAGACACTACAAAAAGAGTGTTTCCAACGTGCTCTAAGAAACCGAATGTTCAACTCTGTGACTTGAATGCAGATATCACAAAGTAGTTTCTGAGAGTGCTTCTGTCTAGATTTAAGATGATGATATTCCCGTTTCCAACGAAATCATTAGAGCTATCCAAATATCCACTTACAGTTTCTACAAAAAGAGTGTTTCCAAACTGCTGCATCAAAAGAGAGGTTCCACTCTGTTAGCTGAGTACACACATCACAAACTTGTTTCTCAGAATCCTTCTGTCTCGTTTTTATGGGAAGATATTTACTTTTTCACCGTAGGCATCAAAGCGCTCCAAATGTCCACATCCAGATACTCCAGAAAGAGTGTTTCAAACCTCCTCTATGAAAGGGAATCTTCAACTCTATGAGTTGAATGCAGACATCAGAAAGAAATTTCTGAGAATGCTGCTGTCTACCTTTTATTTGAATTCCCGCTTCCAACGAAATCCTCCAAGCTATCCAAATATCCACTTGCAGATTCCACAAAAAGAGTGTTTCAAAACTGCTCTCTATCAATGGCAAAGTTCAACTCTGTTAGTTGAGGACACATATCACCAACAAGTTTCTGAGAATGCTTCTGTCTATCTTTTATGGGAAGATATTTCCTTTTTCACCGTAGGCGTCAAGGCGATCGAAATGTCCACTTCCACAAACTACAAAAAGAGTGTTTCAAACCTGCTCTATGAAAGGCCATGTTCATCTCTATGAGTCGAATGGAAATATCCGAAAGAAATTTCTGGGAATGCTGCTGTCTAGTTTTTATACGAATTCCCGCTTCCAACGAAATCCTCAAAGCAATCCAAATATCCACTTGCAGAATCCACAAAAAGAGTGTTTCAAAACTGCTCTATCAATAGAAAGGTTCAACTCTTTTAGTTGAGTACACACATCACAAACAAGTTTCTGAGAATGCTTCTGTCTGGCTTTTATTGGAAGACGTTTCCTTTTCACCAAAGGCATCAAAGCGCTCCAAATGTCCACTTCCAGATTCTTCCAAAAGAGTGTTTGAAACGTGCTCAAAGTAAGGGAATGTTCAACTCTGTGACTTGAATGCAGATATCACCAAGTAGTTTCTAATAGTGCTTCTGTCTAGATTTTAGATGATGATATTCCCGTTTCCAACGAAATCGTTAGAGCTATCCAAATATCCACTTACAGTTGCTACAGAAACAGTGTTTCCAAACTGCTGCATCAAAAGAAAGGTTCAACTCTGTTAGTTGAGGACACACGTCACAAAGAAGTTTGTGAGAATGCTTCTGTCTAGATTTTGTATGACGATATTCCCTTTTCCAACGATATCGTTAAAGCAATCTAAATATCAATTTGCAGAATCCACAAAAATAGAGTTTCAAAGCTGCTCTGTAAAAAGAAAGTTTCCACTCTGTTAGCTGAGTACACACATCACAAACTTGTTTCTGAGAATCCTTCTGTCTCGTTTTTCTGGGAAGATATTTACTTTTTCACCGTAGGCATCAAAGCGCTCCAAATGTCCACATCCAGATACTCCAGAAAGAGTGTTTCAAACCTGCTCTATGAAAGGGAATCTTCAACTACTATGAGTTGAATGCAGACATCAGAAAGAAATTTACTGAGAATGCTGCTGTCTACCTTTTATTTGAATTCCCGCTTCCAACGAAATCCTCCAAGCTATCCAAATATCCACTTGCAGATTCCACAAAAAGAGTGTTTCAAAACTGCTCTCTATCAATGGCAAAGTTCAACTCTGTTAGTTGAGGACACATATCACCAACAAGTTTCTGAGAATGCTTCTGTCTATTTTTTATGGGAAGATATTTCCTTTTTCACCGTAGGCGTCAAGGCGATCGAAATGTCCACTTCCACAAACTACAAAAAGAGTGTTTCAAACCTGCTCTATGAAAGGCCATGTTCATCTCTATGAATCGAATGGAAATATCCGAAAGAAATTTCTGGGAATGCTGCTGTCTAGTTTTTATACGAATTCCCGCTTCCAACGAAATCCTCAAAGCAATCCAAATATCCACTTGCAGAATCCACAAAAAGAGTGTTTCAAAACTGCTCTATCAATAGAAAGGTTCAACTCTTTTAGTTGAGTACACACATCACAAACAAGTTTCTGAGAATGCTTCTGTCTGGCTTTTATTGGAAGACGTTTCCTTTTCACCAAAGGCATCAAAGCGCTCCAAATGTCCACTTCCAGATTCTTCCAAAAGAGTGTTTGAAACGTGCTCAAAGTAAGGGAATGTTCAACTCTGTGACTTGAATGCCGATATCACCAAGTAGTTTCTAATAGTGCTTCTGTCTAGATTTTAGATGATGATATTCCCGTTTCAAATGAAATCGTTAGAGCTATCCAAATATCCACTTACAGTTTCTACAAAAAGAGTGTTTCCAAACTGCTGCATCAAAAGAAATGTTCAACTCTGTTAGTTGAGGACACACATCACAAAGAAGTTTCTGAGAATGCTTCTGTCTAGATTTTGTATGACGATATTCCCTTTTCCAACGATATCGTTAAAGGAATCTAAATATCCATTTGCAGAATCCACAAAAATAGAGTTTCAAAGCTGCTCTGTAAAAAGAAAGGTTCCACTCTGTTAGCTGAGTACACACATCACAAACTTGTTTCTCAGAATCCTTGCTGTCTACCTTTTATTTGAACTCCCGCTTCCAACGAAATCCTCCAAGCTATCCAAATATCCACTTGCATTTTCCACAAAAAGAGTGCTTCAAAACTGCTCTATCAATAAATGTTCAACTCCTTTAGCTGGGTGCACACATCACAAACAAGTTTCTGAGAATGCTTCTGTCTACTTTTTAAGGGAAGACATTTCCTTTTTCACCAAATGCATCAAAGCGCTCCAAATGTCCACTTCCAGATTCTACAAAAAGAGTGTTTCAAACCTGCTCTAAGTAAGGGAGTTTTCAACTCTGTGACTGGAATGCAGATATCACAAAGTAGTTTCTGAGACTGATTCTGTCGAGATTTTAGATGATGATATTCCCGTTTCCAACGAAATCATTAGAGCTATCCAAATATCCACTTACAGTTTCTACAAAAAGAGTGTTTCCAAACTACTGCATCAAAAGAGAGGTTCCACTCTGTTAGCTGAGTACACACATCACAAACTTGTTTCTCAGAATCCTTCTGTCTCGTTTTTATGGGAAGATATTTACTTTTTCACCGTAGGCATCAAAGCGCTCCAAATGTCCACATCCAGATACTACAGAAAGAGTATTTCAAACCTGCCCTATGAAAGGAAATGTTCAACTCTATGAGTTGAATGCAGAGATCAGAAAGAAATTTCTGAGAATGCTGCTGTCTACCTTTTATTTGAATTCCCGCTTCCAACGAAATCCTCCAAGCTATCCAAATATCCACTTGCAGATTCAGGAAAAAGAGTGTTTCAAAACTGCTCTCTATCAATGGCAAAGTTCAACTCTGTTAGTTGAGGACACATATCACCAACAAGTTTCTGAGAATGCTTCTGTCTATTTTTTATGGGAAGATATTTCCTTTTTCACGGTAGGCGTCAAGGCGATCGAAATGTCCACTTCCACAAACTACAAAAAGAGTGTTTCAAACCTGCTCTATGAAAGGCCATGTTAATCTCTATGAGTTGAATGGAAATATCCGAAAGAAATTTCTGGGAATGCTGCTGTCTAGTTTTTATATGAATTCCCGCTTCCAACGAAATCCTCAAAGCAATCCAAATATCCACTTGCAGAATCCACAAAAAGAGTGTTTCAAAACTGCTCTATCAATAGAAAGGTTCAACTCTTTTAGTTGAGTACACACATCACAAACAAGTTTCTGAGAATGCTTCTGTCTGGCTTTTATTGGAAGACGTTTCCTTTTCACCAAAGGCATCAAAGCGCTCCAAATGTCCACTTCCAGATTCTTCCAAAAGAGTGTTTCAAACGTGCTCGAAGTAAGGGAATGTTCTACTCTGTGACTTGAATGCAGATATCACCAAGTAGTTTCTAATAGTGCTTCTGTCTAGATTTTAGGTGATGATATTCCCGTTTCCAACGAAATCGTTAGAGCTATCCAAATATCCAGTTACAGTTTCTACCAAAAGGGTGTTTCCAAATTGCTGCATCAAAAGAAAGGTTCAACTCTGTTAGTTGAGGACACACATCACAAAGAAGTTTGTGAGAATACTTCTGTCTAGGATTTTGTATGACGGTATTCCCTTTTCCAACGATATCGTTAAAGCAATCTAAATATCAATTTGCAGAATCCACAACAATAGAGTTTCAAAGCTGCTCTGTAAAAAGAAAGGTTCCACTCTGTTAGCTGAGTACACACATCACAAACTTGTTTCTGAGAATCCTTCTGTCTCGTTTTTATGGGAAGATATTTACTTTTCCACCGTAGGCATCAAAGCGCTCCAAATATCCACATCCGGATACTCCAGAACGAGTGTTTCAAACCTGCTCTATGAAAGGGAATCTTCAACTCTATGAGTTGAATGCAGACATCAGAAAGAAATTTCTGAGAATGCTCCTGTCTACCTTTTATTTGAATTCCCGCTTCCAACGAAATCCTCCAAGCTATCCAAATATCCACTTGCATTTTCCACAAAAAGAGTGTTTCAAAACTGCTCTATCAATAGAAATGTTCAACTCCTTTAGCTGGGTACACACATCACAAACAAGTTTACTGAGAATGCTTCTGTCTAGTTTTTATGGGTAGACATTCCCTTTTTCACCAAAGGAATCAAAGCGCTCCAAATGTCCACTTCCAGACACTACAAAAAGAGTGTTTCAAACGTGCTCTAAGAAAGCGAATGTTCAACTCTGTGACTTGAATGCAGATATCACAAAGTAGTTTCTGAGAGGGCTTCTGTCTAGATTTTAGATGATGATATTCCCGTTTCCAACGAAATCATTAGAGCTATCCAAATATCCACTTACAGTTTCTACAAAAAGAGTGTTTCCAAACTGCTGCATCAAAAGAGAGGTTCCACTCTGTTAGCTGAGTACACACATCACAAACTTGTTTCTCAGAATCCTTACTGTCTCGTTTTTATGGGAAGATATTTACTTTCTCACCGTAGGCATCAAAGCGCTCCAAATGTCCACATCCAGATACTCCAGAAAGAGTGTTTCAAACCTGCTCTATGAAAGGGAATCTTCAACTCTATGAGTTGAATGCAGACATCAGAAAGAAATTTCTGAGAATGCTGCTGTCTACCTTTTATTTGAATTACCGCTTCCAACGAAATCCTCCAAGCTATCCAAATATCCACTTGCAGATTCCACAAAAAGAGTGTTTCAAAACTGCGCTCTATCAATGGCAAAGTTCAACTCTGTTAGTTGAGGACACATATCACCAACAAGTTTCTGAGAATGCTTCTGTCTATTGTTTATGGGAAGATATTTCCTTTTTCACCGTAGGCGTCAAGGCGATCGAAATGTCCACTTCCACAAACTACAAAAAGAGTGTTTCAAACCTGCTCTATGAAAGGCCATGTTCATCTCTATGAGTTGAATGGAAATATCCGAAAGAAATTTCTGGGAATGCTGCTGTCTAGTGTTTATACGAATTCCCGCTTCCAACGAAATCCTCAAAGCAATCCAAATATCCACTTGCAGAATCCACAAAAAGAGTGTTTCAAAACTGCTCTATCAATAGAAAGGTTCAACTCTTTTAGTTGAGTACACACATCACCAACAAGTTTGCTGAGAATGCTTTCTGTCTGGCTTTTATTGGAAGACGTTTCCTTTTCACCAAAGGCATCAAAGCGCTCCAAATGTCCACTTCCAGATTCTTCCAAAAGAGTGTTTCAAACGTGCTCAAAGTAAGGGAATGTTCAACTCTGTGACTTGAATGCAGATATCACCAAGTAGTTTCTAATAGTGCTTCTGTCTAGCATTTTAGATGATGATATTCCCGTTTCCAACGAAATCGTTAGAGCTATCCAAATATCCACTTACAGTTTCTACAAAAAGAGTGTTTCCAAACTGCTGCATCAAAAGAAAGGTTCAACTCTGTTAGTTGAGGACACACATCACAAAGAAGTTTGTGAGAATGCTTCTGTCTAGATTTTGTATGACCATATTCCCTTTTCCAGCGATATCATTAATGCAATCTAAATATCCATTTGCAGAATCCACAAAAATAGAGTTTCAAAGCTGCTCTGTAAAAAGAAAGGTTCCACTCTGTTAGCTGAGTACACACATCACAAACTTGTTTCTCAGAATCCTGCTGTCTACCTTTTATTTGAATTAACGCTTCCAACGAAATCCTCCAAGCTATCCAAATATCCACTTGCATTTTCCACAAAAAGAGTGTTTCAAAACTGCTCTATCAATAGAAATGTTCAACTCCTTTGGCTGGGTACACACATCACAAACAAGTTTCTGAGAATGCTTCTGTCTAGTTTTTATGGGAAGACGTTCCCTTTTTCACCAAAGCCATCAAAGCGCTCCAAATGTCCACTTCCAGACACTACAAAAAGACTGTTTCAAACGTGCTCTAAGAAAGCGAATGTTCAACTCTGTGACTTGAATGCAGATATCACAAAGTAGTTTCTGAGAGTGCTTCTGTCTAGATTTTAGATGATGATATTCCCGTTTCCAACGAAATCATTAGAGCTATCCAAATATCCACTTACAGTTTCTACAAAAAGAGTGTTTCCAAACTGCTGCATCAAAAGAGTGGTTCCACTCTGTTAGCTGAGTACACACATCACAAACTTGTTTCTCAGAATCCTTCTGTCTCGTTTTTATGGGAAGAGATTTACTTTTTCACCGTAGGCATCAAAGCGCTCCAAATGTCCACATCCAGATACTACAGAAAGAGTATTTCAAACCTGCTCTATGAAAGGGAAGGTTCAACTCTATGAGTTGAATGCAGACATCAGAAAGAAATTTCTGAGAATGCTGCTGTCTACCTTTTATTTGAATTCCCGCTTCCAACGAAATCCTCCAAGCTATCCAAATATCCACTTGCAGATTCCACAAAAAGAGTGTTTCAAAACTGCTCTCTATCAATGGCAAAGTTCAACTCTGTTAGTTGAGGACACATATCACCAACAAGTTTCTGAGAATGCTTCTGTCTATTTTTTATGGGAAGATAATTCCTTTTTCAGCGTAGGCGTCAAGGCGATCGAAATGTCCACTTCCACAAACTACAAAAAGTGTGTTTCAAACCTGCTCTATGAAAGGCCATGTTCATCTCTATGAGTTGAATGGAAATATCCGAAAGAAATTTCTGGGAATGCTGCTGTCTAGTTTTTATACGAATTCCCGCTTCCAACGAAATCCTCAAAGCAATCCAAATATCCACTTGCAGAATCCACAAAAAGAGTGTTTCAAAACTGCTCTATCAATAGAAAGGTTCAACCCTTTTAGTTGAGTACACACATCACAAACAAGTTTCTGAGAATGCTTCTGTCTGGCTTTTATTGGAAGACGTTTCCTTTTCACCAAAGGCATCAAAGCGCTCCAAATGTCCACTTCCAGATTCTTCCAAAAGAGTGTTTGAAACGTGCTCAAAGTAAGGGAATGTTCAACTCTGTGACTTGAATGCAGATATCACCAAGTAGTTTCTAATAGTGCTTCTGTCTAGATTTTAGATGATGATATTCCCGTTTCCAACGAAATCGTTAGAGCTATCCAAATATCCACTTACATTTTCTACAAAAACAGTGTTTCCAAACTGCTGCATCAAAAGAAAAGTTCAACTCTGTTAGTTGAGGACACACATCACAAAGAAGTTTGTGAGAATGCTTCTGTCCAGATTTTGTATGACGATATTCCCTTTTCCAACGATATCGTTAAAGCAATCTAAATATCAATTTCCAGAATCCACAAAAATAGAGTTTCAAAGCTGCTCTGTAAAAAGAAAGGTTCCACTCTGTTAGCTGAGTACACACATCACAAACTTGTTTCTGAGAATCCTTCTGTCTCGTTTTTCTGGGAAGATATTTACTTTTTCACCGTAGGCATCAAAGCGCTCCAAATGTCCACATCCAGATACTCCAGAAAGAGTGTTTCAAACCTGCTCTATGAAAGGGAATCTTCAACTCTGTGAGTTGAATGCAGACATCAGAAAGAAATTTCTGAGAATGCTGCTGTCTACCTTTTATTTGAATTCCCGCTTCCAACGAAATCCTCCAAGCTATCCAAATATCCACTTGCAGATTCCACAAAAAGAGTGTTTCAAAACTGCTCTCTATCAATGGCAAAGTTCAACTCTGTTAGTTGAGGACACATATCACCAACAAGTTTCTGAGAATGCTTCTGTCTATTTTTTATGGGAAGATAATTCCTTTTTCACCGTAGGCGTCAAGGCGATCAAAATGTCCACTTCCACAAACTACAAAAAGAGTGTTTCAAACCTGCTCTATGAAAGGCCATGTTCATCTCTATGAGTCGAATGGAAATATCCGAAAGAAATTTCTGGGAATGCTGCTGTCTAGTTTTTATATGAATTCCCGCTTCCAACGAAATCCTCAAAGCAATCCAAATATCCACTTGCAGAATCCACAAAAAGAGTGTTTCAAAACTGCGCTATCATTAGAAAGGTTCAACTCTTTTAGTTGAGTACACACATCACAAACAAGTTTCTGAGAATGCTTCTGTCTGGCTTTTATTGGAAGACGTTTCCTTTTCACCAAAGGCATCAAAGCGCTCCAAATGTCCACTTCCAGATTCTTCCAAAAGAGTGTTTCAAACGTGCTCAAAGTAAGGGAATGTTCAACTCTTTGACTTGAATGCAGATATCACCAAGTAGTTTCTAATAGTGCTTCTGTCTAGATTTTAGATGATGATATTCCCGTTTCCAACGAAATCGTTAGAGCTATCCAAATATCCACTTACAGTTTCTACAAAAAGAGTGTTTCAAAACTTCTCTATGAAAAGAAAGGTTCTACTCCTTTAGTTGAGGACACACATCACGAGTAAGTTTCTGAGAGTGCTTCTGTCCAGATTTTGTATGACGACATTCCCTTTTCCAACGATATCGTTAAAGCAATCTAAATATCAATTTGCAGAATCCACAAAAATAGAGTTTCAAAGCTGCTCTGTAAAAAGAAAGGTTCCACTCAGTTAGCTGAGTACACACATCACAAACTTGTTTCTGAGAATCCTTCTGTCTCGTTTTTATGGGAAGATATTTACTTTTCCACCGTAGGCATCAAAGCGCTCCAAATGTCCACATCCAGATACTCCAGAACGAGTGTTTCAAACCTGCTCTATGAAAGGGAATCTTCAACTCTATGAGTTGAATGCAGACATCAGAAAGAAATTTCTGAGAATTCTGCTATCTACCTTTTATTTGAATTCCCGCTTCCAACGAAATCCTCCAAGCTATCCAAATATCCACTTGCATTTTCCACAAAAAGAGTGTTTCAAAACTGCTCTATCAATAGAAATGTTCAACTCCTTTAGCTGGGTACACACATCACAAACAAGTTTCTGAGAATGCTTCTGTCTAGTTTTTATGGGAAGACATTCCCTTTTTCACCAAAGGCATCAAAGCGCTCCAAATGTCCACTTCCAGACACTACAAAAAGAGTGTTTCAAACGTGCTCTAAGAAAGCGAATGTTCAACTCTGTGACTTGAATGCAGATATCACAAAGTAGTTTCTGAGAGGGATTCCGTCTAGATTTTAGATGATGATATTCCCATTTCCAACGAAATCATTAGAGCTATCCAAATATCCACTTACAGTTTCTACAAAAAGAGTGTTTCCAAACTGCTGCATCAGAAGAGAGGTTCCACTCTGTTAGCTGAGTACACACATCACAAACTTGTTTCTGAGAATCCTTCTGTCTCGTTTTTCTGGGAAGATATTTACTTTTTCACCGTAGGCATCAAAGCGCTCCAAATGTCCACATCCAGATACTCCAGAAAGAGTGTTTCAAACCTGCTCTATGAAAGGGAATCTTCAACTCTATGAGTTGAATGCAGACATCAGAAAGAAATTTCTGAGAATGCTGCTGTCTAACTTTTATTTGAATTCCCGCTTCCAACGAAATCCTCCAAGCTATCCAAATATCCACTTGCAGATTCAGGAAAAAGAGTGTTTCAAAACTGCTCTCTATCAATGGCAAAGTTCAACTCTGTTAGTTGAGGACACATATCACCAACAAGTTTCTGAGAATGCTTCTGTCTATTTTTTATGGGAAGATATTTCCTTTTTCACCGTAGGCGTCAAGGCGATCGAAATGTCCACTTCCACAAACTACAAAAAGAGTGTTTCAAACCTGCTCTATGAAAGGCCATGTTCATCTCTATGAGTCGAATGGAAATATCCGAAAGAAATTTCTGGGAATGCTGCTGTCTAGTTTTTATACGAATTCCCGCTTCCAACGAAATCCTCAAAGCAATCCAAATATCCACTTGCAGAATCCACAAAAAGAGTGTTTCAAAACTGCTCTATCAATAGAAAGGTTCAACTCTTTTAGTTGAGTACACACATCACAAACAAGTTTCTGAGAATGCTTCTGTCTGGCTTTTATTGGAAGACGTTTCCTTTTCACCAAAGGCATCAAAGCGCTCCAAATGTCCACTTCCAGATTCTTCCAAAAGAGTGTTTCAAACGTGCTCAAAGTAAGGGAATGTTCAACTCTTTGACTTGAATGCAGATATCACCAAGTAGTTTCTAATAGTGCTTCTGTCTACATTTTAGATGATGATATTCCCGTTTCCAACGAAATCGTTAGAGCTATCCAAATATCCAGTTACAGTTTCTACCAAAAGGGTGTTTCCAAATTGCTGCATCAAAAGAAAGGTTCAACTCTGTTAGTTGAGGACACACATCACAAAGAAGTTTGTGAGAATGCTTTCTGTCTAGATTTTGTATGACCATATTCCCTTTTCCAACGATATCGTTAAAGCAATCTAAATATCAATTTGCAGAATCCACAAAAATAGAGTTTCAAAGCTGCTCTGTAAAAAGAAAGGTTCCACTCTGTTAGCTGAGTACACACATCACAAACTTGTTTCTGAGAATCCTTCTGTCTAGTTTTTATGGGAAGATATTTACTTTTCACCGTAGGTATCAAAGCGCCCCAAATGTCCACATCCAGATACTACAGAAAGAGTGTTTCAAACCTGCTCTATGAAAGGGAATCTTCAACTCTATGAGTTGAATGCAGACATCAGAAAGTAATTTCTGAGAATGCTGCTGTCTACCTTTTATTTGAATTCCCGCTTCCAAGGAAATCCTCCAAGCTATCGAAATATCCACTAGCATTTTCCACAAAAAGAGTGTTTCAAAACTGCTCTATCAATAGAAATGTTCAACTCCTTTAGCTGGGTACACACATCACAAACAAGTTTCTGAGAATGCTTCTGTCTAGTTTTTATGGGAAGACGTTCCCTTTTTCACCAAAGGCATCAATGCGCTCCAAATGTCCACTTCCAGACACTACAAAAAGAGTGTTTCCAACGTGCTCTAAGAAAGCGAATGTTCAACTCTGTGACTTGAATGCAGATATCACAAAGTAGTTTCTGAGAGTGCTTCTGTCTAGATTTAGATGATGATATTCCCGTTTCCAACGAAATCATTAGAGCTATCCAAATATCCACTTACAGTTTCTACAAAAAGAGTGTTTCCAAACTGCTGCATCAAAAGAGAGGTTCCACTCTGTTAGCTGAGTACACACATCACAAACTTGTTTCTCAGAATCCTTCTGTCTCGTTTTTATGGGAAGATATTTACTTTTCCACCGTAGGCATCAAAGCGCTCCAAATGTCCACATCCAGATACTCCAGAAAGAGTGTTTCAAACCTGCTCTATGAAAGGGAATCTTCAACTTTATGAGTTGAATGCAGACATCAGAAAGAAATTTCTGAGAATGCTGCTGTCTACCTTTTATTTGAATTCCCGCTTCCAACGAAATCCTCCAAGCTATCCAAATATCCACTTGCAGATTCCACAAAAAGAGTGTTTCAAAACTGCTCTCTATCAATGGCAAAGTTCAACTCTGTTAGTTGAGGACACATATCACCAACAAGTTTCTGAGAATGCTTCTGTCTATTTTTTATGGGAAGATATTTCCTTTTTCACCGTAGGCGTCAAGGCGATCGAAATGTCCACTTCCACAAACTACAAAAAGAGTGTTTCAAACCTGCTCTATGAAAAGCCATGTTCATCTCTATGAGTTGAATGGAAATATCCGAAAGAAATTTCTGGGAATGCTGCTGTCTAGTTTTTATACGAATTCCCGCTTCCAACGAAATCCTCAAAGCAATCCAAATATCCACTTGCAGAATCCACAAAAAGAGTGTTTCAAAACTGCTCTATCAATAGAAAGGTTCAACTCTTTTAGTTGAGTACACACATCACAAACAAGTTTCTGAGAATGCTTCTGTCTGGCTTTTATTGGAAGACGTTTCCTTTTCACCAAAGGCATCAAAGCGCTCCAAATGTCCACTTCCAGATTCTTCCAAAAGAGTGTTTGAAACGTGCTCAAAGTAAGGGAATGTTCAACTCTGTGACTTGAATGCAGATATCACCAAGTAGTTTCTAATAGTGCTTCTGTCTAGATTTTAGATGACGATATTCCCGTTTCCAACGAAATCGTTAGAGCTATCCAAATATCCACTTACAGTTTCTACCAAAAGGGTGTTTCCAAACTGCTGCATCAAAAGAAAGGTTCAACTCTGTTAGTTGAGGACACACATCACAAAGAAGTTTGTGAGAATGCTTCTGTCTAGATTTTGTATGACCATATTCCCTTTCCCAGCGATATCATTAAAGCAATCTAAATATCCATTTGCAGAATCCACAAAAATAGAGTTTCAAAGCTGCTCTGTAAAAAGAAAGGTTCCACTCTGTTAGCTGAGTACACACATCACAAACTTGTTTCTGAGAATCCTTATGTCTCGTTTTTATGGGAAGATACTTACTTTTCCACCGTAGGCATCAAAGCGCTCCAAATGTCCACATCCAGATACTCCAGAACGAGTGTTTCAAACCTGCTCTATGAAAGGGAATCTTCAACTCTATGAGTTGAATGCAGACATCAGAAAGAAATTTCTGAGAATGCTGCTGTCTACCTTTTATTTGAACTCCCGCTTCCAACGAAATCCTCCAAGCTATCCAAATATCCACTTGCATTTTCCACAAAAAGAGTGCTTCAAAACTGCTCTATCAATAGAAATGTTCAACTCCTTTAGCTGGGTGCACACATCACAAACAAGTTTCTGAGAATGCTTCTGTCTAGTTTTTATGGGAAGACGTTCCCTTTTTCACCAAAGGCATCAAAGCGCTCCAAATGTCCACTTCCAGACACTACAAAAAGAGTGTTTCCAGCGTGCTCTAAGAAAGCGAATGTTCAACTCTGTGACTTGAATGCAGATATCACAAAGTAGTTTCTGAGAGGGCTTCTGTCTAGATTTTAGATGATGATATTCCCGTTTCCAACGAAATCATTAGAGCTATCCAAATAACCACTTACAGTTTCTACAAAAAGAGTGTTTCCAAACTGCTGCATCAAAAGAGAGGTTCCACTCTGTTAGCTGAGTACACACATCACAAACTTGTTTCTCAGAATCCTGCTGTCTACCTTTTATTTGAATTCCCGCTTCCAACGAAATCCTCCAAGCTATCCAAATATCCACTTGCATTTTCCACAAAAAGAGTGTTTCAAAACTGCTCTATCAATAGAAATGTTCAACTCCTTTGGCTGGGTACACACATCACAAACAAGTTTCTGAGAATGCTTCTGTCTAGTTTTTATGGGAAGACGTTCCCTTTTTCACCAAAGGCATCAAAGCGCTCCAAATGTCCACTTCCAGACACTACAAAAAGAGTGTTTCCAACGTGCTCTAAGAAAGCGAATGTTCAACTCTGTGACTTGAATGCAGATATCACAAAGTAGTTTCTGAGAGGGCTTTCTGTCTAGATTTTAGATGATGATATTCCCGTTTCCAAAAAAATCTTTAGAGCTATCCAAATATCCACTTACAGTTTCTACAAAAAGAGTGTTTCCAAACTGCTGCATCAAAAGAGAGGTTCCACTCTGTTAGCTGAGTACACACATCACAAACTTGTTTCTCAGACTCCTGCTGTCTACCTTTTATTTGAATTCCCGCTTCCAAGGAAAATCCTCCAAGCTATCGAAATATCCACTAGCATTTTCCACAAAAAGAGTGTTTCAAAACTGCTCTATCAATAGAAACGTTCAACTCCTTTAGCTGGGTACACACATCACAAACAAGTTTCTGAGAATGCTTCTGTCTAGTTTTTATGGGTAGACATTCCCTTTTTCACCAAAGGAATCAAAGCGCTCCAAATGTCCACTTCCAGCCACTACAAAAAGAGTGTTTCAAACGTGCTCTAAGAAAGCGAATGTTCAACTCTGTGACTTGAATGCAGATATCACAAAGTAGTTTCTGAGAGGGCTTCTGTCTAGATTTTAGATGATGATATTCCCGTTTCCAACGAAATCATTAGAGCTATCCAAATATCCACTTACAGTTTCTACAAAAAGAGTGTTTCCAAACTGCTGCATCAAAAGAGAGGTTCCACTCTGTTAGCTGAGTACGCCCATCACAAACTTGTTTCTCAGAATCCTTCTGTCTCGTTATTATGGGAAGATATTTACTTTTCCACCGTAGGCATCAAAGCGCTCCAAATGTCCACATCCAGATACTCCAGAACGAGTGTTTCAAACCTGCTCTATGAAAGGGAATCTTCAACTCTATGAGTTGAATGCAGACATCAGAAAGAAATTTCTGAGAATGCTGCTGTCTACCTTTTATTTGAATTCCCGCTTCCAACGAAATCCTCCAAGCTATCCAAATATCCACTTGCAGATTCCACAAAAAGAGTGTTTCAAAACTGCTCTCTATCAATGGCAAAGTTCAACTCTGTTAGTTGAGGACACATATCACCAACAAGTTTCTGAGAATGCTTCTGTCTATTTTTTATGGGAAGATATTTCCTTTTTCACCGTAGGCGTCAAGGCGATCGAAATGTCCACTTCCACAAACTACAAAAAGAGTGTTTCAAACCTGCTCTATGAAAGGCGATGTTCATCTCTATGAGTTGAATGGAAATATCCGAAAGAAATTTCTGGGAATGCTGGCTGTCTAGTTTTTATATGAATTCCCGCTTCCAACGAAATCCTCAAAGCAATCCAAATATCCACTTGCAGAATCCACAAAAAGAGTGTTTCAAAACTGCTCTATCAATAGAAAGGTTCAACTCTTTTAGTTGAGTACACACATCACCAACAAGTTTCTGAGAATGCTTCTGTCTGGCTTTTATTGGAAGACGTTTCCTTTTCACCAAAGGCATCAAAGCGCTCCAAATGTCCACTTCCAGATTCTTCCAAAAGAGTGTTTCAAACGTGCTCGAAGTAAGGGAATGTTCTACTCTGTGACTTGAATGCAGATAACACCAAGTAGTTTCTAATAGTGCTTCTGTCTAGATTTTAGATGATGATATTCCCGTTTCCAACGAAATCGTTAGAGCTATCCAAATATCCACTTACAGTTTCTACCAAAAGGGTGTTTCCAAATTGCTGCATCAAAAGAAAGGTTCAACTCTGTTAGTTGAGGACACACATCACAAAGAAGTTTGTGAGAATGCTTCTGTCTAGATTTTGTATGAAGATATTCCCTTTTCCAACGATATCGTTAAAGCAATCTAAATATCCATTTGCAGAATCCACAAAAATAGAGTTTCAAAGCTGCTCTGTAAAAAGAAAGGTTCCACTCTGTTAGCTGAGTACACACATCACAAACTTGTTTCTCAGAATCCTTCTGTCTCGTTTTTATGGGAAGATATTTACTTTTCCACCGTAGGCATCAAAGCGCTCCAAATGTCCACATCCAGATACTCCAGAAAGAGTGTTTCAAACCTGCTCTATGAAACGGAATCTTCAACTCTATGAGTTGAATGCAGACATCAGAAAGAAATTTCTGAGAATGCTGCTGTCTACCTTTTATTTGAATTCCCGCTTCCAACAAAAACCTCCAAGCTATCCAAATATCCACTTGCAGATTCCACAAAAAGAGTGTTTCAAAACTGCTCTATCAATAGAAATGTTCAACTCCTTTCGCTGGGTACACACATCACAAACAAGTTTCTGAGAATGCTTCTGTCTAGTTTTTATGGGTAGACATTCCCTTTTTCACCAAAGGAATCAAAGCGCTCCAAATGTCCACTTCCAGACACTACAAAAAGAGTGTTTCAAACGTGCTCTAAGAAAGCGAATGTTCAACTCTGTGACTTGAATGCAGATATCACACAGTGGTTTCTGAGAGTGCTTCTGTCTAGATTTTAGATGATGATATTCCCGTTTCCAACGAAATCATTAGAGCTATCCAAATATCCACTTACAGTTTCTACAAAAAGAGTGTTTCCAAACTGCTGCATCAGAAAAGAGGTTCCACTCTGTTAGCTGAGTACACACATCACAAACTTGTTTCTGAGAATCCTTTCTGTCTCGTTTTTATGGGAAGATATTTACTTTTTCACCGTAGGCATCAAAGCGCTCCAAATGTCCACATCCAGATACTCCAGAAAGAGTGTTTCAAACCTGCTCTATGAAAGGGAATCTTCAACTCTATGAGTTGAATGCAGACATCAGAAAGAAATTTCTGAGAATGCTGCTGTCTACCTTTTATTTGAATTCCCGCTTCCAACGAAATCCTCCAAGCTATCCAAATATCCACTTGCAGATTCCACAAAAAGAGTGTTTCAAAACTGCTCTCTATCAATGGCAAAGTTCAACTCTGTTAGTTGAGGACACATATCACCAACAAGTTTATGAGAATGCTTCTGTCTATTTTTTATGGGAAGATATTTCCTTTTTCACCGTAGGCGTCAAGGCGATCGAAATGTCCACTTCCACAAACTACAAAAAGAGTGTTTCAAACCTGCTCTATGAAAGGCCATGTTCATCTCTATGAGTCGAATGGAAATATCCGAAAGAAATTTCTGGGAATGCTGCTGTCTAGTTTTTATACGAATTCCCGCTTCCAACGAAATCCTCAAAGCAATCCAAATATCCACTTGCAGAATCCACAAAAAGAGTGTTTCAAAACTGCTCTATCAATAGAAAGGTTCAACTCTTTTAGTTGAGTACACACATCACAAACAAGTTTCTGAGAATGCTTCTGTCTGGCTTTTATTGGAAGACGTTTCCTTTTCACCAAAGGCATCAAAGCGCTCCAAATGTCCACTTCCAGATTCTTCCAAAAGAGTGTTTGAAACGTGCTCAAAGTAAGGGAATGTTCAACTCTGTGACTTGAATGCAGATATCACCAAGTAGTTTCTAATAGTGCTTCTGTCTAGATTTTAGATGACGATATTCCCGTTTCCAACGAAATCGTTAGAGCTATCCAAATATCCACTTACAGTTGCTACAAAAACAGTGTTTCCAAACTGCTGCATCAAAAGAAAGGTTCAACTCTGTTAGTTGAGGACACACGTCACAAAGAAGTTTGTGAGAATGCTTCTGTCTAGATTTTGTATGACGATATTCCCTTTTCCAACGATATCGTTAAAGCAATCTAAATATCAATTTGCAGAATCCACAAAAGTAGAGTTTCAAAGCTGCTCTGTAAAAAGAAAGGTTCCACTCTGTTAGCTGAGTATACACATCACAAACTTGTTTCTGAGAATCCTTCTGTCTCGTTTTTATGGGAAGATATTTACTTTTTCACCGTAGGCATCAAAGCGCTCCAAATGTCCACATCCAGATACTCCAGAGTGTTTCAAACCTGCTCTATGAAAGGGAATCTTCAACTCTATGAGTTGAATGCAGACATCAGAAAGAAATTTCTGAGAATGCTGCTGTCTACCTTTTATTTGAATTCCCGCTTCCAACGAAATCCTCCAAGCTATCCAAATATCCACTTGCAGATTCCACAAAAAGAGTGTTTCAAAACTGCTCTCTATCAATGGCAAAGTTCAACTCTGTTAGTTGAGGACACATATCACCAACAAGTTTCTGAGAATGCTTCTGTCTATTTTTTATGGGAAGATATTTCCTTTTTCACCGTAGGCGTCAAGGCGATCGAAATGTCCACTTCCACAAACTACAAAAAGAGTGTTTCAAACCTGCTCTATGAAAGGCCATGTTCATCTCTATGAGTCGAATGGAAATATCCGAAAAAATTTCTGGGAATGCTGCTGTCTAGTTTTTATACGAATTCCCGCTTCCAACGAAATCCTCAAAGCAATCCAAATATCCACTTGCAGAATCCACAAAAAGAGTGTTTCAAAACTGCTCTATCAATAGAAAGGTTCAACTCTTTTAGTTGAGTACACACATCACAAACAAGTTTCTGAGAATGCTTCTGTCTGGCTTTTATTGGAAGACGTTTCCTTTTCACCAAAGGCATCAAAGCGCTGCAAATGTCCACTTCCAGATTCTTCCAAAAGAGTGTTTCAAACGTGCTCAAAGTAAGGGAATGCTCAACTCTGTGACTTGAATGCAGATATCAACAAGTAGTTTCTAATAGTGCTTCTGTCTACATTTTAGATGATGATATTCCCGTTTCCAACGAAATCGTTAGAGCTATCCAAATATCCAGTTACAGTTTCTACCAAAAGGGTGCTTCCAAATTGCTGCATCAAAAGACAGGTTCAACTCTGTTAGTTGAGGACACACATCACAAAGAAGTTTGTGAGAATGCTTCTGTCTAGATTTTGTATGACGATATTCCCTTTTCCAACGATATCATTAAAGCAATCTAAATATCCATTTGCAGAATCCACAAAAATAGAGTTTCAAAGCTGCTCTGTAAAAAGAAAGGTTCCACTCTGTTAGCTGAGTACACACATCACAAACTTGTTTCTCAGAATCCTTCTGTCTCGTTTTTATGGGAAGATATTTACTTTTTACCGTAGGCATCAAAGCGCTCCAAATGTCCACATCCAGATACTCCAGAAAGAGTGTTTCAAACCTGCTCTATGAAAGGGAATCTTCAACTCTATGAGTTGAATGCAGACATCAGAAAGAAATTTCTGAGAATGCTGCTGTCTACCTTTAATTTGAATTCCCGCTTCCAACGAAATCCTCCAAGCTATCCAAATATCCACTTGCAGATTCCACAAAAAGAGTGTTTCAAAACTGCTCTCTATCAATGGCAAAGTTCAACTCTGTTAGTTGAGGACACATATCACCAACAAGTTTCTGAGAATGCTTATCTGTCTATTTTTTATGGGAAGATATTTCCTTTTTCACCGTAGGCGTCAAGGCGATCGAAATGTCCACTTCCACAAACTACAAAAAGAGTGTTTCAAACCTGCTCTATGAAAGGCCATGTTCATCTCTATGAGTTGAATGGAAATATCCGAAAGAAATTTCTGGGAATGCTGCTGTCTAGTTTTTATATGAATTCCCGCTTCCAACGAAATCCTCAAAGCAATCCAAATATCCACTTGCAGAATCCACAAAAAGAGTGTTGCAAAACTGCTCTATCAATAGAAAGGTTCAACTCTTTTAGTTGAGTACACACATCACAAACAAGTTTCTGAGAATGCTTCTGTCTGGCTTTTATTGGAAGACGTTTCCTTTTCACCAAAGGCATCAAAGCGCTCCAAATGTCCACTTCCAGATTCTTCCAAAAGAGTGTTTGAAACGTGCTCAAAGTAAGGGAATGTTCAACTCTGTGACTTGAATGCAGATATCACCAAGTAGTTTCTAATAGTGCTTCTGTCTAGATTTTAGATGATGATATTCCCGTTTCCAACGAAATCGTTAGAGCTATCCAAATATCCACTTACAGTTTCTACCAAAAGGGTGTTTCCAAATTGCTGCATCAAAAGAAAGGTTCAACTCTGTTAGTTGAGGACACACATCACAAAGAAGTTTGTGAGAATGCTTCTGTCTAGATTTTAGATGATGATATTCCCGTTTCCAACGAAATCGTTAGAGCTATCCAAATATCCACTTACAGTTTCTACAAAAAGAGTGTTTCCAAACTGCTGGATCAAAAGAGAGGTTCCACTCTGTTAGCTGAGTACACACATCACAAACTTGTTTCTCAGAATCCTGCTGTCTACCTTTTATTTGAATTCCCGCTTCCAACGAAATCCTCCAAGCTATCCAAATATCCACTTGCAGATTCCACAAAAAGAGTGTTTCAAAACTGCTCTCTATCAATGGCAAAGTTCAACTCTGTTAGTTGAGGACACATATCACCAACAAGTTTCTGAGAATGCTCTGTCTATTGTTTATGGGAAGATATTTCCTTTTTCACCGTAGGCGTCAAGGCGATCGAAATGTCCACTTCCACAAACTACAAAAAGAGTGTTTCAAACCTGCTCTATGAAAGGCGATGTTCATCTCTATGAGTTGAATGGAAATATCCGAAAGAAATTTCTGGGAATGCTGGCTGTCTAGTTTTTATATGAATTCCCGCTTCCAACGAAATCCTCAAAGCAATCCAAATATCCACTTGCAGAATCCAGAAAAAGAGTGTTTCAAAACTGCTCTATCAATAGAAAGGTTCAACTCTTTTAGTTGAGTACACACATCACGAACAAGTTTCTGAGAATGCTTCTGTCTGGCTTTTATTGGAAGACGTTTCCTTTTCACCAAAGGCATCAAAGCGCTCCAAATGTCCACTTCCAGATTCTTCCAAAAGAGTGTTTCAAACGTGCTCGAAGTAAGGGAATGTTCTACTCTGTGATTTGAATGCAGATATCACCAAGTAGTTTCTAATAGTGCTTCTGCCTACATTTTAGATGATGATATTCCCTTTTCCAACGAAATCGTTAGAGCTATCCAAATATCCAGTTACAGTTTCTACCAAAAGGGTGTTTCCAAATTGCTGCATCAAAAGAAAGGTTCAACTCTGTTAGTTGAGGACACACATCACAAAGAAGTTTGTGAGAATGCTTCTGTCTAGATTTTGTATGACGGTATTCCCTTTTCCAACGATATCGTTAAAGCAATCTAAATATCAATTTGCAGAATCCACAACAATAGAGTTTCAAAGCTGCTCTGTAAAAAGAAAGGTTCCACTGTGTTAGCTGAGTACACACATTACAAACTTGTTTCTGAGAATCCTTCTGTCTCGTTTTTATGGGAAGATATTTACTTTTTAACCGTAGGCATCAAAGCGCTCCAAATGTCCACATCCAGATACTCCAGAAAGAGTGTTTCAAACCTGCTCTATGAAAGGGAATCTTCAACTCTATGAGTTGAATGCAGACATCAGAAAGAAATTTCTGAGAATGCTGCTGTCTACCTTTTATTTGAATTCCCTCTTCCAACGAAATCCTCCAAGCTATCCAAATATCCACTTGCATTTTCCACAAAAAGAGTGTTTCAAAACTGCTCTATCAATAGAAATGTTCAACTCCTTTAGCTGGGTACACACATCACAAACAAGTTTCTGAGAATGCTTCTGTCTAGTTTTTATGGGAAGACATTCCCTTTTTCACCAAAGGCATCAAAGCGCTCCAAATGTCCACTTCCAGACACTACAAAAAGAGGGTTTCAAACGTGCTCTAAGAAAGCGAATATTCAACTCTGTGACTTGAATGCAGATATCACAAAGTAGTTTCTGAGAGGGCTTCTGTCTAGATTTTAGATGATGATATTCCCGTTTCCAACGAAATCATTAGAGCTATCCAAATATCCCCTTACAGTTTCTACAAAAAGAGTGTTTCCAAACTGCTGCATCAAAAGAGAGGTTCCACTCTGTTAGCTGAGTACACACATCACAAACTTGTTTCTCAGAATCCTTCTGTCTCGTTTTTATGGGAAGATATTTACTTTTTCACCGTAGGCATCAAAGCGCTCCAAATGTCCACATCCAGACACTCCAGAAAGAGTGTTTCAAACCTGCTCTATGAAAGGGAATCTTCAACTCTATGAGTTGAATGCAGACATCAGAAAGAAATTTCTGAGAATGCTGCTGTCTACCTTTTATTTGAATTCCCGCTTCCAACGAAATCCTCCAAGCTATCCAAATATCCACTTGCAGATTCCACAAAAAGAGTGTTTCAAAACTGCTCTCTATCAATGGCAAAGTTCAACTCTGTTAGTTGAGGACACATATCACCAACAAGTTTCTGAGAATGCTCCTGTCTATTTTTTATGGGAAGATATTTCCTTTTTCACCGTAGGCGTCAAGGCGATCGAAATGTCCACTTCCACAAACTACAAAAAGAGTGTTTCAAACCTGCTCTATGAAAGGCCATGTTCATCTCTATGAGTTGAATGGAAATATCCGAAAGAAATTTCTGGGAATGCTGCTGTCTAGTTTTTATACGAATTCCCGCTTCCAACGAAATCCTCAAAGCAATCTAAATATCCACTTGCAGAATCCACAAAAAGAGTGTTTCAAAACTGCTCTATCAATAGAAAGGTTCAACTCTTTTAGTTGAGTACACACATCACAAACAAGTTTCTGAGAATGCTTCTGTCTGGCTTTTATTGGAAGACGTTTCCTTTTCACCAAAGGCATCAAAGCGCTCCAAATGTCCACTTCCAGATTCTTCCAAAAGAGTGTTTGAAACGTGCTCAAAGTAAGGGAATGTTCAACTCTGTGACTTGAATGCAGATATCACCAAGTAGTTTCTAATAGTGCTTCTGTCTAGATTTTAGATGATGATATTCCCGTTTCCAACGAAATCGTTAGAGCTATCCAAATATCCCCTTACAGTTTCTACAAAAAGAGTGTTTCCAAACTGCTGCATCAAAAGAAAGGTTCAACTCTGTTAGTTGAGGACACACATCACAAAGAAGTTTGTGAGAATGCTTCTGTCTAGATTTTGTATGAAGATATTCCCTTTTCCAACGATATTGTTAAATCAACCCAAATATCAATTTGCAGAATCCACAGAAATAGAGTTTCAAAGCTGCTCTTTAAAAAGAAAGGATCCACTCTGTTAGCTGAGTACACACATCACAAACTTGTTTCTGAGAATCCTTCTGTCTCGTTTTTATGGGAAGATATTTACCTTTTCACCGTAGGCATCAAAGCGCTCCATATGTCCACATCCAGATACTCCACAAAGAGTGTTTCAAACCTGCTCTATGAAAGGGAATCTTCAACTCTATGAGTTGAATGCAGACATCAGAAAGAAATTTCTGAGAATGCTGCTGTCTACCTTTTATTTGAATTCCCGCTTCCAACGAAATCCTCCAAGCTATCCAAATATCCACCTGCATTTTCCACAACAAGAGTGTTTCAAAACTGCTCTATCAATAGAAATCTTCAACTCCTTTGGCTGGGTACACACATCACAAACAAGTTTCTGAGAATGCTTCTGTCTAGTTTTTATGGGAAGACGTTCCCTTTTTCACCAAAGGCATCAAAGCGCTCCAAATGTCCACTTCCAGACACTACAAAAAGAGTGTTTCAAACGTGCTCTTAGAAAGCGAATGTTCAACTCTGTGACTTGAATGCAGATATCACAAAGTAGTTTCTGAGAGGGCTTCTGTCTAGATTTTAGATGATGATATTCCCGTTTCCAACGAAATCATTAGAGCTATCCAAATATCCACTTACAGTTTCTACAAAAAGAGTGTTTCCAAACTGCTGCATGAAAAGAGAGGTTCCACTCTGTTAGCTGAGAACACACATCACAAACTTGTTTCTGAGAATCCTTCTGTCTAGCTTTTATGGGAAGATATTTACTTTTCCACCGTAGGCATCAAAGCGTTCCAAATGTCCACATCTAGATAGTACAGAAAGAGTGTTTCAAACCTGCTCTATGAAAGGGAATGTTCAACTCTATGAGTTGAATGCAAACATCACAAAGAAATTTCTGAGAATGCTGCTGTCTACCTTTTATTTGAATTCCCGCTTCCAACGAAATCCTCCAGGCTATCCAAATATCCACTTGCAGATTCCACAAAAACAGTGTTTCTAAACTGCTCTATCAATGGCAAGGTTCAACTCTGTCAGTTGAGGATACACATCACAAACAAGTTTCTGAGAATTCTTCTGTCTATTTTTTATGGGAAGATATTTCCTTTTTCACCGTAGGCGTCAAGGCGATCGAAATGTCCACTTCCACAAACTACAAAAAGAGTGTTTCAAACCTGCTCTATGAAAGGCCATGTTCATCTCTATGAGTCGAATGGAAATATCCGAAAGAAATTTCTGGGAATGCTGCTGTCTAGTTTTTATACGAATTCCCGCTTCCAACGAAATCCTCAAAGCAATCCAAATATCCACTTGCAGAATCCACAAAAAGAGTGTTTCAAAACTGCTCTATCAATAGAAAGGTTCAACTCTTTTAGTTGAGTACACACATCACAAACAAGTTTCTGAGAATGCTTCTGTCTGGCTTTTTTTGGAAGACGTTTCCCTTTTCACCAAAGGCATCAAAGCGCTCCAAATGTCCACTTCCAGATTCTTCCAAAAGAGTGTTTGAAACGTGCTCAAAGTAAGGGAATGTTCAACTCTGTGACTTGAATGCAGATATCACCAAGTAGTTTCTAATAGTGCTTCTGTCTAGATTTTAGATGATGATATTCCCGTTTCCAACGAAATCGTTAGAGCTATCCAAATATCCACTTACAGTTGCTACAAAAACAGTGTTTCCAAACTGCTGCATCAAAAGAAAGGTTCAACTCTGTTAGTTGAGGACACACATCACAAAGAAGTTTGTGAGAATGCTTCTGTCTAGATTTTGTATGACGATATTCCCTTTTCCAACGATATCGTTAAAGCAATCTAAATATCAATTTGCAGAATCCACAAAAACAGAGTTTCAAAGCTGCTCTGTAAAAAGAAAGGTTCCACTCTGTTAGCTGAGTACACACATCACAAACTTGTTTCTGAGAATCCTTCTGTTTCGTTTTTATGGGAAGATATTTACTTTTCCACCGTAGGCATCAAAGCGCTCCAAATGTCCACATCCAGATACTCCAGAACGAGTGTTTCAAACCTGCTCTATGAAAGGGAATCTTCAACTCTATGAGTTGAATGCAGACATCAGAAAGAAATTTCTGAGAATGCTGCTGTCTACCTTTTATTTGAATTCCCGCTTCCAACGAAATCCTCCAAGCTATCCAAATATCCACCTGCATTTTCCACAACAAGAGTGTTTCAAAACTGCTCTATCAATAGAAATGTTCAACTCCTTTTGCTGGGTACACACATCACAAACAAGTTTCTGAGAATGCTTCTGTCTAGTTTTTATGGGAAGACATTCCCTTTTTCACCAAAGGCATCAAAGCGCTCCAAATGTCCACTTCCTGACACTACGAAAAGAGTGTTTCAAACGTGCTCTAGGAAACCGAATGTTCAACTCTGTTACTTGAATGCAGATATCACAAAGTAGTTTCTGAGAGGGCTTCTGTCTAGGTTTTAGATGATGATATTCCCGTTTCCAACGAAATCATTAGAGCTATCCAAATATCCACTTACAGTTTCCACAAAAAGAGTGTTTCCAAACTGCTGCATCAAAAGAGAGGTTCCACTCTGTTAGCTGAGTACACACATCACAAACTTGTTTCTGAGAATCCTTCTGTCTCGTTTTTATGGGAAGATATTTACTTTTTCACCGTAGGCATCAAAGCGCTCCAAATGTCCACATCCAGATACTCCAGAAAGAGTGTTTCAAACCTGCTCTATGAAAGGGAATCTTCAACTCTATGAGTTGAATGCAGACATCAGAAAGAAATTTCTCAGAATGCTGCTGTCTAGCTTTTATTTGAATTCCCGCTTCCAACGAAAAACTCCAAGCTATCCAAATATCCACTTGCAGATTCCACAAAAAGAGTGTTTCAAAACTGCTCTATCAATAGAAATGTTCAACTCCTTTCGCTGGGTACACAGATCACAAACAAGTTTCTGAGAATGCTTCTGTCTAGTTTTTATGGGAAGACATTCCCTTTTTCACCAAAGGCATCAAAGCGCTCCAAATGTCCACTTCCAGACACTACAAAAAGAGTGTTTCCAACGTGCTCTACGAAAGCGAATGTTCAACTCTGTGACTTGAATGCAGATATCACAAAGTAGTTTCTGAGAGGGCTTCTGTCTAGATTTTAGATGATGATATTCCCGTTTCCAACGAAATCATTAGAGCTATCCAAATATCCACTTACAGTTTCTACAAAAAGAGTGTTTCCAAACTGCTGGATCAAAAGAGAGGTTCCACTCTGTTAGCTGAGTACACACATCACAAACTTGTTTCTCAGAATCCTTCTGTCTCGTTTTTCTGGGAAGATATTTACTTTTTCACCGTAGGCATCAAAGCGCTCCAAATGTCCACATCCAGATACTCCAGAAAGAGTGTTTCAAACCTGCTCTATGAAAGGGAATCTTCAACTCTATGAGTTGAATGCAGACATCAGAAAGAAATTTCTGAGAATGCTGCTGTCTACCTTTTATTTGAATTCCCGCTTCCAACGAAATCCTCCAAGCTATCCAAATATCCACTTGCAGATTCCACAAAAAGAGTGTTTCAAAACTGCTCTCTATCAATGGCAAAGTTCAACTCTGTTAGTTGAGGACACATATCACCAACAAGTTTCTGAGAATGCTCTGTCTATTGTTTATGGGAAGATATTTCCTTTTTCACCGTAGGCGTCAAGGCGATCGAAATGTCCACTTCCACAAACTACAAAAAGAGTGTTTCAAACCTGCTCTATGAAAGGCCATGTTCATCTCTATGAGTTGAATGGAAATATCCGAAAGAAATTTCTGGGAATGCTGGCTGTCTAGTTTTTATACGAATTCCCGCTTCCAACGAAATCCTCAAAGCAATCCAAATATCCACTTGCAGAATCCACAAAAAGAGTGTTTCAAAACTGCTCTATCAATAGAAAGGTTCAACTCTTTTAGTTGAGTACACACATCACAAACAAGTTTCTGAGAATGCTTCTGTCTGGCTTTTATTGGAAGACGTTTCCTTTTCACCAAAGGCATCAAAGCGCTCCAAATGTCCACTTCCAGATTCTTCCAAAAGAGTGTTTGAAACGTGCTCAAAGTAAGGGAATGTTCAACTCTGTGACTTGAATGCAGATATCACCAAGTAGTTTCTAATAGTGCTTCTGTCTAGATTTTAGATGATGATATTCCCGTTTCCAACGAAATCGTTAGAGCTATCCAAATATCCACTTACAGTTTCTACAAAAAGAGTGTTTCCAAACTGATGCATCAAAAGAAAGGTTCAACTCTGTTAGTTGAGGACACACATCACAAAGAAGTTTGTGAGAATGCTTCTCTCTAGATTTTGTATGAAGATATTCCCTTTTCCAAAGATATCGTTAAATCAACCCAAATATCAATTTGCAGAATCCACAGAAATAGAGTTTCAAAGCTGCTCTGTAAAAAGAAAGGATCCACTCTGTTAGCTGAGTACACACATCACAAACATGTTTCTGAGAATCCTTCTGTCTCGTTTTTATGGGAAGATATTTACTTTTCCACCGTAGGCATCAAAGCGCTCCAAATGTCCACATCCAGATACTCCAGAACGAGTGTTTCAAACCTGCTCTATGAAAGGGAATCTTCAACTCTATGAGTTGAATGCAGACATCAGAAAGAAATTTCTGGGAATGCTGCTGTCTAGTTTTTATATGAATTCCCGCTTCCAACGAAATCCTCCAAGCTATCCAAATATCCACCTGCATTTTCCACAAAAAGAGTGTTTCAAAACTGCTCTATCAATAGAAATGTTCAACTCCTTTGGCTGGGTACACACATCACAAACAAGTTTCTGAGAATGCTTCTGTCTATTTTTTATGGGAAGATATTTCCTTTTTCACCGTAGGCGTCAAGGCGATCGAAATGTCCACTTCCACAAACTACAAAAAGAGTGTTTCAAACCTGCTCTATGAAAGGCCATGTTCATCTCTATGAGTCGAATGGAAATATCCGAAAGAAATTTCTGGGAATGCTGCTGTCTAGTTTTTATATGAATTCCCGCTTCCAACGAAATCCTCAAAGCAATCCAAATATCCACTTGCAGAATCCACAAAAAGAGTGTTTCAAAACTGCTCTATCAATAGAAAGGTTCAACTCTTTTAGTTGAGTACACACATCACAAACAAGTTTCTGAGAATGCTTCTGTCTGTCTTTTATTGGAAGACGTTTCCTTTTCACCAAAGGCATCAAAGCGCTCCAAATGTCCACTTCCAGATTCTTCCAAAAGAGTGTTTCAAACGTGCTCGAAGTAAGGGAATGTTCTACTCTGTGACTTGAATGCAGATATCACCAAGTAGTTTCTAATAGTGCTTCTGTGTATACGTTAGATGAAGATATTCCCGTTTCCAACGATATCGTTAGACCTACCCAAATATCCACTTACAGTTTCTACAAAAAGAGTGTTTCCAAACTGCTGCATCAACAGAAAGTTTCAACTCTGTTAGTTGAGGACACACATCACAAAGAAGTTTCTGAGAAAGCTTCTGTCTAGATTTTGTATGATGATATTCCCTTTTCCAACGATATCGTTAAAGCAATCTAAATATCAATTTGCAGAATCCACAAAAATAGAGTTTCAAAGCTGCTCTGTAAAAAGAAAGGTTCCACTCTGCTAGCTGAGTACACACATCACAAACTTGTTTCTGAGAATCCTGCTGTCTACCTTTTATTTGAATTCCCGCTTCCAACGAAATCCTCCAAGCTATCCAAATATCCACTTGCAGATTCCACAAAAAGAGTGTTTCAAAACTGCTCTCTATCAATGGCAAAGTTCAACTCTGTTAGTTGAGGACACATATCACCAACAAGTTTCTGAGAATGCTTCTGTCTATTTTTTATGGGAAGATATTTCCTTTTTCACCGTAGGCGTCAAGGCGATCGAAATGTCCACTTCCACAAACTACAAAAAGAGTGTTTCAATATGAAAGGCCATGTTCATCTCTATGAGTTGAATGGAAATATCCGAAAGAAATTTCTGGGAATGCTGCTGTCTAGTGTTTATACGAATTCCCGCTTCCAACGAAATCCTCAAAGCAATCCAAATATCCACTTGCAGAATCCACAAAAAGAGTGTTTCAAAACTGCTCTATCAATAGAAAGGTTCAACTCTTTTAGTTGAGTACACACATCACGAACAAGTTTCTGAGAATGCTTCTGTCTGGCATTTATTGGAAGACGTTTCCTTTTCACCAAAGGCATCAAAGCGCTCCAAATGTCCACTTCCAGATTCTTCCAAAAGAGTGTTTCAAACGTGGTCGAAGTAAGGGAATGTTCAACTCTGTGACTTGAATGCAGATATCACCAAGTAGTTTCTAATAGTGCTTCTGTCTAGATTTTAGATGATGATATTCCCGTTTCCAATGAAATCGTTAGAGCTATCCAAATATCCACTTACAGTTTCTACCAAAAGGGTGTTTCCAAATTGCTGCATCAAAAGAAAGGTTCAACTCTGTTAGTTGAGGACACACATCACAAAGAAGTTTGTGAGAATGCTTCTGTCTAGATTTTGTATGACGATATTCCCTTTTCCAACGATATCGTTAAAGCAATCTAAATATCAATTTGCAGAATCCACAAAAATAGAGTTTCAAAGCTGCTCTGTAAAAAGAAAGGTTCCACTCTGTTAGCTGAGTACACACATCACAGACTTGTTTCTCAGAATCCTTCTGTCTCGTTTTTATGGGAAGATATTTACTTTTTCACCGTAGGCATCAAAGCGCTGCAAATGTCCACATCCAGATACTCCAGAAAGAGTGTTTCAAACCTGCTCTATGAAAGGGAATCTTCAACTCTATGAGTTGAATGCAGACATCAGAAAGAAATTTCTGAGAATGCTGCTGTCTACCTTTTATTTGAATTCCCGCTTCCAACGAAAACCTCCAAGCTATCCAAATATCCACTTGCAGATTCCACAAAAAGAGTGTTTCAAAACTGCTCTATCAATAGAAATGTTCAACTCCTTTCGCTGGGTACACACATCAAAAACAAGTTTCTGAGAAAGCTTCTGTCTAGTTTTTATGGGAAGACGTTCCCTTTTTCACCAAAGGCATCAAAGCGCTCCAAATGTCCACTTCCAGACACTACAAAAAGAGTGTTTCAAACGTGCTCTAAGAAACCGAATGTTCAACTCTGTGAGTTGAATGCAGATATCACAAAGTAGTTTCTGAGAGGGCTTCTGTCTAGATATTAGATGATGATATTCCCGTTTCCAACGAAATCATTAGAGCTATCCAAATATCCACTTACAGTTTCTACAAAAAGAGTGTTTCCAAACTGCTGCATCAAAAGAGAGGTTCCACTCTGTTAGCTGAGTACACACATCACAAACTTGTTTCTCAGAATCCTTCTGTCTCGTTTTTATGGGAAGATATTTACTTTTTCACCGTAGGCATCCAAGCGCTCCAAATGTCCACATCCAGATACTCCAGAAAGAGTGTTTCAAACCTGCTCTAAGAAAGGGAATCTTCAACTCTATGAGTTGAATGCAGACATCAGAAAGAAATTTCTGAGAATGCTGCTGTCTACCTTTTATTTGAATTCCCGCTTCCAACGAAATCCTCCAAGCTATCCAAATATCCACTTGCAGATTCCACAAAAAGAGTGTTTCAAAACTGCTCTCTATCAATGGCAAAGATCAACTCTGTTAGTTGAGGACACATATCACCAACAAGTTTCTGAGAATGCTTCTGTCTATTTTTTATGAGAAGATATTTCCTTTTTCACCATAGGCATCAGGGCGATCGAAATGTCCACTTCCACAAACTACAAAAAGAGTGTTTCAAACCTGCTCTATGAAAGGCCATGTTCATCTCTATGAGTTGAATGGAAATATCCGAAAGAAATTTCTGGAAATGCTGCTGTCTAGTTTTTATATGAATTCCCGCTTCCAACGAAATCCTCAAAGCAATCCAAATATCCACTTGCAGAATCCACAAAAAGAGTGTTTCAAAACTGCTCTATCAATAGAAAGGTTCAACTCTTTTAGTTGAGTACACACATCACCAACAAGTTTCTGAGAATGCTTCTGTCTGGCTTTTATTGGAAGACGTTTCCTTTTCACCAAAGGCATCAAAGCGCTCCAAATGTCCACTTCCAGATTCTTCCAAAAGAGTGTTTCAAACGTGCTCGAAGTAAGGGAATGTTCTACTCTGTGACTTGAATGCAGATATCACCAAGTAGTTTCTAATAGTGCTTCTGTCTAGATTTTAGATGATGATATTCCCGTTTCCAACAAAATCGTTAGAGCTATCCAAATATCCAGTTACAGTTTCTACCAAAAGGGTGTTTCCAAATTGCTGCATCAAAAGAAAGGTTCAACTCTGTTAGTTGAGGACACACATCACAAAGAAGTTTGTGAGAATGCTTCTGTCTAGCATTTTGTATGACGATATTCCCTTTTCCAACGATATCGTTAAAGCAATCTAAATATCCATTTGCAGAATCCACAAAAATAGAGTTTCAAAGCTGCTCTGTAAAAAGAAAGGTTCCACTCTGTTAGCTGAGTACACACATCACAAACTTGTTTCTCAGAATCCTTCTGTCTCGTTTTTATGGGAAGATATTTACTTTTCCACCGTAGGCATCAAAGCGCTCCAAATGTCCACATCCAGATACTCCAGAACGAGTGTTTCAAACCTGCTCTATGAAAGGGAATCTTCAACCTCTATGAGTTGAATGCAGACATCAGAAAGAAATTTCTGAGAATGCTGCTGTCTACCTTTTATTTGAATTCCCGCGTCCAACGAAATCCTCCAAGCTATCCAAATATCCACTTGCATTTTCCACAAAAAGAGTGTTTCAAAACTGCTCTATCAATAGAAATGTTCAACTCCTTTGGCTGGGTACACACATCACAAACAAGTTTCTGAGAATGCTTCTGTCTAGTTTTTATGGGAAGACGTTCCCTTTTTCACCAAAGGCATCAAAGCGCTCCAAATGTCCACTTCCAGACACTACAAAAAGAGTGTTTCCAACGTGCTCTAAGAAAGCGAATGTTCAACTCTGTGACTTGAATGCAGATATCACAAAGTAGTTTCTGAGAGGGCTTCTGTCTAGATTTTAGATGATGATATTCCCGTTTCCAACGGAATCATTAGAGCTATCCAAATATCCACTTACAGTTTCTACAAAAAGAGTGTTTCCAAACTGCTGCATCAAAAGAGAGGTTCCACTCTGTTAGCTGAGTACACACATCACAAACTTGTTTCTCAGAATCCTTCTGTCTCGTTTTTATGGGAAGATATTTACTTTTTCACCGTAGGCATCAAAGCGCTCCAAATGTCCACATCCAGATACTCCAGAAAGAGTGTTTCAAACCTGCTCTATGAAAGGGAATGTTCAACTCTATGAGTTGAATGCAGACATCAGAAAGAAATTTCTGAGAATGCTGCTGTCTACCTTTTATTTGAATTCCCGCTTCCAACGAAATCCTCCAAGCTATCCAAATATCCACTTGCAGATTCCACAAAAAGAGTGTTTCAAAACTGCTCTCTATCAATGGCAAAGTTCAACTCTGTTAGTTGAGGACACATATCACCAAGAAGTTTCTGAGAATGCTTCTGTCTATTTTTTATGGGAAGATATTTCCTTTTTCACCGTAGGCGTCAAGGCGATCGAAATGTCCACTTCCACAAACTACAAAAAGAGTGTTTCAAACCTGCTCTATGAAAGGCCATGTTCATCTCTATGATTTGAATGGAAATATCCGAAAGAAATTTCTGGGAATGCTGCTGTCTAGTGTTTATACGAATTCCCGCTTCCAACGAAATCCTCAAAGCAATCCAAATATCCACTTGCAGAATCCACAAAAAGAGTGTTTCAAAACTGCTCTATCAATAGAAAGGTTCAACTCTTTTAGTTGAGTACACACATCACGAACAAGTTTCTGAGAATGCTTCTGTCTGGCTTTTATTGGAAGACGTTTCCTTTTCACCAAAGGCATCAAAGCGCTCCAAATGTCCACTTCCAGATTCTTCCAAAAGAGTGTTTCAAACGTGCTCAAAGTAAGGGAATGTTCAACTCTGTGACTTGAATGCAGATATCACCAAGTAGTTTCTAATAGTGCTTCTGTCTAGATTTTAGATGATGATATTCCCGTTTCCAATGAAATCGTTAAATCTATCCAAATATCCACTTACAGTTTCTACAAAAAGAGTGTTTCCAAACTGCTGCATCAAAAGGAAGGTTCAACTCTGTTAGTTGAGGACACACATCACAAAGATGTTTGTGAGAATGCTTCTGTCTAGATTTTGTATGACCATATTCCCTTTTCCAACGATATCGTTAAAGAAATCTAAATATCAATTTGCAGAATCCACAAAAATAGAGTTTCAAAGCTGCTCTGTAAAAAGAAAGGTTCCGCTCTGTTAGCTGAGTACACACATCACAAACTTGTTTCTGAGAATCCTTCTGTCTCGTTTTTATGGGAAGATATATACTTTTCCACCGTAGGCATCAAAGCGCTCCAAATGTCCACATCTAGATACTCCAGAACGAGTGTTTCAAACCTGCTCTATGAAAGGGAATCTTCAACTCTATGAGTTGAATGCAGACATCAGAAAGAAATTTCTGAGAATGCTGCTGTCTACCTTTTATTTGAATTCCCGCTTCCAACGAAAACCTCCAAGCTATCCAAATATCCACTTGCAGATTCCACAAAAAGAGTGTTTCAAAACTGCTCTATCAATAGAAATGTTCAACTCCTTTCGCTGGGTACACACATCACAAACAAGTTTCTGAGAAAGCTTCTGTCTAGTTTTTATGGGTAGACATTCCCTTTTTCACCAAAGGCAATCAAAGCGCTCCAAATGTCCACTTCCAGACACTACAAAAAGAGTGTTTCAAACGTGCTCTAAGAAAGCGAATGTTCAACTCTGTGACTTGAATGCAGATATCACAAAGTAGTTTCTGAGAGTGCTTCTGTCTAGATTTTAGATGATGATATTCCCGTTTCCAACGAAATCATTAGAGCTATCCAAATATCCACTTACAGTTTCTACAAAAAGAGTGTTTCCAAACTGCTGCATCAAAAGAGAGGTTCCACTCTGTTAGCTGAGTACACACATCACAAACTTGTTTCTGAGAATCCTTCTGTCTCGTTTTTATGGGAAGATATTTACTTTTTCACCGTAGGCATCAAAGCGCTCCAAATGTCCTCATCCAGATACTCCAGAAAGAGTGTTTCAAACCTGCTCTATGAAAGGGAATCTTCAACTCTATGAGTTGAATGCAGACATCAGAAAGAAATTTCTGAGAATGCTGCTGTCTACCTTTTATTTGAATTCCCGCTTCCAACGAAATCCTCCAAGCTATCCAAATATCCACTTGCAGATTCCACAAAAAGAGTGTTTCAAAACTGCTCTCTATCAATGGCAAAGTTCAACTCTGTTAGTTGAGGACACATATCACCAACAAGTTTCTGAGAATGCTTCTGTCTATTTTTTATGGGAAGATATTTCCTTTTTCACCGTAGGCGTCAAGGCGATCGAAATGTCCACTTCCACAAACTATAAAAAGAGTGTTTCAAACCTGCTCTATGAAAGGCCATGTTCATCTCTATGAGTTGAATGGAAATATCCGAAAGAAATTTCTGGGAATGCTGCTGTCTAGTGTTTATACGAATTCCCGCTTCCAACGAAATCCTCAAAGCAATCCAAATATCCACTTGCAGAATCCACAAAAAGAGTGTTTCAAAACTGCTCTATCAATAGAAAGGTTCAACTCTTTTAGTTGAGTACACACATCACGAACAAGTTTCTGAGAATGCTTCTGTCTGGCTTTTATTGGAAGACGTTTCCTTTTCACCAAAGGCATCAAAGCGCTCCAAATGTCCACTTCCAGATTCTTCCAAAAGAGTGTTTCAAACGTGCTCGAAGTAAGGGAATGTTCAACTCTGTGACTTGAATGCAGATATCACCAAGTAGTTTCTAATAGTGCTTCTGTCTACATTTTAGATGATGATATTCCCGTTTCCAACGAAATCGTTAGAGCTATCCAAATATCCAGTTACAGTTTCTACCAAAAGGGTGTTTCCAAATTGCTGCATCAAAAGAAAGGTTCAACTCTGTTAGTTGAGGACACACATCACAAAGAAGTTTGTGAGAATGCTTCTGTCTAGATTTTGTATGACGGTATTCCCTTTTCCAACGATATCGTTAAAGCAATCTAAATATCAATTTGCAGAATCCACAACAATAGAGTTTCAAAGCTGCTCTGTAAAAAGAAAGGTTCCACTCTGTTAGCTGAGTACACACATCACAAACTTGTTTCTGAGAATCCTTCTGTCTCGTTTTTATGGGAAGATATTTACTTTTCCACCGTAGGCATCAAAGCGCTCCAAATGTCCACATCCGGATACTCCAGAACGAGTGTTTCAAACCTGCTCTATGAAAGGGAATCTTCAACTATATGAGTTGAATGCAGACATCAGAAAGAAATTTCTGAGAATGCTGCTGTCTAACTTTTATTTGAATTCCCGCTTCCAACGAAATCCTCCAAGCTATCCAAATATCCACCTGCATTTTCCACAAAAAGAGTGTTTCAAAACTGCTCTATCAATAGAAATGTTCAACTCCTTTGGGTGGGTACACACATCACAAACAAGTTTCTGAGAATGCTTCTGTCTAGTTTTTATGGGTAGACATTCCCTTTTTCACCAAAGGAATCAAAGCGCTCCAAATGTCCACTTCCAGACACTACAAAAAGAGTGTTTCCAACGTGCTCTAAGAAAGCGAATGTTCAACTCTGTGACTTGAATGCAGATATCACAAAGTAGTTTCTGAGAGGGCTTCTGTCTAGATTTTAGATGATGATATTCCCGTTTCCAACGAAATCATTAGAGCTATCCAAATATCCACTTACAGTTTCTACAAAAAGAGTTTTTCCAAACTGCTGCATCAAAAGAGAGGTTCCACTCTGTTAGCTGAGTACGCCCATCACAAACTTGTTTCTCAGAATCCTTCTGTCTCGTTTTTATGGGAAGATATTTACTTTTTCACCGTAGGCATCCAAGCGCTCCAAATGTCCACATCCAGATACTCCAGAAAGAGTGTTTCAAACCTGCTTTATGAAAGGGAGTCTTCAACTCTATGAGTTGAATGCAGACATCAGAAGGAAATTTCTGAGAATGCTGCTGTCTACCTTTTATTTGAATTCCCGCTTCCAACGAAATCCTCCAAGCTATCCAAATATCCACTTGCATTTTCCACAAAAAGAGTGTTTAAAAACTGCTCTATCAATAGAAATGTTCAACTCCTTTAGCTGGGTACACACATCACAAACAAGTTTCTGAGAATGCTTCTGTCTAGTTTTTATGGGAAGACATTCCCTTTTTCACCAAAGCCATCAAAGCGCTCCAAATGTCCACTTCCAGACACTACAAAAAGAGTGTTTCAAACGTGCTCTAAGAAAGCGAATGTTCAACTCTGTGACTTGAATGCAGATATCACAAAGTAGTTTCTGAGAGGGCTTCTGTCTAGATTTTAGATGATGATATTCCCGTTTCCAACGAAATCATTAGAGCTATCCAAATATCCACTTACAGTTTCTACAAAAAGAGTATTTCCAAACTGCTGCATCAAAAGAGAGGTTCCACTCTGTTAGCTGAGTACACACATCACAAACTTGTTTCTCAGAATCCTCTGTCTCGTTTTTCTGGGAAGATATTTACTTTTTCACCGTAGGCATCAAAGCGCTCCAAATGTCCACATCCAGATACTCCAGAAAGAGTGTTTCAAACCTGCTCTATGAAAGGGAATCTTCAACTCTATGAGTTGAATGCAGACATCAGAAAGAAATTTCTGAGAATGCTGCTGTCTACCTTTTATTTGAATTCCCGCTTCCAACGAAATCCTCCAAGCTATCCAAATATCCACTTGCAGATTCCACAAAAAGAGTGTTTCAAAACTGCTCTCTATCAATGGCAAAGTTCAACTCTGTTAGTTGAGGACACATATCACCAACAAGTTTCTGAGAATGCTTCTGTCTATTTTTTATGGGAAGATATTTCCTTTTTCACCGTAGGCGTCAAAGCGATCGAAATGTCCACTTCCACAAACTACAAAAAGAGTGTTTCAATATGAAAGGCCATGTTCATCTCTATGAGTTGAATGGAAATATCCAAAAGAAATTTCTGGGAATGCTGCTGTCTAGTGTTTATACGAATTCCCGCTTCCAACGAAATCCTCAAAGCAATCCAAATATCCACTTGCAGAATCCACAAAAAGAGTGTTTCTAAACTGCTCTATCAATAGAAAGGTTCAACTCTTTTAGTTGAGTACACACATCACGAATAAGTTTCTGAGAATGCTTCTGTCTGGCTTTTATTGGAAGACGTTTCCTTTTCACCAAAGGCATCAAAGCGCTCCAAATGTCCACTTCCAGATTCTTCCAAAAGAGTGTTTCAAACGTGCTCGAAGTAAGGGAATGTTCTACTCTGTGACTTGAATGCAGATATCACCAAGTAGTTTCTAATAGTGCTTCTGTCTAGATTTTAGATGATGATATTCCCGTTTCCAACGAAATCGTTAGAGCTATCCAAATATCCAGTTACAGTTTCTACCAAAAGGGTGTTTCCAAATTGCTGCATCAAAAGAAAGGTTCAACTCTGTTAGTTGAGGACACACATCACAAAGAAGTTTGTGAGAATGCTTCTCTCTAGATTTTGTATGAAGATATTCCCTTTTCCAACGATATCGTTAAATCAACCCAAATATCAATTTGCAGAATCCACAGATATAGAGTTTCAAAGCTGCTCTGTAAAAAGAAAGGATCCACTCTGTTAGCTGAGTACACACATCACAAACTTGTTTCTGAGAATCCTGCTGTCTACCTTTTATTTGAATTCCCGCTTCCAACGAAATCCTCCAAGCTATCCAAATATCCACCTGCATTTTCCACAACAAGAGTGTTTCAAAACTGCTCTATCAATAGAAATGTTCAACTCCTTTGGCTGGGTACACACATCACAAACAACTTTCTGAGAATGCTTCTGTCTAGTTTTTATGGGAAGACATTCCCTTTTTCACCAAAGACATCAAAGCGCTCCAAATGTCCACTTCCAGACACCACAAAAAGAGTGTTTCAAACGTGCTCTAAGAAAGCGAATGTTCAACTCTGTGACTTGAATGCAGATATCACAAAGTAGTTTCTGAGAGGGCTTCTGTCTAGATTTTATATGATGATATTCCCGTTTCCAACGAAATCATTAGAGCTATCCAAATATCCACTTACAGTTTCTACAAAAAGAGTGTTTCCAAACTGCTGCATCAAAAGAGAGGTTCCACTCTGTTAGCTGAGTACACACATCACAAACTTGTTTCTCAGAATCCTTCTGTCTCGTTTTTATGGGAAGATATTTACTTTCTCACCGTAGGCATCAAAGCGCTCCAAATGTCCACATCCAGATACTCGAGAAAGAGTGTTTCAAACCTGCTCTATGAAAGGGAATCTTCAACTCTATGAGTTGAATGCAGACATCAGAAAGAAATTTCTGAGAATGCTGCTGTCTACCTTTTATTTGAATTCCCGCTTCCAACGAAATCCTCCAAGCTATCCAAATATCCACTTGCAGATTCCACAGAAGGAGTGTTTCAAAACTGCTCTCTATCAATGGCAAAGTTCAACTCTGTTAGTTGAGGACACATATCACCAACAAGTTTCTGAGAATGCTTCTGTCTATTTTTTATGGGAAGATATTTCCTTTTTCACCGTAGGCGTCAAGGCGATCGAAATGTCCACTTCCACAAACTACAAAAAGAGTGTTTCAAACCTGCTCTATGAAAGGCCATGTTCATCTCTATGAGTTGAATGGATATATCGGAAAGAAATTTCTGGGAATGCTGCTGTCTAGTTTTTATACGAATTCCCGCTTCCAACGAAATCCTCAAAGCAATCCAAATATCCACTTGCAGAATCCACAAAAAGAGTGTTTCAAAACTGCTCTATCAATAGAAAGGTTCAACTCTTTTAGTTGAGTACACACATCACAAACAAGTTTCTGAGAATGCTTCTGTCTGGCTTTTATTGGAAGACGTTTCCTTTTCACCAAAGGCATCAAAGCACTCCAAATGTCCACTTCCAGATTCTTCCAAAAGAGTGTTTGAAACGTGCTCAAAGTAAGGGAATGTTCAACTCTGTGACTTGAATGCAGATATCACCAAGTAGTTTCTAATAGTGCTTCTGTCTAGATTTTAGATGATGATATTCCCGTTTCCAACGAAATCGTTAGAGCTATCCAAATATCCACTTACAGTTGCTACAAAAAGAGTGTTTCCAAACTGCTGCATCAAAAGAAAGGTTCAACTCTGTTAGTTGAGGACACACGTCACAAAGAAGTTTGTGAGAATGCTTCTGTCCAGATTTTGTATGACGATATTCCCATTTCCAACGATATCGTTAAAGCAATCTAAATATCAATTTGCAGAATCCACAAAAATAGAGTTTCAAAGCTGCTCTGTAAAAAGAAAGGTTCCACTCTGTTAGCTGAGTACACACATCACAAACTTGTTTCTCAGAATCCTTCTGTCTCGTTTTTATGGGAAGATATTTACTTTTTCACCGTAGGCATCGCTCCAAATGTCCACATCCAGATACTCCAGAAAGACTGTTTCAAACCTGCTCTATGAAAGGGAATCTTCAACTCTATGAGTTGAATGCAGACATCAGAAAGAAATTTCTGAGAATGCTGCTGTCTACCTTTTATTTGAATTCCCGCTTCCAACGAAATCCTCCAAGCTATCCAAATATCCACTTGCATTTTCCACCAAAAGAGTGTTTCAAAACTGCTCTATCAATAGAAATGTTCAAATCCTTTAGCTGGGTACACACATCACAAACAAGTTTCTGAGAATGCTTCTGTCTAGTTTTTATGGGTAGACATTCCCTTTTTCACAAAAGGAATCAAAGCGCTCCAAATGTCCACTTCCAGACACTACAAAAAGAGTGTTTCAAACGTGCTCTAAGAAAGCGAATGTTCAACTCTGTGACTTGAATGCAGATATCACAAAGTAGTTTCTGAGAGGGCTTCTGTCTAGACTTTAAATGATGATATTCCCGTTTCCAACGAAATCATTAGAGCTATCCAAATATCCACTTACAGTTTCTACAAAAAGAGTGTTTCCAAACTGCTGCATCAAAAGAGAGGTTCCACTCTGTTAGCTGAGTACACACATCACAAACTTGTTTCTCAGAATCCTTCTGTCTCGTTTTTATGGGAAGATATTTACTTTTTCACCGTAGGCATCAAAGCGCTCCAAATGTCCACATCCAGATACCCCAGAAAGAGTGTTTCAAACCTGCTCTATGAAAGGGAATCTTCAACTCTATGAGTTGAATGCAGACATCAGAAAGAAATTTCTGAGAATGCTGCTGTCTACCTTTTATTTGAATTCTCACTTCCAACGAAATCCTCCAAGCTATCCAAATATCCACTTGCATTTTCCACAAAAAGAGTGTTTCAAAACTGCTCTCTATCAATGGCAAAGTTCAACTCTGTTAGTTGAGGACACATATCACCAACAAGTTTCTGAGAATGCTTCTGTCTATTTTTTATGGGAAGATATTTCCTTTTTCACCGTAGGCGTCAAGGCGATCGAAATGTCCACTTCCACAAACTACAAAAAGAGTGTTTCAAACCTGCTCTATTAAAGGCCATGTTCATCTCTATGAGTTGAATGGAAATATCCGAAAGAAATTTCTGGGAATGCTGCTGTCTAGTGTTTATACGAATTCCCGCTTCCAACGAAATCCTCAAAGCAATCCAAATATCCACTTGCAGAATCCACAAAAAGAGTGTTTCAAAACTGCTCTATCAATAGAAAGGTTCAACTCTTTTAGTTGAGTACACACATCACGAACAAGTTTCTGAGAATGCTTCTGTCTGGCTTTTATTGGAAGACGTTTCCTTTTCACCAAAGGCATCAAAAGGCTCCAAATGTCCACTTCCAGATTCTTCCAAAAGAGTGTTTCAAACGTGCTCGAAGTAAGGGAATGTTCAACTCTGTGACTTGAATGCAGATATCACCAAGTAGTTTCTAATAGTGCTTCTGTCTAGATTTTAGATGATGATATTCCCGTTTCCAACGAAATCATTAGAGCTATCCAAATATGCAGTTACAGTTTCTACCAAAAGGGTGTTTCCAAATTGCTGCATCAAAAGAAAGGTTCAACTCTGTTAGTTGAGGACACACATCACAAAGAAGTTTGTGAGAATGCTTCTGTCTAGATTTTGTATGACGATATTCCCTTTTCCAACGATATCGTTAAAGCAATCTAAATATCAATTTGCAGAATCCACAAAAATAGAGTTTCAAAGCTGCTCTGTGAAAAGAAAGGTTCCACTCTGTTAGCTGAGTACACACATCACAAACTTGTTTCTCAGAATCCTTCTGTCTCGTTTTTATGGGAAGATATTTACTTTTCCACCGTAGGCATCAAAGCGCTCCAAATGTCCACATCCAGATACTCCAGAACGAGTGTTTCAAACCTGCTCTATGAAAGGGAATCTTCAACTCTATCAGTTGAATGCAGACATCAGAAAGAAATTTCTGAGAATGCTGCTGTCTACCTTTTATTTGAATTCCCGCTTCCAACGAAATCCTCCAAGCTATCCAAATATCCACTTGCATTTTCCACAACAAGAGTGTTTCAAAACTGCTCTATCAATAGAAATGTTCAACTCCCTTTGGCTGGGTACACACATCACAAACAAGTTTCTGAGAATGCTTCTGTGTAGTTTTTATGGGTAGACATTCCCTTTTTCACCAAAGGAATCAAAGCGCTCCAAATGTCCACTTCCAGACACTACAAAAAGAGTGTTTCAAACGTGCTCTAAGAAAGCGAATGTTCAACTCTGTGACTTGAATGCAGATATCACAAAGTAGTTTCTGAGAGGGCTTCTGTCTAGACTTTAGATGATGATATTCCCGTTTCCAACGAAATCATTAGAGCTATCCAAATATCCACTTACAGTTTCTACAAAAAGAGTGTTTCCAAACTGCTGCATCAAAAGAGAGGTTCCACTCTGTTAGCTGAGTACACACATCACAAACTTGTTTCTCAGAATCCTTCTGTCTCGTTTTTATGGGAAGATATTTACTTTTTCACCGTAGGCATCAAAGCGTTCCAAATGTCCACATCCAGATAGTGCAGAAAGAGTGTTTCAAGCCTGCTCTATGAAAGGGAATGTTCAACTCTATGAGTTGAATGCAAACATCACAAAGAAATTTCTGAGAATGCTGCTGTCTACCTTTTATTTGAACTCCCGCTTCCAACGAAATCCTCCAAACTATCCAAATATCCACTTGCATTTTCCACAAAAAGAGTGCTTCAAAACTGCTCTATCAATAAATGTTCAACTCCTTTAGCTGGGTGCACACATCACAAACAAGTTTCTGAGAATGCTTCTGTCTAGTTTTTATGGGAAGACATTTCCTTTTTCACCAAAGGCATCAAAGAGCTCCAAATGTCCACTTCCAGATACTACAAAAAGAGTGTTTCAAAAGTGCTCTAAGAAACCGAATGTTCAACTCTGTGACTTGAATGCAGATATCAAAAAGTAGTTTCTGAGAGTGCTTCTGTCTAGATTTTAGATGATGATATTCCCGTTTCCAACGAAATCATCAGAGCTATCCAAATATCCACTTACAGTTTCTACAAAAAGAGTGTTTCCAAACTGCTGCATCAAAACAGAGGTTCCACTCTGTTAGCTGAGTACACACATCACAAACTAGTTTCTCAGAATCCTTCTGTCTCGTTTTTATGGGAAGATATTTACTTTTTCACCATAGGTATCAAAGCGCTCCAAATGTCCACATCCAGATACTCCAGAAAGAGTGTTTCAAACCTGCTCTATGAAAGGGAATCTTCAACTCTATGAGTTGAATGCAGACATCAGAAAGAAATTTCTGAGAATGCTGCTGTCTACCTTTTATTTGAATTCCCGCTTCCAACGAAATCCTCCAAGCTATCCAAATATCCACTTGCAGATTCCACAAAAAGAGTGTTTCAAAACTGCTCTCTATCAATGGCAAAGTTCAACTCTGTTAGTTGAGGACACATATCACCAACAAGTTTCTGAGAATGCTTCTGTCTATTTTTCATGGGAAGATATTTCCTTTTTCACCGTAGGCGTCAAGGCGATCGAAATGTCCACTTCCACAAACTACAAAAAGAGTGTTTCAATATGAAAGGCCATGTTCATCTCTATGAGTTGAATGGAAATATCCGAAAGAAATTTCTGGGAATGCTGCTGTCTACCTTTTATTTGAATTCCCGCTTCCAACGAAATCCTCCAAGCTATCCAAATATCCACCTGCATTTTCCACAAAAAGAGCGTTTCAAAACTGCTCTATCAATAGAAATGTTCAACTCCTTTGGCTGGGTACACACATCACAAACAAGTTTGCTGAGAATGCTTTCTGTCTAGTTTTTATGGGAAGACATTCCCTTTTTCACCAAAGGCATCAAAGCGCTCCAAATGTCCACTTCCAGACACTACAAAAAGAGTGTTTCCAACGTGCTCTAAGAAAGCGAATCTTCAACTCTGTGACTTGAATGCAGATATCACAAAGTAGTTTCTAATAGTGCTTCTGTCTAGCATTTTAGATGATGATATTCCCGTTTCCAACGAAATCGTTAGAGCTATCCAAATATCCACTTACAGTTTCTACAAAAAGAGTGTTTCCAAACTGCTGCATCAAAAGAAAGGTTCAACTCTGTTAGTTGAGGACACACGTCACAAAGAAGTTTGTGAGAATGCTTCTGTCCAGATTTTGTATGACAATATTCCCTTTTCCAACGATATCGTTAAAGCAATCTAAATATCAATTTGCAGAATCCACAAAAATAGAGTTTCAAAGCTGCTCTGTAAAAAGAAAGGTTCCACTCTGTTAGCTGAGTACACACATCACAAACTTGTTTCTCAGAATCCTTCTGTCTCGTTTTTCTGGGAAGATATTTACTTTTTCACCGTAGGCATCAAAGCGCTCCAAATGTACACATCCAGATACTCCAGAAAGAGTGTTTCAAACCTGCTCTATGAAAGGGAATCTTCAACTCTATGAGTTGAATGCAGACATCAGAAAGAAATTTCTGAGAATGCTGCTGTCTACCTTTTATTTGAATTCCCGCTTCCAACGAAATCCTCCAAGCTATCCAAATATCCACTTGCATTTTCCACAAAAAGAGTGTTTCAAAACTGCTCTATCAATAGAAATGTTCAACTCCATTAGCTGGGTACACACATCACAAACAAGTTTCTGAGAATGCTTCTGTCTAGTTTTTATGGGAAGACATTCCCTTTTTCACCAAAGGCATCAAAGCGCTCCAAATGTCCACTTCCAGACACTACAAAAAGAGTGTTTCAAACGTGCTCTAAGAAACCGAATGTTCAACTCTGTGACTTGAATGCAGATATCACAAAGTAGTTTCTGAGAGGGCTTCTGTCTAGATTTTAGATGATGATATTCCCGTTTCCAACGAAATCATTACAGCTATCCAAATATCCACTTACAGTTTCTACAAAAAGAGTGTTTCCAAACTGCTGCATCAAAAGAGAGGTTCCACTCTGTTAGCTGAGTACACACATCACAAACTTTTTTCTCAGAATCCTTCTGTCTCGTTTTTATGGGAAGATTATACTTTTTCACCGTAGGCATCAAAGCGCTCCAAATGTCCACATCCAGATACTCCAGAAAGAGTGTTTCAAACCTGCTCTATGAAAGGGAATCTTCAACTCTATGAGTTGAATGCAGACATCAGAAAGAAATTTCTGAGAATGCTGCTGTCTACCTTTTATTTGAATTCCCGCTTCCAACGAAATCCTCCAAGCTATCCAAATATCCACTTGCAGATTCCACAAAAAGAGTGTTTCAAAACTGCTCTCTATCAATGGCAAAGTTCAACTCTGTTAGTTGAGGACACATATCACCAACAAGTTTCTGAGAATGCTTCTGTCTATTTTTCATGGGAAGATATTTCCTTTTTCACCGTAGGCGTCAAGGCGATCGAAATGTCCACTTCCACAAACTACAAAAAGAGTGTTTCAAACCTGCTCTATGAAAGGCCATGTTCATCTCTATGAGTTGAATGGAAATATCCGAAAGAAATTTCTGGGAATGCTGCTGTCTAGTGTTTATACGAATTCCCGCTTCCAACGAAATCCTCAAAGCAATCCAAATATCCACTTGCAGAATCCACAAAAAGAGTGTTTCAAAACTGCTCTATCAATAGAAAGGTTCAACTCTTTTAGTTGAGTACACACATCACCAACAAGTTTCTGAGAATGCTTCTGTCTGGCTTTTATTGGAAGACGTTTCCTTTTCACCAAAGGCATCAAAGCGCTCCAAATGTCCACTTCCAGATTCTTCCAAAAGAGTGTTTCAAACGTGCTCAAAGTAAGGGAATGTTCAACTCTGTGACTTGAATGCAGATATCACCAAGTAGTTTCTAATAGTGCTTCTGTCTAGATTTTAGATGATGATATTCCCGTTTCCAAGGAAATCGTTAGAGCTATCCAAATATCCAGTTACAGTTTCTACCAAAAGGGTGTTTCCAAATTGCTGCATCAAAAGAAAGGTTCAACTCTGTTAGTTGAGGACACACATCACAAAGAAGTTTGTGAGAATGCTTCTGTCTAGATTTTGTATGACCATATTCCCTTTTCCAGCGATATCATTAAAGCAATCTAAATATCCATTTGCAGAATCCACAAAAATAGAGTTTCAAAGCTGCTCTGTAAAAAGAAAGGTTCCACTCTGTTAGCTGAGTACACACATCACAAACTTGTTTGCTCAGAATACCTTCTGTCTCGTTTTTATGGGAAGATATTTACTTTTCCACCGTAGGCATCAAAGCGCTCCAAATGTCCACATCCATATACTCCAGAACGAGTGTTTCAAACCTACTCAATGAAAGGGAATCTTCAACTCTATGAGTTGAATGCAGACATCAGAAAGAAATTTCTGAGAATGCTGCTGTCTACCTTTTATTTGAATTCCCGCTTCCAACGAAATCCTCCAAGCTATCCAAATATCCACTTGCATTTTCCACAAAAAGAGTGTTTCAAAACTGCTCTATCAATAGAAATGTTCAACTCCATTAGCTGGGTACACACATCACAAACAAGTTTCCTGAGAATGCTTCTGTCTAGTTTTTATGGGAAGACATTCCCTTTTTCACCAAAGGCATCAGAGCGCTCCAAAGGTCCACTTTCAGACACTACAAAAAGAGTGTTTCAAACGTGCTCTAAGAAAGCGAATGTTCAACTCTGTGACTTGAATGCAGATATCACAAAGTAGTTTCTGAGAGGGCTTCTGTCTAGATTTTAGATGATGATATTCCCGTTTCCAATGAAATCATTAGAGCTATCCAAATATCCACTTACAGTTTCTACAAAAAGAGAGTTTCCAAAGTGCTGCATCAAAAGAGAGGTTCCACTCTGTTAGCTGAGGACACACATCACAAACATGTTTCTGAGAATCCTTCTGTCTAGCTTTTATGGGAAGATATTTTCTTTTTCACCATAGGCATCAAAGCGTTCCCAATGTCCACATCCAGATAGTACAGAAAGAGTGTTTCAAACCTGCTCTATGAAAGGGAATGTTCAACTCTATGAGTTGAATGCAAACATCACAAAGAAATTTCTGAGAATGCTGCTGTCTACCTTTCATTTGAATTCCCGCTTCCAACGAAATCCTCCAGGCTATCCAAATATCCACATGCAGATTCCACAAAAAGAGTGTTTCTAAACTGCTCTATCAATGGCAAGGTTCACCTCTGTCAGTTGAGGATTCACATCACAAACAAGTTTCTGAGAATTCTTCTGTCTATTTTTTATGGGAAGATATTTCCTTTTTCGCCGTAGGCGTCAAGGCGATCGAAATGTCCACTTCCACAAACTACAAAAAGAGTGTTTCAAACCTGCTCTATGAAAGGCCATGTTCATCTCTATGAGTCGAATGGAAATATCCGAAAGAAATTTCTGGGAATGCTGCTGTCTAGTTGTTATACGAATTCCCGCTTCCAACGAAATCCTCAAAGCAATCCAAATATCCACTTGCAGAATCCACAAAAAGAGTGTTTCAAAACTGCTCTATCAATAGAAAGGTTCAACTCTTTTAGTTGAGTACACACGTCAAGAACAAGTTTCTGAGAATGCTTCTGTCTGGCTTTTATTGGAAGACGTTTCCTTTTCACCAAAGGCATCAAAGCGCTCCAAATGTCCACTTCCAGATTCTTCCAAAAGAGTGTTTCAAACGTGCTCAAAGTAAGGGAATGTTCAACTCTTTGACTTGAATGCAGATATCACCAAGTAGTTTCTAATAGTGCTTCTGTCTAAATTTTAGATGACGATATTCCCGTTTCCAACGAAATCGTTACAGCTATCCAATTATCCACTTACAGTTTCTACAAAAAGAGTGTTTCCAAACTGCTGCATCAAAAGAAAGGTTCAACTCTGTTAGTTGAGGACACACATCACAAAGAAGTTTGTGAGAATGCTTCTGTCCAGATTTTGTATGACGATATTCCCTTTTCCAACGATATCATTAAAGCAATCTAAATATCCATTTGCAGAATCCACAAAAATAGAGTTTCAAAGCTGCTCTGTAAAAAGAAAGGTTCCACTCTGTTAGCTGAGTACACACATCACAAACTTGTCTCTCAGAATCCTTCTGTCTCGTTTTTATGGGAAGATATTTACTTTTTCACCGTAGGAATCAAAGCGCTCCAAATGTCCACATCCAGATACTCCAGAAAGAGTGTTTCAAACCTGCTCTATGAAAGGGAATGTTCAACTCTATGAGTTGAATGCAGACATCAGAAAGAAATTTCTGAGAATGCTGCTGTCTACCTTTTATTTGAATTCCCGCTTCCAACGAAATCCTCCAAGCTATCCAAATATCCACCTGCATTTTCCACAAAAAGAGTGTTTCGAAACTGCTCTATCAATAGAAATGTTCAACTCCTTTAGCTGGGTACACACATCACAAACAAGTTTCTGAGAATGCTTCTGTCTAGTTTTTATGGGAAGACATTCCCTTTTTCACCAAAGGCATCAAAGCGCTCCAAATGTCCACTTCCAGACACTACAAAAAGAGTGTTTCCAACGTGCTCTAAGAAAGCGAATGTTCAACTCTGTGACTTCAATGCAGATATCACAAAGTAGTTTCTGAGAGGGCTTCTGTCTAGATTTTAGATGATGATATTACCGTTTCCAAAGAAATCATTAGAGCTATCCAAATATCCACTTACAGTTTCTACAAAAAGAGTGTTTCCAAACTGCTGCATCAAAAGAGAGGTTCCACTCTGTTAGCTGAGTACACACATCACAAACTTGTTTCTCAGAATCCTTCTGTCTCGTTTTTATGGGAAGATATTTACTTTTTCACCGTAGGCATAAAAGCGCTCCAAATGTCCACATCCAGATACTCCAGAAAGAGTGTTTCAAACCTGCTCTATGAAAGGGAATGTTCAACTCTATGAGTTGAATGCAGACATCAGAAAGAAATTTCTGAGAATGCTGCTGTCTTTTATTTGAATTCCCGCTTCCAACGAAATCCTCCAAGCTATCCAAATATCCACTTGCAGATTCCACAAAAAGAGTGTTTCAAAACTGCTCTCTATCAATGGCAAAGTTCAACTCTGTTAGTTGAGGACACATATCACCAACAAGTTTCTGAGAATGCTTCTGTCTATTTTTTATGGGAAGATATTTCCTTTTTCACCGTAGGCGTCAAGGCGATCGAAATGTCCACTTCCACAAACTACAAAAAGAGTGTTTCAAACCTGCTCTATGAAAGGCCATGTTCATCTCTATGAGTTGAATGGAAATATCCGAAAGAAATTTCTGGGAATGCTGCTGTCTAGTGTTTATACGAATTCCCGCTTCCAACGAAATCCTCAAAGCAATCCAAATATCCACTTGCAGAATCCACAAAAAGAGTGTTTCAAAACTGCTCTATCAATAGAAAGGTTCAACTCTTTTAGTTGAGTACACACATCACGAACAAGTTTCTCAGAATGCTTCTGTCTGGCTTTTATTGGAAGACGTTTCCTTTTCACCAAAGGCATCAAAGCGCTCCAAATGTCCACTTCCAGATTCTTCCAAAAGAGTGTTTCAAACGTGCTCCAAGTAAGGGAATGTTCAACTCTGTGACTTGAATGCAGATATCACCAAGTAGTTTCTAATAGTGCTTCTGCCTACATTTTAGATGATGATATTCCCGTTTCCAACGAAATCGTTAGAGCTATCCAAATATCCAGTTACAGTTTCTACCAAAAGGGTGTTTCCAAATTGCTGCATCAAAAGAAAGGTTCAACTCTGTTAGTTGAGGACACACATCACAAAGAAGTTTGTGAGAATGCTTCTGTCTAGGTTTTGTATGACGATATTCCCTTTTCCAACGATATCGTTAAAGCAATCTAAATATCAATTTGCAGAATCCACAAAAATAGAGTTTCAAAGCTGCTCTGTAAAAAGAAAGGTTCCACTTCTGTTAGCTGAGTACACACATCACAAACTTGTTTCTCAGAATCCTTTCTGTCTCGTTTTTATGGGAAGATATTTACTTTTCCACCGTAGGCATCAAAGCGCTCCAAATGTCCACATCCAGATACTCCAGAACGAGTGTTTCAAACCTACTCTATGAAAGGGAATCTTCAACTCTATGAGTTGAATGCAGACATCAGAAAGAAATTTCTGAGAATGCTGCTGTCTACCTTTTATTTGAATTCCCGCTTCCAACGAAATCCTCCAAGCTATCCAAATATCCACTTGCATTTTCCACAACAAGAGTGTTTCAAAACTGCTCTATCAATAGAAATGTTCAACTCCTTTGGCTGGGTACACACATCACAAACAAGTTTCTGAGAATGCTTCTGTCTAGTTTTTATGGGAAGACGTTCCCTTTTTCACCAAAGGCATCAAAGCGCTCCAAATCTCCACTTCCAGACACTACAAAAAGAGTGTTTCAAACGTGCTCTAAGAAAGCGAATGTTCAACTCTGTGACTTGAATGCAGATATCACAAAGTAGTTTCTGAGAGGGCTTCTGTCTAGATTTTAGATGATGATATTCCCGTTTCCAACGGAATCATTAGAGCTATCCAAATATCCACTTACAGTTTCTACAAAAAGAGTGTTTCCAAACTGCTGCATCAAAAGAGAGGTTCCAGTCTGTTAGCTGAGTACACACATCACAAACTTGTTTCTCAGAATCCTTCTGTCTCGTTTTTATGGGAAGATATTTACTTTTTCACCGTAGGCATCAAAGCGCTCCAAATGTCCACATCCAGATACTCCAGAAAGAGTGTTTCAAACGTGCTCTATGAAAGGGAATCTTCAACTCTATGAGTTGAATGCAGACATCAGAAAGAAATTTCTGAGAATGCTGCTGTCTACCTTTTATTTGAATTCCCGCTTCCAACGAAATCCTCCAAGCTATCCAAATATCCACTTGCAGATTCCACAAAAAGAGTGTTTCAAAACTGCTCTCTGTCAATGGCAAAGTTCAACTCTGTTAGTTGAGGACACATATCACCAACAAGTTTCTGAGAATGCTTCTGTCTATTTTTTATGGGAAGATATTTCCTTTTTCACCGTAGGCGTCAAGGCGATCGAAATGTCCACTTCCACAAACTACAAAAAGAGTGTTTCAAACCTGCTCTATGAAAGGCCATGTTCATCTCTATGAGTCGAATGGAAATATCCGAAAGAAATTTCTGGGAATGCTGCTGTCTAGTGTTTATACGAATTCCCGCTTCCAACGAAATCCTCAAAGCAATCCAAATATCCACTTGCAGAATTCACAAAAAGAGTGTTTCAAAACTGCACTATCAATAGAAAGGTTCAACTCTTTTAGTTGAGTACACACATCACGAACAAGTTTCTGAGAATGCTTCTGTCTGGCTTTTTTTGGAAGACGTTTCCTTTTCACCAAAGGCATCAAAGCGCTCCAAATGTCCACTTCCAGATTCTTCCAAAAGAGTGTTTGAAACGTGCTCAAAGTAAGGGAATGTTCAACTCTGTGACTTGAATGCAGATATCACCAAGTAGTTTCTAATAGTGCTTCTGTCTAGATTTTAGATGATGATATTCCCGTTTCCAACGAAATCGTTAGAGCTATCCAAATATCCACTTACAGTTGCTACAAAAACAGTGTTTCCAAACTGCTGCATCAAAAGAAAGGTTCAACTCTGTTAGTTGAGGACACACATCACAAAGAAGTTTGTGAGAATGCTTCTGTCTAGATTTTGTATGACCATATTCCCTTTTCCAGCGATATCATTAAAGCAATCTAAATATCCATTTGCAGAATCCACAAAAATAGAGTTTCAAAGCTGCTCTGTAAAAAGAAAGGTTCCACTCTGTTAGCTGAGTACACACATCACAAACTTGTTTCTCAGAATCCTTCTCTGTCTCGTTTTTCTGGGAAGATATTTACTTTTTCACCGTAGGCATCAAAGCGCTCCAAATGTCCACATCCAGAAACTCCAGAAAGAGTGTTTCAAACCTGCTCTATGAAAGGGAATCTTCAACTCTATGAGTTGAATGCAGACATCAGAAAGAAATTTCTGAGAATGCTGCTGTCTACCTTTTATTTGAATTCCCGCTTCCAACGAAATCCTCCAAGCTATCCAAATATCCACTTGCAGATTCCACAAAAAGAGTGTTTCAAAACTGCTCTCTATCAATGGCAAAGTTCAACTCTGTTAGTTGAGGACACATATCACCAACAAGTTTCTGAGAATGCTTCTTCAATTTTTTATGGGAAGACATTTCCTTTTTCACCGTAGGCGTCAAGGCGATCGAAATGTCCACTTCCACAAACTACAAAAAGAGTGTTTCAAACCTGCTCTATGAAAGGCCATGTTCATCTCTATGAGTCGAATGGAAATATCCGAAAGAAATTTCTGGGAATGCTGCTGTCTAGTTTTTATACGAATTCCCGCTTCCAACGAAATCCTCAAAGCAATCCAAATATCCACTTGCAGAATCCACAAAAAGAGTGTTTCAAAACTGCTCTATCAATAGAAAGGTTCAACTCTTTTAGTTGAGTACACACATCACAAACAAGTTTCTGAGAATGCTTCTGTCTGGCTTTTATTGGAAGACGTTTCCTTTTCACCAAAGGCATCAAAGCGCTCCAAATGTCCACTTCCAGATTCTTCTAAAAGAGTGTTTGAAACGTGCTCAAAGTAAGGGAATGTTCAACTCTGTGACTTGAATGCAGATATCACCAAGTAGTTTCTAATAGTGCTTCTGTCTAGAATTTAGATGATGATATTCCCGTTTCCAACGAAATCGTTAGAGCTATCCAAATATCCACTTACAGTTGCTACAAAAACAGTGTTTCCAAACTGCTGCATCAAAAGAAAGGTTCAACTCTGTTAGTTGAGGACACACGTCACAAAGAAGTTTGTGAGAATGCTTCTGTCCGTTTTTGTATGACGATATTCCCTTTTCCAACGATATCGTTAAAGCAATCTAAATATCCATTTGCAGAATCCACAAAAATAGAGTTTCAAAGCTGCTCTGTAAAAAGAAAGGTTCCACTCTGTTAGCTGAGTACACACATCACAAACTTGTCTCTCAGAATCCTTCTGTCTCGTTTTTATGGGAAGATATTTACTTTTTCACCGTAGGCATCAAAGCGCTCCAAATGTCCACATCCAGATACTCCAGAAAGAGTGTTTCAAACCTGCTCTATGAAAGGGAATCTTCAACTCTATGAGTTGAATGCAGACATCAGAAAGAAATTTCTGAGAATACTGCTGTCTACCTTTTATTTGAATTCCCGCTTCCAACGAAATCCTCCAAGCTATCCAAATATCCACCTGCATTTTCCACAACAAGAGTGTTTCAAAACTGCTCTATCAATAGAAATGTTCAACTCCTTTGTCTGGGTACACACATCACAAACAAGTTTCTGAGAATGCTTCTGTCTAGTTTTTATGGGAAGACATTCCCTTTTTCACCAAAGGCATCAAAGCACTCCAAATGTCCACTTCCAGACACTACAAAAAGAGTGTTTCCAACGTGCTCTAAGAAAGTGAATGTTCAACTCTGTGACTTGAATGCAGATATCACAAAGTAGTTTCTGAGAGGGCTTCTGTCTAGATTTTAGATGATGATAATCCCGTTTCCAACAAAATCATTAGGGCTTCCAAATATCCACTTACAGTTTCTACAAAAAGAGTGTTTCCAAACTGCTGCATCAAAAGAGAGGTTCCACTCTGTTAGCTGAGTACACACATCACAAATTTGTTTCTCAGAATCCTGCTGTCTACCTTTTATTTGAATTCCCGCTTCCAACGAAATCCTCCAAGCTATCCAAATATCCACTTGCAGATTCCACAAAAAGAGTGTTTCAAAACTGCTCTCTATCAATGGCAAAGTTCAACTCTGTTAGTTGAGGACACATATCACCAACAAGTTTCTGAGAATGCTTCTGTCTATTTTTTATGGGAAGATATTTCCTTTTTCACCGTAGGCGTCAAGGCGATCGAAATGTCCACTTCCACAAACTACAAAAAGAGTGTTTCAAACCTGCTCTATGAAAGGCCATGTTCATCTCTGTGAGTCGAATGGAAATATCCGAAAGAAATTTCTGGGAATGCTGCTGTCTAGTTTTTATACGAATTCCCGCTTCCAACGAAATCCTCAAAGCAATCCAAATATCCACTTGCAGAATCCACAAAAAGAGTGTTTCAAAACTGCTCTATCAATAGAAAGGTTCAACTCTTTTAGTTGAGTACACACATCACAAACAAGTTTCTGAGAATGCTTCTGTCTGGCTTTTATGGGAAGACGTTTCCTTTTCACCAAAGGCATCAAAGCGCTCCAAATGTCCACTTCCAGATTCTTCCAAAAGAGTGTTTGAAACGTGCTCAAAGTAAGGGAATGTTCAACTCTGTGACTTGAATGCAGATATCACCAAGTAGTTTCTAATAGTGCTTCTGTGTATACTTCAGATGAAGATATTCCCGTTTCCAACGATATCGTTAGACCTACCCAAATATCCACTTACAGTTTCTACAAAAAGAGTGTTTCCAAAGTGCTGCATCTAAAGAAAGGTTCAAATCTGTGAGTTGAGGACACACATCACAAAGAAGTTTCTGAGAAAGCTTCTGTCTAGATTTTGTATGACGATATTCCCTTTTCCAACGATATCGTTAAAGCAATCTAAATATCCATTTGCAGAATCCACAAAAATAGAGTTTCAAAGCTGCTCTGTAAAAAGAAAGGTTCCACTCTGTTAGCTGAGTACACACATCACAAACTTGTTTCTCAGAATCCTTCTCTGTCTCGTTTTTATGGGAAGATATTTACTTTTTCACCGTAGGCATCAAAGCGCTCGAAATGTCCACATCCAGATACTCCAGAAAGAGTGTTTCAAACCTGCTCTATGAAAGGGAATCTTCAACTCTATGAGTTGAATGCAGACATCAGAAAGAAATTTCTGAGAATGCTGCTGTCTACCTTTTATTTGAATTCCCGCTTCCAACGAAATCCTCCAAGCTATTCAAATATCCACCTGCATTTTCCACAACAAGAGTGTTTCAAAACTGCTCTATCAATAGAAATGTTCAACTCCTTTGGCTGGGTACACACATCACAAACAAGTTTCTGAGAATGCTTCTGTCTAGTTTTTATGGGAAGACATTCCCTTTTTCACCAAAGACATCAAAGCGCTCCAAATGTCCACTTCCAGACACTACAAAAAGAGTGTTTCAAACGTGCTCTAAGAAAGCGAATGTTCAACTCTGTGACTTGAATGCAGATATCACAAAGTAGTTTCTGAGAGGGCTTCTGTCTAGATTTTAGATGATGATATTCCCGTTTCCAACGAAATCATTAGAGCTATCCAAATATCCACTTACAGTTTTTACAAAAAGAGTGTTTCCAAACTGCTGCATCAAAAGAGAGGTTCCACTCTGTTAGCTGAGTACACACATCACAAACTTGTTTCTGAGAATCCTTCTGTCTCGTTTTTATGGGAAGATATTTACTTTTTCACCGTAGGCATCAAAGCGCTCCAAATGTCCACATCCAGATACTCCAGAAAGAGTGTTTCAAACCTGCTCTATGAAAGGAAATCTTCAACTCTATGAGTTGAATGCAGACATCAGAAAGAAATTTCTGAGAATGCTGCTGTCTACCTTTTATTTGAATTCCCGCTTCCTACGAAATCCTCCAAGCTATCCAAATATCCACTTGCAGATTCCACAAAAAGAGTGTTTCAAAACTGCTCTCTATCAATGGCAAAGTTCAACTCTGTTAGTTGAGGACACATATCACCAACAAGTTTCTGAGAATGCTTCTGTCTATTTTTTATGGGAAGATATTTCCTTTTTCACCGTAGGCGTCAAGGCGATCGAAATGTCCACTTCCACAAACTACAAAAAGAGTGTTTCAAACCTGCTCTATGAAAGGCCATGTTCATCTCTATGAGTTGAATGGAAATATCCGAAAGAAATTTCTGGGAATGCTGTTGTCTAGTGTTTATACGAATTCCCGCTTCCAACGAAATCCTCAAAGCAATCCAAATATCCACTTGCAGAATCCACAAAAAGAGTGTTTCAAAACTGCTCTATCAATAGAAAGGTTCAACTCTTTTAGTTGAGTACACACATCACGAACAAGTTTCTGAGAATGCTTCTGTCTGGCTTTTATTGGAAGACGTTTCCTTTTCACCAAAGGCATCAAAGCGCTCCAAATGTCCACTTCCAGATTCTTCCAAAAGAGTGTTTCAAACGTGCTCAAAGTAAGGGAATGTTCAACTCTGTGACTTGAATGCAGATATCACCAAGTAGTTTCTAATAGTGCTTCTGTCTAGATTTCAGATGATGATATTCCCGTTTCCAACGAAATCGTTAGAGCTAAGCAAATATCCAGTTACAGTTTCTACCAAAAGGGTGTTTCCAAATTGCTGCATCAAAAGAAAGGTTCAACTCTGTTAGTTGAGGACACACATCACAAAGAAGTTTGTGAGAATGCTTCTGTCTAGATTTTGTATGACGATATTCCCTTTTCCAACAATATCGTTAAAGCAATCTAAATATCAATTTGCAGAATCCACAAAAATAGAGTTTCAAAGCTGCTCTGTAAAAATAAAGGTTCCACTCTGTTAGCTGAGTACACACATCACAAACTTGTTTCTGAGAATCCTTCTGTCTCGTTTTTATGGGAAGATATTTACTTTTCCACCGTAGGCATCAAAGCGCTCCAAATGTCCACATCCAGATACCCCAGAACGAGTGTTTCAAACCTGCTCTATGAAAGGGAATCTTCAACTCTATGAGTTGAATGCAGACATCAGAAAGAAATTTCTGAGAATGCTGCTGTCTACCTTTTATTTGAATTCCCGCTTCCAACGAAATCCTCCAAGCTATCCAAATATCCACCTGCATTTTCCACAACAAGAGTGTTCCAAAACTGCTCTATCAATAGAAATGTTCAACTCCTTTGGCTGGGTACACACATCACAAACAAGTTTCTGAGAATGCTTCTGTCTAGTTTTTATGGGAAGACGTTCCCTTTTTCACCAAAGGCATCAAAGCGCTCCAAATGTCCACTTCCAGACACTACAAAAAGAGTGTTTCAAACGTGCTCTAAGAAAGCGAATGTTCAACTCTGTGACTTGAATGCAGATATCACAAAGTAGTTTCTGAGAGTGCTTCTGTCTAGATTTTAGATGATGATATTCCCGTTTCCAAAGAAATCATTAGAGCTATCCAAATATCCACTTACAGTTTCTACAAAAAGAGTGTTTCCAAACTGCTGCATCAAAAGAGAGGTTCCACTCTGTTAGCCGAGTACACACATCACAAACTTGTTTCTCAGAATCCTTCTGTCTCGTTTTTATGGGAAGATATTTACTTTTCCACCGTAGGCATCAAAGCGCTCCAAATGTCCACATCCAGATACTCCAGAAAGAGTGTTTCAAACCTGCTCTATGAAAGGGAATCTTCAACTCTATGAGTTGAATGCAGACATCAGAAAGAAATTTCTGAGAATGCTGCTGTCTATCTTTTATTTGAATTCCCGCTTCCAACGAAATCCTCCAAGCTATCCAAATATCCACTTGCAGATTCCACAAAAAGAGTGTTTCAAAACTGCTCTCTATCAATGGCAAAGTTCAACTCTGTTAGTTGAGGACACATATCACCAACAAGTTTCTGAGAATGCTTCTGTCTATTTTTTATGGGAAGATATTTCCTTTTTCAGCGTAGGCGTCAAGGCGATCGAAATGTCCACTTCCACAAACTACAAAAAGAGTGTTTCAAACCTGCTCTATGAAAGGCCATGTTCATCTCTATGAGTTGAATGGAAATATCCGAAAGAAATTTCTGGGAATGCTGCTGTCTAGTTTTTATACGAATTCCCGCTTCCAACGAAATCCTCAACGCAATCCAAATATCCACTTGCAGAATCCACAAAAAGAGTGTTTCAAAACTGCTCTATCAATAGAAAGGTTCAACTCTTTTAGTTGAGTACACACATCACAAACAAGTTTCTGAGAATGCTTCTGTCTGGCTTTTATTGGAAGACGTTTCCTTTTCACCAAAGGCATCAAAGCGCTCCAAATGTCCACTTCCAGATTCTTCCAAAAGAGTGTTTCAAACGTGCTCGAAGTAAGGGAATGTTCAACTCTGTGACTTGAATGCAGATATCACCAAGTAGTTTCTAATAGTGCTTCTGTCTAGATTTTAGATGATGATATTCCCGTTTCCAACGAAATCGTTAGAGCTATCCAAATATCCAGTTACAGTTTCTATCAAAAGGGTGCTTCCAAATTGCTGCATCAAAAGAAAGGTTCAACTCTGTTAGTTGAGGACACACATCACAAAGAAGTTTGTGAGAATGCTTCTGTCTAGATTTTGTATGACGGTATTCCCTTTTCCAACGATATCGTTAAAGCAATCTAAATATCAATTTGCAGAATCCACAACAATAGAGTTTCAAAGCTGCTCTGTAAAAAGAAAGGTTCCACTCTGTTAGCTGAGTACACACATCACAAACTTGTTTCTGAGAATCCTTCTGTCTCGTTTTTATGGGAAGATATTTACTTTTTCACCGTAGGCATCAAAGCGCTCCAAATGTCCACATACAGATACTCCAGAAAGAGTGTTTCAAACCTGCTCTATGAAAGGGAATCTTCAACTCTATGAGTTGAATGCAGACATCAGAAAGAAATTTCTGAGAATGCTGCTGTCTACCTTTTATTTGAACTCCCGCTTCCAACGAAATCCTCCAAGCTATCCAAATATCCACTTGCATTTTCCACAAAAAGAGTGCTTCAAAACTGCTCTATCAATAGAAATGTTCAACTCCTTTAGCTGGGTGCACACATCACAAACAAGTTTCTGAGAATGCTTCTGTCTACTTTTTAAGGGAAGACATTTCCTTTTTCACCAAAGGCATCAAAGCGCTCCAAATGTCCACTTCCAGATTCTACAAAAAGAGTGTTTCAAACCTGCTCTAAGTAAGAGAGTTTTCAACTATGTGACTGGAATGCAGATATCACAAAGTAGTTTCTGAGACTGCTTCTGTCTCGATTTTAGATGATATTCCCGTTTCCAACGAAATCATTAGAGCTATCCAAATATCCACTTACAGTTTCTACAAAAAGAGTGTTTCCAAACTGCTGCATCAAAAGAGAGGTTCCACTCTGTTAGCTGAGTACACACATCACAAACTTGTTTCTGAGAATCCTTCTGTCTCGTTTTTATGGGAAGATTATACTTTTTCACCGTAGGCATCAAAGCGCTCCAAATGTCCACATCCAGATACTACAGAAAGAGTGTTTCAAACCTGCTCTATGAAAGGGAATCTTCAACTCTATGAGTTGAATGCAGACATCAGAAAGAAATTTCTCAGAATGCTGCTGTCTACCTTTTATTTGAATTCCCGCTTCCAACGAAATCCTCCAAGCTATCCAAATATCCACTTGCAGATTCCACAAAAAGAGTGTTTCAAAACTGCTCTCTATCAATGGCAAAGTTCAACTCTGTTAGTTGAGGACACATATCACCAACAAGTTTCTGAGAATGCTTCTGTCTATTTTTTATGGGAAGATATTTCCTTTTTCACCGTAGGCGTCAAGGCGATCGAAATGTCCACTTCCACAAACTACAAAAAGAGTGTTTCAAACTTGCTCTATGAAAGGCCATGTTCATTTCTATGAGTCGAATGGAAATATCCGAAAGAAATTTCTGGGAATGCTGCTGTCTAGTTTTTATACGAATTCCCGCTTCCAACGAAATCCTCAAAGCAATCCAAATATCCACTTGCAGAATCCACAAAAAGAGTGTTTCAAAACTGCTCTATCAATAGAAAGGTTCAACTCTTTTAGTTGAGTACACACATCACAAACAAGTTTCTGAGAATGCTTCTGTCTGGCTTTTATTGGAAGACGTTTCCTTTTCACCAAAGGCATCAAAGCGCTCCAAATGTCCACTTCCAGATTCTTCCAAAAGAGTGTTTCAAACGTGCTCAAAGTAAGGGAATGTTCAACTCTTTGACTTTAATGCAGATATCACCAAGTAGTTTCTAATAGTGCTTCTGTGTATACTTTAGATGAAGATATTCCCGTTTCCAACGATATCGTTAGACCTACCCAAATATCCACTTACAGTTTCTACAAAAAGAGTGTTTCCAAACTGCTGCATCTAAAGAAAGGTTCAACTCTGTTACTTGAGGACACACATCACAACGAAGTTTCTGAGAAAGCTTCTGTCCAGATTTTGTATGACAATATTCCCTTTTCCAACGATATCGTTAAAGCAATCTAAATATCAATTTGCAGAATCCACAAAAATAGAGTTTGAAAGCTGCTCTGTAAAAAGAAAGGTTCCACTCTGTTAGCTGAGTACACACATCACAAACTTGTTTCTGAGAATCCTTCTGTCTAGTTTTTATGGGAAGATATTTACTTTTTCACCGTAGATATCAAAGCGCTCCAAATGTCCACATCCAGATACTACAGAAAGAGTGTTTCAAACCTGCTCTATGAAAGGGAATCTTCAACTCTATGAGTTGAATGCAGACATCAGAAAGTAATTTCTGAGAATGCTGCTGTCTACCTTTTATTTGAATTCCCGCTTCCAACGAAATCCTCCAAGCTATCCAAATATCCACCTGCATTTTCCACAAAACGAGTGTTTCAAAACTGCTCTATCAATAGAAATGTTCAACTCCTTTGGCTGGGTACACACATCACAAACAAGTTTCTGAGAATGCTTCTGTCTAGTTTTTATGGGAAGACGTTCCCTTTTTCACCAAAGGCATCAAAGCGCTCCAAATGTCCACTTCCAGACACTACAAAAAGAGTGTTTCCAACGTGCTCTAAGAAAGCGAATGTTCAACTCTGTGACTTGAATGCACATATCACAAAGTAGTTTCTGAGAGTGCTTCTGTCTAGATTTTAGATGATGATATTCCCGTTTCCAACGAAATGATTAGAGCTATCCAAATATCCACTTACAGTTTCTACAAAAAGAGTGTTTCCAAACTGCTGCATCAAAAGAGAGGTTCCACTCTGTTAGCTGAGTACACACATCACAAACTTGTTTCTCAGAATCCTTCTGTCTCCTTTTTATGGGAAGATATTTACTTTTTCACCGTAGGCATCAAAGCGCTCCAAATGTCCACATCCAGATACTCCAGAAAGAGTGTTTCAAACCTGCTCTATGAAAGGGAATCTTCAACTCTATGAGTTGAATGCAGACATCAGAAAGATATTTCTGAGAATGCTGCTGTCTACCTTTTATTTGAATTCCCGCTTCCAACGAAATCCTCCAAGCTATCCAAATATCCACTTGCAGATTCCACACAAAGAGTGTTTTAAAACTGCTCTCTATCAATGGCAAAGTTCAACTCTGTTAGTTGAGGACACATATCACCAACAAGTTTCTGAGAATGCTTCTGTCTATTTTTTATGGGAAGATATTTCCTTTTTCACCGTAGGCGTCAAGGCGATCAAAATGTCCACTTCCACAAACTACAAAAAGAGTGTTTCAAACCTGCTCTATGAAAGGCCATGTTCATCTCTATGAGTCGAATGGAAATATCCGAAAGAAATTTCTGGGAATGCTGCTGTCTAGTTTTTATACGAATTCCCGCTTCCAACGAAATCCTCAAAGCAATCCAAATATCCACTTGCAGAATCCACAAAAAGAGTGTTTCAAAACTGCTCTATCAATAGAAAGGTTCAACTCTTTTAGTTGAGTACACACATCACAAACAAGTTTCTGAGAATGCTTCTGTCTGGCTTTTATTGGAAGACGTTTCCTTTTCACCAAAGGCATCAAAGCGCTCCAAATGTCCACTTCCAGATTCTTCCAAAAGAGTGTTTCAAACGTGCTCAAAGTAAGGGAATGTTCAACTCTGTGACTTGAATGCAGATATCACCAAGTAGTTTCTAATAGTGCTTTCTGTCTAGATTTTAGATGATCATATTCCCGTTTCCAACGAAATCGTTAGAGCTATCCAAATATCCAGTTACAGTTTCTACCAAAAGGGTGTTTCCAAATTGCTGCATCAAAAGAAAGGTTCAACTCTGTTAGTTGAGGACCCACATCACAAAGAAGTTTGTGAGAATGCTTCTGTCTAGATTTTGTATGACGATATTCCCTTTTCCAACGATATCGTTAAAACAATCTAAATATAAATTTGCAGAATCCACAAAAATACAGTTTCAAAGCTGCTCTGTAAAAAGAAAGGTTCCACTCTTTTGGCTGAGTACACACATCAAAAACTTGTTTCTGAGAATCCTTCTGTCTCGTTTTTATGGGAAGATATTTACTTTTTCACCGTAGGCATCAAAGCGCTCCAAATGTCCACATCCAGATACTCCAGAAAGAGTGTTTCAAACCTGCTCTATGAAAGGGAATCTTCAACTCTACGAGTTGAATGCAGACATCAGAAAGAAATTTCTGAGAATGCTGCTGTCTACCTTTTATTTGAATTCCCGCTTCCAACGATATCCTCCAAGCTATCCAAATATCCACTTGCATTTTCCACAAAAAGAGTGTTTCAAAACTGCTCTATCAATAGAAATGTTCAACTCCTTTGGCTGGGTACACACATCACAAACAAGTTTCTGAGAATGCTTCTGTCTAGTTTTTATGGGAAGACATTCACTTTTTCACCAAAGGCATCAAAGCGCTCCAAATGTCCACTTCCAGACACTACAAAAAGAGTGTTTCAAACGTGCTCTAAGAAAGCGAATGTTCAACTCTGTGACTTGAATGCAGATATCACAAAGTAGTTTCTGAGAGGGCTTCTGTCTAGATTTTAGATGATGATATTCCCGTTTCCAACGAAATCATTACAGCTATCCAAATATCCACTTATAGTTTCTACAAAAAGAGTGTTTCCAAACTGCTGCATCAAAAGAGAGGTTCCACACTCTTAGCTGAGTACACACATCACAAACTTGTTTCTCAGAATCCTTCTTCAATTTTTTATGGGAAGACATTTCCTTTTTCACCGTAGGCGTCAAAGCGCTCCAAATGTCCACATCCAGATAGTACAGAAAGAGTGTTTCAAACCTGCTCTATTAAAGGGAATGTTCAACTCTATGAGTTGAATGCAAACATCAGAAAGAAATTTCTGAGAATGCTGCTGTCTACCTTTTATTTGAATTCCCGCTTCCAACGAAATCCTCCAAACTATCCAAATATCCACTCGCAGATTCCACAAAAAGAGTGTTTCAAAACTGCTCTCTATCAATGGCAAAGTTCAACTCTGTTAGTTGAGGACACATATCACCAACAAGTTTCTGAGAATGCTTCTGTCTATTTTTTATGGGAAGATATTTCCTTTTTCAGCGTAGGCGTCAAGGCGATCGAAATGTCCACTTCCACAAACTACAAAAAGAGTGTTTCAAACCTGCTCTATGAAAGGCCATGTTCATCTCTATGAGTTGAATGGAAATATCCGAAAGAAATTTCTGGGAATGCTGCTGTCTAGTTTTTATACGAATTCCCGCTTCCAACGAAATCCTCAAAGCAATCCAAATATCCACTTGCAGAATCCACAAAAAGAGTGTTTCAAAACTACACTATTAATAGAAAGGTTCAACTCTTTTAATTGAGTACACACATCACAAACAAGTTTCTGAGAATGCTTCTGTCTGGCTTTTATTGGAAGACGTTTCCTTTTCACCAAAGGCATCAAAGCGCTCCAAATGTCCACTTCCAGATTCTTCCAAAAGAGTGTTTCAAACGTGGTCGAAGTAAGGGAATGTTCAACTCTGTGACTTGAATGCAGGTATCACCAAGTAGTTTCTAATAGTGCTTCTGTCTAGATTTTAGATGATGATATTCCCGTTTCCAACGAAATCATTAGAGCTATCCAAATATCCACTTACAGTTTCTACAAAAAGAGTGTTTCCAAACCGCTGCATCAAAAGAAAGGTTCAACTCTGATAGTTGAGGACACACATCACAAAGAAGTTTGTGAGAATGCTTCTGTCCAGATTTTGTATGACGATATTCCCTTTTCCAACGATATCGTTAAAGCAATCTAAATATCCATTTGCAGAATCCACAAAAATAGAGTTTCAAAGCTGCTCTGTAAAAAGAAAGGTTCCACTCAGTTAGCTGAGTACACACATCACAAACTTGTTTCTGAGAATCCTTCTGTCTCGTTTTTATGGGAAGATATTTACTTTTTCACCGTAGGCATCAAAGCGCTCCAAATGTCCACATCCAGATACTCCAGAAAGAGTTTTTCAAACCTGCTCTATGAAAGGGAATCTTCAACTCTATGAGTTGAATGCAGACATCAGAAAGAAATTTCTGAGAATGCTGCTGTCTACCTTTTATTTGAATTCCCGCTTCCAACGAAATCCTCCAAGCTATCCAAATATCCACCTGCATTTTCCACAAAAAGAGTGTTTCAAAACTGCTCTATCAATAGAAATGTTCAACTCCTTTTTTCTGGGTACACACATCACAAACAAGTTTCTGAGAATGCTTCTGTCTAGTTTTTATGGGAAGACATTCCCTTTTTCACCAAAGGCATCAAAGCGCTCCAAATGTCGACTTCCAGACACTACAAAAAGAGTGTTTCAAACGTGCTCTAAGAAACCGAATGTTCAACTCTGTGAGTTGAATGCAGATATCACAAAGTAGTTTCTGAGAGGGCTTCTGTCTAGATTTTAGATGATGATATTCCCGTTTCCAACGAAATCGTTAGAGCTATCCAAATATCTACTTACAGTTTCTACAAAAAGAGTGTTTCCAAACTGCTGCATCAAAAGAGAGGTTCCACTCTGTTAGCTGAGTACACACATCACAAACTTGTTTCTCAGAATCCTCTGTCTCGTTTTTATGGGAAGATATTTACTTTTTCACCGTAGGCCTCAAAGCGCTCCAAATGTCCACATCCAGATACCACAGAAAGAGTATTTCAAACCTGCTCTATGAAAGGGAATGTTCAACTCTATGAGTTGAATGCAGACATCAGAAAGAAATTTCTGAGAATGCTGGCTGTCTACCTTTTATTTGAATTTCCGCTTCCAACGAAATCCTCCAAGCTATCAAAATATCCACTTGCAGATTCCACAAAAAGAGTGTTTCAAAACTGCTCTCTATCAATGGCAAAGTTCAACTCTGTTAGTTGAGGACACATATCACCAACGAGTTTCTGAAAATGCTTCTGTCTATTTTTTATGGGAAGATATTTCCTTTTTCACCGTAGGCGTCAAGGCGATCGAAATGTCCACTTCCACAAACTACAAAAAGAGTGTTTCAAACCTGCTCTATGAAAGGCCATGTTCATCTCTATGAGTTGAATGGAAATATCCGAAAGAAATTTCTGGGAATGCTGCTGTCTAGTTGTTATACGAATTCCCGCTTCCAACGAAATCCTCAAAGCAATCCAAATATCCACTTGCAGAATCCACAAAAAGAGTGTTTCAAAACTGCTCTATCAATAGAAAGGTTCAACTCTTTTAGTTGAGTACACACATCACAAACAAGTTTCTGAGAATGCTTCTGTCTGGCTTTTATTGGAAGACGTTTCCTTTTCACCAAAGGCATCAAAGCGCTCCAAATGTCCACTTCCAGATTCTTCCAAAAGAGTGTTTCAAACGTGCTCAAAGTAAGGGAATGTTCAACTCTTTGACTTGAATGCAGATATCACCAAGTAGTTTCTAATAGTGCTTCTGTCTAGATTTTAGATGACGATATTCCCGTTTCCAGCGAAATCGTTAGAGCTATCCAAATATCCACTTACAGTTTCTACAAAAAGAGTGTTTCCAAACTGCTGCATCAAAAGAAAGGTTCAACTCTGTTAGTTGAGGACACACATCACAAAGAAGTTTGTGAGAATGCTTCTGTCTAGATTTTGTATGACCATATTCCCTTTTCCAACGATATCGTTAAAGCAATCTAAATATCAATTTGTAGAATCCACAAAAATAGAGTTTCAAAGCTGCTCTGTAAAAAGAAAGGTTCCACTCTGTTAGCTGAGTACACACATCACAAACTTGTTTCTCAGAATCCTTCTGTCTCGTTTTTATGGGAAGATATTTACTTTTTCACCGTAGGCATCAAAGCGCTCCAAATGTCCACATCCAGATACACCAGAAAGACTGTTTCAAACCTGCTCTATGAAAGGGAATCTTCAACTCTATGAGTTGAATGCAGACATCAGAAAGAAATTTCTGAGAATGCTGCTGTCTACTTTTTTATGAATTCCCGCTTCCAACGAAGTCCTCAAAGCAATCCAAATATCCACTTGCAGATTCCACAAAAAGAGTGTTTCAAAACTGCTCTATCAATAGAAAGGTTCAACTCTTTTAGTTGAGTACACACATCACATACAAGTTTCTGAGAAAGCTTCTGTCTACTTTTTAAGGGAAGACATTTCCTTTTTCACCAAAGGCATCAAAGCACTCCAAATATCCACTTCCAGATTCTACAAAAAGTGTGTTTCAAACCTGCTCTAAGTAAGGGAGTTTTCAACTCTGTGACTGGAATGCAGATATCACAAAGTAGTTTCTGAGACTGCTTCTGTCTAGATTTTAGATGATGATATTCCCGTTTCCAACGAAATCATTAGAGCTATCCAAATATCCACTTACAGTTTCTACAAAAAGAGTGTTTCCAAACTGCTGCATCAAAAGAGAGGTTCCACTCTGTTAGCTGAGTACACACATCACAAACTTGTTTCTGAGAATCCTTCTGTGTCGTTTTTATGGGAAGATATTTACTTTTTCACCGTAGGCATCAAAGCGCTCCAAATGTCCACATCCAGATACTCCAGAAAGAGTGTTTCAAACCTGCTCTATGAAAGGGAATCTTCAACTACTATGAGTTGAATGCAGACATCAGAAAGAAATTTCTGAGAATGCTGCTGTCTACCTTTTATTTGAATTCCCGCTTCCAACGAAAACCTCCAAGCTATCCAAATATCCACTTGCAGATTCCACAAAAAGAGTGTTTCAAAACTGCTCTATCAATAGAAATGTTCAAATCCTTTCGCTGGGTACACACATCACAAACAAGTTTCTGAGAAAGCTTCTGTCTAGTTTTTATGGGAAGACGTTCCCTTTTTCACCAAAGGAATCAAAGCGCTCCAAATGTCCACTTCCAGACACTACAAAAAGAGTGTTTCAAACGTGCTCTAAGAAAGCGAATGTTCAACTCTGTGACTTGAATGCAGATATCACAAAGTAGTTTCTGAGAGGGCTTCTGTCTAGATTTTAGATGATGATATTCCCGTTTCCAACGAAATCGTTAGAGCTATCCAAATATCCACTTACAGTTTCTACAAAAAGAGTGTTTCCAAACTGCTGCATCAAAAGAGAGGTTCCACTCTGTTAGCTGAGTACACACATCACAAACTTGCTTCTCAGAATCCTTCTGTCTCGTTTTTATGGGAAGATATTTACTTTCTCACCGTAGGCATCAAAGCGCTTCAAATGTCCACATCCAGATACTCCAGAAAGAGTGTTTCAAACCTGCTCTATGAAAGGGAATCTTCAACTCTATGAGTTGAATGCAGACATCAGAAAGAAATTTCTGAGAATGCTGCTGTCTACCTTTTATTTGAATTACCGCTTCCAACGAAATCCTCCAAGCTATCCAAATATCCACTTGCAGATTCCACAAAAAGAGTGTTTCAAAACTGCTCTCTATCAATGGCAAAGTTCAACTCTGTTAGTTGAGGACACATATCACCAACAAGTTTCTGAGAATGCTTCTGTCTATTTTTTATGGGAAGATATTTCCTTTTTCAGCGTAGGCGTCAACGCGATCGAAATGTCCACTTCCACAAACTACAAAAAGAGTGTTTCAAACCTGCTCTATGAAAGGCCATGTTCATCTCTATGAGTTGAATGGAAATATCCGAAAGAAATTTCTGGGAATGCTGCTGTCTAGTGTTTATACGAATTCCCGCTTCCAACGAAATCCTCAAAGCAATCCAAATATCCACTTGCAGAATCCACAAAAAGAGTGTTTCAAAACTGCTCTATCAATAGAAAGGTTCAACTCTTTTAGTTGAGTACACACATCACGAACAAGTTTCTGAGAATGCTTCTGTCTGGCTTTTATTGGAAGACGTTTCCTTTTCACCAAAGGCATCAAAGCGCTCCAAATGTCCACTTCCAGATTCTTCCAAAAGAGTGTTTCAAACGTGGTCGAAGTAAGGGAATGTTCAACTCTGTGACTTGAATGCAAATATCACCAAGTAGTTTCTAATAGTGCTTCTGTCTACATTTTAGATGATGATATTCCCGTTTCCAACGAAATCGTTAGAGCTATCCAAATATCCAGTTACAGTTTCTACCAAAAGGGTGCTTCCAAATTGCTGCATCAAAAGAAAGGTTCAACTCTGTTAGTTGAGGACACACATCACAAAGAAGTTTGTGAGAATGCTTATCTGTCTAGATTTTGTATGAAGATATTCCCTTTTCCAACGATATCGTTAAATCAACCCAAATATCAATTTGCAGAATCCACAGAAATAGAGTCTCAAAGCTGCTCTGTAAAAAGAAAGGATACACTCTGTTAGCTGAGTACACATATCACAAACTTGTTTCTGAATATCCTTCTGTCTACTTTTTATGGGAAGATATTTACTTTTTCACCGTAGGTATCAAAGCGCTCCAAAAGTCCACATCCAGATACTACAGAAAGAGTGTTTCAAACCTGCTCTATGAAAGGGAATCTTCAACTCTATGAGTTGAATGCAGACATCAGAAAGTAATTTCTGAGAATGCTGCTGTCTACCTTTTATTTGAATTCCCGCTTCCAACGAAATCCTCCAAGCTATCAAAATATCCACTTGCATTTTCCACAACAAGAGTGTTTCAAAACTGCTCTATCAATAGAAATGTTCAACTCCTTTGGCTGGGTACACACATCACAAACAAGTTTCTGAGAATGCTTCTGTCTAGTTTTTATGGGAAGACATTCCCTTTTTCACCAAAGGCATCAAAGCGCTCCAAATGTCCACTTCCAGAGACTACAAAAAGAGTGTTTCAAACGTGCTCTAAGAAAGCGAATGTTCAACTCTGTGACTTGAATGCAGATATCACAAAGTAGTTTCTGAGAGTGCTTCTGTCTAGATTTTAGATGATGATATTCCCGTTTCCAACGAAATCATTAGAGCTATCCAAATATCCACTTACACTTTCTACAAAAAGAGTGTTTCCAAACTGCTGCATCAAAAGAGAGGTTCCACTCTGTTAGCTGAGTACACACATCACAAACTTGTTTCTCAGAATCCTTCTGTCTCGTTTTTATGGGAAGATATTTACTTTTGCACCGTAGGCATCAAAGCGCTCCAAATGTCCACATCCAGATACTCCAGAACGAGTGTTTCAAACCTGCTCTATGAAAGGGAATCTTCAACTCTATGAGTTGAATGCAGACATCAGAAAGAAATTTCTGAGAATGCTGCTGTCTACCTTTTATTTGAATTCCCGCTTCCAACGAAATCCTCCAAGCTATCCAAATATCCACTTGCAGATTCCACAAAAAGAGTGTTTCAAAACTGCTCTCTATCAATGGCAAAGTTCAACTCTGTTAGTTGAGGACACATATCACCAACAAGTTTCTGAGAATGCTTCTGTCTATTTTTTATGGGAAGATATTTCCTTTTTCACCGTAGGCGTCAAGGAGATCGAAATGTCCACTGCCACAAACTACAAAAAGAGTGTTTCAAACCTGCTCTATGAAAGGCCATGTTCATCTCTATGAGTTGAATGGAAATATCCGAAAGAAATATCTGGGAATGCTGCTGTCTAGTGTTTATACGAATTCCCGCTTCCAACGAAATCCTCAAAGCAATCCAAATATCCACTTGCAGAATCCACAAAAAGAGTGTTTCAAAACTGCTCTATCAATAGAAAGGTTCAACTCTTTTAGTTGAGTACACACTTCACGAACAAGTTTCTGAGAATGCTTCTGTCTGGCTTTTATTGGAAGACGTTTCCTTTTCAACAAAGGCATCAAAGCGCTCCAAATGTCCACTTCCAGATTCTTCCAAAAGAGTGTTTCAAACGTGCTCAAAGTAAGGGAATGTTCAACTCTGTCACTTGAATGCAGATATCACCAAGTAGTTTCTAATAGTGCTTCTGTCTAGATTTTAGATGATGATATTCCCGTTTCCAACGGAATCGTTAGAGCTAAGCAAATATCCAGTTACAGTTTCTACCAAAAGGGTGTTTCCAAATTGCTGCATCAAAAGAAAGGTTCAACTCTGTTAGTTGAGGACACACATCACAAAGAAGTTTGTGAGAATGCTCTGTCTAGATTTTGTATGACGATATTCCCTTTTCCAACGATATCGTTAAAGCAATCTAAATATCCATTTGCAGAATCCACAAAAATAGAGTTTCAAAGCTGCTCTGTAAAAAGAAAGGTTCCACTCTGTTAGCTGAGTACACACATCACAAACTTGTTTCTCAGAATCCTTTCTGTCTCGTTTTTATGGGAAGATATTTACTTTTTCACCGTAGGCATCAAAGCTCTCCAAATGTCCACATCCAGATACTCCAGAACGAGTGTTTCAAACCTACTCTATGAAAGGGAATCTTCAACTCTATGAGTTGAATGCAGACATCAGAAAGAAATTTCTGAGAATGCTGCTGTCTACCTTTTATTTGAATTCCCGCTTCCAACGAAATCCTCCAAACTATCCAAATATCCACTTGCATTTTCCACAACAAGAGTGTTTCAAAACTGCTCTATCAATAGAAACGTTCAACTCCTTTGGCTGGGTACACACATCACAAACAAGTTTCTGAGAATGCTTCTGTCTAGTTTTTATGGGAAGACGTTCCCTTTTTCACCAAAGCCATCAAAGCGCTCCAAATGTCCACTTCCAGACACTACAAAAAGAGTGTTTCAAACGTGCTCTAAGAAAGCGAATGTTCAACTCTGTGACTTGAATGCAGATATCACAAAGTAGTTTCTGAGAGTGCTTCTGTCTAGATTTTAGATGATGATATTCCCGTTTCCAACGAAATCATTAGAGCTATCCAAATATCCACTTACAGTTTCTGCAAAAAGAGTGTTTCCAAACTGCTGCATCAAAAGAGAGGTTCCACTCTGTTATCTGAGTACACACATCACAAACTTGTTTCTCAGAATCCTTCTGTCTCGTTTTTCTGGGAAGATATTTACTTTTTCATCGTAGGCATCAAAGCGCTCCAAATGTCCACATCCAGATACTCCAGAAAGAGTGTTTCAAACCTGCTCTATGAAAGGGAATCTTCAACTCTATGAGTTGAATGCAGACATCAGAAAGAAATTTCTGAGAATGCTGCTGTCTACCTTTTATTTGAATTCCCGCTTCCAACGAAATCCTCCAAGCTATCCAAATATCCACTTGCAGATTCCACAAAAAGAGTGTTTCAAAACTGCTCTCTATCAATGGCAAAGTTCAACTCTGTTAGTTGAGGACACATATCACCAACAAGTTTCTGAGAATGCTTCTGTCTATTTTTTATGGGAAGATATTTCCTTTTTCACCGTAGGCGTCAAGGCGATCGAAATGTCCACTTCCACAAACTACAAAAAGAGTGTTTCAAACCTGCTCTATGAAAGGCCATGTTCATCTCTATGAGTTGAATGGAAATATCCGAAAGAAATTTCTGGGAATGCTGCTGTCTAGTGTTTATACGAATTCCCGCTTCCAAAGAAATCCTCAAAGCAATCCAAATATCCACTTGCAGAATCCACAAAAAGAGTGTTTCAAAACTGCTCTATCAATAGAAAGGTTCAACTCTTTTAGTTGAGTACACACATCACGAACAAGTTTCTGAGAATGCTTCTGTCTGGCTTTTATTGGAAGACGTTTCCTTTTCACCAAAGGCATCAAAGCGCTCCAAATGTCCACTTCCAGATACTTCCAAAAGAGTGTTTCAAACGTGCTCGAAGTAAGGGAATGTTCAACTCTGTGACTTGAATGCAGATATCACCAAGTAGTTTCTAATAGTGCTTCTGTCTAGATTTTAGATGATGATATTCCCGTTTCCAACGAAATCGTTAGAGCTATCCAAATATCCACTTACAGTTTCTACCAAAAGGGTGTTTCCAAACTGCTGCATCAAAAGAAAGGTTCAACTCTGTTAGTTGAGGACACACATCACAAAGAAGTTTGTGAGAATACTTCTGTCTAGATTTTGTATGAAGATATTCCCTTTTCCAACGATGTCGTTAAATCAACCCAAATATCAATTTGCAGAATCCACAGAAATAGAATTTCAAAGCTGCTCTGTAAAAAGAAAGGATCCACTCTGTTAGCTGAGTACACACATCACAAACTTGTTTCTGAGAATCCTTCTGTCTCGTTTTTATGGGAAGATATATAATTTTCCACCGTAGGCATCAAAGCGCTCCAAATGTCCACATCCAGATACTCCAGAACGAGTGTTTCAAACCTGCTCTATGAAAGGGAATCTTCAACTCTATGAGTTGAATGCAGACATCAGAAAGAAATTTCTGAGAATGCTGCTGTCTACCTTTTATTTGAATTCCTGCTTCCAACGAAATCCTCCAAGCTATCCAAATATCCACCTGCATTTTCCACAAAAAGAGTGTTTCAAAACTGCTCTATCAATAGAAATGTTCAACTCCTTTGGCTGGGTACACACATCACAAACAAGTTTCTGAGAATGCTTCTGTCTAGTTTTTATGGGAAGACATTCCCTTTTTCACCAAAGGCATCAAAGCGCTCCAAATGTCCACTTCCAGACACTACAAAAAGAGTGTTTCAAACGTGCTCTAAGAAAGCGAATGTTAAACTCTGTGACTTGAATGCAGATATCACAAAGTAGTTTCTGAGAGGGCTTCTGTCTAGATTTTAGATGATGATATTCCCGTTTCCAACGAAATCATTAGAGCTATCCAAATATCCACTTACAGTTTCTATAAAAAGAGTGTTTCCAAACTGCTGCATCAAAAGAGAGGTTCCACTCTGTTAGCCGAGTACACACATCACAAACTTGTTTCTCAGAATCCTTCTGTCTCGTTTTTATGGGAAGATATTTACTTTTCCACCGTAGGCATCAAAGCGCTCCAAATGTCCACATCCAGATACTCCAGAAAGAGTGTTTCAAACCTGCTCTATGAAAGGGAATCTTCAACTCTATGAGTTGAATGCAGACATCAGAAAGAAATTTCCTGAGAATGCTGCTGTCTACCTTTTATTTGAATTCCCGCTTCCAACGAAATCCTCCAAGCTATCCAAATATCCACTTGCAGATTCCACAAAAAGAGTGTTTCAAAACTGCTCTCTATCAATGGCAAAGTTCAACTCTGTTAGTTGAGGACACATATCACCAACAAGTTTCTGAGAATGCTTCTGTCTATTTTTTATGGGAAGATATTTCCTTTTTCACCACAGGCGTCAAGGCGATCGAAATGTCCACTTCCACAAACTACAAAAAGAGTGTTTCAATATGAAAGGCCATGTTCATCTCTATGAGTTGAATGGAAATATCCGAAAGAAATTTCTGGGAATGCTGCTGTCTAGTTTTTATACGAATTCCCGCTTCCAACGAAATCCTCAAAGCAATCCAAATATCCACTTGCAGAATCCACAAAAAGAGTGTTTCAAAACTGCTCTATCAATAGAAAGGTTCAACTCTTTTAGTTGAGTACACACATCACAAACAAGTTTCTGAGAATGCTTCTGTCTGGCTTTTATTGGAAGACGTTTCCTTTTCACCAAAGGCATCAAAGCGCTCCAAATGTCCACTTCCAGATTCTTCCAAAAGAGTGTTTGAAACGTGCTCAAAGTAAGGGAATGTTCAACTCTGTGACTTGAATGCAGATATCACCAAGTAGTTTCTAATAGTGCTTCTGTCTAGATTTTAGATGATGATATTCCCGTTTCCAACGAAATCGTTAGAGCTATCCAAATATCCACTTACAGTTTCTACAAAAAGAGTGTTTCCAAACTGCTGCATCAAAAGAAAGGTTCAACTCTGTTAGTTGAGGACACACATCACAAAGAAGTTTTGTGAGAATGCTTCTGTCCAGAGTTTGTATGACAATATTCCCTTTTCCAACGATATCGTTAAAGCAATCTAAATATCAATTTGCAGAATCCACAAAAATAGAGTTTGAAAGCTGCTCTGTAAAAAGAAAGGTTCCACTCTGTTAGCTGAGTACACACATCACAAACTTGTTTCTGAGAATCCTTCTGTCTCGTTTTTATGGGAAGATATTTACTTTTTCACCGTAGGCATCAAAGCGCTCCAAATGTCCACATCCAGATACTCCAGAAAGAGTGTTTCAAACCTGCTCTATGAAAGGGAATCTTCAACTCTATGAGTTGAATGGAGACATCAGAAAGAAATTTCTGAGAATGCTCTGTTAGTTTATGGGAAGATATTTCCTTTTTCACCGTAGGCGTCAAGGCGATCGAAATGTCCACTTCCACAAACTACAAAAAGAGTGTTTCAAACCTGCTCTATGAAAGGCCATGTTCATCTCTATGAGTCGAATGGAAATATCCGAAAGAAATTTCTGGGAATGCTTCTGTCTATTTTTTATGGGAAGATATTTCCTTTTTCACCGTAGGCGTCAAGGCGATCGAAATGTCCACTTCCACAAACTACAAAAAGAGTGTTTCAAACCTGCTCTATGAAAGGCCATGTTCATCTCTATGAGTCGAATGGAAATATCCGAAAGAAATTTCTGGGAATGCTGCTGTCTAGTTTTTATACGAATTCCCGCTTCCAACGAAATCCTCAAAGCAATCCAAATATCCACTTGCAGAATCCACAAAAAGAGTGTTTCAAAACTGCTCTATCAATAGAAAGGTTCAACTCTTTTAGTTGAGTACACACATCACAAACAAGTTTCTGAGAATGCTTCTGTCTGGCTTTTATTGGAAGACGTTTCCTTTTCACCAAAGGCATCAAAGCGCTCCAAATGTCCACTTCCAGATTCTTCCAAAAGAGTGTTTGAAACGTGCTCAAAGTAAGGGAATGTTCAACTCTGTGACTTGAATGCAGATATCACCAAGTAGTTTCTAATAGTGCTTCTGTCTAGATTTTAGATGATGATATTCCCGTTTCCAACGAAATCGTTAGAGCTATCCAAATATCCACTTACAGTTGCTACAAAAAGAGTGTTTCCAAACTGCTGCATCAAAAGAAAGGTTCAACTCTGTTAGTTGAGGACACACATCACAAAGAAGTTTGTGAGAATGCTTTCTGTCTAGATTTTGTATGACGATATTCCCTTTTCCAACGATATCGTTAAAGCAATCTAAATATCAATTTGCAGAATCCACAAAAATAGAGTTTCAAAGCTGCTCTGTAAAAAGAGAGGTTCCACTCTGTTAGCTGAGTACACACATCACAAACTTGTTTCTGAGAATCCTGCTGTCTACCTTTTATTTGAATTCCCGCTTCCAACGAAATCCTCCAAGCTATCCAAATATCCACTTGCAGATTCCACAAAAAGAGTGTTTCAAAACTGCTCTCTATCAATGGCAAAGTTCAACTCTGTTAGTTGAGGACACATATCACCAACAAGTTTCTGAGAATGCTTCTGTCTATTTTTTATGGGAAGATATTTCCTTTTTCACCGTAGGCGTCAAGGCGATCGAAATGTCCACTTCCACAAACTACAAAAAGAGTGTTTCAAACCTGCTCTACGAAAGGCCATGTTCATCTCTATGAGTCGAATGGAAATATCCGAAAGAAATTTCTGGGAATGCTGCTGTCTAGTTTTTATACGAATTCCCGCTTCCAACGAAATCCTCAAAGCAATCCAAATATCCACTTGCAGAATCCACAAAAAGAGTGTTTCAAAACTGCTCTATCAATAGAAAGGTTCAACTCTTTTAGTTGAGTACACACATCACAAACAAGTTTCTGAGAATGCTTCTGTCTGGCTTTTATTAGAAGACGTTTCCTTTTCACCAAAGGCATCAAAGCGCTCCAAATGTCCACTTCCAGATTCTTCCAAAAGAGTGTTTCAAACGTGCTCAAAGTAAGGGAATGTTCAACTCTTTGACTTGAATGCAGATATCACCAAGTAGTTTCTAATAGTGCTTCTGTCTAGATTTTAGATGATGATATTCCCGTTTCCAACGAAATCGTTAGAGCTATCCAAATATCCACTTACAGTTTCTATAAAAAGAGTGTTTCCAAACTGCTGCATCAAAAGAAAAGTTCAACTCTGTTAGTTGAGGACACACATCACAAAGAAGTTTGTGAGAATGCTTCCTGTCTAGATTTTGTATGACCATATTCCCTTTTCCAGCGATATCATTAAAGCAATCTAAATATCCATTTGCAGAATCCACAAAAATAGAGTTTCAAAGCTGCTCTGTAAAAAGAAAGGTTCCACTCTGTTAGCTGAGTACACACATCACAAACTTGTTTCTCAGAATCCTCTGTCTCGTTTTTATGGGAAGATATTTACTTTTTCACCGTAGGCATCAAAGCGCTCCAAATGTCCACATCCAGATACTCCAGAAAGAGTGTTTCAAACCTGCTCTATGAAAGGGAGTCTTCAACTCTATGAGTTGAATGCAGACATCAGAAGGAAATTTTCTGAGAATGCTGGCTGTCTACCTTTTATTTGAATTCCCGCTTCCAACGAAATCCTCCAAGCTATCCAAATATCCACCTGCATTTTCCACAAAAAGAGCGTTTCAAAACTGCTCTATTAATAGAAATGTTCAACTCCTTTGGCTGGGTACACACATCACAAACAAGTTTCTGAGAATGCTTCTGTCTAGTTTTTATGGGAAGATATTCCCTTTTTCACCAAAGGCATCAAAGCGCTCCAAATGTCCACTTCCAGACACTACAAAAAGAGTGTTTCCAACGTGCTCTAAGAAAGCGAATGTTCAACTCTGTGACTTGAATGCAGATATCACAAAGTAGTTTCTGAGAGGGCTTCTGTCTAGATTTTAGATGATGATATTCCCGTTTCCAACGAAATCATTAGAGCTATCCAAATATCCACTTACAGTTTCTACAAAAAGAGTGTTTCCAAACTGCTGCATCAAAAGAAAAGTTCAACTCTGTTAGTTGAGGACACACATCACAAAGAAGTTTGTGAGAATGCTTCTGTCTCGTTTTTATGGGAAGATATTTACTTTTTCACCGTAGGCATCAAAGCGCTCCAAATGTCCACATCCAGATACTCCAGAAAGAGTGTTTCAAACCTGCTCTATGAAAGGGAATCTTCAACTCTATGAGTTGAATGCAGACATCAGAAAGTAATTTCTGAGAATGCTGCTGTCTACCTTTTATTTGAATTCCCGCTTCCAACGAAATCCTCCAAGCTATCCAAATATCCACTTGCAGATTCCACAAAAAGAGTGTTTCAAAACTGCTCTCTATCAATGGCAAAGTTCAACTCTGTTAGTTGAGGACACATATCACCAACAAGTTTCTGAGAATGCTTCTGTCTATTTTTTATGGGAAGATATTTCCTTTTTCACCGTAGGCGTCAAGGCGATCGAAATGTCCACTTCCACAAACTACAAAAAGAGTGTTTCAAACCTGCTCTATGAAAGGCCATGTTCATCTCTATGAGTTGAATGGAAATATCCGAAAGAAATTTCCTGGGAATGCTGGCTGTCTAGTTTTTATACGAATTCCCGCTTCCAACGAAATCCTCAAAGCAATCCAAATATCCACTTGCAGAATCCACAAAAAGAGTGTTTCAAAACTGCTCTATCAATAGAAAGGTTCAACTCTTTTAGTTGAGTACACACATCACAAACAAGTTTCTGAGAATGCTTCTGTCTGGCTTTTATTGGAAGACGTTTCCTTTTCACCAAAGGCATCAAAGCGCTCCAAATGTCCACTTCCAGATTCTTCCAAAAGAGTGTTTGAAACGTGCTCAAAGTAAGGGAATGTTCAACTCTGTGACTTGAATGCAGATATCACCAAGTAGTTTGCTAATAGTGCTTCTGTCTAGATTTTAGATGATGATATTCCCGTTTCCAACGAAATCGTTAGAGCTATCCAAATATCCCCTTACAGTTGCTACAAAAACAGTGTTTCCAAACTGCTGCATCAAAAGAAAGGTTCAACTCTGTTAGTTGAGGACACACATCACAAAGAAGTTTGTGAGAATGCTTCTGTCCAGATTTTGTATGACGATATTCCCTTTTCCAACGATATCGTTAAAGCAATCTAAATATCCATTTGCAGAATCCACAAAAATAGAGTTTCAAAGCTGCTCTGTAAAAAGAAAGGTTCCACTCTGTTAGCTGGAGTACACACATCACAAACTTGTCTCTCAGAATCCTTCTGTCTCGTTTTTATGGGAAGATATTTACTTTTTCACCGTAGGCATCAAAGCGCTCCAAATGTCCACATCCAGATACTCCAGAAAGAGTGTTTCAAACCTGCTCTAGGAAAGGGAATCTTCAACTCTATGAGTTGAATGCAGACATCAGAAAGAAATTTCTGAGAATGCTGCTGTCTACCTTTTATTTGAATTCCTGCTTCCAACGAAATCCTCCAAGCTATCCAAATATCCACTTGCATTTTCCACAAAAAGAGTGTTTCAAAACTGCTCTATCAATAGAAATGTTCAACTCCTTTAGCTGGGTACACACATCACAAACAAGTTTCTGAGAATGCTTCTGTCTAGTTTTTATGGGAAGACATTCCCTTTTTCACCAAAGGCATCAAAGCGCTCCAAATGTCCACTTCCAGACACTACAAAAAGAGTGTTTCAAACGTGCTCTAAGAAAGCGAATATTCAACTCTGTGACTTGAATGCAGATATCACAACGTAGTTTCTGAGAGGGCTTCTGTCTAGATTTTAGATGATGATATTCCCGTTTCCAACGAAATCATTAGAGCTATCCAAATATCCACTTACAGTTTCTACAAAAAGAGTGTTTCCAAACTGCTGCATCAAAAGAGAGGTTCCACTCTGTTAGCTGAGTACACACATCACAAAGTTGTTTCTGAGAATCCTTCTGTCGCGTTTTTATGGGAAGATATTTACTTTTTCACCGTAGGCATCAAAGCGCTCCAAATGTCCACATCCAGATACTCCAGAAAGAGTGTTTCAAACCTGCTCTATGAAAGGGAATCTTCAACTCTATGAGTTGAATGCAGACATCAGAAAGAAATTTCTGAGAATGCTGCTGTCTACCTTTTATTTGAATTCCCGCTTCCAACGAAATCCTCCAAGCTATCCAAATATCCACTTGCAGATTCCACAAAAAGAGTGTTTCAAAACTGCTCTCTATCAATGGCAAAGTTCAACTCTGTTAGTTGAGGACACATATCACCAACAAGTTTCTGAGAATGCTTCTGTCTATTTTTTATGGGAAGATATTTCCTTTTTCACCGTAGGCGTCAAGGCGATCGAAATGTCCACTTCCACAAACTACAAAAAGAGTGTTTCAAACCTGCTCTATGAAAGGCGATGTTCATCTCTATGAGTTGAATGGAAATATCCGAAAGAAATTTCTGGGAATGCTGCTGTCTAGTTTTTATATGAATTCCCGCTTCCAACGAAATCCTCAAAGCAATCCAAATATCCACTTGCAGAATCCACAAAAAGAGTGTTTCAAAACTGCTCTATCAATAGAAAGGTTCAACTCTTTTAGTTGAGTACACACATCACAACCAAGTTTCTGAGAATGCTTCTGTCTGGCTTTTATTGGAAGACGTTTCCTTTTCACCAAAGGCATCAAAGCGCTCCAAATGTCCACTTCCAGATTCTTCCAAAAGAGTGTTTCAAACGTGCTCGAAGTAAGGGAATGTTCTACTCTGTGACTTGAATGCAGATATCACCAAGTAGTTTCTAATAGTGCTTCTGTCTACATTTTAGATGATGATATTCCCGTTTCCAACGAAATCGTTAGAGCTATCCAAATATCCAGTTACAGTTTCTACCAAAAGGGTGTTTCCAAATTGCTGCATCAAAAGAAAGGTTCAACTCTGTTAGTTGAGGACACACATCACAAAGAAGTTTGCGAGAATGCTTCTGTCTAGATTTTGTATGACGATATTCCCTTTTCCAACGATATCGTTAAAGCAATCTAAATATCAATTTGCAGAATCCACAAAAATAGAGTTACAAAGCTGCTCTGTAAAAAGAAAGGTTCCACTCTGTTAGCTGAGTACACACATCACAAACTTGTTTCTGAGAATCCTGCTGTCTACCTTTTATTTGAATTCCCGCTTCCAACGAAATCCTCCAAGCTATCCAAATATCCACTTGCATTTTCCACAAAAAGAGTGTTTCAAAACTGCTCTATCAATAGAAATGTTCAACTCCTTTGGCTGGGTACACACATCACAAACAAGTTTCTGAGAATGATTCTGTCTAGTTTTTATGGGAAGACATTTCCTTTTTCACCAAAGGCATCAAAGAGCTCCAAATGTCCACTTCCAGATACTACAAAAAGAGTGTTTCAAAAGTGCTCTAAGAAAACGAATGTTCAACTCTGTGACTTGAAAGCAGATATCACAAAGTAGTTTCTGAGAGTGCTTCTGTCTAGATTTTACATGATGATATTCCCGTTTCCAACGAAATCATTAGAGCTATCCAAATATCCACTTACAGTTTCTACAAAAAGAGTGTTTCCAAACTGCTGCATCAAAAGAGAGGTTCCACTCTGTTAGCTGAGTACACACATCACAAACTTGTTTCTGAGAATCCTTCTGTCTCGTTTTTATGGGAAGATTATACTTTTTCACCGTAGGCATCAAAGCGCTCCAAATGTCCACATCCAGATACTACAGAAAGAGTGTTTCAAACCTGCTCTATGAAAGGGAATGTTCAACTCTATGAGTTGAATGCAGACATCAGAAAGAAATTTCTGAGAATGCTGCTGTCTACCTTTTATTTGAATTCCCGCTTCCAACGAAATCCTCCAAGCTATCCAAATATCCACTTGCAGATTCCACAAAAAGAGTGTTTCAAAACTGCTCTCTATCAATGGCAAAGTTCAACTCTGTTAGTTGAGGACACATATCACCAACAAGTTTCTGAGAATGCTTCTGTCTATTTTTTATGGGAAGATATTCCCTTTTTCACCATAGGCGTCAAGGCGATCAAAATGTCCACTTCCACAAACTACAAAAAGAGTGTTTCAAACCTGCTCTATGAAAGGCCATGTTCATCTCTATGAGTTGAATGGAAATATCCGAAAGAAATTTCTGAAAATGCTGCTGTCTAGTTTTTATACGAATTCCCGCTTCCAACGAAATCCTCAAAGCAATCCAAATATCCACTTGCAGAATCCACAAAAAGAGTGTTGCAAAACTGCTCTATCAATAGAAAGGTTCAACACTTTTAGTTGAGTACACACATCACAAAGAAGTTTCTGAGAATGCTTCTTTCTGGCTTTTATTGGAAGATGTTTCCTTTTCACCAAAGGCATCAAAGAGCTCCAAACGTCCACTTCCAGATTCTTACAAAAGAGTGTTTCAAACGTGCTCAAAGTAAGGGAATGTTCAACTCTGTGACTTGCATGCAGATATCACAAGTAGTTTCTAATAGTGCTTCTGTCTAGATTTTAGATGATGATATTCCCGTTTCCAACGAAATCGTTAGAGCTATCCAAATATCCAGTTACAGTTTCTACCAAAAGGGTGTTTCCAAACTGCTGCATCAAAAGAAAGGTTCAAGTCTGTTAGTTGAGGACACACATCACAAAGAAGTTTGTGAGAATGCTTCTGTCTAGATTTTGTATGACGATATTCCCTTTTCCAACGATATCGTTAAAGCAATCTAAATATCAATTTGCAGAATCCACAAAAATAGACTTTCAAAGCTGCTCTGTAAAAAGAAAGGTTCCACTCTGTTAGCTGAGTACACACATCACAAACTTGTTTCTGAGAATCCTTCTGTCTCGTTTTTCTGGGAAGATATTTACTTTTTCACCGTAGGCATCAAAGCGCTCCAAATGTCCACATCCAGATACTCCAGAAAGAGTGTTTCAAACCTGCTCTATGAAAGGGAATCTTCAACTCTATGAGTTGAATGCAGACATCAGAAAGAAATTTCTGAGAATGCTGCTGTCTACCTTTTATTTGAATTCCCGCTTCCAACTAAATCCTCCAAACTATCCAAATATCCACTTGCAGATTCAGGAAAAAGAGTGTTTCAAAACTGCTCTCTATCAATGGCAAAGTTCAACTCTGTTAGTTGAGGACACATATCACCAACAAGTTTCTGAGAATGCTTCTGTCTATTTTTTATGGGAAGATATTTCCTTTTTCACCGTGGGCGGTCAAGGCGATCGAAATGTCCACTTCCACAAACTACAAAAAGAGTGTTTCAAACCTGCTCTATGAAAGGCCATGTTCATCTCTATGAGTCGAATGGAAATATCCGAAAGAAATTTCTGGGAATGCTGCTGTCTAGTTTTTATACGAATTCCCGCTTCCAACGAAATCCTCAAAGCAATCCAAATATCCACTTGCAGAATCCACAAAAAGAGTGTTTCAAAACTGCTCTATCAATAGAAAGGTTCAACTCTTTTAGTTGAGTACACACATCACAAACAAGTTTCTGAGAATGCTTCTGTCTGGCTTTTATTGGAAGACGTTTCCTTTTCACCAAAGGCATCAAAGCGCTCCAAATGTCCACTTCCAGATTCTTCCAAAAGAGTGTTTGAAACGTGCTCAAAGTAAGGGAATGTTCAACTCTGTGACTTGAATGCAGATATCACCAAGTAGTTTCTAGTAGTGCTTCTGTCTAGATTTTAGATGATGATATTCCCGTTTCCAACGAAATCGTTAGAGCTATCCAAATATCCACTTACAGTTTCTACCAAAAGGGTGTTTCCAAACTGCTGCATCAAAAGAAAGGTTCAACTCTGTTAGTTGAGGACACACATCACAAAGAAGTTTGTCAGAATGCTTCTGTCCAGATTTTGTATGATGATATTCCCTTTTCCAACGATATCGTTAAAGCAATCTAAATATCCATTTGCAGAATCCACAAAAATAGAGTTTCAAAGCTGCTCTGTAAAAAGAAAGGTTCCACTCTGTTAGCTGAGTACACACATCACAAACTTGTTTCTGAGATTCCTCTGTCTCGTTTTTATGGGAAGATATTTACTTTTTCACCGTAGGCATCAAAGCGCTCCAAATGTCCACATCCAGATACTCCAGAAAGACTGTTTCAAACCTGCTCAATGAAAGGGAATCTTCAACTCTATGAGTTGAATGCAGACATCAGAAAGAAATTTCTGAGAATGCTGGCTGTCTACCTTTTATTTGAATTCCGGCTTCCAACGAAATCCTCCAAGCTATCCAAATATCCACTTGCATTTTCCACAACAAGAGTGTTTCAAAACTGCTCTATCAATAGAAATGTTCAACTCCTTTGGCTGGGTACACACATCACAAACAAGTTTCTGAGAATGCTTCTGTCTAGTTTTTATGGGAAGACATTCCCTTTTTCACCAAAGACATCAAAGCGCTCCAAATGTCCACTTCCAGACACTACAAAAAGAGTGTTTCAAACGTGCTCTAAGAAAGCAGAATGTTCAACTCTGTGACTTGAATGCAGATATCACAAAGTAGTTTCTGAGAGGGCTTCTGTCTAGATTTTAGATGATGATATTCCCGTTTCCAACGAAATCATTAGAGCTATCCAAATATCCACTTACAGTTTCTACAAAAAGAGAGTTTCCAAACTGCTGCATCAAAAGAGAGGTTCCACTCTGTTAGCTGAGTACACACATCACAAACTTGTTTCTCACAATCCTTCTGTCTCGTTTTTATGGGAAGATATTTACTTTTTCACCGTAGGCATCAAAGCGCTCCAAATGTCCACATCCAGATACTCCAGAAAGAGTGTTTCAAACCTGCTCTACGAAAGGGAATCTTCAACTCTATGAGTTGAATGCAGACATCAGAAAGAAATTTCTGAGAATGCTGCTGTCTACCTTTTATTTGAATTCCCGCTTCCAACGAAATCTTCCAACCTATCCAAATATCCACCTGCATTTTCCACAAAAAGAGTGTTTCAAAACTGCTCTATCAATAGAAATGTTCAACTCCTTTAGCTAGGTACACACATCACAAACAAGTTTCTGAGAATGCTTCTGTCTATTTTTTATGGGAAGATATTTCCTTTTTCACCGTAGGCGTCAAGGCGATCGAAATGTCCACTTCCACAAACTACAAAAAGAGTGTTTCAAACCTGCTCTATGAAAGGCCATGTTCATCTCTATGAGTTGAATGGAAATATCCGAAAGAAAATTCTGGGAATGCTGCTGTCTAGTGTTTATACGAATTCCCGCTTCCAACGAAATCCTCAAAGCAATCCAAATATCCACTTGCAGAATCCACAAAAAGAGTGTTTCAAAACTGCTCTATCAATAGAAAGGTTCAACTCTTTTAGTTGAGTACACACATCACAAACAAGTTTCTGAGAATGCTTCTGTCTGGCTTTTATTGGAAGACGTTTCCTTTTCACCAAAGGCATCAAAGCGCTCCAAATGTCCACTTCCAGATTCTTCCAAAAGAGTGTTTCAAACGTGCTCAAAGTAAGGGAATGTTCAACTCTGTGACTTGAATGCAGATATCACCAAGTAGTTTCTAATAGTGCTTCTGTCTAGATTTTAGATGATGATATTCCCGTTTCCAACGAAATCGTTAGAGCTAAGCAAATATCCAGTTACAGTTTCTACAAAAAGGGTGTTTCCAAATTGCTGCATCAAAAAAAAGGTTCAACTCTGTTAGTTGAGGACACACACCACAAAGAAGTTTGTGAGAATGCTTCTGTCTAGATTTTGTATGACGATATTCCCTTTTCCAACGATATCGTTAAAGCAATCTAAATATCAATTTGCAGAATCCAGAAAAATAGAGTTTCAAAGCTGCTCTGTAAAAAGAAAGGTTCCACTCTGTTAGCTGAGTACACACATCACAAACTTGTTTCTGAGAATCCTTCTGTCTCGTTTTTATGGGAAGATATTTACTTTTTCACCGTAGGCATCAAAGCGCTCCAAATGTCCACATCCAGATACTCCAGAAAGACTGTTTCAAACCTGCTCTATGAAAGGGAATCTTCAACTCTATGAGTTGAATGCAGACATCAGAAAGAAATTTCTGAGAATGCTGCTGTCTACCTTTTATTTGAATTCCCGCTTCCAACGAAATCCTCCAAGCTATACAAATATCCACTTGCATTTTCCACAAAAAGAGGGTTTCAAAACTGCTCTCTATCAATGCAAAATTCAACTCCTTTAGCTGGGTACACACATCACAAACAAGTTTCTGGGAATGCTTCTGTCTAGTTTTTATGGGAACACATTCCCTTTTTCACCAAAGGCATCAAAGCGCTCCAAATGTCCACTTCCAGACACTACAAAAAGAGTGTTTCCAACGTGCTCTAAGAAAGCGAATGTTCAACTCTGTGACTTGAATGCAGATATCACAAAGTAGTTTCTGAGAGGGCTTCTGTCTAGATTTTAGATGATGATATTCCCGTTTCCAACGAAATCATTAGAGCTATCCAAATATCCACTTACAGTTTCTACAAAAAGAGTGTTTCCAAACTGCTGCATCAAAAAGAGAGGTTCCACTCTGTTAGCTGAGTACACACATCACAAACTTGTTTCTCAGAATCCTTCTGTCTCGTTTTTATGGGAAGATATTTACTTTCTCACCGTAGGCATCAAAGCGCTCCAAATGTCCACATCCAGATACTCCAGAAAGAGTGTTTCAAACCTGCTCTATGAAAGGGAATGTTCAACTCTATGAGTTGAATGCAGACATCAGAAAGAAATTTCTGAGAATGCTGCTGTCTACCTTTTATTTGAATTCCCGCTTCCAACGAAATCCTCCAAGCTATCCAAATATCCACTTGCAGATTCCACAAAAAGAGTGTTTCAAAACTGCTCTCTATCAATGGCAAAGTTCAACTCTGTTAGTTGAGGACACATATCACCAACAAGTTTCTGAGAATGCTTCTGTCTATTTTTTATGGGAAGATATTTCCTTTTTCACCGTAGGCGTCAAGGCGATCGAAATGTCCACTTCCACAAACTACAAAAAGAGTGTTTCAAACCTGCTCTATGAAAGGCCATGTTCATGTCTATGAGTCGAATGGAAATATCCGAAAGAAATTTCTGGGAATGCTGCTGTCTAGTTTTTATACGAATTCCCGCTTCCAACGAAATCCTCAAAGCAATCCAAATATCCACTTGCAGAATCCACAAAAAGAGTGTTTCAAAACTGCTCTATCAATAGAAAGGTTCAACTCTTTTAGTTGAGTACACACATCACAAACAAGTTTCTGAGAATGCTTCTGTCTGGCTTTTATTGGAAGACGTTTCCTTTTCAACAAAGGTATCAAAGCGCTCCAAATGTCCACTTCCAGATTCTTCCAAAAGAGTGTTTCAAACGTGCTCAAAGTAAGGGAATGTTCAACTCTGTGACTTGAATGCAGATATCACCAAGTAGTTTGTAATAGTGCTTCTGTCTAGATTTTAGATGACGATATTCCCGTTTCCAGCGAAATCGTTAGAGCTATCCAAATATCCACTTACAGTTTCTACAAAAAGAGTGTTTCCAAACTGCTGCATCAAAAGAAAGGTTCAACTCTGTTAGTTGAGGACACACATCACAAAGAAGTTTGTGAGAATGCTTCTGTCCAGATTTTGTATGACGATATTCCCTTTTCCAACGATATCGTTAAAGCAATCTAAATATCAATTTGCAGAATCCACAAAAATAGAGTTTCAAAGCTGCTCTGTAAAAAGAAAGGTTCCACTCAGTTAGCTGAGTACACACATCACAAACTTGTTTCAGAGAATCCTTCTGTCTCGTTTTTCTGGGAAGATATTTACTTTTTCACCATAGGCATCAAAGCGCTCCAAATGTCCACATCCAGATACTCCAGAAAGAGTGTTTCAAACCTGCTCTATGAAAGGGAATCTTCAACTCTATGAGTTGAATGCAGACATCAGAAAGAAATTTCTGAGAATGCTGCTGTCTACCTTTTATTTGAATTCCCGCTTCCAACGAAATCCTCCAAGCTATCCAAATATCCACCTGCAATTTCCACAACAAGAGTGTTTCAAAACTGCTCTATCAATAGAAATGTTCAACTCCTTTGGCTGGGTACACACATCACAAACAAGTTTCTGAGAATGCTTCTGTCTACTTTTTAAGGGAAGACATTTCCTTTTTCACCAAAGGCATCAAAGCGTTCCAAATGTCCACTTCCAGATTCTACAAAAAGAGTGTTTCAAACCTGCTCTAAGTAAGGGAGTTTTCAACTCTGTGACTGGAATGCAGATATCACAATGTAGTTTCTGAGACTGCTTCTGTGTATACTTTAGATGAAGATATTCCCGTTTCCAACGATATCGTTAGACCTATCCAAATATCCACTTACAGTTTCTACAAAAAGAGTGTTTCCAAACTGCTGCATCTAAAGAAAGGTTCAACTCTGTTAGTTGAGGACACACATCACAAAGAATTTTCTGAGAAAGCTTCTGTCTCGTTTTTATGGGAAGATTATACTTTTTCGCCGTAGGCATCAAAGCGCTCCAAATGTCCACATCCAGATACTCCAGAAAGAGTGTTTCAAACCTGCTCTATGAAAGGGAATGTTCAACTCTATGAGTTGAATGCAGACATCAGAAAGAAATTTCTGAGAATGCTGCTGTCTACCTTTTATTTGAATTCCCGCTTCCAACGAAATCCTCCAAGCTATCCAAATATCCACTTGCAGATTCCACAAAAAGAGTGTTTCAAAACTGCTCTCTATCAATGGCAAAGTTCAACTCTGTTAGTTGAGGACACATATCACCAACAAGTTTCTGAGAATGCTTCTGTCTATTTTTTATGGGAAGATATTTCCTTTTTCACCGTAGGCGTCAAGGCGATCGAAATGTCCACTTCCACAAACTACAAAAAGAGTGTTTCAAACCTGCTCTATGAAAGGCCATGTTCATCTCTATGAGTCGAATGGAAATATCCGAAAGAAATTTCTGGGAATGCTGCTGTCTAGTTTTTATACGAATTCCCGCTTCCAACGAAATCCTCAAAGCAATCCAAATATCCACTTGCAGAATCCACAAAAAGAGTGTTTCAAAACTGCTCTATCAATAGAAAGGTTCAACTCTTTTAGTTGAGTACACACATCACAAACAAGTTTCTGAGAATGCTTCTGTCTGGCTTTTATTGGAAGATGTTTCCTTTTCACCAAAGGCATCAAAGCGCTCCAAATGTCCACTTCCAGATTCTTCCAAAAGAGTGTTTCAAACGTGCTCAAAGTAAGGGAATGTTCAACTCTGTGACTTGAATGCAGATATCACCAAGTAGTTTCTAATAGTGCTTCTGTCTAGATTTTAGATTATGATATTACCGTTTCCAACGAAATCGTTAGAGCTATCCAAATATCCACTTACAGTTTCTACCAAAAGGGTGTTTCCAAACTGCTGCATCAAAAGAAAGGTTCAACTCTGTTAGTTGAGGACACACATCACAAAGAAGTTTGTGAGAATGCTTCTGTCTAGATTTTGTATGACGATATTCCCTTTTCCAACGATATCGTTAAAGCAATCTAAATATCAATTTGCAGAATCCACAAAAATAGAGTTTCAAAGCTGCTCTGTAAAAAGAAAGGTTCCACTCTGTTAGCTGAGTACACACATCACAAACTTGATTCTGAGAATCCTTCTGTCTCGTTTTTATGGGAAGATATTTACTTTTCCACCGTAGGCATCAAAGCGCTCCAAATGTCCACATCCAGATACTCCAGAACAAGTGTTTCAAACCTGCTCTATGAAAGGGAATCTTCAACTCTATGAGTTGAATGCAGACATCAGAAAGAAATTTCTGAGAATGCTGCTGTCTACCTTTTATTTGAATTCCCGCTTCCAACGAAATCCTCCAAGCTATCCAAATATCCACCTGCATTTTACACAAAAAGAGTGTTTCAAAACTGCTCTATCAATAGAAATGTTCAACTCCTTTGGCTGGGTACACACATCACAAACAAGTTTCTGAGAATGCTTCTGTCTAGTTTTTATGGGTAGACATTCCCTTTTTCACCAAAGGAAACAAAGCGCTCCAAATGTCCACTTCCAGACACTACAAAAAGAGTGTTTCAAACGTGCTCTAAGAAAGCGAATGTTCAACTCTGTGACTTGAATGCAGATATCACAAAGTAGTTTCTGAGAGTGCTTCTGTCTAGATTTTAGATGATGATATTCCCGTTTCCAACGAAATCATTAGAGCTATCCAAATATGCACTTACAGTTTCTACAAAACGAGTGTTTCCAAACTGCTGCATCAAAAGAGAGGTTCCAATCTGTTAGCTGAGTACACACATCACAAACTTGTTTCTCAGAATCCTTCTGTCTCGTTTTTATGGGAAGATTATACTTTTTCACCGTAAGCATCAAAGCGCTCCAAATGTCCACATCCAGATACTCCAGAAAGAGTGTTTCAAACCTGCTCTATGAAAGGGAATCTTCAACTCTATGAGTTGAATGCAGACATCAGAAAGAAATTTCTGAGAATGCTGCTGTCTACCTTTTATTTGAATTCCCGCTTCCAACGAAATCCTCCAAGCTATCCAAATATCCACTTGCAGATTCCACAAAAAGAGTGTTTCAAAACTGCTCTCTATCAATGGCAAAGTTCAACTCTGTTAGTTGAGGACACATATCACCAACAAGTTTGTGAGAATGCTTCTGTCTATTTTTTATGGGAAGATATTTCCTTTTTCACCGTAGGCGTCAAGGCGATCGAAATGTCCACTTCCACAAACTACAAAAAGAGTGTTTCAAACCTGCTCTATGAAAGGCCATGTTCATCTCTATGAGTCGAATGGAAATATCCGAAAGAAATTTCTGGGAATGCTGCTGTCTAGTTTTTATGCGAATTCCCACTTCCAACGAAATCCTCAAAGCAATCCAAATATCCACTTGCAGAATCCACAAAAAGAGTGTTTCAAAACTGCTCTATCAATAGAAAGGTTCAACTCTTTTAGTTGAGTACACACATCACAAACAAGTTTCTGAGAATGCTTCTGTCTGGCTTTTATTGGAAGACGTTTCCTTTTCACCAAAGGCATCAAAACGTTCCAAATGTCCACTTCCAGATTCTTCCAAAAGAGTGTTTCAAACGTGCTCAAAGTAAGGGAATGTTCAACACTGTGACTTGAATGCAGATATCACCAAGTAGTTTCTAATAGTGCTTCTGTCTAGATTTTAGATGATGATATTCCCGTTTCCAACGAAATCGTTAGAGCTATCCAAATATCCACTTACAGTTTCTACAAAAACAGTGTTTCCAAACTGCTGAATCAAAAGAAAAGTTCAACTCTGTTAGTTGAGGACACACATCACAAAGAAGTTTGTGAGAATGCTTCAGTCCAGATTTTGTATGACGATATTCCCTTTTCCAACGATATCGTTAAAGCAATCTAAATATCAATTTGCAGAATCCACAAAAATAGAGTTTCAAAGCTGCTCTGTAAAAAGAAAGGTTCCACTCTGTTAGCTGAGTACACACATCACAAACTTGTTTCTGAGAATCCTTCTGTCTCGTTTTTATGGGAAGATATTTACTTTTTCACCGTAGGCATCAAAGCGCTCCAAATGTCCACATCCAGATACTCCAGAAAGAGTGTTTCAAACCTGCTCTATGAAAGGGAATCTTCAACTCTATGAGTTGAATGGAGACATCAGAAAGAAATTTCTGAGAATGCTGCTGTCTACCTTTTATTTGAATTCACGCTTCCAACGAAATCCTCCAAGCTATCCAAATATCCACTTGCATTTTCCACAAAAAGAGTGTTTCAAAACTGCTCTATCAATAGAAATGTTCAGCTCCTTTAGCTGGGTACACACATCACAAACAAGTTTCTGAGAATGCTTCTGTCTAGTTTTTATGGGAAGACATTTCCTTTTTCACCAAAGGCATCAAAGAGCTCCAAATGTCCACTTCCAGATACGACAAATAGAGTGTTTCAAAAGTGCTCTAAGAAAGCGAATGTTCAACTCTGTGACTTGAATGCAGATATCAAAAAGTAGTTTCTGAGAGTCCTTCTGTCTAGATTTTAGATGATGATATTCCCGTTTCCAACGAAATCATTAGAGCTATCCAAATATCCACTTACAGTTTCTACAAAAAGAGTGTTTCCAAACTGCTGCATCAAAAGAGAGGTTCCACTCTGTTAGCTGAGTACACACATCACAAACTTGTTTCTGAGAATCCTTCTGTGTCGTTTTTATGGGAAGATATTTACTTTTTCACCGTAGGCATCAAAGCGCTCCAAATGTCCACATCCAGATACTCCAGAAAGAGTGTTTCAAACCTGCTCTATGAAAGGGAATCTTCAACTCTATGAGTTGAATGCAGACATCAGAAAGAAATTTCTGAGAATGCTGCTGTCTACCTTTTATTTGAAATCCCGCTTCCAACGAAATCCTCCAAGCTATCCAAATATCCACTTGCAGATTCCACAAAAAGAGTGTTTCAAAACTGCTCTCTATCAATGGCAAAGTTCAACTCTGTTAGTTGAGGACACATATCACCAACAAGTTTCTGAGAATGCTTCTGTCTATTTTTTATGGGAAGATATTTCCTTTTTCACCGTAGGCGTCAAGGCGATCGAAATGTCCACTTCCACAAACTACAAAAAGAGTGTTTCAAACCTGCTCTATGAAAGGCCATGTTCATCTCTATGAGTCGAATGGAAATATCCGAAAGAAATTTCTGGGAATGCTGCTGTCTAGTTTTTATACGAATTCCCGCTTCCAACGAAATCCTCAAAGCAATCCAAATATCCACTTGCAGAATCCACAAAAAGAGTGTTTCAAAACTGCTCTATCAATAGAAAGGTTCAACTCTTTTAGTTGAGTACACACATCACAAACAAGTTTCTGAGAATGCTTTCTGTCTGGCTTTTATTGGAAGACGTTTCCTTTTCACCAAAGGCATCAAAGCGCTCCAAATGTCCACTTCCAGATTCTTCCAAAAGAGTGTTTGAAACGTGCTCAAAGTAAGGGAATGTTCAACTCTGTGACTTGAATGCAGATATCACCAAGTAGTTTGCTAATAGTGCTTTCTGTCTAGATTTTAGATGATGATATTCCCGTTTCCAACGAAATCGTTAGAGCTATCCAAATATCCACTTACAGTTGCTACAAAAACAGTGTTTCCAAACTGCTGCATCAAAAGAAAGGTTCAACTCTGTTAGTTGAGGACACACATCACAAAGAAGTTTGTGAGAATGCTTCTGTCCAGATTTTGTATGACGATATTCCCTTTTCCAACGATATCGTTAAAGCAATCTAAATATCAATTTGCAGAATCCACAAAAATAGAGTTTCAAAGCTGCTCTGTAAAAAGAAAGGTTCCACTCTGTTAGCTGAGTACACACATCACAAACGTGTTTCTGAGAATCCTTCTGTCTCGTTTTTCTGGGAAGATATTTACTTTTTCACCGTAGGCATCAAAGCGCTCCAAATGTCCACATCCAGATACTCCAGAAAGAGTGTTTCAAACCTGCTCTATGAAAGAGAATCTTCAACTCTATGAGTTGAATGCAGACATCAGAAAGAAATTTCTGAGAATGCTGCTGTCTACCTTTTATTTGAATTCCCGCTTCCAACGAAATCCTCCAAGCTATCCAAATATCCACTTGCAGATTCCACAAAAAGAGTGTTTCAAAACTGCTCTCTATCAATGGCAAAGTTCAACTCTGTTAGTTGAGGACACATATCACCAACAAGTTTCTGAGAATGCTTCTGTCTATTTTTTATGGGAAGATATTTCCTTTTTCACCGTAGGCGTCAAGGCGATCGAAATGTCCACTTCCACAAACTACAAAAAGAGTGTTTCAAACCTGCTCTATGAAAGGCCATGTTCATCTCTATGAGTCGAATGGAAATATCCGAAAGAAATTTCTGGGAATGCTGCTGTCTAGTTTTTATACGAATTCCCGCTTCCAACGAAATCCTCAAAGCAATCCAAATATCCACTTGCAGAATCCACAAAAAGAGTGTTTCAAAACTGCTCTATCAATAGAAAGGTTCAACTCTTTTAGTTGAGTACACACATCACAAACAAGTTTCTGAGAATGCTTCTGTCTGGCTTTTATTGGAAGACGTTTCCTTTTCACCAAAGGCATCAAAGCGCTCCAAATGTCCACTTCCAGATTCTTCCAAAAGAGTGTTTGAAACGTGCTCAAAGTAAGGGAATGTTCAACTCTGTGACTTGAATGCAGATATCACCAAGTAATTTCTAATAGTGCTTCTGTCTAGATTTTAGATGATGATATTCCCGTTTCCAACGAAATCGCTAGAGCTATCCAAATATCCAGTTACAGTTTCTACCAAAAGGCTGTTTCCAAATTGCTGCATCAAAAGAAAGTTTCAACTCTGTTAGTTGAGGACACACATCACAAAGAAGTTTGTGAGAATGCTTCTGTCTAGATTTTGTATGACGATATTCCCTTTTCCAACGATATCGTTAAAGCAATCTAAATATCAATTTGCAGAATCCACAAAAATAGAGTTTCAAAGCTGCTCTTTAAAAAGAAAGGTTCCACTCTGTTAGCTGAGTACACACATCACAAACTTGTTTCTGAGAAACCTGCTGTCTACCTTTTATTTGAATTCCCGCTTCCAACGAAATCCTCCAAGCTATCCAAATATCCACTTGCAGATTCCACAAAAAGAGTGTTTCAAAACTGCTCTCTATCAATGGCAAAGTTCATCTCTGTTAGTTGAGGACACATATCACCAACAAGTTTCTGAGAATGCTTCTGTCTATTTTTTATGGGAAGATATTTCCTTTTTCACCGTAGGCGTCAAGGCGATCGAAATGTCCACTTCCACAAACTACAAAAAGAGTGTTTCAAACCTGCTCTATGAAAGGCCATGTTCATCTCTATGAGTCGAATGGAAATATCCGAAAGAAATTTCTGGGAATGCTGCTGTCTAGTTTTTATACGAATTCCCGCTTCCAACGAAATCCTCAAAGCAATCCAAATATCCACTTGCAGAATCCACAAAAAGAGTGTTTCAAAACTGCTCTATCAATAGAAAGGTTCAACTCTTTTAGTTGAGTACACACATCACAAACAAGTTTCTGAGAATGCTTCTGTCTGGCTTTTATTGGAAGACGTTTCCTTTTCAACAAAGGCATCAAAGCGCTCCAAATGTCCACTTCCAGATTCTTCCAAAAGAGTGTTTCAAACGTGGTCGAAGTAAGGGAATGTTCAACTCTGTGACTTGAATGCAGATATCACCAAGTAGTTTCTAATAGTGCTTCTGTCTAGATTTTAGATGATGATATTCCCGTTTCCAACGAAATCGTTAGAGCTATCCAAATATCCACTTACAGTTTCTACCAAAAGGGTGTTTCCAAACTGCTGCATCAAAAGAAAAGTTCAACTCTGTTAGTTGAGGACACACGTCACAAAGCTGTTTGTGAGAATGCTTCTGTCTAGATTTTGTATGACGATATTCCCTTTTCCAACGATATCGTTAAAGCAATCTAAGTATCCATTTGCAGAATCCACAAAAATAGAGTTTCAAAGCTGCTCTGTAAAAAGAAAGGTTCCACTCTGTTAGCTGAGTACACACATCACAAACTTGTTTCTCAGAATCCTTCTGTCTCGTTTTTCTGGGAAGATATTTACTTTTTCACCGTGGGCATCAAAGCGCTCCAAATGTCCACATCCAGATACTCCAGAAAGAGTGTTTCAAACCTGCTCTATGAAAGGGAATCTTCAACTCTATGAGTTGAATGCAGACATCAGAAAGAAATTTCTGAGAATGCTGCTGTCTACCTTTTATTTGAATTCCCGCTTCCAACGAAATCCTCCAAGCTATCCAAATATCCACTTGCAGATTCCACAAAAAGAGTGTTTCAAAACTGCTCTCTATCAATGGCAAAGTTCAACTCTGTTAGTTGAGGACACATATCACCAACAAGTTTCTGAGAATGCTTCTGTCTATTTTTTATGGGAAGATATTTCCTTTTTCACCGTAGGCGTCAAGGCGATCGAAATGTCCACTTCCACAAACTACAAAAAGAGTGTTTCAAACATGCTCTATGAAAGGCCATGTTCATCTCTATGAGTTGAATGGAAATATCCGAAAGAAATTTCTGGGAATGCTGCTGTCTAGTTTTTATACGAATTCCCGCTTCCAACGAAATCCTCAAAGCAATCCAAATATCCACTTGCAGAATCCACAAAAAGAGTGTTTCAAAACTGCTCTATCAATAGAAAGGTTCAACTCTTTTAGTTGAGTACACACATCACAAACAAGTTTCTGAGAATGCTTCTGTCTGGCTTTTATTGGAAGACGTTTCCTTTTCACACAAGGCATCAAAGCGCTCCAAATGTCCACTTCCAGATTCTTCCAAAAGAGTGTTTCAAACGTGCTCAAAGTAAGGGAATGTTCAACTCTGTGACTTGAATGCAGATATCACTAAGTAGTTTCTAATAGTGCTTCTGTCTAGATTTTAGATGATGATATTCCCGTTTCCAACGAAATCGTTAGAGCTATCCAAATATCCAGTTACAGTTTCTACCAAAAGGGTGTTTCCAAATTGCTGCATCAAAAGAAAGGTTCAACTCTGTTAGTTGAGGACACACATCACAAAGAAGTTTGTGAGAGTGCTTCTGTCCAGATTTTGTATGACGGTATTCCCTTTTCCAACGATATCGTTAAAGCAATCTAAATATCAATTTGCAGAATCCACAACAATAGAGTTTCAAAGCTGCTCTGTAAAAAGAAAGGTTCCACTCTGTTAGCTGAGTACACACATCACAAACTTGTTTCTGAGAATCCTTCTGTCTCGTTTTTATGGGAAGATATTTACTTTTCCACCGTAGGCATCAAAGCGCTCCAAATGTCCACATCCAGATACTCCAGAAAGAGTCTTTCAAACCTGCTCTATGAAAGGGAATCTTCAACTCTATGAGTTGAATGCAGACATCAGAAAGAAATTTCTGAGAATGCTGCTGTCTACCTTTTATTTGAATTCCCGCTTCCAACGAAATCCTCCAAGCTATCCAAATATCCACTTGCAGATTCCACAAAAAGAGTGTTTCAAAACTGCTCTCTATCAATGGCAAAGTTCAACTCTGTTAGTTGAGGACACATATCACCAACAAGTTTCTGAGAATGCTTCTGTCTATTTTTTATGGGAAGATATTTCCTTTTTCACCGTAGGCGTCAAGGCGATCGAAATGTCCACTTCCACAAACTACAAAAAGAGTGTTTCAAACCTGCTCTATGAAAGGCGATGTTCATCTCTATGAGTTGAATGGAAATATCCGAAAGAAATTTCTGGGAATGCTGCTGTCTAGTTTTTATATGAATTCCCGCTTCCAACGAAATCCTCAAAGCAATCCAAATATCCACTTGCAGAATCCACAAAAAGAGTGTTTCAAAACTGCGCTATCAATAGAAAGGTTCAACTCTTTTAGTTGAGTACACACATCACAAACAAGTTTCTGAGAATGCTTCTGTCTGGCTTTTATTGGAAGACGTTTCCTTTTCACCAAAGGCATCAAAGCGCTCCAAATGTCCACTTCCAGATTCTTCCAAAAGAGTGTTTCAAACGTGCTCTAAGAAAGCGAATGTTCAACTCTGTGACTTGAATGCAGATATCACAAAGTAGTTTCTGAGAGGGCTTCTGTCTACATTTTAGATGATGATATTCCCTTTTCCAACGAAATCGTTAGAGCTATCCAAATATCCAGTTACAGTTTCTACCAAAAGGGTGTTTCCAAATTGCTGCAACAAAAGAAAGGTTCAACTCTGTTAGTTGAGGACACACATCACAAAGAAGTTTGTGAGAATGCTTCTGTCTAGATTTTGTATGACGATATTCCCTTTTCCAACGATATCGTTAAAGCAATCTAAATATCAATTTGCAGAATCCACAAAACTAGAGTTTCAAAGCTGCTCTGTAAAAAGAAAGGTTCCACTCTGTTAGCTGAGTACACACATCACAAACTTGTTTCTGAGAATCCTTCTGTCTCGTTTTTATGGGAAGATATTTACTTTTCCACCGTAGGCATCAAAGCGCTCCAAATGTGCACATCCAGATACTCCAGAAAGAGTGTTTCAAACCTGCCCTATGAAAGGGAATCTTCAACTCTATGAGTTGAATGCAGACATCAGAAAGAAATTTCTGAGAATGCTGCTGTCTACCTTTTATTTGAATTCCCGCTTCCAACGAAATCCTCCAAGCTATCCAAATATCCACTTGCATTTTCCACAAAAAGAGTGTTTCAAAACTGCTCTATCAATAGAAATGTTCATCTCCTTTAGCTGGGTACACACATCACAAACAAGTTTCTGAGAATGCTTCTGTCTAGTTTTTATGGGAAGACATTCCCTTTTTCACCAAAGGCATCAAAGCGCTCCAAATGTCCACTTCCAGACACTACAAAAAGAGTGTTTCAAACGTGCTCTAAGAAAGCGAAGGTTCAACTCTGTGACTTGAATGCAGATATCACAAAGTAGTTTCTGAGAGGGCTTCTGTCTAGATTTTAGATGATGATATTCCCGTTTCCAACGAAATCATTAGAGCTATCCAAATATCCACTTACAGTTTCTACAAAAAGAGTGTTTCCAAACTGCTGCATCAAAAGAGAGGTTCCACTCTGTTAGCTGAGTACACACATCACAAACTTGTTTCTCAGAATCCTTCTGTCTCGTTTTTATGGGAAGATATTTACTTTTTCACCGTAGGCATCAAAGCGCTCCAAATGTCCACATCCAGATACTCCAGAAAGACTGTTTCAAACCTGCTCCATGAAAGGGAATCTTCAACTCTATGAGTTGAATGCAGACATCAGAAAGAAATTTCTGAGAATGCTGCTGTCTACCTTTTATTTGAATTCCCGCTTCCAACGAAATCCTCCAAGCTATCCAAATATCCACCTGCATTTTCCACAAAAAGAGTGTTTCAAACCTGCTCTATCAATAGAAATGTTCAACTCCTTTGGCTGGGTACACACATCACAAACAAGTTTCTGACAATGCTTCTGTCTAGTTTTTATGGGTAGACATTCCCTTTTTCACCAAAGGAATCAAAGCGCTCCAAATGTCCACTTCCAGACACTACAAAAAGAGTGTTTCAAACGTGCTCTAAGAAAGCGAATGTTCAACTCTGTGACTTGAATGCAGATATCACACAGTAGTTTCTGAGAGTGCTTCTGTCTAGATTTTAGATGATGATATTCCCGTTTCCAACGAAATCATTAGAGCTATCCAAATATCCACTTACAGTTTCTACAAAAAGAGTGTTTCCAAACTGCTGCATCAAAAGAGAGGTTCCACTCCGTTAGCTGAGTACACACATCACAAACTTGTTTCTCAGAATCCTTATGTCTCGTTTTTATGGGAAGATATTTACTTTTTCACCGTAGGCATCAAAGCGCTCCAAATGTCCACATCCAGATACTCCAGAAAGAGTGTTTCAAACCTGCTCTATGAAAGGGAATCTTCAACTCTATGAGTTTAATGCAGACATCAGAAAGAAATTTCTGAGAATGCTGCTGTCTACCTTTTATTTGAATTCCCGCTTCCAACGAAATCCTCCAAGCTATCCAAATATCCACTTGCATTTTCCACAAAAAGAGTGTTTCAAAACTGCTCTATCAATAGAAATGTTCAACTCCTTTAGCTGGGTACACACATCACAAACATGTTTCTGAGAATGCTTCTGTCTACTTCTTAAGGGAAGACATTTCCTTTTTAACCAAAGGCATCAAAGCGCTCCAAATGTCCACTTCCAGATTCTACAAAAAGAGTGTTTCAAACCTGCTCTAAGTAAGGGAGTTTTCAACTCTGTGACTGGAATGCAGATATCACAAAGTAGTTTCTGAGACTGATTCTGTGTATACTTTAGATGAAGGTATTCTCGTTTCCAACGATATCGTTAGACCTACCCAAATATCCACTTACAGTTTCTACAAAAAGAGTGTTTCCAAACTGCTGCATCTAAAGAAAGGTTCAACTCTGTGAGTTGAGGACACACATCACAAAGAAGTTTCTGAGAAAGCTTCTGTCTAGATTTTGTATGAAGATATTCCCTTTTCCATCGATATCGTTAAATCAACCCAAATATCAATTTGCAGAATCCACAGAAATAGAGTTTCAAAGCTGCTCTGTAAAAAGAAAGGATCCACTCTGTTAGCTGAGTACACACATCACAAACTTGTTTCTGAGAATCCTGCTGTCTACCTTTTATTTGAATTCCCGCTTCCAACGAAATCCTCCAAGCTATCCAAATATCCACTTGCAGATTCCACAAAAAGAGTGTTTCAAAACTGCTCTCTATCAATGGCAAAGTTCAACTCTGTTAGTTGAGGACACATATCACCAACAAGTTTCTGAGAATGCTTCTGTCTATTTTTTATGGGAAGATATTTCCTTTTTCACCGTAGGCATCAAGGCGATCGAAATGTCCACTTCCACAAACTACAAAAAGAGTGTTTCAAACCTGCTCTATGAAAGGCCATGTTCATCTCTATGAGTCGAATGGAAATATCCGAAAGAAATTTCTGGGAATGCTGCTGTCTAGTTTTTATACGAATTCCCGCTTCCAACGAAATCCTCAAAGCAATCCAAATATCCACTTGCAGAATCCACAAAAAGAGTGTTTCAAAACTGCTCTATCAATAGAAAGGTTCAACTCTTTTAGTTGAGTACACACATCACAAACAAGTTTCTGAGAATGCTTCTGTCTGGCTTTTATTGGAAGACGTTTCCTTTTCACCAAAGGCATCAAAGCGCTCCAAATGTCCACTTCCAGATTCTTCCAAAAGAGTGTTTGAAACGTGCTCAAAGTAAGGGAATGTTCAACTCTGTGACATGAATGCAGATATCACCAAGTAGTTTCTAATAGTGCTTCTGTCCAGATTTTACAGGATGATATTCCCGTTTCCAACGAAATCGTTAGAGCTATCCAAATATCCACTTACAGTTTCTACAAAAAGAGTGTTTCCAAACTGCTGCATCAAAAGAAAGGTTCAACTCTGTTAGTTGAGGACACACATCACAAAGAAGTTTGTGAGAATCCTTCTGTCTAGATTTTGTATGACGATATTCCCTTTTCCAACGATATCGTTAAAGCAATCTAAATATCCATTTGCAGAATCCACAAAAATAGAGTTTCAAAGCTGCTCTGTAAAAAGAAAGGTTCCACTTCTGTTAGCTGAGTACACACATCACAAACTTGTTTCTCAGAATCCTTCTGTCTCGTTTTTATGGGAAGTATATTTACTTTTCCACCGTAGGCATCAAAGCGCTCCAAATGTCCACATCCAGATACTCCAGAAAGAGTGTTTCAAACCTGCTCTATGAAAGGGAATCTTCAACTCTATGAGTTGAATGCAGACATCAGAAAGAAATTTCTGAGAATGCTGCTGTCTACCATTTATTTGAATTCCCGCTTCCAACGAAATCTTCCAACCTATCCAAATATCCACCTGCATTTTCCACAAAAAGAGTGTTTCAAAACTGCTCTATCAATAGAAATGTTCAACTCCTTTAGCTAGGTACACACATCACAAACAAGTTTCTGAGAATGCTTCTGTCTAGTTTTTATGGGAAGACATTCCCTTTTTCACCAAAGGCATCAAAGCGCTCCAAATGTCCACTTCCAGACACTACAAAAAGAGTGTTTCAAACGTGCTCTAAGAAAGCGAATGTTCAACTCTGTGACTTGAATGCAGATATCACAAAGTAGTTTTTGAGAGGGCTTCTGTCTAGTATTTTAGATGATGATATTCCCGTTTCCAACGAAATCATTAGAGCTATCCAAATATCCACTTACAGTTTCTACAAAAAGAGTGTTTCCAAACTGCTGCATCAAAAGAGAGGTTCCACTCTGTTAGCTGAGTACACACATCACAAACTTGTTTCTGAGAATCCTTCTGTCTAGTTTTTATGGGAAGATATTTACTTTTTCACCGTAGGTATCAAAGCGCTCCAAATGTCCACATCCAGATACTACAGAAAGAGTGTTTCAAACCTGCTCTATGAAAGGGAATCTTCAACTCTATGAGTTGAATGCAGACATCAGAAAGTAATTTCTGAGAATGCTGCTGTCTACCTTTTATTTGAATTCCCGATTCCAACGAAATCCTCCAAGCTATCCAAATATCCACTTGCATTTTCCACAAAAAGAGTTTTTCAAAACTGCTCTATCAATAGAAATGTTCAACTCCTTTAGCTGGGTACACACATCACAAACAAGTTTCTGAGAATGCTTCTGTCTAGTTTTTATGGGAAGACGTTCCCTTTTTCACCAAAGGCATCAAAGCGCTCCAAATGTCCACTTCCAGGCACTACAAAAAGAGTGTTTCCAACGTGCTCTAAGAAAGCGAATGTTCAACTCTGTGACTTGAATGCAGATATCACAAAGTAGTTTCTGAGAGGGCTTCTGTCTAGATTTTACATGATGATATTCCCGTTTCCAACGAAATCATTAGAGCTATCCAAATATCCACTTACAGTTTCTACAAAAAGAGTGTTTCCAAACTGCTGACATCAAAAGAGTGGTTCCACTCTGTTAGCTGAGTACACACATCACAAACTTGTTTCTGAGAATCCTTCTGTCTCGTTTTTATGGGAAGATATTTACTTTTTCACCGTAGGCATCAAAGCGCTCCAAATGTCCACATCCAGATACTACAGAAAGAGTATTTCAAACCTGCCCTATGAAAGGGAATGTTCAACTCTATGAGTTGAATGCAGACATCAGAAAGAAATTTCTGAGAATGCTGCTGTCTACCTTTTATTTGAATTCCCGCTTCCAACGAAATCCTCCAAGCTATCCAAATATCCACTTGCAGATTCCGGAAAAAGAGTGTTTCAAAACTGCTCTCTATCAATGGCAAAGTTCAACTCTGTTAGTTGAGGACACATATCACCAACAAGTTTCTGAGAATGCTTCTGTCTATTTTTTATGGGAAGATATTTCCTTTTTCACCGTAGGCGTCAAGGCGATCGAAATGTCCACTTCCACAAACTACAAAAAGAGTGTTTCAAACCTGCTCTATGAAAGGCCATGTTCATCTCTATGAGTTGAATGGAAATATCCGAAAGAAATTTCTGGGAATGCTGCTGTCTAGTTTTTATACGAATTCCCGCTTCCAACGAAATCCTCAAACAATCCAAATATCCACTTGCAGAATCGACAAAAAGAGTGTTTCAAAACTGCTCTATCAATAGAAAGGTTCAACTCTTTTAGTTGAGTACACACATCACGAACAAGTTTCTGAGAATGCTTCTGTCTGGCTTTTATTGGAAGACGTTTCCTTTTCACCAAAGGCATCAAAGCGCTCCAAATGTCCACTTCCAGATTCTTCCAAAAGAGTGTTTCAAACGTGCTCAAAGTAAGGGAATGTTCAACTCTGTGACTTGAATGCAGATATCACCAAGTAGTTTCTAATAGTGCTTCTGTCTAGATATTAGATGATGATATTCCCGTTTCCAACGAAATCGTTAGAGCTATCCAAATATCCAGTTACAGTTTCTACCAAAAGGGTGTTTCCAAATTGCTGCATCAAAAGAAAGGTTCAACTCTGTTAGTTGAGGACACACATCACAAAGAAGTTTGTGAGAATGCTTCTGTCTAGATTTTGTATGACGATATTCCCTTTTCCAACGATATCGTTAAAGCAATCTAAATATCAATTTGCAGAATCCACAAAAATAGAGTTTCAAAGCTGCTCTGTAAAAAGAAAGGTTCCACTCTGTTAGCTGAGTACACACATTACAAACTTGTTTCTCAGAATCCTCTGTCTCGTTTTTATGGGAAGATATTTACTTTTCCACCGTAGGCATCAAAGCGCTCCAAATGTCCACATCCAGATACTCCAGAAAGAGTGTTTCAAACCTGCTCTATGAAAGGGAATCTTCAACTCTATGAGTTGAATGCAGACATCAGAAAGAAATTTCTGAGAATGCTGGCTGTCTACCTTTTATTTGAATTCCCTCTTCCAACGAAATCCTCCAAGCTATCCAAATATTCACTTGCATTTTCCACAAAAAGAGTGTTTCAAAACTGCTCTATCAATAGAAATGTTCAACTCCTTTAGCTGGGTACACACATCACAAACAAGTTTCTGAGAATGCTTCTGTCTAGTTTTTATGGGAAGACATTCCCTTTTTCACCAAAGACATCAAAGCGCTCCAAATGTCCACTTCCAGACACTACAAAAAGAGTGTTTCCAACGTGCTCTAAGAAAGCGAATGTTCAACTCTGTGACTTGAATGCAGATATCACAAAGTAGTTTCTGAGAGTGCTTCTGTCTAGATTTTAGATGATGATAATCCCGTTTCCAACAAAATCATTAGAGCTATCCAAATATCCACTTACAGTTTCTACAAAAAGAGTGTTTCCAAACTGCTGCATCAAAAGAGAGGTTCCACTCTGTTAGCTGAGTACACACATCACAAACTTGTTTCTCAGAATCCTTCTGTCTCGTTTTTATGGGAAGATATTTACTTTTTCACCGTAGGCATCAAAGCGCTCCAAATGTCCACATCCAGATACTCCAGAAAGAGTGTTTCAAACCTGCTCTATGAAAGGGAATCTTCAACTCTATGAGTTGAATGCAGACATCAGAAAAAATTTCTGAGAATGCTGCTGTCTACCTTTAATTTGAATTCCCGCTTCCAACGAAATCCTCCAAGCTATCCAAATATCCACTTGCAGATTCCACAAAAAGAGTGTTTCAAAACTGCTCTCTATCAATGGCAAAGTTCAACTCTGTTAGTTGAGGACACATATCACCAACAAGTTTCTGAGAATGCTTCTGTCTATTGTTTATGGGAAGATATTTCCTTTTTCACCGTAGGCGTCAAGGCGATCGAAATGTCCACTTCCACAAACTACAAAAAGAGTGTTTCAAACCTGCTCTATGAAGGGCCATGTTCATCTCTATGAGTTGAATGGAAATATCCGAAAGAAATTTCTGGGAATGCTGCTGTCTAGTGTTTATACCGAATTCCCGCTTCCAACGAAATCCTCAAAGCAATCCAAATATCCACTTGCAGAATCCACAAAAAGAGTGTTTCAAAACTGCTCTATCAATAGAAAGGTTCAACTCTTTTAGTTGAGTACACACATCACGAACAAGTTTCTCAGAATGCTTCTGTCTGGCTTTTATTGGAAGACGTTTCCTTTTCACCAAAGGCATCAAAGCGCTCCAAATGTCCACTTCCAGATTCTTCCAAAAGAGTGTTTCAAACGTGCTCAAAGTAAGGGAATGTTCAACTCTGTGACTTGAATGCAGATATCACCAAGTAGTTTCTAATAGTGCTTCTGTCTAGATTTTAGATGATGATATTCCCGTTTCCAACGAAATCGTTAGAGCTATCCAAATATCCACTTACAGTTTCTACAAAAAGAGTGTTTCCAAACTGCTGCATCAAAAGAAAAGTTCAACTCTGTTAGTTGAGGACACACATCACAAAGAAGTTTGTGAGAATGCTTCTGTCTAGATTTTGTATGACCATATTCCCTTTTCCAGCGATATCATTAAAGCAATCTAAATATCCATTTGCAGAATCCACAAAAATAGAGTTCCAAAGCTGCTCTGTAAAAAGAAAGGTTCCACTCTGTTAGCTGAGTACACACATCACAAACTTGTTTCTCAGAATCCTTCTGTCTCGTTATTATGGGAAGATATTTACTTTTTCACCGTAGGCATCAAAGCGCTCCAAATGTCCACATCCAGATACTCCAGAAAGAGTGTTTCAAACCTGCTCTATGAAAGGGAATCTTCAACTCTATGAGTTGAATGCAGACATCAGAAAGAAATTTCTGAGAATGCTGCTGTCTACCTTTTATTTGAACTCCCGCTTCCAACGAAATCCTCCAAGCTATCCAAATATCCACTTGCATTTTCCACAAAAAGAGTGCTTCAAAACTGCTCTATCAATAAATGTTCAACTCCTTTAGCTGGGTGCACACATCACAAACAAGTTTCTGCGAATGCTTCTGTCTAGTTTTTATGGGAAGACATTCCCTTTTTCACCAAAGGCATCAAAGCGCTCCAAATGTCCACTTCCAGACACTACAAAAAGAGTGTTTCAAACGTGCTCTAAGAAAACGAATGTTCAACTCTGTGACTTGAATGCAGATATCACAGAGTAGTTTCTGAGAGGGCTTTCTGTCTAGATTTTAGATGATGATATTCCCGTTTCCAACGAAATCATTAGAGCTATCCAAATATCCACTTACAGTTTCTACAAAAAGAGTGTTTCCAAACTGCTGCTTCAAAAGAGAGGTTCCACTCTGTTAGCTGAGTACACACATCACAAACTTCTTTCTGAGAATCCTTCTGTGTCGTTTTTATGGCAAGATATTTACTTTTTCACCGTAGGCATCAAAGCGCTCCAAATGTCCACATCCAGATACTCCAGAAAGAGTGTTTCAAACCTGCTCTATGAAAGGGAATCTTCAACTCTATGAGTTGAATGCAGACATCAGAAAGAAATTTCTGAGAATGCTGCTGTCTACCTTTTATTTGAATTCCCGCTTCCAACGAAATCCTCCAAGCTATCCAAATATCCACTTGCAGATTCCACAAAAAGAGTGTTTCAAAACTGCTCTCTATCAATGGCAAAGTTCAACTCTGTTAGTTGAGGACACATATCACCAACAAGTTTCTGAGAATGCTTCTGTCTATTTTTTATGGGAAGATATTTCCTTTTTCAGCGTAGGCGTCAAGGCGATCGAAATGTCCACTTCCACAAACTACAAAAAGAGTGTTTCAAACCTGCTCTATGAAAGGCCATGTTCATCTCTATGAGTTGAATGGAAATATCCGAAAGAAATTTCTGGGAATGCTGCTGTCTAGTGTTTATACGAATTCCCGCTTCCAACGAAATCCTCTAAGCAATCCAAATATCCACTTGCAGAATCCACAAAAAGAGTGTTTCAAAACTGCGCTATCAATAGAAAGGTTCAACTCTTTTAGTTGAGTACACACATCACGAACAAGTTTCTGAGAATGCTTCTGTCTGGCTTTTATTGGAAGACGTTTCCTTTTCACCAAAGGCATCAAAGCGCTCCAAATGTCCACTTCCAGATTCTTCCAAAAGAGTGTTTCAAACGTGCTCAAAGTAAGGGAATGTTCAACTCTGTGACTTGAATGCAGATATCACCAAGTAGTTTCTAATAGTGCTTCTGTCTACATTTTAGATGATGATATTCCCGTTTCCAACGAAATCGTTAGAGCTATCCAAATATCCAGTTACAGTTTCTACCAAAAGGGTGTTTCCAAATTGCTGCATCAAAAGAAAGGTTCAACTCTGTTAGTTGAGGACACACATCACAAACAAGTTTGTGAGAATGCTTCTGTCTAGATTTTGTATGACGATATTCCCTTTTCCAACGATATCGTTAAAGCAATCTAAATATCAATTTGCAGAATCCAGAAAAATAGAGTTTCAAAGCTGCTCTGTAAAAAGAAATGTTCCACTCTGTTAGCTGAGTACACACATCACAAACTTGTTTCTGAGAATCCTTCTGTCTCGTTTTTATGGGAAGATATTTCCTTTTCCACCGTAGGCATCAAAGCGCTCCAAATGTCCACATCCAGATACTCCAGAAAGAGTGTTTCAAACCTGCTCTATGAAAGGGAATCTTCAACTCTATGAGTTGAATGCAGACATCAGAAAGAAATTTCTGAGAATGCTGCTGTCTACCTTTTATTTGAATTCCTGCTTCCAACGAAATCCTCCAAGCTATCCAAATATCCACCTGCATTTTCCACAACAAGAGTGTTTCAAAACTGCTCTATCAATAGAAATGTTCAACTCCTTTGGCTGGGTACACACATCACAAACAAGTTTCTGAGAATGCTTCTGTCTAGTTTTTATGGGAAGACATTCCCTTTTTCACCAAAGGCATCAAAGCGCTCCAAATGTCCACTTCCAGACACTACAAAAAGAGTGTTTCAAACGTGCTCTAAGAAAGCGAATGTTCAACTCTGTGACCTGAATGCAGATATCACAAAGTAGTTTCTGAGAGTGCTTCTGTCTAGATTTTAGTTGATGATATTCCCATTTCCAACGAAATCATTAGAGCTATCCAAATATCCACTTACAGTTTCTACAAAAAGAGTGTTTCCAAACTGCTGCATCAGAAGAGAGGTTCCACTCTGTTAGCTGAGTACACACATCACAAACTTGTTTCTGAGAATCCTTCTGTCTCGTTTTTATGGGAAGATATTTACTTTTTCTTCGTAGGCCTCAAAGCGCTCCAAATGTCCACATCCAGATACTACAGAAAGAGTATTTCAAACCTGCCCTATGAAAGGGAATGCTCAACTCTATGAGTTGAATGCAGACATCAGAAAGAAATTTCTGAGAATGCTGCTGTCTACCTTTTATTTGAATTACCGCTTCCAACGAAATCCTCCAAGCTATCCAAATATCCACTTGCAGATTCCACAAAAAGAGTGTTTCAAAACTGCTCTCTATCAATGGCAAAGTTCAACTCTGTTAGTTGAGGACACATATCACCAACAAGTTTCTGAGAGTGCTTCTGTCTATTTTTTATGGGAAGATATTTCCTTTTTCACCGTAGGCGTCAAGGCGATCGAAATGTCCACTTCCACAAACTACAAAAAGAGTGTTTCAAACCTGCTCTATGAAAGGCCATGTTCATCTCTATGAGTTGAATGGAAATATCCGAAAGAAATTTCTGGGAATGCTGCTGTCTAGTTTTTATATGAATTCCCGCTTCCAACGAAATCCTCAAAGCAATCCAAATATCCACTTGCAGAATCCACAAAAAGAGTGTTTCAAAACTGCTCTATCAATAGAAAGGTTCAACTCTTTTAGTTGAGTACACACATCACAAACAAGTTTCTGAGAATGCTTCTGTCTGGCTTTTATTGGAAGACGTTTCCTTTTCACCAAAGGCATCAAAGCGCTCCAAATGTCCACTTCCAGATTCTTCCAAAAGAGTGTTTCAAACGTGGTCGAAGTAAGGGAATGTTCAACTCTGTGACTTGAATGCAGATATCACCAAGTAGTTTCTAATAGTGTTTCTGTCTAGATTTTAGATGATGATATTCCCGTTTCCAACGAAATCGTTAGATCTATCCAAATATCCAGTTACAGTTTCTACAAAAAGAGTGTTTCCAAACTGCTGCATCAAAAGAAAGGTTCAACTCTGTTAGTTGAGGACACACATCACAAAGAAGTTTGTGAGAATGCTTCTGTCTAGATTTTGTATGACGGTATTCCCTTTTCCAACGATATCGTTAAAGCAATCTAAATATCAATTTGCAGAATCCACAACAATAGAGTTTCAAAGCTGCTCTGTAAAAAGAAAGGTTCCACTCTGTTAGCTGAGTACACACATCACAAATTTGTTTCTGAGAATCCTTCTGTCTCGTTTTTATGGGAAGATATTTACTTTTTCACCGTAGGCATCAAAGCGCTCCAAATGTCCACATCCAGATACTCCAGAAAGAGTGTTTCAAACCTGCTCTATGAAAGGGAATCTTCAACTCTATGAGTTGAATGCAGACATCAGAAAGAAATTTCTGAGAATGCTGGCTGTCTACCTTTTATTTGAATTCCCGCTTCCAACGAAAACCTCCAAGCTATCCAAATATCCACTTGCAGATTCCACAAAAAGAGTGTTTCAAAACTGCTCTATCAATAGAAATGTTCAACTCCTTTCGCTGGGTTCACACATCACAAACAAGTTTCTGAGAATGCTTCTGTCTAGTTTTTATGGAAAGACATTTCCTTTTTCACCAAAGGCATCAAAGAGCTCCAAATGTCCACTTCCAGATACTACAAAAAGAGTGTTTCAAAAGTGCTCTAAGAAAGCGAATGTTCAACTCTGTGACTTGAATGCAGATATCACAAAGTAGTTTCTGAGAGTGCTTCTGTCTAGATTTTAGATGATGATATTCCCGTTTCCAACGAAATCATTAGAGCTTTCCAAATATCCACTTACAGTTTCTACAAAAAGAGTGTTTCCAAACTGCTGCGTCAAAAGAGAGGTTCCACTCTGTTAGCTGAGTACACACATCACAAACTTGTTTCTGAGAATCCTTCTGTCTAGTTTTTATGGGAAGATATTTACTTTTTCACCGTAGGCATCAAAGCGTTACAAATGTCCACATCCAGATAGTACAGAAAGAATGTTTCAAACCTGCTCTATGAAAGGGAATGTTCAACTCTATGAGTTGAATGCAAACATCACAAAGAAATTTCTGAGAATGCTGCTGTCTACCTTTTATTTGAATTCCCGCTTCCAACGAAATCCTCCAAGCTATCCAAATATCCACTTGCAGATTCCACAAAAAGAGTGTTTCAAAACTGCTCTCTATCAATGGCAAAGTTCAACTCTGTTAGTTGAGGACACATATCACCAACAAGTTTCTGAGAATGCTTCTGTCTATTTTTTATGGGAAGATATTTCCTTTTTCACCGTAGGCGTCAAGGCGATCGAAATGTCCACTTCCACAAACTACAAAAAGAGTGTTTCAAACCTGCTCTATGAAAGGCCATGTTCATCTCTATGAGTTGAATGGAAATATCCGAAAGAAATTTCTGGGAATGCTGCTGTCTAGTGTTTATACCAAATTCCCGCTTCCAACGAAATCCTCAAAGCAATCCAAATATCCACTTGCAGAATCCACAAAAAGAGTGTTTCAAAACTGCTCTATCAATAGAAAGGTTCAACTCTTTTAGTTGAGTACACACATCACGAACAAGTTTCTGAGAATGCTTCTGTCTGGCTTTTATTGGAAGACGTTTCCTTTTCACCAAAGGCATCAAAGCGCTCCAAATGTCCACTTCCAGATTCTTCCAAAAGAGTGTTTCAAACGTGCTCAAAGTAAGGGAATGTTCAACTCTGTGACTTGAATGCAGATATCACCAAGTAGTTTCTAATAGTGCTTCTGTCTAGATTTTAGATGATGATATTCCCGTTTCCAACGAAATCGTTAGAGCTATCAAAATATCCACTTACAGTTTCTACCAAAAGGGTGTTTCCAAACTGCTGCATTAAAAGAAAGGTTCAACTCTGTTAGTTGAGGACACACATCACAAAGAAGTTTGTGAGAATGCTTCTGTCTAGATTTTGTATGACGATATTCCCTTTTCCAACGATATCGTTAAAGCAATCTCAATATCAATTTGCAGAATCCACAAAAATAGAGTTTCAAAGCTGCTCTGTAAAAAGAAAGGTTCCACTCTGTTAGCTGAGTACACACATCACAAACTTGTTTCTGAGAATCCTTCTGTCTCGTTTTTATGGGAAGATATTTACTTTTTCACCGTAGGCATCAAAGCCCTCCAAATGTCCACATCCAGATACTCCAGAAACAGTGTTTCAAACCTGCTCTATGAAAGGGAATCTTCAACTCTATGAGTTGAATGCAGACATCAGAAAGAAATTTCTGAGAATGCTGCTGTCTACCTTTTATTTGAATTCCCGCTTCCAACGAAATCCTCCAAGCTATCCAAATATCCACCTGCATTTTCCACAACAAGAGTGTTTCAAAACTGCTCTATCAATAGAAATGTTCAACTCCTTTGGCTGGGTACACACATCACAAACAAGTTTGTGAGAATGCTTCTGTCTAGTTTTTATGGGTAGACATTCCCTTTTTCACCAAAGGCATCAAAGCGCTCCAAATGTCCACTTCCAGACACTACAAAAAGAGTGTTTCAAACGTGCTCTAAGAAAGCGAATGTTCAACTCTGTGACTTGAATGCAGATATCACAAAGTAGTTTCTGAGAGGGCTTCTGTCTAGATTTTAGATGATGATATTCCCGTTTCCAACCGAAATCATTAGAGCTATCCAAATATCCACTTACAGTTTCTACAAAAAGAGTGTTTCCAAACTGCTGCATCAAAAGAGAGGTTCCACTCTGTTAGCTGAGTACACACATCACAAACTTGTTTCTCAGAATCCTTCTGTCTCGTTTTTATGGGAAGATATTTACTTTTTCACCGTAGGCATCAAACCGCTCCAAATGTCCACATCCAGATACTCCAGAAAGAGTGTTTCAAACCTGCTCTATGAAAGGGAATCTTCAACACTATGAGTTGAATGCAGACATCAGAAAGAAATTTCTGAGAATGCTGCTGTCTACCTTTTATTTGAATTCCCGCTTCCAACGAAATCCTCCAAGCTATCCAAATATCCACTTGCAGATTCCACAAAAAGAGTGTTTCAAAACTGCTCTCTATCAATGGCAAAGTTCAACTCTGTTAGTTGAGGACACATATCACCAACAAGTTTCTGAGAATGCTTCTGTCTATTTTTTATGGGAAGATATTTCCTTTTTCACCGTAGGCGTCAAGGCGATCGAAATGTCCACTTCCACAAACTACAAAAAGAGTGTTTCAAACCTGCTCTATGAAAGGCCATGTTCATCTCTATGAGTCGAATGGAAATATCCGAAAGAAATTTCTGGGAATGCTGCTGTCTAGTTTTTATACGAATTCCTGCTTCCAACGAAATCCTCAAAGCAATCCAAATATCCACTTGCAGAATCCACAAAAAGAGTGTTTCAAAACTGCTCTATCAATAGAAAGGTTCAACTCTTTTAGTTGAGTACACACATCACAAACAAGTTTCTGTTAATGCTTCTGTCTGGCTTTTATTGGAAGACGTTTCCTTTTCACCAAAGGCATCAAAGCGCTCCAAATGTCCACTTCCAGATTCTACCAAAAGAGTGTTTCAAACGTGCTCATAGTAAGGGAATGTTCAACTCTGTGACTTGAATGCAGATATCACCAAGTAGTTTCTAATAGTGCTTCTGTCTAGATTTTAGATGATGATATTCCCGTTTCCAACGAAATCGTTAGAGCTATCCAAATATCCACTTACAGTTGCTACAAAAACAGTGTTTCCAAACTGCTGCATCAAAAGAAAGGTTCAACTCTGTTAGTTGAGGACACACATCACAAAGAAGTTTGTGAGAATGCTTCTGTCTAGATTTTGTATGACGATATTCCCTTTTCCAACGATATCGTTAAAGCAATCTAAATATCCATTTGCAGAATCCACAAAAATAGAGTTTCAAAGCTGCTCTGTAAAAAGAAAGGTTCCACTCTGTTAGCTGAGTACACACATCGCAAACTTGTTTCTCAGAATCCTGCTGTCTACCTTTTATTTGAATTCCCGCTTCCAACGAAATCCTCCAAGCTATCCAAATATCCACTTGCATTTTCCACAAAAAGAGTGTTTCAAAACTGCTCTATCAATAGAAATGTTCAACTCCTTTAGTTGGGTACACACATCACAAACAAGTTTCTGAGAATGCTTGTGTCTAGTTTTTATGGGAAGACATTCCCTTTTTCACCAAAGGCATCAAAGCGCTCCAAATGTCCACTTCCAGACACTACAAAAAGAGTGTTTCCAACGTGCTCTAAGAAAGCGAATATTCAACTCTGTGACTTGAATGCAGATATCACAAAGTAGTTTCTGAGAGTGCTTCTGTCTAGATTTTAGATGATGATATTCCCGTTTCCAACAAAATCATTAGAGCTTCCAAATATCCACTTACAGTTTCTACAAAAAGAGTGTTTCCAAACTGCTGCATCAAAAGAGAGGTTCCACTCTGTTAGCTGAGTATACACATCACAAACTTGTTTCTCAGAATCCTTCTGTCTCGTTTTTATGGGAAGATATTTACTTTTTCACCGTAGGCATCAAAGCGCTCCAAATGTCCACATCCAGATACTCCAGAAAGAGTGTTTCAAACCTGCTCTATGAAAGGGAATCTTCAACTCTATGAGTTGAATGCAGACATCAGAAAAAAATTTCTGAGAATGCTGCTGTCTACTTTTTATTTGAATTCCCGCTTCCAACGAAATCCTCCAAGCTATCCAAATATCCACTTGCAGATTCCACAAAAAGAGTGTTTCAAAACTGCTCTCTATCAATGGCAAAGTTCAACTCTGTTAGTTGAGGACACATATCACCAACAAGTTTCTGAGAATGTTTCTGTCTATTTTTTATGGGAAGATATTTCCTTTTTCACCGTAGGCGTCAAGGCGATCGAAATGTCCACTTCCACAAACTACAAAAAGAGTGTTTCAAACCTGCTCTATGAAAGGCCATGTTCATCTCTATGAGTTGAATGGAAATATCCGAAAGAAATTTCTGGGAATGCTGCTGTCTAGTTTTTATACGAATTCCCGCTTACAACAAAATCCTCAAAGCAATCCAAATATCCACTTGCAGAATCCACAAAAAGAGTGTTTCAAAACTGCTCTATCAATAGAAAGGTTCAACTCTTTTAGTTGAGTACACACATCACAAACAAGTTTCTGAGAATGCTTCTGTCTGGCTTTTATTGGAAGACGTTTCCTTTTCACCAAAGGCATCAAAGCGCTCCAAATGTCCACTTCCAGATTCTTCCAAAAGAGTGTTTCAAACGTGCTCAAAGTAAGGGAATGTTCAACTCTGTGACTTGAATGCAGATATCACCAAGTAGTTTCTAATAGTGCTTCTGTCTAGATTTTAGATGATGATATTCCCGTTTCCAACGAAATCTTTAGAGCTATCCAAATATCCACTTACAGTTTCTACAAAAAGAGTGTTTCCAAACTGCTGCATCAAAAGAAAGGTTCAACTCTGTTAGTTGAGGACACACATCACAAAGAAGTTTGTGAGAATGCTTCTGTCTAGATTTTGTATGACGATATTCCCTTTTCCAACGATATCGTTAAAGCAATCTAAATATCAATTTGCAGAATCCACAAAACTAGAGTTTCAAAGCTGCTCTGTAAAAACAAAGGTTCCACTCTGTTAGCTGAGTACACACATCACAAACTTGTTTCTGAGAATCCTTCTGTCTCGTTTTTATGGGAAGATATTTACTTTTCCACCGTAGGCATCAAAGCGCTCCAAATGTCCACATCCAGATACTCCAGAACGAGTGTTTCAAACCTCCTCTATGAAAGGGAATCCTCAACTCTATGAGTTGAATGCAGACATCAGAAAGAAATTTCTGAGAATGCTGCTGTCTACCTTTTATTTGAATTCCCGCTTCCAACGAAATCCTCCAAGCTATCCAAATATCCACCTGCATTTTCCACAACAAGAGTGTTTCAAAACTGCTCTATCAATAGAAATGTTCAACTGCTTTGGCTGGGTACACACATCACAAACAAGTTTCTGAGAATGCTTCTGTCTAGTTTTTATGGGAAGACATTCCCTTTTTCACCAAAGGCATCAAAGCGCTCCAAATGTCCACTTCCAGACACTACAAAAAGAGTGTTTCAAACGCGCTCTAAGAAAGCGAATGTTCAACTCTGTGACTTGAATGCAGATATCACAAAGTAGTTTCTGAGAGTGCTTCTGTCTAGATTTTAGATGATGATATTCCCGTTTCCAACGAAATCATTAGAGCTATCCAAATATCCACTTACAGTTTCTACAAAAAGAGTGTTTCCAAACTGCTGCATCAAAGGAGAGGTTCCAATCTGTTAGCTGAGTACAAACATCACAAACTTGTTTCTCAGAATCCTGCTGTCTACCTTTTATTTGAATTCCCGCTTCCAACGAAATCCTCCAAGCTATCCAAATATCCACTTGCAGATTCCACAAAAAGAGTGTTTCAAAACTGCTCTCTATCAATGGCAAAGTTCAACTCTGTTAGTTGAGGACACATATCACCAACAAGTTTCTGAGAATGCTTCTGTCTATTTTTTATGGGAAGATATTTCCTTTTTCAGCGTAGGCGTCAAGGCGATCGAAATGTCCACTTCCACAAACTACAAAAAGAGTGTTTCAAACCTGCTCTATGAAAGGCCATGTTCATCTCTATGAGTTGAATGGAAATATCCGAAAGAAATTTCTGGGAATGCTGCTGTCTAGTGTTTATACGAATTCCCGCTTCCAACGAAATCCTCAAAGCAATCCAAATATCCACTTGCAGAATCCACAAAAAGAGTGTTTCAAAACTGCTCTATCAATAGAAAGGTTCAACCCTTTTAGTTGAGTACACACATCACGAACAAGTTTCTGAGAATGCTTCTCTCTGGCTTTTATTGGAAGACGTTTCCTTTTCACCAAAGGCATCAAAGCGCTCCAAATGTCCACTTCCAGATTCTTCCAAAAGAGTGTTTCAAACGTGCTCAAAGTAAGGGAATGTTCAACTCTGTGACTTGAATGCAGATATCACCAAGTAGTTTCTAATAGTGCTTCTGTCTACATTTTAGATGATTATATTCCCGTTTCCAACGAAATCGTTAGAGCTATCCAAATATCCAGTTACAGTTTCTACCAAAAGGGTGTTTCCAAATTGCTGCATCAAAAGAAAGGTTCAACTCTGTTAGTTGAGGACACACATCACAAAGAAGTTTGTGAGAATGCTTCTGTCCAGATTTTGTATGACGATATTCCCTTTTCCAATGATATCGTTAAAGCAATCTAAATATCAATTTGCAGAATCCACAAAAATAGAGTTTCAAAGCTGCTCTGTAAAAAGAAAGGTTCCACTCTGTTAGCTGAGTACACACATCACAAACTTGTTTCTGAGAATCCTCTGTCTCGTTTTTATGGGAAGATATTTACTTTTCCACCGTAGGCATCAAAGCGCTCCAAATGTCCACATCCAGATACTCCAGAACGAGTGTTTCAAACCTGCTCTATGAAAGGGAATCTTCAACTCTATGAGTTGAATGCAGACATCAGAAAGAAATTTCTGAGAATGCTGGCTGTCTACCTTTTATTTGAATTCCCGCTTGCAACGAAATCCTCCAAGCTATCCAAATATCCACCTGCATTTTCCACAACAAGAGTGTTTCAAAACTGCTCTATCAATAGAAATGTTCAACTCCTTTGGCTGGGTACACACATCACAAACAAGTTTCTGAGAATGCTTCTGTCTAGTTTTTATGGGAAGACATTTCCTTTTTCACCAAAGGCATCAAAGAGCTCCAAATGTCCACTTCCAGATACTACAAAAAGAGTGTTTCAAAAGTGCTCTCAGAAAGCGCATGTTCAACTCTGTGACTTGAATGCAGATATCAAAAAGTAGTTTCTGAGAGTGCTTCTGTCTAGATTTTAGATGATGATATTCCCGTTTCCAACGAAATCATTAGAGCTATCCAAATATCCACTTACAGTTTCTACAAAAAGAGTGTTTCCAAACTGCTGCATCAAAAGAGAGGTTCCACTCTGTTAGCTGAGTACACACATCACAAACTTGTTTCTGAGAATCCTTCTGTGTCGTTTTTATGGGAAGATATTTACTTTTTCACCGTAGGCATCAAAGCGCTCCAAATGTCCACATCCAGATACTCCAGAAAGAGTGTTTCAAACCTGCTCTATGAAAGGGAATCTTCAACTCTATGAGGTTGAATGCAGACATCAGAAAGAAATTTCTGAGAATGCTGCTGTCTACCTTTTATTTGAATTCCCGCTTCCAACGAAATCCTCCAAGCTATCCAAATATCCACTTGCAGATTCCACAAAAAGAGTGTTTCAAAACTGCTCTCTATCAATGGCAAAGTTCAACTCTGTTAGTTGAGGACACATATCACCAACAAGTTTCTGAGAATGCTTCTGTCTATTTTTTATGGGAAGATATTTCCTTTTTCACCGTAGGCGTCAAGGCGATCGAAATGTCCACTTCCACAAACTACAAAAAGAGTGTTTCAAACCTGCTCTATGAAAGGCCATGTTCATCTCTATGAGTCGAATGGAAATATCCGAAAGAAATTTCTGGGAATGCTGCTGTCTAGTGTTTATATGAATTCCCGCTTCCAACGAAATCCTCAAAGCAATCCAAATATCCACTTGCAGAATCCACAAAAAGAGTGTTTCAAAACTGCTCTATCAATAGAAAGGTTCAACTCTTTTAGTTGAGTACACACATCACAAAAAAGTTTCTGAGAATGCTTCTGTCTGGCTTTTATTGGAAGACGTTTCCTTTTCACCAAAGGCATCAAAGCGCTCCAAATGTCCACTTCCAGATTCTTCCAAAAGAGTGTTTGAAACGTACTCAAAGTAAGGGAATGTTCAACTCTGTGACTTGAATGCAGATATCACCAAGTAGTTTCTAATAGTGCTTCTGTCTAGATTTTAGATGATGATATTCCCGTTTCCAACGAAATCGTTAGAGCTATCCAAATATACAGTTACAGTTTCTACCAAAAGGGTGTTTGCAAACTGCTGCATCAAAAGAAAGGTTCAACTCTGTTAGTTGAGGACACACATCACAAAGAAGTTTGTGAGAATGCTTCTGTCCAGATTTTGTATGACGATATTCCCTTTTCCAACGATATCATTAAAGCAATCTAAATATCCATTTGCAGAATCCACAAAAATAGAGTTTCAAAGCTGCTCTGTAAAAAGAAAGGTTCCACTCTGTTAGCTGAGTACACACATCACAAACTTGTTTCTCAGAATCCTGCTGTCTACCTTTTATTTGAATTCCCGCTTCCAACGAAATCCTCCAAGCTATCCAAATATCCACTTGCAGATTCCACAAAAAGAGTGTTTCAAAACTGCTCTCTATCAATGGCAAAGTTCAACTCTGTTAGTTGAGGACACATATCACCAACAAGTTTCTGAGAATGCTTCTGTCTATTTTTTATGGGAAGATATTTCCTTTTTCAGCGTAGGCGTCAAGGCGATCGAAATGTCCACTTCCACAAACTACAAAAAGAGTGTTTCAAACCTGCTCTATGAAAGGCCATGTTCACCTCTATGAGTTGAATGGAAATATCCGAAAGAAATTTCTGGGAATGCTGCTGTCTAGTTTTTATATGAATTCCCGCTTCCAACGAAATCCTCAAAGCAATCCAAATATCCACTTGCAGAATCCACAAAAAGAGTGTTTCAAAACTGCTCTATCAATAGAAAGGTTCACCTCTTTTAGTTGAGTACACACATCACAAACAAGTTTCTGAGAATGCTTCTGTCTGGCTTTTATTGGAAGACGTTTCCTTTTCACCAAAGGCATCAAAGCGCTCCAAATGTCCACTTCCAGATTCTTCCAAAAGAGTGTTTGAAACGTGCTCAAAGTAAGGGAATGTTCAACTCTGTGACTTGAATGCAGATATCACCAAGTAGTTTCTAATAGTGTTTCTGTCTAGATTTTAGATGATGATATTCCCGTTTCCAATGAAATCGTTAGAGCTATCCAAATATCCACTTACAGTTTCTACAAAAACAGTGTTTCCAAACTGCTGCATCAAAAGAAAAGTTCAACTCTGTTAGTTGAGGACACACATCACAAAGAAGTTTGTGAGAATGCTTCTGTCTAGATTTTGTATGACGATATTCCCTTTTCCAATGATATCGTTAAAGCAATCTAAATATCAATTTGCAGAATCCACAACAATAGAGTTTCAAAGCTGCTCTGTAAAAAGAAAGGTTCCACTCTGTTAGCTGAGTACACACATCACAAACTTGTTTCTGAGAATCCTTCTGTCTCGTTTTTATGGGAAGATATTTACTTTTTCACCGTAGGCATCAAAGTGCTCCAAATGTCCACATCCAGATACTCCAGAAAGAGTGTTTCAAACCTGCTCTATGAAAGGGAATGTTCAACTCTATGAGTTGAATGCAGACATCAGAAAGAAATTTCTGAGAATGCTGCTGTCTACCTTTTATTTGAATTCCCGCTTCCAACGAAATCCTCCAAGCTATCCAAATATCCACTTGCAGATTCCACAAAAAGAGTGTTTCAAAACTGCTCTCTATCAATGGCAAAGTTCAACTCTGTTAGTTGAGGACACATATCACCAACAAGTTTCTGAGAATGCTTCTGTCTATTTTTTATGGGAAGATATTTCCTTTTTCACCGTAGGTGTCAAGGCGATCGAAATGTCCACTTCCACAAACTACAAAAAGAGTGTTTCAAACCTGCTCTATGAAAGGCCATGTTCATCTCTATGAGTCGAATGGAAATATCCGAAAGAAATTTCTGGGAATGCTGCTGTCTAGTTTTTATACCGAATTCCCGCTTCCAACGAAATCCTCAAAGCAATCCAAATATCCACTTGCAGAATCCACAAAAAGAGTGTTTCAAAACTGCTCTATCAATAGAAAGGTTCAACTCTTTTAGTTGAGTACACACATCACAAACAAGTTTCTGAGAATGCTTCTGTCTGGCTTTTATTGGAAGACGTTTCCTTTTCACCAAAGACATCAAAGCGCTCCAAATGTCCACTTCCAGATTCTTCCAAAAGAGTGTTTCAAACGTGCTCAAAGTAAGGGAATGTTCAACTCTGTGACTTGAATGCAGATATCACCAAGTAGTTTCTAATAGTGCTTCTGTGTATACTTTAGATGAAGGTATTCCCGTTTCCAATGATATCGTTAGACCTACCCAAATATCCACTTACAGTTTCTACAAAAAAAGTGTTTCCAAACTGCTGCATCTAAAGAAAGGTTCAACTCTGTGAGTTGAGGACACACATCACAGAGAAGTTTCTGAGAAAGCTTCTGTCCAGATTTTGTATGACGATATTCCCTTTTCCAACGATATCGTTAAAGCAATCTAAATATCCATTTGCAGAATCCACAAAAATAGAGTTTCAAAGCTGCTCTGTCAAAAGAAAGGTTCCACTCTGTTAGCTGAGTACACACATCACAAACTTGTTTCTGAGAATCCTTTCTGTCTCGTTTTTCTGGGAAGATATTTACTTTTTCACCGTAGGCATCAAAGCGCTCCAAATGTCCACATCCAGATACTCCAGAAAGAGTGTTTCAAACCTGCTCTATGAAAGGGAATCTTCAACTCTATGAGTTGAATGCAGACATCAGAAAGAAATTTCTGAGAATGCTGCTGTCTACCTTTTATTTGAACTCCCGCTTCCAACGAAATCCTCCAAGCTATCGAAATATCCACTTGCATTTTCCACAAAAAGAGTGCTTCAAAACTGCTCTATCAATAGAAATGTTCAACTCCTTTAGCTGGGTGCACACATCACAAACAAGTTTCTGAGAATGCTTCTGTCTATTTTTTATGGGAAGATATTTCCTTTTTCACTGTAGGCGTCAAGGAGATCGAAATGTCCACTTCCACAAACTACAAAAAGAGTGTTTCAAACCTGCTCTATGAAAGGCGATGTTCATCTCAATGAGTTGAATGGAAATATCCGAAAGAAATTTCTGGGAATGCTGCTGTCTAGTTTTTATATGAATTCCCGCTTCCAACGAAATCCTCAAAGCAATCCAAATATCCACTTGCAGAATCCACAAAAAGAGTGTTTCAAAACCGCTCTATCAATAGAAAGGTTCAACTCTTTTAGTTGAGTACACACATCACAAACAAGTTTCTGAGAATGCTTCTGTCTGGCTTTTATTGGAAGACGTTTCCTTTTCACCAAAGGCATCAAAGTGCTCCAAATGTCCACTTCCAGATTCTTCCAAAAGAGTGTTTCAAACGTGGTCGAAGTAAGGGAATGTTCTACTCTGTGACTTGAATGCAGATATCACCAAGTAGTTTCTAATAGTGCTTCTGTCTAGATTTTAGATGATGATATTCCCGTTTCCAACGAAATCGTTAGATCTATCCAAATATCCACTTACAGTTGCTACAAAAACAGTGTTTCCAAACTGCTGCATCAAAAGAAAGGTTCAACTCTGTTAGTTGAGGACACACGTCACAAAGAAGTTTGTGAGAATGCTTCTGTCTAGATTTTGTATGAAGATATTCCCTTTTCCAACGATATCGTTAAATCAACCCAAATATCAATTTGCAGAATCCACAGAAATAGAGTTTCAAAGCTGCTCTGTAAAAAGAAAGGATCCACTCTGTTAGCTGAGTACACACATCACAAACTTGTTTCTGAGAATACTCTGTCTCGTTTTTATGGGAAGATATTTACTTTTCACCGTAGGCATCAAAGCGCTCCAAATGTCCACATCCAGATACTCCAGAAAGAGTGTTTCAAACCTGCTCTATGAAAGGGAATCTTCAACTCTATGAGTTGAATGCAGACATCAGAAAGAAATTTCTGAGAATGCTGCTGTCTACCTTTTATTTGAATTCCCGCTTCCAACGAAATCCTCCAAGCTATCCAAATATCCACTTGCAGATTCCACAAAAAGAGTGTTTCAAAACTGCTCTCTATCAATGGCAAAGTTCAACTCTGTTAGTTGAGGACACATATCACCAACAAGTTTCTGAGAATGCTTCTGTCTATTTTTTATGGGAAGATATTTCCTTTTTCACCGTAGGCGTCAAGGCGATCGAAATGTCCACTTCCACAAACTACAAAAAGAGTGTTTCAAACCTGCTCTATGAAAGGCCATGTTCTTCTCTATGAGTTGAATGGAAATATCCGAAAGAAATTTCTGGTAATGCTTCTGTCTGGCTTTTATTGGAAGACGTTTCCTTTTCACCAAAGGCATCAAAGCGCTCCAAATGTCCACTTCCAGATTCTTCCAAAAGAGTGTTTCAAACGTGCTCGAAGTAAGGGAATGTTCAACTCTGTGACTTGAATGCAGATATCACCAAGAAGTTTCTAATAGTGCTTCTGTCTAGATTTTAGATGATGATATTCCCGTTTCCAACGAAATCGTTAGAGCTATCCAAATATCCACTTACAGTTTCTACCAAAAGGGTGTTTCCAAACTGCTGCATCAAAAGAAAGGTTCAACTCTGTTAGTTGAGGACACACATCACAAAGAAGTTTGTGAGAATTCTTCTGTCCAGATTTTGTATGACCATATTCCCTTTTCCAACGATATCGTTAAAGCAATCTAAATATCCATTTGCAGAATCCACAAAAATAGAGTTTCAAAGCTGCTCTGTAAAAAGAAAGGTTCCACTCTGTTAGCTGAGTACACACATCACAAACTTGTCTCTCAGAATCCTGCTGTCTACCTTTTATTTGAATTCCCGCTTCCAACGAAATCCTCCAAGCTATCCAAATATCCACCTGCATTTTCCACAACAAGAGTGTTTCAAAACTGCTCTATCAATAGAAATGTTCAACTCCTTTGGCTGTGTACACACATCACAAACAAGTTTCTGAGAATGCTTCTGTCTAGTTTTTATGGGAAGACGTTCCCTTTTTCACCAAAGGCATCAAAGCGCTCCAAGTGTCCACTTCCAGACACTACAAAAAGAGTGTTTCCAACGTGCTCTAAGAAAGCGAATGTTCAACTCTGTGACTTGAATGCAGATATCACAAAGTAGTTTCTGAGAGGGCTTCTGTCTAGATTTTAGATGATGATATTCCCGTTTCCAACGAAATCATTAGAGCTATCCAAATATCCACTTACAGTTTCTACAAAAAGAGTGTTTCCAAACTGCTGCATCAAAACAGAGGTTCCACTCTGTTAGCTGAGTACACACATCACAAACTTGTTTCTCAGAATCCTTCTGTCTCGTTTTTATGGGAAGATATTTACTTTTTCACCGTAGGCATCAAAGCGCTCCAAATGTCCACATCCAGATACTACAGAAAGAGTATTTCAAACCTGCCCTATGAAAGGGAATGTTCAACTCTATGAGTTGAATGCAGAGATCAGAAAGAAATTTCTGAGAATGCTGCTGTCTACCTTTTATTTGAATTCCCGCTTCCAACGAAATCCTCCAAACTATCCAAATATCCACTTGCAGATTCCACAAAAAGAGTGTTTCAAAACTGCTCTCTATCAATGGCAAAGTTCAACTCTGTTAGTTGAGGACACATATCACCAACAAGTTTCTGAGAATGCTTCTGTCTATTTTTTATGGGAAGATATTTCCTTTTTCACCGTAGGCGTCAAGGCGATCGAAATGTCCACTTCCACAAACTACAAAAAGAGTGTTTCAAACCTGCTCTATGAAAGGCCATGTTCATCTCTATGAGTTGAATGGAAATATCCGAAAGAAATTTCTGGGAATGCTGCTGTCTAGTTGTTATACGAATTCCCGCTTCCAACGAAATCCTCAAAGCAATCCAAATATCCACTTGCAGAATCCACAAAAAGAGTGTTTCAAAACTGCTCTATCAATAGAAAGGTTCAACTCTTTTAGTTGAGTACACACATCTCAAACAAGTTTCTGAGAATGCTTCTGTCTGGCTTTTATTGGAAGACGTTTCCTTTTCACCAAAGGCATCAAAGCGCTCCAAATGTCCACTTCCAGATTCTTCCAAAAGAGTGTTTCAAACGTGCTCAAAGTAAGGGAATGTTCAACTCTGTGACTTGAATGCAGATATCACCAAGTAGTTTCTAATAGTGCTTCTGTCTAGCATTTTAGATGATGATATTCCCGTTTCCAACGAAATCGTTAGAGCTATCCAAATATCCACTTACAGTTTCTACCAAAAGGGTGTTTCCAAACTGCTGCATCAAAAGAAAGGTTCAACTCTGTTAGTTGAGGACACACATCACAAAGAAGTTTGTGAGAATGCTTCTGTCTAGATTTTGTATGAAGATATTCCCTTTTCCAACGATGTCGTTAAATCAACCCAAATATCAATTTGCAGAATCCACAGAAATAGAGTTTCAAAGCTGCTCTGTAAAAAGAAAGGATCCACTCTATTAGCTGAGTACACACATCACAAACTTGTTTCTGAGAATCCTTCTGTCTAGTTTTTACGGGAAGATATTTCCTTTTTCACCGTATGTATCAAAGCGCTCCAAATGTCCACATCCAGATACTACAGAAAGAGTGTTTCAAACCTGCTCTATGAAAGGGAATCTTCAACTCTATGAGTTGAATGCAGACATCAGAAAGAAATTTCTGAGAATGCTGCTGTCTACCTTTTATTTGAATTCCCGCTTCCAACGAAATCCTCCAAGCTATCCAAATATCCACTTGCAGATTCCACAAAAAGAGTGTTTCAAAACTGCTCTCTATCAATGGCAAAGTTCAACTCTGTTAGTTGAGGACACATATCACCAACAAGTTTCTGAGAATGCTTCTGTCTATTGTTTATGGGAAGATATTTCCTTTTTCACCGTAGGCGTCAAGGCTATCGAAATGTCCACTTCCACAAACTACAAAAAGAGTGTTTCAAACCTGCTCTATGAAAGGCCATGTTCATCTCTATGAGTTGAATGGAAATATCCGAAAGAAATTTCTGGGAATGCTGCTGTCTAGTGTTTATACGAATTCCCGCTTCCAACGAAATCCTCAAAGCAATCCAAATATCCACTTGCAGAATCCACAAAAAGAGTGTTTCAAAACTGCTCTATCAATAGAAAGGTTCAACTCTTTTAGTTGAGTACACACATCACGAACAAGTTTCTGAGAATGCTTCTGTCTGGCTTTTATTGGAAGACGTTTCCTTTTCACCAAAGGCATCAAAGCGCTCCAAATGTCCACTTCCAGATTCTTCCAAAAGAGTGTTTCAAACGTGCTCAAAGTAAGGTAATGTTCAACTCTGTGACTTGAATGCAGATATCACCAAGTAGTTTCTAATAGTGCTTCCGTCTAGATTTCAGATGATGATATTCCCGTTTCCAACGAAATCGTTAGAGCTAAGCAAATATCCAGTTACAGTTTCTACCAAAAGGGTGTTTCCAAATTGCTGCATCAAAAGAAAGGTTCAACTCTGTTAGTTGAGGACACACATCACAAAGAAGTTTGTGAGAATGCTTCTGTCTAGATTTTGTATGACGATATTCCCTTTTCCAACGATATCGTTAAAGCAATCTAAATATCAATTTGCAGAATCCACAAAAATAGAGTTTCAAAGCTGCTCTGTAAAAATAAAAGTTCCACTCTGTTAGCTGAGTACACACATCACAAACTTGTTTCTGAGAATCCTTCTGTCTCGTTTTTATGGGAAGATATTTACTTTTTCACCGTAGGCATCAAAGCGCTCCAAATGTCCACATCCAGATACTCCAGAAAGAGTGTTTCAAACCTGCTCTATGAAAGGGAATCTTCAACCCTATGAGTTGAATGCAGACATCAGAAAGAAATTTCTGAGAATGCTGCTGCTGTCTACCTTTTATTTGAATTCCCGCTTCCAACGAAATCCTCCAAGCTATCCAAATATCCACTTGCATTTTCCACAAAAAGAGTGTTTCAAAACTACTCTATCAATAGAAATGTTCAACTCCTTTAGCTGGGTACACACATCACAAACAACTTTCTGAGAATGCTTCTGTCTAGTTTTTATGGGAAGACATTTCCTTTCTCACCAAAGGCATCAAAGAGCTCCAAATGTCCACTTCCAGATACTACAAAAAGAGTGTTTCAAAAGTGCTCTAAGAAAGCGAATGTTCAACTCTGTGACTTGAGTGCAGATATCAAAAAGTAGTTTCTGAGAGTGCTTCTGTCTAGATTTTAGATGATGATATTCGCGTTTCCAACGAAATCATTAGAGCTATCCAAATATCCACTTACAGTTTCTACAAAAAGAGTGTTTCCAAACTGCTGCATCAAAAGAGAGGTTCCACTCTGTTAGCTGAGTACACACATCACAAACTTGTTTCTCAGAATCCTTCTGTCTCGTTTTTATGGGAAGATATTTACTTTCTCACCGTAGGCATCAAAGCGCTCCAAATGTCCACATCCAGATACTCCAGAAACAGTGTTTCAAACCTGCTCTATGAAAGGGAATCTTCAACTCTATGAGTTGAATGCAGACATCAGAAAGAAATTTCTGAGAATGCTGCTGTCTACCTTTTATTTGAATTCCCGCTTCCAACGAAATCCTCCAAGCTATCCAAATATCCACTTGCAGATTCCACAAAAAGAGTGTTTCAAAACTGCTCTCTATCAATGGCAAAGTTCAACTCTGTTAGTTGAGGACACATATCACCAACAAGTTTCTGAGAATGCTTCTGTCTATTGTTTATGGGAAGATATTTCCTTTTTCACTGTAGGCGTCACGGCGATCGAAATGTCCACTTCCACAAACTACAAAAAGAGTGTTTCAAACCTGCTCTATGAAAGGCGATGTTCATCTCAATGAGTTGAATGGAAATATCCGAAAGAAATTTCTGGGAATGCTGCTGTCTAGTTTTTATACGAATTCCCGCTTCCAATGAAATCCTCAAAGCAATCCAAATATCCACTTGCAGAATCCACAAAAAGAGTGTTTCAAAACTGCTCTATCAATAGAAAGGTTCAACTCTTTTAGTTGAGTACACACATCACAAACAAGTTTCTGAGAATGCTTCTGTCTGGCTTTTATTGGAAGACGTTTCCTTTTCACCAAAGGCATCAAAGCGCTCCAAATGTCCACTTCCAGATTCTTCCAAAAGAGTGTTTCAAACGTGCTCAAAGTAAGGGAATGTTCAACTCTGTGACTTGAATACAGATATCACCAAGTAGTTTCTAATAGTGCTTCTGTCTAGATTTTAGATGATGATATTCCCGTTTCCAACGAAATCGTTAGAAGTATCCAAATATCCACTTACAGTTTCTACAAAAAGAGTGTTTCCAAACTGCTGCATCAAAAGAAAGGTTCAACTCTGTTAGTTGAGGACACACATCACAAAGAAGTTTGTGAGAATGCTTCTGTCTAGATTTTGTATGACCATATTCCCTTTTCCAACGATATCGTTAAAGCAATCTAAATATCAATTTGCAGAATCCACAAAAATAGAGTTTCAAAGCTGCTCTGTAAAAAGAAAGGTTCCAATCTGTTAGCTGAGTACACACATCACAAACTTGTTTCTGAGAATCCTTCTGTCTAGTTTTTATGGGAAGATATTTCCTTTTTCACCGTAGGTATCAAAGCGCTCCAAATGTCCACATCCAGATACTACAGAAAGAGTGTTTCAAACCTGCTCTATGAAAGGGAATCTTCAACTCTATGAGTTGAATGCAGACATCAGAAAGTAATTTCTGAGAATGCTGCTGTCTACCTTTTATTTGAACTCCCGCTTCCAACGAAATCCTCCAAGCTATCCAAATATCCACTTGCATTTTCCACAAAAAGAGTGCTTCAAAACTGCTCTATCAATAAATGTTCAACTCCTTTAGCTGGGTGCACACATCACAATCAACTTTCTGAGAATGCTTCTGTCTAGTTTTTATGGGAAGACATTTCCTTTTTCACCAAAGGCATCAAAGAGCTCCAAATGTCCTCTTCCAGATATACAAAAAGAGTGTTTCAAAAGTGCTCTAAGAAAGCGAATGTTCAACTCTGTGACTTGAATGCAGATATCACAAAGTAGTTTCTGAGAGTGCTTCTGTCTAGATTTTAGATGATGATATTCCCGTTTCCAACGAAATCATTAGAGCTATCCAAATATCCACTTACAGTTTCTACAAAAAGAGGGTTTCCAAACTGCTGCATCAAAAGAGAGGTTCCACTCTGTTAGCTGAGTACACACATCACAAACTTGTTTCTCAGAATCCTTCTGTGTCGTTTTTATGGGAAGATATTTACTTTTTCACCGTAGGCATCAAAGCGCTCCAAATGTCCACATCCAGATACTCCAGAAAGAGTGTTTCAAACCTGCTCTATGAAAGGGAATCTTCAACTCTATGAGTTGAATGCAGACATCAGAAAGAAATTTCTGAGAATGCTGCTGTCTACCTTTTATTTGAATTCCCGCTTCCAACGAAATCCTCCAAGCTATCCAAATATCCACTTGCAGATTCCACAAAAAGAGTGTTTCAAAACTGCTCTCTATCAATGGCAAAGTTCAACTCTGTTAGTTGAGGACACATATCACCAACAAGTTTCTGAGAATGCTTCTGTCTATTTTTTATGGGTAGATATTTCCTTTTTCACCGTAGGCGTCAAGGCGATCGAAATGTCCACTTCCACAAACTACAAAAAGAGTGTTTCAAACCTGCTCTATGAAAGGCCATATTCATCTCTATGAGTTGAATGGAAATATCCGAAAGAAATTTCTGGGAATGCTGCTGTCTAGTTTTTATATGAATTCCCGCTTCCAACGAAATCCTCAAAGCAATCCAAATATCCACTTGCAGAATCCACAAAAAGAGTGTTTCAAAACTGCTCTATCAATAGAAAGGTTCAACTCTTTTAGTTGAGTACACACATCACAAACAAGTTTACTGAGAATGCTTTCTGTCTGGCTTTTATTGGAAGACGTTTCCTTTTCACCAAAGGCATCAAAGCGCTCCAAATGTCCACTTCCAGATTCTTCCAAAAGAGTGTTTCAAACGTGCTCAAAGTAAGGGAATGTTCAACTCTGTGACTTGAATGCAGATATCACCAAGTAGTTTCTAATAGTGTTTCTGTGTATACTTTAGATGAAGATATCCCCGTTTCCAACGATATCGTTAGACCTACCCAAATATCCACTTACAGTTTTTATAAAAAGAGTGTTTCCAAACTGCTGCATCAAAAGAAAGGTTCAACTCTGTTAGTTGAGGACACGCATCACAAAGAAGTTTCTGAGAAAGCTTCTGTCTAGTATTTTGTATGACCATATTCCCTTTTCCAGCGATATCGTTAAAGCAATCTAAATATCCATTTGCAGAATCCACAAAAATAGAGTTTCAAAGCTGCTCTGTAAAAAGAAAGGTTCCACTCTGTTAGCTGAGTACACACATCACAAACTTGTTTCTGAGAATCCTTCTGTCACGTTTTTATGGGAAGATATTTACTTTCTCACCGTAGGCATCAAAGCTCTCCAAATGTCCACATCCAGATACTCCAGAAAGAGTGTTTCAAACCTGCTCTATGAAAGGGAATCTTCAACTCTATGAGTTGAATGCAGACATCAGAAAGAAATTTCTGAGAATGCTGCTGTCTACCTTTTATTTGAATTCCCGCTTCCAACGAAATCCTCCAAGCTATCCAAATATCCACTTGCAGAGTCCACAAAAAGAGTGTTTCAAAACTGCTCTCTATCAATGGGAAAGTTCAACTCTGTTAGTTGAGGACACATATCACCAACAAGTTTCTGAGAATGCTTCTGTCTATTTTTTATGGGAAGATATTTCCTTTTTCAGCGTAGGCGTCAAGGCGATCGAAATGTCCACTTCCACAAACTGCAAAAAGAGTGTTTCAAACCTGCTCTATGAAAGGCCATGTTCATCTCTATGAGTTGAATGGAAATATCCGAAAGAAATTTCTGGGAATGCTGCTGTCTAGTGTTTATACGAATTCCCGCTTCCAACGAAATCCTCAAAGCAATCCAAATATCCACTTGCAGAATCCACAAAAAGAGTGTTTCAAAACTGCTCTATCAATAGAAAGGTTCAACTTCTTTTAGTTGAGTACACACATCACGAACAAGTTTCTGAGAATGCTTCTGTCTGGCTTTTATTGGAAGACGTTTCCTTTTCACCAAAGGCATCAAAGCGCTCCAAATGTCCACTTCCAGATTCTTCCAAAAGAGTGTTTCAAACGTGCTCAAAGTAAGGGAATGTTCAACTGTTTGACTTGAATGCAGATATCACCAAGTAGTTTCTAATAGTGCTTCTGTCTAGATTTTAGATGATGATATTCCCGTTTCCAACGAAATCGTTAGAGCTATCCAAATATCCACTTACAGTTTCTACAAAAAGAGTGTTTCCAAACTGCTGCATCAAAAGAAAGGTTCAACTCTGTTAGTTGAGGACACACATCACAAGGAAGTTTGTGAGAATGCTTCTGTCTAGATTTTGTATGACGATATTCCCTTTTCCAACGATATCGTTAAAGCAATCTAAATATCAATTTGCAGAATCCACAAAAATAGAGTTTCAAAGCTGCTCTGTAAAAAGAAAGGTTCCACTCTGTTAGCTGAGTACACACATCGCAAACTTGTTTCTGAGAATCCTTCTGTCTCGTTTTTATGGGAAGATATATACTTTTCCACCGTAGGCATCAAAGCGCTCCAAATGTCCACATCCAGATACTCCAGAACGAGTGTTTCAAACCTGCTCTATGAAAGGGAATCTTCAACTCTATGAGTTGAATGCAGACATCAGAAAGAAATTTCTGAGAATGCTCCTGTCTACCTTTTATTTGAATTCCCGCTTCCAACGAAATCCTCCAAGCTATCCAAATATCCACCTGCAGATTCCACAAAAAGAGTGTTTCAAAACTGCTCTATCAATAGAAATGTTCAACTCCTTTAGCTGGGTACACACATCACAAACAAGTTTCTGAGAATCCTTCTGTCTAGTTTTTATGGGAAGACATTCCCTTTTTCACCAAAGACATCAAAGCGCTCCAAATGTCCACTTCCAGACACTACAAAAAGAGTGTTTCAAACGTGCTCTAAGAAAGCGAATGTTCAACTCTGTGACTTGAATGCAGATATCACAAAGTAGTTTCTGAGAGGGCTTTCTGTCTAGTATTTTAGCATGATGATATTCCCGTTTCCAACGAAATCATTAGGAGCTATCCAAATATCCACTTACAGTTTCTACAAAAAGAGTATTTCCAAACTGCTGCATCAAAAGAGAGGTTCCACTCTGTTAGCTGAGTACACACATCACAAACTTGTTTCTCAGAATCCTTCTGTGTCGTTTTTCTGGGAAGATATTTACTTTTTCACCGTAGGCATCAAAGCGCTCCAAATGTCCACATCCAGATACTCCAGAAAGAGTGTTTCAAACCTGCTCTATGAAAGGGAATCTTCAACTCTATGAGTTGAATGCAGACATCAGAAAGAAATTTCTGAGAATGCTGCTGTCTACCTTTTATTTGAATTCCCGCTTCCAACGAAATCCTCCAAGCTATCCAAATATCCACTTGCAGATTCCACAAAAAGAGTGTTTCAAAACTGCTCTCTATCAATGGCAAAGTTCAACTCTGTTAGTTGAGGACACATATCACCAACAAGTTTCTGAGAATGCTTCTGTCTATTTTTTATGGGAAGATATTTCCTTTTTCACCGTAGGCGTCAAGGCGATCGAAATGTCCACTTCCACAAACTACAAAAAGAGTGTTTCAAACCTGCTCTATGCAAAGGCCATGTTCATCTCTATGAGTTGAATGGAAATATCCGAAAGAAATTTCTGGGAATGCTGCTGTCTAGTTTTTATACGAATTCCCGCTTCCAACGAAATCCTCAAAGCAATCCAAATATCCACTTGCAGAATCCACAAAAAGAGTGTTTCAAAACTGCTCTATCAATAGAAAGGTTCAACTCTTTTAGTTGAGTACACTCATCACAAACAAGTTTCTGAGAATGCTTCTGTCTGGCTTTTATTGGAAGACGTTTCGTTTTCACCAAAGGCATCAAAGCGCTCCAAATGTCCACTTCCAGATTCTTCCAAAAGAGTGTTTCAAACGTGGTCGAAGTAAGGGAATGTTCAACTCTGTGACTTGAATGCAGATATCACCAAGTAGTTTCTAATAGTGCTTCTGTGTATACTTTAGATGAAGATATTTCCGTTTCCAACGATATCGTTAGACCTATCCAAATATCCACTAACAGTTTCTACAAGAAGAGTGTTTCCAAACTGCTGCATCAAAAGAAAGGTTCAACTCTGTGAGTTGAGGACACACATCACAAAGAAGTTTCTGAGAAAGCTTCTGTCTAGATTTTGTATGACCATATTCCCTTTTCCAACGATATCGTTAAAGCAATCTAAATATCAATTTGCAGAATCCACAAAAAAAGAGTTTGAAAGCTGCTCTGTAAAAAGAAAGGTTCCACTCTGTTAGCTGAGTACACACATCACAAACTTGTTTCTCAGAATCCTTCTGTCTCGTTTTTCTGGGAAGATATTTACTTTTTCACCGTGGGCATCAAAGCGCTCCAAATGTCCACATCCAGATACTCCAGAAAGAGTGTTTCAAACCTGCTCTATGAAAGGGAATCTTCAACTCTATGAGTTGAATGCAGACATCAGAAAGAAATTTCTGAGAATGCTGCTGTCTACCTTTTATTTGAATTCCCGCTTCCAACGAAATCCTCCAAGCTATCCAAATATCCACTTGCAGATTCCACAAAAAGAGTGTTTCAAAACTGCTCTCTATCAATGGCAAAGTTCAACTCTGTTAGTTGAGGACACATATCACCAACAAGTTTCTGAGAATGCTTCTGTCTATTTTTTATGGGAAGATATTTCCTTTTTCACCGTAGGCGTCAAGGCGATCGAAATGTCCACTTCCACAAACTACAAAAAGAGTGTTTCAAACCTGCTCTATGAAAGGCCATGTTCATCTCTATGAGTCGAATGGAAATATCCGAAAGAAATTTCTGGGAATGCTGCTGTCTAGTTGTTATACGAATTCCCGCTTCCAACGAAATCCTCAAAGCAATCCAAATATCCACTTGCAGAATCCACAAAAAGAGTGTTTCAAAACTGCTCTATCAATAGAAAGTTTCAACTCTTTTAGTTGAGTACACACATCACAAACAAGTTTCTGAGAATGCTTCTGTCTGGCTTTTATTGGAAGACGTTTCCTTTTCACCAAAGGCATCAAAGCGCTCCAAATGTCCACTTCCAGATTCTTCCAAAAGAGTGTTGCAAACGTGCTCAATGTAAGGGAATGTTCAACTCTGTGACTTGAATGCAGATATCACCAAGTAGTTTCTAATAGTGCTTCTGTCTAGATTTTAGATGATGATATTCCCGTTTCCAACGAAATCGTTAGAGCTATCCAAATATCCACTTACAGTTTCTACCAAAAGGGTGTTTCCAAACTGCTGCATCAAAAGAAAGGTTCAACTACTGTTAGTTGAGGACACACGTCACAAAGCTGTTTGTGAGAATGCTTCTGTCTAGATTTTGTATGACCATATTCTCTTTTCCAACGATATCGTTAAAGCAATCTAAATATCAATTTGCAGAATCCACAAAAATAGAGTTTCAAAGCTGCTCTGTAAAAAGAAAGGTTCCACTCTGTTAGCTGAGTACACACATCACAAACTTGTTTCTGAGAATCCTTCTGTCTCGTTTTTATGGAAGATATTTACTTTTTCACCGTAGGCATCAAAGCGCTCCAAAGGTCCACATCCAGATACTCCAGAAAGAGTGTTTCAAACCTGCTCTATGAAAGGGAATCTTCAACTCTATGAGTTGAATGCAGACATCAGAAAGAAATTTCTGAGAATGCTGCTGTCTACCTTTTATTTGAATTCCCGCTTCCAACGAAATCCTCCAAGCTATCCAAATATCCCCCTGCATTTTCCACAAAAAGAGTGTTTCAAAACTGCTCTATCAATAGAAATGTTCAACTCCTTTAGCTGGGTACACACATCACAAACAAGTTTCTGAGAATGCTTCTGTCTAGTTTTTATGGGAAGACGTTCCCTTTTTCACCAAAGGCATCAAAGCACTCCAAATGTCCACTTCCAGACACTACAAAAAGAGTGTTTCAAACGTGCTCTAAGAAAGCGAATGTTCAACTCTGTGACTTGAATGCAGATATCACAAAGTAGTTTCTGAGAGGGCTTCTGTCTAGATTTTAGATGATGATATTCCCGTTTCCAACGAAATCATTAGAGCTATACAAATATCCACTTACAGTATCTACAAAAAGAGTGTTTCCAAACTGCTGCATCAAAAGAGGTTTCCACTCTGTTAGCTGAGTACACACATCACAAACTTGTTTCTCAGAATCCTTCTGTCTCGATTTTATGGGAAGATATTTACTTTTTCACCGTAGGCATCAAAGCGCTCCAAATGTCCACATCCAGATACTCCAGAAAGAGTGTTTCAAACCTGCTCTATGAAAGGGAATCTTCAACTCTATGAGTTGAATGCAGACATCAGAAAGAAATTTCTGAGAATGCTGCTGTCTAACTTTTATTTGAATTCCCGCTTCCAACGAAATCCTCCAAGCTATCCAAATATCCACTTGCAGATTCCACAAAAAGAGTGTTTCAAAACTGCTCTCTATCAATGGCAAAGTTCAACTCTGTTAGTTGAGGACACATATCACCAACAAGTTTCTGAGAATGCTTCTGTCTATTTTTTATGGGAAGATATTTCCTTTTTCACCGTAGGCGTCAAGGCGATCGAAATGTCCACTTCCACAAACTACAAAAAGAGTGTTTCAAACCTGCTCTATGAAAGGCCATGTTCATCTCTATGAGTCGAATGGAAATATCCGAAAGAAATTTCTGGGAATGCTGCTGTCTAGTTTTTATACGAATTCCCGCTTCCAACGAATTCCTGAAAGCAATCCAAATATCCACTTGCAGAATCCACAAAAAGAGTGTTTCAAAACTGCTCTATCAATAGAAAGGTTCAACTCTTTTAGTTGAGTACACACATCACAAACAAGTTTCTGAGAATGCTTCTGTCTGGCTTTTATTGGAAGACGTTTCCTTTTCACCAAAGGCATCAAAGCGCTCCAAATGTCCACTTCCAGATTCTTCCAAAAGAGTGTTTCAAACGTGCTCAAAGTAAGGGAATGTTCAACTCTTTGACTTGAATGCAGATATCACCAAGTAGTTTCTAACAGTGCTTCTGTCTAGATTTTAGATGATGATATTCCCGTTTCCAACGAAATCGTTAGAGCTATCCAAATATCCACTTACAGTTTCTACAAAAAGAGTGTTTCCAAACTGCTGCATCAAAAGAAAGGTTCAACTACTGTTAGTTGAGGACACACATAACAAAGAAGTTTGTGAGAATGCTTCTGTCTAGATTTTGTATGACGATATTCCCTTTTCCAACGATATCGTTAAAGCAATCTAAATATCAATTTGCAGAATCCACAAAAATAGAGTTTCAAAGCTGCTCTATAAAAAGAAAGGTTCCACTCTGTTAGCTGAGTACACACATCACAAACTTGTTTCTGAGAATCCTTCTGTCTCGTTTTTATGGGAAGATATTTACTTTTTCACCGTAGGCATCAAAGCGCTCCAAATGTCCACATCCAGATACTCCAGAAAGAGTGTTTCAAACCTGCTCTATGAAAGGGAATCTTCAACTCTATGAGTTGAATGCAGACATCAGAAAGAAATTTCTGAGAATGCTGCTACCTTTTATTTGAATTCCCGCTTCCAACGAAATCCTCCAAGCTATCCAAATATCCACTTGCATTTTCCACAAAAAGAGTGTTTCAAAACTGCTCTATCAATAGAAATGTTCAACTCCTTTAGCTGGGTACACACATCACAAACAAGTTTCTGAGAATGCTTCTGTCTATTTTTTATGGGAAGATATTTCCTTTTTCACCGTAGGCGTCAAGGCGATCGAAATGTCCACTTCCACAAACTACAAAAAGAGTGTTTCAAACCTGCTCTATGAAAGGCCATGTTCATCTCTATGAGTCGAATGGAAATATCCGAAAGAAATTTCTGGGAATGCTGCTGTCTAGTTTTTATACGAATTCCCGCTTCCAACGAAATCCTCAAAGCAATCCAAATATCCACTTGCAGAATCCACAAAAAGAGTGTTTCAAAACTGCTCTATCAATAGAAAGGTTCAACTCTTTTAGTTGAGTACACACATCACAAACAATTTTCTGAGAATGCTTCTGTCTGGCTTTTATTGGAAGACGTTTCCTTTTCACCAAAGGCATCAAAGCGTTCCAAATGTCCACTTCCAGATTCTTCCAAAAGAGTGTTTCAAACGTGCTCAAAGTAAGGGAATGTTCAACTCTGTGACTTGAATGCAGATATCACCAAGTAGTTTCTAATAGTGCTTCTGTCTAGGTTTTAGATGATGATATTCCCGTTTCCAACGAAATCGTTAGAGCTATCCAAATATCCACTTACAGTTTCTACAAAAAGAGTGTTTCCAAACTGCTGCATCAAAAGAAAGGTTCAACTCTGTTAGTTGAGGACACACATCACAAAGAAGTTTGTGAGAATGCTTCTGTCTAGATTTTGTATGACGATATTCCGTTTTCCAACGATATCGTTAAAGCAATCTAAATATCAATTTGCAGAATCCACAAAAATAGAGTTTCAAAGCTGCTCTGTAAAAAGAAAGGGTTCCACTCTGTTAGCTGAGTACACACATCACAAACTTGTTTCTCAGAATCCTTCTGTCTCGTTTTTATGGGAAGATATTTACTTTTCCACCGTAGGCATCAAAGCGCTCCAAATGTCCACATCCAGATACTCCAGAAAGAGTGTTTCAAACCTGCTCTATGAAAGGGAATCTTCAACTCCATGAGTTGAATGCAGACATCACAAAGAAATTTCTGAGAATGCTGCTGTCTACCTTTTATTTGAATTCCCGCTTCCAACGAAATCCTCCAAGCTATCCAAATATCCACTTGCAGATTCCACAAAAAGAGTGTTTCAAAACTGCTCTCTATCAATGGCAAAGTTCAACTCTGTTAGTTGAGGACACATATCACCAACAAGTTTCTGAGAATGCTTCTGTCTATATTTTATGGGAAGATATTTCCTTTTTCACCGTAGGCGTCAAGGCGATCGAAATGTCCACTTCCACAAACTACAAAAAGAGTGTTTCAAACCTGCTCTCTGAAAGGCCATGTTCATCTCTATGAGGTGAATGGAAATATCCGAAAGAAATTTCTGGGAATGCTGCTGTCTAGTGTTTATACGAATTCCCGCTTCCAACGAAATCCTCAAAGCAATCCAAATATCCACTTGCAGAATCCACAAAAAGAGTGTTTCAAAACTGCTCTATCAATAGAAAGGTTCAACTCTTTTAGTTGAGTACACACATGACGAACAAGTTTCTCAGAATGCTTCTGTCTGGCTTTTATTGGAAGACGTTTCCTTTTCAACAAAGGCATCAAAGCGCTCCAAATGTCCACTTCCAGATTCTTCCAAAAGAGTGTTTCAAACGTGCTCAAAGTAAGGGAATGTTCAACTCTGTGACTTGAATGCAGATATCACCAAGTAGTTTCTAATAGTGCTTCTGTCTAGATTTTAGATGATGATATTCCCGTTTCCAACAAAATCGTTAGAGCTATCCAAATATCCACTTACAGTTTCTACAAAAAGAGTGTTTCCAAACTGCTGCATCAAAAGAAAGGTTCAACTCTGTTAGTTGAGGACACACATCACAAAGAAGTTTGTGAGAATGCTTCTGTCTAGTATTTTGTATGACGATATTCCCTTTTCCAACGATATCGTTAAAGCAATCTAAATATCAATTTGCAGAATCCACGAAAATAGAGTTTCAAAGCTGCTCTGTAAAAATAAAGGTTCCACTCTGTTAGCTGAGTACACACATCACAAACTTGTTTCTGAGAATCCTTCTGTCTCGTTTTTATGGGAAGATATTTACTTTTCCACCGTAGGCATCAAAGCGCTCCAAATGTCCACATCCAGATACTCCAGAACGAGTGTTTCAAACCTGCTCTATGAAAGGGAATCTTCAACTCTATGACTTGAATGCAGACATCAGAAAGAAATTTCTGAGAATGCTGCTGTCTAACTTTTATTTGAATTCCCGCTTCCAACGAAATCCTCCAAGCTATCCAAATATCCACCTGCATTTTCCACAAAAAGAGTGTTTCAAAACTGCTCTATCAATAGAAATGTTCAACTCCTTTGGCTGGGTACACACATCACAAACAAGTCTCTGAGAATGCTTCTGTCTAGTTTTTATGGGAAGACATTCCCTTTTTCACCAAAGACATCAAAGCGCTCCAAATGTCCACTTCCAGACACTACAAAAAGAGTGTTTCAAACGTGCTCTAAGAAAGCGAATGTTCAACTCTGTGACTTGAATGCAGATATCACACAGTAGTTTCTGAGAGTGCTTCTGTCTAGATTTTAGATGATGATATTCCCGTTTCCAACGAAATCATTAGAGCTATCCAAATATCCACTTAGAGTTTCTACAAAAAGAGTGTTTCCAAACTGCTGCATCAAAAGAGAGGTTCCACTCTGTTAGCTGAGTACACACATCACAAACTTGTTTCTCAGAATCCTTCTGTCTCGTTTTTATGGGAAGATATTTACTTTTCCACCGTAGGCATCAAAGCGCTCCAAATGTCCACATCCAGATACTCCAGAAAGAGTGTTTCAAACCTGCTCTATGAAAGGGAATCTTCAACTCTATGAGTTGAATGCACACATCAGAAAGAAATTTCTGAGAATGCTGCTGTCTACCTTTTATTTGAATTCCCGCTTCCAACGAAATCCTCCAAGCTATCCAAATACCCACTTGCATTTTCCACAAAAAGAGGGTTTCAAAACTGCTCTCTATCAATGGCAAAGTTCAACTCCTTTAGCTGGGTACACACATCACAAACAAGTTTCTGAGAATGATTCTGTCTACTTTTTAAGGGAAGACATTTCCTTTTTCACCAAAGGCATCAAAGCGCTCCAAATGTCCACTTCCAGATTCTACAAAAAGTGTGTTTCAAACCTGCTCTAAGTAAGGGAGTTTTCAACTCTGTGACTGGAATGCAGATATCACAAAGTAGTTTCTGAGACTGCTTCTGTCTAGATTTTAGATGATTATATTCCCGTTTCCAACGAAATCATTAGAGCTATCCAAATATCCACTTACAGTTTCTACAAAAAGAGTGTTTCCAAACTGCTGCATCAAAAGAGAGGTTCCACTCTGTTAGCTGAGTACACACATCACAAACTTGTTTCTCAGAATCCTTCTGTCTAGTTTTTATGGGAAGATATTTACTTTTTCACCGTAGGTATCAAAGCGCTCCAAATGTCCACATCCAGGTACTACAGAAAGAGTGTTTCAAACCTGCTCTATGAAAGGGAATCTTCAACTCTATGAGTTGAATGCAGACATCAGAAAGTAATTTCTGAGAATGCTGCTGTCTACCTTTGATTTGAATTCCCGCTTCCAACGAAATCCTCCAAGCTATCCAAATATCCACTTGCAGATTCCACAAAAAGAGTGTTTCAAAACTGCTCTCTATCAATGGCAAAGTTCAACTCTGTTAGTTGAGGACACATATCACCAACAAGTTTCTGAGAATGCTTCTGTCTATTTTTTATGGGAAGATATTTCCTTTTTCACCGTAGGCGTCAAGGCGATCGAAATGTCCACTTCCACAAACTACAAAAAGAGTGTTTCAAACCTGCTCTATGAAAGGCCATGTTCATCTCTATGAGTCGAATGGAAATATCCGAAAGAAATTTCTGGGAATGCTGCTGTCTAGTTTTTATACGAATTCCCGCTTCCAACGAAATCCTCAAAGCAATCCCAATATCCACTTGCAGAATCCACAAAAAGAGTGTTTCAAAACTGCTCTATCAATAGAAAGGTTCAACTCTTTTAGTTGAGTACACACATCACGAACAAGTTTCTGAGAACGCTTCTGTCTGGCTTTTATTTGAAGACGTTTCCTTTTCACAAAAGGCATCAAAGCGCTCCAAATGTCCACTTCCAGATTCTTCCAAAAGAGTGTTTCAAACGTGCTCAAAGTAAGGGAATGTTCAACTCTGTGACTTGAATGCAGATATCACCAAGTAGTTTCTAATAGTGCTTCTGTCTAGATTTTAGATGATGATATTCCCGTTTCCAACGAAATCGTTAGAGCTATCCAAATATCCAGTTACAGTTTCTACCAAAAGGGTGTTTCCAAATTGCTGCATCAAAAGAAAGCTTCAACTCTGTTAGTTGAGGACACACATCACAAAGAAGTTTGTGAGAATGCTTCTGTCTAGATTTTGTATGACGATATTCCCTTTTCCAACGATATCGTTAAAACAATCTAAATATCAATTTGCAGAATCCACAAAAATAGAGTTTCAAAGCTGCTCTGTAAAAAGAAAGGTTCCACTCTTTTAGCTGAGTACACACATCACAAACTTGTTTCTGAGAATCCTTCTGTCTCGTTTTTCTGGGAAGATATTTACTTTTTCACCGTAGGCATCAAAGCGCTCCAAATGTCCACATCCAGATACTCCAGAAGGAGTGTTTCAAACCTGCTCTATGAAAGGGAATCTTCAACTCTATGAGTTGAATGCAGACATCAGAAAGAAATTTCTGAGAATGCTGCTGTCTACCTTTTATTTGAATTCCCGCTTCCAAAGAAATCCTCCAAGCTATCCAAATATCCACCTGCATTTTCCACAACAAGAGTGTTTCAAAACTGCTCTATCAATAGAAATGTTCAACTCCTTTGGCTGGGTACACACATCACAAACAAGTTTCTGAGAATGCTTCTGTCTAGTTTTTATGGGAAGACATTCCCTTTTTCAACAAAGGCATCAAAGCGCTCCAAATGTCCACTTCCAGACACTACAAAAAGAGTGTTTCAAACGTGCTCTAAGAAAGCGAATGTTCAACTCTGTGACTTGAATGCAGATATCACAAAGTAGTTTCTGAGAGGGCTTCTGTCTAGATTTTAGATGACGATATTCCCGTTTCCAGCGAAATCGTTAGAGCTATCCAAATATCCACTTACAGTTTCTACAAAAAGAGTGTTTCCAAACTGCTGCATCAAAAGAAAGGTTCAACTCTGTTAGTTGAGGACACACATCACAAAGAAGTTTGTGAGAATGCTTCTGTCTAGATTTTGTATGACCATATTCCCTTTTCCAACGATATAGTTAAAGCAATCTAAATATCAATTTGCAGAATCCACAAAAATAGAGTTTCAAAGCTGCTCTGTAAAAAGAAAGGTTCCACTCTGTTAGCTGAGTACACACATCACAAACTTGTTTCTGAGAATCCTTCTGTCTCGTTTTTATGGGAAGATATTTACTTTTCCACCGTAGGCATCAAAGCGTTCCAAATGTCCACATCCAGATACTCCAGAAAGACTGTTTCAAACCTGCTCTATGAAAGGGAATCTTCAACTCTATGACTTGAATGCAGACATCAGAAAGAAATTTCTGAGAATGCTGCTGTCTACCTTTTATTTGAATTCCCGCTTCCAACGAAATCCTCCAAGCTATCCAAATATCCACCTGCATTTTCCACAAAAAGAGCGTTTCAAAACTGCTCTATCAATAGAAATGTTCAACTCCTTTGGCTGGGTACACACATCACAAACAAGTTTCTGAGAATGCTTATCTGTCTAGTTTTTATGGGAAGACGTTCCCTTTTTCAACAAAGGCATCAAAGCGCTCCAAATGTCCACTTCCAGACACTACAAAAAGAGTGTTTCCAACGTGCTCTAAGAAAGCGAATGTTCAACTCTGTGACTTGAATGCAGATATCACAAAGTAGTTTTCTGAGAGGGCTTCTGTCTAGATTTTAGATGATGATATTCCCGTTTCCAACGAAATCATTAGAGCTATCCAAATATCCACTTACAGTCTCTACAAAAAGAGTGTTTCCAAACTGCTGCATCAAAAGAGAGGTTCCACTCTGTTAGCTGAGTACACACATCACAAACTTGTTTCTCAGAATCCTTCTGTCTCGTTTTTATGGGAAGATATTTACTTTCTCACCGTAGGCATCAAAGCGCTCCAAATGTCCACATCCAGATACTCCAGAAAGAGGGTTTCAAACGTGCTCTATGAAAGGGAATCTTCAACTCTATGAGTTGAATGCAGACATCAGAAAGAAATTTCTGAGAATGCTGCTGTCTACCTTTATTTGAATTCCCGCTTCCAACGAAATCCTCCAAGCTATCCAAATATCCACTTGCAGATTCCACAAAAAGAGTGTTTCAAAACTGCTCTCTATCAATGGCAAAGTTCAACTCTGTTAGTTGAGGACACATATCACCAACAAGTTTCTGAGAATGCTTCTGTCTATTTTTTATGGGAAGATATTTCCTTTTTCAGCGTAGGCGTCAAGGCGATCGAAATGTCCACTTCCACAAACTACAAAAAGAGTGTTTCAAACCTGCTCTATGAAAGGCCATGTTCATCTCTATGAGTTGAATGGAAATATCCGAAAGAAATTTCTGGGAATGCTGCTGTCTAGTTTTTATATGAATTCCCGCTTCCAACGAAATCCTCAAAGCAATCCAAATATCCACTTGCAGAATCCACAAAAAGAGTGTTTCAAAACTGCGCTATCAATAGAAAGGTTCAACTCTTTTAGTTGAGTACACACATCATGAACAAGTTTCTGAGAATGCTTCTGTCTGGCTTTTATTGGAAGACGTTTCCTTTTCACCAAAGGCATCAAAGCGCTCCAAATGTCCACTTCCAGATTCTTCCAAAAGAGTGTTTCAAACGTGCTCGAAGTAAGGGAATGTTCAACTCTGTGACTTGAATGCAGATATCACCAAGTAGTTTCTAATAGTGCTTTCTGTCTACATTTTAGATGATGATATTCCCGTTTCCAACGAAATCGCTAGAGCTATCCAAATATCCAGTTACAGTTTCTACCAAAAGGGTGTTTCCAAATTGCTGCATCAAAAGAAAGGTTCAACTCTGTTAGTTGAGGACACACATCACAAAGAAGTTTGTGAGAATGCTTCTGTCTAGATTTTGTATGACGATATTCCCTTTTCCAACGATATCGTTAAAGCAATCTAAATATCAATTTGCAGAATCCACAAAAATAGAGTTTCAAAGCTGCTCTGTAAAAAGAAAGGTTCCACTCTGTTAGCTGAGTACACACATTACAAACTTGTTTCTGAGAATCCTTCTGTCTCGTTTTTATGGGAAGATATTTACTTTTTCACCGTAGGCATCAAAGCGCTCCAAATGTCCACATCCAGATACTCCAGAAAGACTGTATCAAACCTGCTCTATGAAAGGGAATCTTCAACTCTATGAGTTGAATGCAGACATCAGAAAGAAATTTCTGAGAATGCTGCTGTCTACCTTTTATTTGAATTCCCGCTTCCAACAAAAACCTCCCAGCCATCCAAATATCCACTTGCAGATTCCACAAAAAGAGTGTTTCAAAACTGCTCTATCAATAGAAATGTTCAACTCCTTTCGCTGGGTACACACATCACAAACAAGTTTCTGAGAAAGCTTCTTTCTAGATTTTATGGGAAGACATTTCCTTTTTCACCAAAGGCATCAAAGAGCTCCAAATGTCCACTTCCAGATACTACAAAAAGAGTGTTTCAAAAGTGCTCTAAGAAAGCGAATGTTCAACTCTATGACTTGAATGCAGATATCAAAAAGTAGTTTCTGAGAGTGCTTCTGTCTAGATTTTAGATGATGATATTCCCGTTTCCAACGAAATCATTAGAGCAATCCAAATATCCACTTACAGTTTCTACAAAAAGAGTGTTTCCAAACTGCTGCATCAAAAGAGAGGTTCCACTCTGTTAGCTGAGTACACACATCACAAACTTGTTTCTCAGAATCCTGCTGTCTACCTTTTATTTGAATTCCCGCTTCCAACGAAATCCTCCAAGCTATCCAAATATCCACTTGCAGATTCCACAAAAAGAGTGTTTCAAAACTGCTCTCTATCAATGGCAAAGTTCAACTCTGTTAGTTGAGGACACATATCACCAACAAGTTTCTGAGAATGCTTCTGTCTATTTTTTATGGGAAGATATTTCCTTTTTCACCGTAGGCGTCAAGGCGATCGAAATGTCCACTTCCACAAACTACAAAAAGAGTGTTTCAAACGTGCTCTATGAAAGGCGATGTTCATCTCTATGAGTTGAATGGAAATATCCGAAAGAAATTTCTGGGAATGCTGCTGTCTAGTGTTTATACGAATTCCCGCTTCCAACGAAATCCTCAAAGCAATCCAAATATCCACTTGCAGAATCCACAAAAAGAGTGTTTCAAAACTGCTCTATCAATAGAAAGGTTCAACTCTTTTAGTTGAGTACACACATCACGAACAAGTTTACTGAGAATGCTTTCTGTCTGGCATTTATTGGAAGACGTTTCCTTTTCACCAAAGGCATCAAAGCGCTCCAAATGTCCACTTCCAGATTCTTCCAAAAGAGTGTTTCAAACGTGCTCAAAGTAAGGGAATGTTCAACTCTGTGACTTGAATGCAGATATCACCAAGTAGTTTCTAATAGTGCTTCTGTCTAGATTTTAGATGATGATATTCCCGTTTCCAACGAAATCATTAGAGCTATCCAAATATCCACTTACAGTTTCTACAAAAAGAGTGTTTCCAAACTGCTGCATCAAAAGAAAGGTTCAACTCTGTTAGTTGAGGACACACATCACAAAGAAGTTTGTGAGAATGCTTCTGTCTAGATTTTGTATGACGATATTCCCTTTTCCAACGATATCATTAAAGCAATCTAAATATCCATTTGCAGAATCCACAAAAATAGAGTTTCAAAGCTGCTCTGTAAAAAGAAAGGTTCCACTCTGTTAGCTGAGTACACACATCACAAACTTGTTTCTCAGAATCCTTCTGTCTAGTTTTTATGGGAAGATATTTACTTTTTCACCGTAGGCATCAAAGCGTTCCAAATGTCCACATCCAGATAGTACAGAAAGAGTGTTTCAAACCTGCTCTATGAAAGGGAATGTTCTACTCTATGAGTTGAATGTACACATCACAAAGAAATTTCTGAGAATGCTGCTGTCTACCTTTTATTTGAATTCCCGCTTCCAACGAAATCCTCCAAGCTATCCAAATATCCACTTGCAGATTCCACAGAAGGAGTGTTTCAAAACTGCTCTCTATCAATGGCAAAGTTCAACTCTGTTAGTTGAGAACACATATCACCAACAAGTTTCTGAGAATGCTTCTGTCTATTTTTTATGGGAAGATATTTCCTTTTTCACCGTAGGCATCAAGGCGATCGAAATGTCCACTTCCACAAACTACAAAAAGAGTGTTTCAAACCTGCTCTATGAAAGGCCATGTTCACCTCTATGAGTTGAATGGAAATATCCGAAAGAAATTTCTGGGAATGCTGCTGTCTAGTGTTTATACGAATTTCCGCTTCCAACGAAATCCTCAAAGCAATCCAAATATCCACTTGCAGAATCCACAAAAAGAGTGTTTCAAAACTGCTCTATCAATAGAAAGGTTCAACTCTTTTAGTTGAGTACACACATCACGAACAAGTTTCTGAGAATGCTTCTGTCTGGCTTTTATTGGAAGACGTTTCCTTTTCACCAAAGGCATCAAAGCGCTCCAAATGTCCACTTCCAGATTCTTCCAAAAGAGTGTTTCAAACGTGCTCAAAGTAAGGGAATGTTCAACTCTGTGACTTGAATGCAGATATCACCAAGTAGTTTCTAATAGTGCTTCTGTCTACATTTTAGATGATGATATTCCCGTTTCCAACGAAATCGTTAGAGCTATCCAAATATCCAGTTACAGTTTCTACCAAAAGGGTGTTTCCAAAATGCTGCATCAAAAGAAAGGTTCAACTCTGTTAGTTGAGGACACACATCACAAAGAAGTTTGCGAGAATGCTTCTGTCTAGATTTTGTATGACCATATTCCCTTTTCCAGCGATATCATTAAAGCAGTCTAAATATCCATTTGCAGAATCCACAAAAATAGAGTTTCAAAGCTGCTCTGTAAAAAGAAAGGTTCCACTCTGTTAGCTGAGTACACACATCACAAACTTGTTTCTGAGAATCCTTCTGTCTCGTTTTGATGGGAAGATATTTACTTTTTCACCGTAGGCATCAAAGCGCTCCAAATGTCCACATCCAGATACTCCAGAAACAGTGTTTCAAACCTGCTCTATGAAAGGGAATCTTCAACTCTATGAGTTGAATGCAGACATCAGAAAGAAATTTCTGAGAATGCTGCTGTCTATCTTTTATTTGAATTCCCGCTTCCAACGAAATCCTCCAAGCTATCCAAATATCCACTTGCATTTTCCACAAAAAGAGTGTTTCAAAACTGCTCTATCAATAGAAATGTTCAACTCCTTTAGCTGGGTACACACATCACAAACAAGTTTCTGAGAATGCTTCTGTCTAGTTTTTATGGGAAGACATTCCCTTTTTCACCAAAGGCATCAAAGCGCTCCAAATGTCCACTTCCAGACACTACAAAAAGAGTGTTTCAAACGTGCTCTAAGAAACCGGATGTTCAACTCTGTGACTTGAATGCAGATATCACAAAGTAGTTTCTGAGAGGGCTTCTGTCTAGATTTTAGATGATGATATTCCCGTTTCCAACGAAATCATTAGAGCTATCCAAATATCCACTTACAGTTTCTACAAAAAGAGTGTTTCCAAACTGCTGCATCAAAAGAGAGGTTCCACTCTGTTAGCTGAGTACACACATCACAAACTTGTTTCTGAGAATCCTCTGTGTCGTTTTTATGGGAAGATATTTACTTTTTCACCGTAGGCATCAAAGCGCTCCAAATGTCCACATCCAGATACTCCAGAAAGAGTGTTTCAAACCTGCTCTATGAAAGGGAATCTTCAACTCTATGAGTTGAATGCAGACATCAGAAAGAAATTTCTGAGAATGCTGGCTGTCTACCTTTTATTTGAATTCCCGCTTCCAACGAAATCCTCCAAGCTATCCAAATATCCACTTGCAGATTCCACAAAAAGAGTGTTTCAAAACTGCTCTCTATCAATGGCAAAGTTCAACTCTGTTAGTTGAGGACACATATCACCAACAAGTTTCTGAGAATGCTTCTGTCTATTTTTTATGGGAAGATATTTCCTTTTTCACTGTAGGCGTCAAGGCGATCGAAATGTCCACTTCCACAAACTACAAAAAGAGTGTTTCAAACCTGCTCTATGAAAGGCGATGTTCATCTCAATGAGTTGAATGGAAATATCCGAAAGAAATTTCTGGGAATGCTGCTGTCTTGTTTTTATATGAATTCCCGCTTCCAACGAAATCCTCAAAGCAATCCAAATATCCACTTGCAGAATCCACAAAAAGAGTGTTTCAAAACTGCTCTATCAATAGAAAGGTTCAACTCTTTTAGTTGAGTACACACATCACCAACAAGTTTCTGAGAATGCTTCTGTCTGGCTTTTATTGGAAGACGTTTCCTTTTCACCAAAGGCATCAAAGCGCTCCAAATGTCCACTTCCAGATTCTTCCAAAAGAGAGTTTCAAACGTGGTCGAAGTAAGGGAATGTTCAACTCTGTGACTTGAATGCAGATATCACCAAGTAGTTTCTAATAGTGCTTCTGTCTAGATTTTAGATGATGATATTCCCGTTTCCAACGAAATCGTTAGAGCTATCCAAATATCCACTTACAGTTTCTACAAAAAGAGTGTTTCCAAACTGCTGCATTAAAAGAAAGGTTCAACTCTGTTAGTTGAGGACACACATCACAAAGAAGTTTGTGAGAATGCTTCTGTCTAGATTTTGTATGAAGATATTCCCTTTTCCAACGATGTCGTTAAATCAACCCAAATGTCAATTTGCAGAATCCACAGAAATAGAGTTTCAAAGCTGCTCTGTAAGAAGAAAGGATCCACTCTGTTAGCTGAGTACACACATCACAAACTTGTTTCTGAGAATCCTTCTGTCTCGTTTTTATGGGAAGATATTTACTTTTCCACCGTAGGCATCAAAGCGCTCCAAATGTCCACATCCAGATACTCCAGAAGGAGTGTTTCAAACCTGCTCTACGAAAGGGAATCTTCAACTGTATGAGTTGAATGCAGACATCAGAAAGAAATTTCTGAGAATGCTGCTGTCTACCTTTTATTTGAATTCCCGCTTCCAACGAAATCCTCCAAGCTATCCAAATATCCACCTGCATTTTCCACAAAAAGAGTGTTTCAAAACTGCTCTATCAATAGAAATGTTCAACTCCTTTGGCTGGGTACACACATCACAAACAAGTTTCTGTGAATGCTTCTGTCTAGTTTTTATGGGAAGACGTTCCCTTTTTCACCAAAGGCATCAAAGCGCTCCAAATGTCCACTTCCAGACACTACAAAAAGAGTGTTTCAAACGTGCTCTAAGAAAGCGAATGTTCAACTCTGTGACTTGAATGCACATATCACAAAGTAGTTTCTGAGAGGGCTTCTCTCTAGATTTTAGATGATGATATTCCCGTTTCCAACGAAATCATTAGAGCTATCCAAATATCCACTTACAGTTTCTACAAAAAGAGTGTTTCCAAACTGCTGCATCAAAAGAGAGGTTCCACTCTGTTAGCTGAGTACACACATCACAAACTTGTTTCTCAGAATCCTTCTGTCTCGTTTTTATGGGAAGATATTTACTTTTCCACCGTAGGCATCAAAGCGCTCCAAATGTCCACATCCAGATACTCCAGAAAGAGTGTTTCAAACCTGCTCTATGAAAGGGAATCTTCAACTCTATGAGTTGAATGCAGACATGAGAAAGAAATTTCTGAGAATGCTGCTGTCTACCTTTTATTTGAATTCCCGCTTCCAACGAAATCCTCCAAGCTATCCAAATATCCACCTGCATTTTCCACAAAAAGAGCGTTTCAAAACTGCTCTATCAATAGAAATGTTCAACTCCTTTAGCTGGGTACACACATCACAAACAAGTTTCTGAGAATGCTTCTGTCTAGTTTTTATGGGAAGACATTTCCTTTTTCACCAAAGGCATCAAAGAGCTCCAAATGTCCACTTCCAGATACTACAAAAAGAGTGTTTCAAAAGTGCTGTAAGAAAGCGAATGTTCAACTCTGTGACTTGAATGCAGATATCACAAAGTAGTTTCTGAGAGCGCTTCTGTCTAGATTTTAGATGATGATATTCCCGTTTCCAACGAAATCATTAGAGCTATCCAAATATCCACTTACAGTTTCTACAAAAAGAGTGTTTCCAAACTGCTGCATCAAAAGAGAGGTTCCACTCTGTTAGCTGAGTACACACATCACAAACTTTTTTCTCAGAATCCTTCTGTCTCGTTTTTATGGGAAGATATTTACTTTTTCACCGTAGGCATCAAAGCGCTCCAAATGTCCACATCCAGATACTACAGAAAGAGTATTTCAAACCTGCCCTATGAAAGGGAATGCTCAACTCTATGAGTTGAATGCAGACATCAGAAAGAAATTTCTGAGAATGCTGCTGTCTACCTTTTATTTGAATTCCCGCTTCCAACGAAATCCTCCAAGCTATCCAAATATCCACTTGCAGATTCCACAAAAAGAGTGTTTCAAAACTGCTCTCTATCAATGGCAAAGTTCAACTCTGTTAGTTGAGGACACATATCACCAACAAGTTTCTGAGAATGCTTCTGTCTATTTTTTATGGGAAGATATTTCCTTTTTCACTGTAGGCGTCAAGGCGATCGAAATGTCCACTTCCACAAACTACAAAAAGAGTGTTTCAAACCTGCTCTATGAAAGGCGATGTTCATCTCAATGAGTTGAATGGAAATATCCGAAAGAAATTTACTGGGAATGCTGCTGTCTACATTTCATTTGAATTCCCGCTTCCAACGAAATCCTCCAAGCTATCCAAATATCCACTTGCAGATTCCACAAAAAGAGTGTTTCAAAACTGCTCTATCAATAGAAAGGTTCAACTCTTTTAGTTGAGTACACACATCACAAACAAGTTTCTGAGAATGCTTCTGTCTGGCTTTTATTGGAAGACGTTTCCTTTTCACCAAAGGCATCAAAGCGCTCCAAATGTCCACTTCCAGATTCTTCCAAAAGAGTGTATCAAACGTGCTCAAAGTAAGGGAATGTTCAACTCTGTGACTTGAATGCAGATATCACCAAGTAGTTTCTAATAGTGCTTTTGTCTACATTTTAGATGATGATATTCCCGTTTCCAACGAAATCGTTAGAGCTATCCAAATATCCAGTTACAGTTTCTACCAAAAGGGTGTTTCCAAATTGCTGCATCAAAAGAAAGGTTCAACTCTGTTAGTTGAGGACACACATCACAAAGAAGTTTGTGAGAATGCTTCTGTCTAGATTTTGTATGACGATATTCCCTTTTCCACGATATCGTTAAAGCAATCTAAATATCAATTTGCAGAATCCACAAAAATAGAGTTTCAAAGCTGCTCTGTAAAAAGAAAGGTTCCACTCTGTTAGCTGAGTACACACATCACAAACTTGTTTCTGAGAATCCTTCTGTCTCGTTTTTATGGGAAGATTATACTTTTTCACTGTAGGCATCAAAGCGCTCCAAATGTCCACATCCAGATACTACAGAAAGAGTGTTTCAAACCTGCTCTATGAAAGGGAATCTTCAACTCTATGAGTTGAATGCAGACATCAGAAAGAAATTTCTGAGAATGCTGCTGTCTACCTTTTATTTGAATTCCCGCTTCCAACGAAATCCTCCAAGCTATCCAAATATCCACTTGCAGATTCCACAAAAAGAGTGTTTCAAAACTGCTCTCTATCAATGGCAAAGTTCAACTCTGTTAGTTGAGGACACATATCACCAACAAGTTTCTGAGAATGCTTCTGTCTATTTTTTATGGGAAGATATTTCCTTTTTCACCGTAGGCGTCAAGGCGATCGAAATGTCCACTTCCGCAAACTACAAAAAGAGTGTTTCAAACCTGCTCTATGAAAGGCCATGTTCATCTCTATGAGTTGAATGGAAATATCCGAAAGAAATTTCTGGGAATGCTGCTGTCTAGTTTTTATACAAATTCCCGCTTCCAACGATATCCTCAAAGCAATCCAAATATCCACTTGCAGAATCCACAAAAAGAGTGTTTCAAAACTGCTCTATCAATAGAAAGGTTCAACTCTTTTAGTTGAGTACACACATCACAAACAAGTTTCTGAGAATGCTTCTGTCTGGCTTTTATTGGAAGACGTTTCCTTTTCACCAAAGGCATCAAGGCGCTCCAAATGTCCACTTCCAGATTCTTCCAAAAGAGTGTTTCAAACGTGCTCAAAGTAAGGGAATGTTCAACTCTGTGACTTGAATGCAGATATCACCAAGTAGTTTCTAATAGTGCTTCTGTCTAGATTTTAGATGATGATATTCCCGTTTCCAACGAAATCGTTAGAGCTATCCAAATATCCAGTTACAGTTTCGACCAAAAGGGTGTTTCCAAATTGCTGCATCAAAAGAAAGGTTCAACTCTGTTAGTTGAGGACACACATCACAAAGAAGTTTGTGAGAATGCTTCTGTCCAGATTTTGTATGACGATATTCCCTTTTCCAACGATATCGTTAAAGCAATCTAAATATCCATTTGCAGAATCCACAAAAATAGAGTTTCAAAGCTGCTCTGTAAAAAGAAAGGTTCCACTCTGTTAGCTGAGTACACACATCTCAAACTTGTTTCTCAGAATCCTTCTGTCTCGTTTTTATGACAAGATATTTACTTTTTCACCATAGGCATGAAAGCGCTCCAAATGTCCACATCCAGATACTCCAGAAAGAGTGTTTCAAACCTGCTCTATGAAAGGGAATCTTAAACTCTATGAGTTGAATGCAGACATCAGAAAGAAATTTCTGAGAATGCTGCTGTCTACCTTTTATTGGAATTCCCGCTTCCAACGAAATCCTCCAAGCTATCCAAATATCCACTTGCAGATTCCACAAAAAGAGTGTTTCAAAACTGCTCTCTATCAATGGCAAAGTTCAACTCTGTTAGTTGAGGACACATATCACCAACAAGTTTCTGAGAATGCTTCTGTCTATTTTTTATGGGAAGATATTTCCTTTTTCACCGTAGGCGTCAAGGCGATCGAAATGTCCACTTCCACAAACTACAAAAAGAGTGTTTCAAACCTGCTCTATGAAAGGCCATGTTCATCTCTATGAGTCGAATGGAAATATCCGAAAGAAATTTCTGGGAATGCTGCTGTCTAGTTTTTATACGAATTCCCGCTTCCAACGAAATCCTCAAAGCAATCCAAATATCCACTTGCAGAATCCACAAAAAGAGTGTTTCAAAACTGCTCTATCAATAGAAAGGTTCAACTCTTTTAGTTGAGTACACACATCACAAACAAGTTTCTGAGAATGCTTCTGTCTGGCTTTTATTGGAAGACGTTTCCTTTTCACCAAAGGCATCATAGCGCTCCAAATGTCCACTTCCAGATTCTTCCAAAAGAGTGTTTCAAACGTGCTCAAAGTAAGGGAATGTTCAACTCTGTGACTTGAATGCAGATATCACCAAGTAGTTTCTAATAGTGCTTCTGTCTAGATTTTAGATGATGATATTCCCGTTTCCAACGAAATCGTTAGAGCTATCCAAATATCCACTTACAGTTTCTACCAAAAGGGTGTTTCCAAACTGCTGCATCAAAAGAAAGGTTCAACTCTGTTAGTTGAGGACACACATCACAAAGAAGTTTGTGAGAATACTTTCTGTCTAGAATTTTGTATGACGATATTCCCTTTTCCAACGATATCGTTAAAGCAATCTAAATACCAATTTGCAGAATCCACAAAAATAGAGTTTCAAAGCTGCTCTGTAAAAAGAAAGGTTCCACTCTGTTAGCTGAGTACACACATCACAAACTTGTTTCTCAGAATCCTCTGTGTCGTTTTTATGGGAAGATATTTACTTTTTCACCGTAGGCATCAAAGCGCTCCAAATGTCCACATCCAGATACTCCAGAAAGAGTGTTTCAAACCTGCTCTATGAAAGGGAATCTTCAACTCTATGAGTTGAATGCAGACATCAGAAAGAAATTTCTGAGAATGCTGCTGTCTACCTTTTATTTGAATTCCCGCTTCCAACGAAATCCTCCAAGCTATCCAAATATCCACTTGCAGATTCCACAAAAAGAGTGTTTCAAAACTGCTCTCTATCAATGGCAAAGTTCAACTCTGTTAGTTGAGGACACATATCACCAACAAGTTTCTGAGAATGCTTCTGTCTATTTTTTATGGGAAGATATTTCCTTTTTCACCGTAGGCGTCAAGGCGATCGAAATGTCCACTTCCACAAACTACAAAAAGTGTGTTTCAAACCTGCTCTATGAAAGGCCATGTTCATCTCTATGAGTCGAATGGAAATATCCGAAAGAAATTTCTGGGAATGCTGCTGTATAGTTTTTATACGAATTCCCGCTTCCAACGAAATCCTCAAAGCAATCCAAATATCCACTTGAAGAATCCACAAAAAGAGTGTTTCAAAACTGCTCTATCAATAGAAAGGTTCAAATCTTTTAGTTGAGTACACTCATCACGAACAAGTTTCTGAGAATGCTTCTGTCTGGCTTTTATTGGAAGACGTTTCCTTTTCACCAAAGGCATCAAAGCGCTCCAAATGTCCACTTCCAGATTCTTCCAAAAGAGTGTTTGAAAGGTGCTCAAAGTAAGGGAATGTTCAACTCTGTGACTTGAATGCAGATATCACCAAGTAGTTTCTAATAGTGCTTCTGTCTAGATTTTAGATGATGATATTACCGTTTCCAACAAAATCGTTAGAGCTATCCAAATATCCACTTACAGTTTCTACAAAAAGAGTGTTTCCAAACTGCTGCATCAAAAGAAAGGTTCAACTCTGTTAGTTGAGGACACACATCACAAAGAAGTTTGTGAGAATGCTTCCTGTCTAGATTTTGTATGACGATATTCCCTTTTCCAACGATATCGTTAAAGCAATCTAAATATCAATTTGCAGAATCCACAAAAATAGAGTTTCAAAGCTGCTCTGTAAAAAGAAAGGTTCCACTCTTTTAGCTGAGTACACACATCACAAACTTGTTTCTGAGAATCCTTCTGTCTAGTTTTTATGGGAAGATATTTACTTTTTCACCGTAGGCATCAAAGCGCTCCAAATGTCCACATCCAGATACTCCAGAAAGAGTGTTTCAAACCTGCTCTATGAAAGGGAATCTTCAACTCTATGAGTTGAATGCAGACATCAGAAAGAAATTTCTGAGAATGCTGCTGTCTACCTTTTATTTGAATTCCCGCTTCCAACGAAATCCTCCAAGCTATCCAAATATCCACTTGCATTTTCCACAAAAAGAGTGTTTCAAAACTAATCTATCAATAGAAATGTTCAACTCCTTTAGCTGGGTACACACATCACAAACAAGTTTCTGAGAATGCTTCTGTCTAGTTTTTATGGGAAGACATTCCCTTTTTCACCAAAGGCATCAAAGCGCTCCAAATGTCCACTTCCAGACACTACAAAAAGAGTGTTTCAAACGTGCTCTAAGAAAGCGAATGTTCAACTCTGTGACTTGAATGCAGATATCACAATGTAGTTTCTGAGAGGGCTTCTGTCTAGATTTTAGATGATGATATTCCCGTTTCCAACGAAATCATTAGAGCTATCCAAATATCCACGTACAGTTTCTACAAAAAGAGTGTTTCCAAACTGCTGCATCAAAAGAGAGGTTCCACTCTGTTAGCTGAGTACACACATCACAAACTTGTTTCTCAGAATCCTTCTGTCTAGTTTTTACGGGAAGATATTTACTTTTTCACCGTAGGTATCAAAGCGCTCCAAATGTCCACATCCAGATACTACAGAAAGAGTGTTTCAAACCTGCTCTATGAAAGGGAATCTTCAACTCTATGAGTTGAATGCAGACATCAGAAAGTAATTTCTGAGAATGCTGCTGTCTACCTTTCATTTGAATTCCCGCTTCCAACGAAATCCTCCAAGCTATCCAAATATTCACTTGCAGATTCCACAAAAAGAGTGTTTCAAAACTACTCTATCAATAGAAAGGTACAACTGTGTCAGTTGAGGACACACATCACAAACAAGTTTCTGAGAATTCTTCAATTTTTTATGGGAAGACATTTCCTTTTTCACCGTAGGCATCAAAGCGCTCCAAATGTCCACATCCAGATAGTACAGAAAGAGTGTTTCAAACCTGCTCTATTAAAGGGAATGTTCAACTCTATGAGTTGAATGCAAACATCAGGAAGAAATTTCTGAGAATGCTGCTGTCTAGTGTTTATATGAATTCCCGCTTCCAACGAAATCCTCAAAGCAATCCAAATATCCACTTGCAGAATCCACAAAAAGAGTGTTTCAAAACTGCTCTATCAATAGAAAGGTTCAACTCTTTTAGTTGAGTACACACATCACGAACAAGTTTCTGAGAATGCTTCTGTCTGGCTTTTATTGGAAGACGTTTCCTTTTCACCAAAGGCATCAAAGCGCTCCAAATGTCCACTTCCAGATTCTTCCAAAAGAGTGTTTCAAACGTGCTCAAAGTAAGGGAATGTTCAACTCTGTGACTTGAATGCAGATATCACCAAGTAGTTTCTAATAGTGCTTCTGTCTAGATTTTAGATGATGATATTCCCGTTTCCAACGAAATCGTTAGAGCTATCCAATAATGCACTTACAGTTTCTACAAAAAGAGTGTTTCCAAACTGCTGCATCAAAAGAAAGGTTCAACTCTGTTAGTTGAGGACACACATCACAAAGAAGTTTGTGAGAATGCTTCTGTCTAGATTTTGTATGACCATATTCCCTTTTCCAACGATATCGTTAAAGCAATCTAAATATCAATTTGCAGAATCCACAAAAATAGAGTTTCAAAGCTGCTCTGTAAAAAGAAAGGTTCCACTCTGTTAGCTGAGTACACACATCACAAACTTGTTTCTGAGAATCCTTCTGTCTCGTTTTTATGGGAAGATATTTACTTTTCCACCGTAGGCATCAAAGCGCTCCAAATGTCCACATCCAGATACTCCAGAACGAGTGTTTCAAACCTGCTCTACGAAAGGGAATCTTCAACTCTATGAGTTGAATGCAGACATCAGAAAGAAATTTCTGAGAATGCTGCTGTCTACCTTTTATTTGAATTCCCGCTTCCAACGAAATCCTCCAAGCTATCCAAATATCCACTTGCATTTTCCACAACAAGAGTGTTTCAAAACTGCTCTATCAATAGAAATGTTCAACTCCTTTGGCTGGGTACACACATCACAAACAAGTTTCTGAGAATGCTTTTGTCTAGTTTTTATGGGAAGACATTCCCTTTTTCACCAAAGGCATCAAAGCGCTCCAAATGTCCACTTCCAGACACTACAAAAAGAGTGTTTCCAACGTGCTCTAAGAAAGCGAATGTTCAACTCTGTGACTTGAATGCAGATATCACAAAGTAGTTTCTGAGAGGGCTTCTGTCTAGATTTTAGATGATGATATTCCCGTTTCCAACGAAATCATTAGAGCTATCCAAATATCCACTTACAGTTTCTACAAAAAGAGAGTTTCCAAACTGCTGCATCAAAAGAGAGGTTCCACTCTGTTAGCTGAGTACACACATCACAAACTTGTTTACTCAGAATCCTTCTGTCTCGTTTTTATGGGAAGATATTTACTTTTCCACCGTAGGCATCAAAGCGCTCCAAATGTCCACATCCAGATACTCCAGAACGAGTGTTTCAAACCTGCTCTATGAAAGGGAATCTTCAACTCTATGAGTTGAATGCAGACATCAGAAAGAAATTTCTGAGAATGATGCTGTCTACCTTTTATTTGAATTCCCGCTTCCAACGAAATCCTCCAAGCTATCCAAATATCCACTTGCAGATTCCACAAAAAGAGTGTTTCAAAACTGCTCTCTATCAATGGCAAAGTTCAACTCTGTTAGTTGAGGACACATATCACCAACAAGTTTCTGAGAATGCTTCTGTCTATTTTTTATGGGAAGATATTTCCTTTTTCACCGTAGGCGTCAAGGCGATCGAAATGTCCACTTCCACAAACTACAAAAAGAGTGTTTCAAACCTGCTCTATGAAAGGCGATGTTCATCTCTATGAGTTGAATGGAAATATCCGAAAGAAATTTCTGGGAATGCTGCTGTCTAGTTTTTATATGAATTCCCGCTTCCAACGAAATCCTCAAAGCAATCCAAATATCCACTTGCAGAATCCACAAAAAGAGTGTTTCAAAACTGCTCTATCAATAGAAAGGTTCAACTGCTTTTAGTTGAGTACACACATCACGAACAAGTTTCTGAGAATGCTTCTGTCTGGCTTTTATTGGAAGACGTTTCCTTTTCACCAAAGGCATCAAAGCGCTCCAAATGTCCACTTCCAGATTCTTCCAAAAGAGTGTTTCAAACGTGCTCGAAGTAAGGGAATGTTCTACTCTGTGACTTGAATGCAGATATCACCAAGTAGTTTCTAATAGTGCTTCTGTCTACATTTTAGATGATGATATTCCCGTTTCCAACGAAATCGTTAGAGCTATCCAAATATCCAGTTACAGTTTCTACCAAAAGGGTGTTTGCAAATTGCTGCATCAAAAGAAAGGTTCAACTCTGTTAGTTGAGGACACACATCACAAAGAAGTTTGTGAGAATGCTTCTGTCTAGATTTTGTATGACGATATTCCCTTTTCCAACGATATCGTTAAAGCAATCTAAATATCGATTTGCAGAATCCACAAAAATAGAGTTTCAAAGCTGCTCTGTAAAAAGAAAGGTTCCACTCTGTTAGCTGAGTACACACATCACAAACTTGTTTCTCAGAATCCTTCTTCAATTTTTTATGGGAAGACATTTCCTTTTTCACCGTAGGCGTCAAAGCGCTCCAACTGTCCACATCCAGATAGTACAGAAAGAGTGTTTCAAACCTGCTCTATTAAAGGGAATGTTCAACTCTATGAGTTGAATGCAAACATCACAAAGAAATTTCTGAGAATGCTGCTGTCTACCTTTTATTTGAATTCCCGCTTCCAACGAAATCCTCCAAGCTATCCAAATATCCACCTGCATTTTCCACAAAAAGAGTGTTTCAAAACTGCTCTATCAATAGAAATGTTCAACTCCTTTGGCTGGGTACACACATCACAAACAAGTTTCTGAGAATGTTTCTGTCTAGTTTTTATGGGAAGACGTTCCCTTTTTCACCAAAGGCATCAAAGCGCTCCAAATGTCCACTTCCAGACACTACAAAAAGAGTGTTTCAAACGTGCTCTAAGAAAGCGAATGTTCAACTCTGTGACTTGAATGCAGATATCACAAAGTAGTTTCTGAGAGGACTTCTGTCTAGATTTTAGATGATGATATTCCCGTTTCCAACGAAATCATTAGAGCTATCCAAATATCCACTTACAGTTTCTACAAAAAGAGTGTTTCCAAACTGCTGCATCAAAAGAGAGGTTCCACTCTGTTAGCTGAGTACACACATCACAAACTTGTTTCTGAGTATCCTTCTGTCTCGTTTTTATGGGAAGAGATTTACTTTCTCACCGTAGGCATCAAAGCGCTCCAAATGTCCACATCCAGATACTACAGAAAGAGTATTTCAAACCTGTCCTATGAAAGGGAATGTTCAACTCTATGAGTTGAATGCAGACATCAGAAAGAAATTTCTGAGAATGCTGCTGTCTACCTTTTATTTGAATTCCCGCTTCCAACGAAATCCTCCAAGCTATCCAAATATTCACTTGCAGATTCCACAAAAAGAGTGTTTCAAAACTGCTCTCTATCAATGGCAAAGTTCAACTCTGTTAGTTGAGGACACATATCACCAACAAGTTTCTGAGAATGCTTCTGTCTATTTTTTATGGGAAGATATTTCCTTTTTCACCGTAGGCGTCAAGGCGATCGAAATGTCCACTTCCACAAACTACAAAAAGAGTGTTTCAAACCTGCTCTATGAAAGGCCATGTTCATCTCTATGAGTCGAATGGAAATATCCGAAAGAAATTTCTGGGAATGCTGCTGTCTAGTGTTTATACGAATTCCCGCTTCCAACGAAATCCTCAAAGCAATCCAAATATCCACTTGCAGAATCCGCAAAAAGAGTGTTTCAAAACTGCTCTATCAATAGAAAGGTTCAACTCTTTTAGTTGAGTACACACATCACGAACAAGTTTCTGAGAATGCTTCTGTCTGGCTTTTATTGGAAGACGTTTCCTTTTCACCAAAGGCATCAAAGCGCTCCAAATGTCCACTTCCAGATTCTTACAAAAGAGTGTTTGAAACGTGCTCAAAGTAAGGGAATGTTCAACTCTGTGACTTGAATGCAGATATCACCCAGTAGTTTCTAATAGTGCTTCTGTGTATACTTTAGATGAAGATATTCCCGTTTCCAACGATATCGTTAGACCTATCCAAATATCCACTTACAGTTTCTACAAAAAGAGTGTTTCCAAACTTCTGCATCAAAAGAAAGGTTCAACTCTGTTAGTTGAGGACAGACATCAGAAAGAAGTTTCTGAGAATGCTTCTGTCTGGATTTTGTATGAAGATATTCCCTTTTCCAACGATGTCGTTAAATCAACCCAAATATCAATTTGCAGAATCCACAGAAATAGAGTTTCAAAGCTGCTCTGTAAAAAGAAAGGATCCACTCTGTTAGCTGAGTACACACATCACAAACTTGTTTCTGAGAATCCTGCTGTCTACCTTTTATTTGAATTCCCGCTTCCAACGAAATCCTCCAAGCTATCCAAATATCCACTTGCAGATTCCACAAAAAGAGTGTTTCAAAACTGCTCTCTATCAATGGCAAAGTTCAACTCTGTTAGTTGAGGACACATATCACCAACAAGTTTCTGAGAATGCTTCTGTCTATTTTTTATGGGAAGATATTTCCTTTTTCACCGTAGGCGTCAAGGCGATCGAAATGTCCACTTCCACAAACTACAAAAAGAGTGTTTCAAACCTGCTCTATGAAAGGCCATGTTCATCTCTATGAGTTGAATGGAAATATCCGAAAGAAATTTCTGGGAATGCTGCTGTCTAGTGTTTATACGAATTCCCGCTTCCAACGAAATCCTCAAAGCAATCCAAATATCCACTTGCAGAATCCACAAAAAGAGTGTTTCAAAACTGCTCTATCAATAGAAAGGTTCAACTCTTTTAGTTGAGTACACACATCACAAACAAGTTTCTGAGAATGTTTCTGTCTGGCTTTTATTGGAAGACGTTTCCTTTTCACCAAAGGCATCAAAGCGCTGCAAATGTCCACTTCCAGATTCTTCCAAAAGAGTGTTTCAAACGTGCTCAAAGTAAGGGAATGTTCAACTCTGTGACTTGAATGCAGATATCACCAAGTAGTTTCTAATAGTGCTTCTGTCTAGATTTTAGATGATGATATTCCCGTTTCCAATGAAATAGTTAGAGCTATCCAAATATCCACTTACAGTTTCTACCAAAAGGGTGTTTCCAAACTGCTGCATCAAAAGAAAGGTTCAACTCTGTTAGTTGAGGACACACATCACAAAGAAGTTTGTGAGAATGCTTCTATCTAGATTTTGTATGACCATATTCCCTTTTCCAGCGATAACATTAAATCAATCTAAATATCCATTTGCAGAATCCACAAAAATAGAGTTTCAAAGCTGCTCTGTAAAAAGAAAGGTTCCACTCTGTTAGCTGAGTACACACATCACAAACTTGTTTCTCAGAATCCTTCTGTCTCGTTTTTCTGGGAAGATATTTACTTTTTCACCGTAGGCATCAAAGCGCTCCAAATGTCCACATCCAGATACTCCAGAAAGAGTGTTTCAAACCTGCTGCTATGAAAGGGAATCTTCAACTCTATGAGTTGAATGCAGACATCAGAAAGAAATTTCTGAGAATGCTGCTGTCTACCTTTTATTTGAATTCCCGCTTCCAACGAAATCCTCCAAGCTATCCAAATATCCACTTGCATTTTCCACAAAAAGAGTGTTTCAAAACTGCTCTATCAATGGAAATGTTCAACTCCTTTAGCTGGGTACACACATCACAAACAAGTTTCTGAGAATGCTTCTGTCTAGTTTTTATGGGAAGACATTCCCTTTTTCACCAAAGGCATCAAAGCGCTCCAAATGTCCACTTCCAAACACTACAAAAAGAGTGTTTCCAACGTGCTCTAAGAAAGCGAATGTTCAACTCTGTGACTTGAATGCAGATATCACAAAGTAGTTTCTGAGAGGGCTTCTGTCTAGATTTTAGATGATGATATTCCCGTTTCCAACGAAATCATTAGAGCTATCCAAATATCCACTTACAGTTTCTACAAAACGAGTGTTTCCAAACTGCTGCTTCAAAAGAGAGGTTCCACTCTGTTAGCTGAGTACACACATCACAAACTTCTTTCTGAGAATCCTTCTGTCTCGTTTTTATGGGAAGATTATACTTTTTCACCGTAGGCATCAAAGCGCTCCAAATGTCCACATCCAGATACTCCAGAAAGAGTGTTTCAAACCTGCTCTATGAAAGGGAATGTTCAACTCTATGAGTTGAATGCAGACATCAGAAAGAAATTTCTGAGAATGCTGCTGTCTACCTTTTATTTGAATTCCCGCTTCCAACGAAATCCTCCAAGCTATCCAAATATCCACTTGCAGATTCCACAAAAAGAGTGTTTCAAAACTGCTCTCTATCAATGGCAAAGTTCAACTCTGTTAGTTGAGGACACATATCACCAACAAGTTTCTGAGAATGCTTCTGTCTATTTTTTATGGGAAGATATTTCCTTTTTCACCGTAGGCGTCAAGGCGATCGAAATGTCCACTTCCACAAACTACAAAAAGAGTGTTTCAAACCTGCTCTATGAAAGGCCATGTTCATCTCTATGAGTTGAATGGAAATATCCGAAAGAAATTTCTGGGAATGCTGCTGTCTAGTTTTTATACGAATTCCCGCTTCCAACGAAATCCTCAAAGCAATCCAAATATCCACTTGCAGAATCCACAAAAAGAGTGTTTCAAAACTGCTCTATCAATAGAAAGGTTCAACTCTTTTAGTTGAGTACACACACCACAAACAAGTTTCTGAGAATGCTTCTGTCTGGCTTTTATTGGAAGACGTTTCCTTTTCACCAAAGGCATCAAAGCGCTCCAAATGTCCACTTCCAGATTCTTCCAAAAGAGTGTTTCAAACGTGCTCAAAGTAAGGGAATGTTCAACTCTGTGACTTGAATGCAGATATCACCAAGTAGTTTCTAATAGTGCTTCTGTCTAGATTTTAGATGATGATATTCCCGTTTCCAACGAAATCTTTAGAGCTATCCAAATATCCAGTTACAGTTTCTACCAAAAGGGTGTTTCCAAATTGCTGCATCAAAAGAAAGGTTCAACTCTGTTAGTTGAGGACACACATCACAAAGAAGTTTGTGAGAATGCTTCTTTCTAGATTTTGTATGACGATATTCCCTTTTCCAACGATATCGTTAAAGCAATCTAAATATCAATTTGCAGAATCCACAAAAATAGAGTTTCAAAGCTGCTCTGTAAAAAGAAAGGTTCCACTCTGTTAGCTGAGTACACACATCACAAACTTGTTTCTGAGAATCCTTCTGTCTCGTTTTTATGGGAACATATTTAGTTTTTCACCGTAGGCATCAAAGCGGTCCAAATGGCCACTTCCAGATACTCCAGAAAGAGTGTTTCAAACCTGCTCTATGAAAGGGAATCTTCAACTCTATGAGTTGAATGCAGACATCAGAAAGAAATTTCTGAGAATGCTGCTGTCTACCTTTTATTTGAATTCCCGCTTCCAACGAAATCCTCCAAGCTATCCAAATATCCACTTGCAGTTTCCACAAAAAGAGTGTATCAAAACTGCTCTATCAATAGAAATGTTCAACTCCTTTAGCTGGGTACACACATCACAAACAAGTTTCTGAGAATGCTTCTGTCTAGTTTTTATGGGAAGACGTTCCCTTTTTCACCAAAGCCATCAAAGCGCTCCAAATGTCCACTTCCAGACACTACAAAAAGAGTGTTTCAAACGTGCTCTAAGAAAGCGAATGTTCAACTCTGTGACTTGAATGCAGATATCACAAAGTAGTTTCTGAGAGTGCTTCTGTCTAGATTTTAGATGATGATATTCCCGTTTCCAACGAAATCATTAGAGCTATCCAAATATCCACTTACAGTTTCTACAAAAAGAGTGTTTCCAAACTGCTGCATCAAAAGAGAGGTTCCACTCTGTTATCTGAGTACACACATCACAAACTTGTTTCTCAGAATCCTTCTGTCTCGTTTTTATGGGAAGATATTTACTTTTCCACCGTAGGCATCAAAGCGCTCCAAATGTCCACATCCAGATACTCCAGAAAGAGTGTTTCAAACCTGCTCTATGAAAGGGAATCTTCAACTCTATGAGTTGAATGCAGACATCAGAAAGAAATTTCTGAGAATGCTGCTGTCTACCTTTTATTTGAATTCCCGCTTCCAACGAAATCCTCCAAGCTATCCAAATATCCACTTGCAGATTCCACAAAAAGAGTGTTTCAAAACTGCTCTCTATCAATGGCAAAGTTCAACTCTGTTAGTTGAGGACACATATCACCAACAAGTTTCTGAGAATGCTTCTGTCTATTTTTTATGGGAAGATATTTCCTTTATCACCGTAGGCGTCAAGGCGATCGAAATGTCCACTTCCACAAACTACAAAAAGAGTGTTTCAAACCTGCTCTATGAAAGGCCATGTTCATCTCTATGAGTTGAATGGAAATATCCGAAAGAAATTTCTGGGAATGCTGCTGTCTAGTGTTTATACGAATTCCCGCTTCCAACGAAATCCTCAAAGCAATCCAAATATCCACTTGCAGAATCCACAAAAAGAGTGTTTCAAAACTGCTCTATCAATAGAAAGGTTCAACTCTTTTAGTTGAGTACACACATCACGAACAAGTTTCTGAGAATGCTTCTGTCTGGCTTTTATTGGAAGACGTTTCCTTTTCACCAAAGGCATCAAAGCGCTCCAAATGTCCACTTCCAGATTCTTCCAAAAGAGTGTTTCAAACGTGCTCGAAGTAAGGGAATGTTCTACTCTGTGACTTGAATGCAGATATCACCAAGTAGTTTCTAATAGTGCTTCTGTCTAGATTTTAGATGATGATATTCCCGTTTACAACGAAATCGTTAGAGCTATCCAAATATCCAGTTACAGTTTCTACCAAAAGGCTGTTTCCAAATTGCTGCATCAAAAGAAAGGTTCAACTCTGTTAGTTGAGGACACACATCACAAAGAAGTTTGTGAGAATGCTTCTGTCTAGATTTTGTATGACGATATTCCCTTTTCCAACGATATCGTTAAAGCAATCTAAATATCAATTTGCAGAATCCACAGAAATAGAGTTTCAAAGCTGCTCTGTAAAAAGAAAGGTTCCACTCTGTTAGCTGAGTACACACATCACAAACTTGTTTCTCAGAATCCTTCTGTCTCGTTTTTATGGGAAGATATTTACTTTTCCACCGTAGGCATCAAAGCGCTCCAAATGTCCACATCCAGATACTCCAGAACGAGTGTTTCAAACCTGCTCTATGAAAGGGAATCTTCAACTCTATGAATTGAATGCAGACATCAGAAAGAAATTTCTGAGAATGCTGCTGTCTACCTTTTATTTGAATTCCCGCTTCCAACGAAATCCCCCAAGCAATCCAAATATCCACTTGCATTTTCCACAAAAAGAGTGTTTCAAAACTGCTCTATCAATAGAAATGTTCAACTCCTTTAGCTGGGTACACACATCACAAACAAGTTTCTGAGAATGCTTCTGTCTAGTTTTTATGGGTAGACATTCCCTTTTTCACCAAAGGAATCAAAGCGCTCCAAATGTCCACTTCCAGACACTACAAAAAGAGTCTTTCAAACGTGCTCTAAGAAAGGGAATGTTCAACTCTGTGACTTGAATGCAGATATCACAAAGTAGTTTCTGAGAGTGCTTCTGTCTAGATTTTAGATGATGATATTCCCGTTTCCAATGAAATCATTAGAGCTATCCAAATATCCACATACAGTTTCTACAAAAAGAGTGTTTCCAAACTGCTGCATCAAAAGAGAGGTTCCACTCTGTTAGCTGAGTACACACATCACAAACTTGTTTCTTAGAATCCTTCTGTCTCGTTTTTATGGGAAGATATTTACTTTCTCACCGTAGGCATCAAAGCGCTCCAAATGTCCACATCCAGATACTCCAGAAAGAGTGTTTCAAACCTGCTCTATGAAAGGGAATCTTCAACTCTATGACTTGAATGCAGACATCAGAAAGAAATTTCTGAGAATGCTGCTGTCTACCTTTTATTTGAATTCCCGCTTCCAACGAAATCCTCCAAGGTATCCAAATATCCACTTGCAGATTCCACAAAAAGAGTGTTTCAAAACTGCTCTCTATCAATGGCAAAGTTCAACTCTGTTAGTTGAGGACACATATCACCAACAAGTTTCTGAGAATGCTTCTGTCTATTTTTTATGGGAAGATATTTCCTTTTTCACCGTAGGCGTCAAGGCGATCGAAATGTCCACTTCCACAAACTACAAAAAGAGTGTTTCAAACCTGCTCTATGAAAGGCCATGTTCATCTCTATGAGTCGAATGGAAATATCCGAAAGAAATTTCTGGGAATGCTGCTGTCTAGTGTTTATACGAATTCCCGCTTCCAACGAAATCCTCAAAGCAATCCAAATATCCACTTGCAGAATCCACAAAAAGAGTGTTTCAAAACTGCTCTATCAATAGAAAGGTTCAACTCTTTTAGTTGAGTACACACATCACGAATAAGTTTCTGAGAATGCTTCTGTCTGGCTTTTATTGGAAGACGTTTCCTTTTCACCAAAGGCATCAAAGCGCTCCAAATGTCCACTTCCAGATTCTTCCAAAAGAGTGTTTCAAACGTGCTGAAAGTAAGGGAATGTTCAACTCTTTGACTTGAATGCAGATATCACCAAGTAGTTTCTAATAGTGCTTCTGTCTAGATTTTAGATGATGATATTCCCGTTTCCAACGAAATCGTTAGAGCTATCCAAATATCCACTTACAGTTTCTACCAAAAGGGTGTTTCCAAACTGCTGCATCAAAAGAAAGCTTCAACTCTGTTAGTTGAGGACACACATCACAAAGAAGTTTGTGAGAATGCTTCTGTCTAGATTTTGTATGACCATATTCCCTTTTCCAGCGATATCATTAAAGCAATCTAAATATCCATTTGCAGAATCCACAAAAATAGAGTTTCAAAGCTGCTCTGTAAAAAGAAAGGTTCCACTCTGTTAGCTGAGTACACACATCACAAACTTGTTTCTGAGAATCCTTCTGTCTCGTTTTTATGGGAAGATATTTACTTTTTCACCGTAGGCATCAAAGCGCTCCAAATGTCCACATCCAGATACTCCAGAAAGAGTGTTTCAAATCTGCTCTATGAAAGGGAATCTTCAACTCTATGAGTTGAATGCAGACATCAGAAAGAAATTTCTGAGAATGCTGCTGTCTACCTTTTATTTGAATTCCCGCTTCCAACGAAATCCTCCAAGCTCTCCAAATATCCACTTGCATTTTCCACAAAAAGAGTGTTTCAAAACTGCTCTATCAATAGAAATGTTCAACTCCTTTAGCTGGGTACACACATCACAAACAAGTTTCTGAGAATGCTTCTGTCTAGTTTTTATGGGAAGACATTCCCTTTTTCACCAAAGGCATCAAAGCGCTCCAAATGTCCACTTCCAGACACTACAAAAAGAGTGTTTCCAACGTGCTCTAAGAAAGCGAATGTTCAACTCTGTGACTTGAATGCAGATATCACAAAGTAGTTTCTGAGAGGGCATCTCTCTAGATTTTAGATGATGATATTCCCGTTTCCAACGAAATCATTAGAGCTATCCAAATATCCACTTACAGTTTCTACAAAAAGAGTGTTTCCAAACTACTGCATCAAAAGAGAGGTTCCACTCTGTTAGCTGAGTACACACATCACAAACTTGTTTCTCAGAATCCTTCTGTGTCGTTTTTATGGGAAGATATTTACTTTTTCACCGTAGGCATCAAAGCGCTCCAAATGTCCACATCCAGATACTCCAGAAAGAGTGTTTCAAACCTGCTCTATGAAAGGGAATCTTCAACTCTATGAGTTGAATGCAGACATCAGAAAGAAATTTCTGAGAATGCTGCTGTCTACCTTTCATTTGAATTCCCGCTTCCAACGAAATCCTCCAAGCTATCCAAATATTCACTTGCAGATTCCACAAAAAGAGTGTTTCAAAACTACTCTATCAATAGAAAGGTACAACTCTGTCAGTTGAGGACACACATCACAAACAAGTTTCTGAGAATTCTTCTGTCTATTTTTTATGGGAAGATATTTCCTTTTTCACCGTAGGCGTCAAGGCGATCGAAATGTCCACTTCCACAAACTACAGAAAGAGTGTTTCAAACCTGCTCTATGAAAGGCCATGTTCATCTCTATGAGTTGAATGGAAATATCCGAAAGAAATTTCTGGGAATGCTGCTGTCTAGTGTTTATACGAATTCCCGCTTCCAACGAAATCCTCAAAGCAATCCAAATATCCACTTGCAGAATCCACAAAAAGAGTGTTTCAAAACTGCTCTATCAATAGAAAGGTTCAACTCTTTTAGTTGAGTACACACATCACGGACAAGTTTCTCAGAATGCTTCTGTCTGGCTTTTATTGGAAGACGTTTCCTTTTCACCAAAGGCATCAAAGCGCTCCAAATGTCCACTTCCAGATTCTTCCAAAAGAGTGTTTCAAACGTGCTCAAAGTAAGGGAATGTTCAACTCTTTGACTTGAATGCAGATATCACCAAGTAGTTTCTAATAGTGCTTCTGTCTAGATTTTAGATGATGATATTCCCGTTTCCAACGAAATCGCTAGAGCTATCCAAATATCCAGTTACAGTTTCTACCAAAAGGGTGTTTCCAAATTGCTGCATCAAAAGAAAGGTTCAACTCTGTTAGTTGAGGACACACATCACAAAGAAGTTTGTGAGAATGCTTCTGTCTAGATTTTGTATGAAGATATTCCCTTTTCCAACGATATCGTTAAATCAACCCAAATATCAATTTGCAGAATCCACAGAAATAGAGTTTCAAAGCTGCTCTGTAAAAAGAAAGGATCCACTCTGTTAGCTGAGTACACACATCACAAACTTGTTTCTGAGAATCCTTCTGTCTCGTTTTTATGGGAAGATATTTACTTTTCCACCGTAGGCATCAAAGCGCTCCAAATGTCCACATCCAGATACTCCAGAACGAGTGTTTCAAACCTGCTCTATGAACGGGAATCTTCAACTCTATGAGTTGAATGCAGACATCAGAAAGAAATTTCTGAGAATGCTGCTGTCTATCTTTTATTTGAATTCCCGCTTCCAATGAAAACCTCCAAGCTATCCAAATATCCACTTGCAGATTCCACAAAAAGAGTGTTTCAAAACTGCTCTATCAATAGAAATATTCAACTCCTTTCGCTGGGTACACACATCACAAACAAGTTTCTGAGAATGCTTCTGTCTAGCTTTTATGGGAAGACATTTCCTTTTTCACCAAAGGCATCAAAGAGCTCCAAATGTCCACTTCCAGATACTACAAAAAGAGTGTTTCAAAAGTGCTCTAAGAAAGCGAATGTTCAACTCTGTGACTTGAATGCAGATATCACAAAGTAGTTTCTGAGAGTGCTTCAGTCTAGATTTTAGATGATGATATTCCCGTTTCCAATGAAATCATTAGAGCTTTCCAAATATCCACTTACAGTTTCTACAAAAAGAGTGTTTCCAAACTGCTGCATCAAAAGAGAGGTTCCACTCTGTTAGCTGAGTACACACATCACAAACTTGTTTCTGAGAATCCTTCTGTCTCGTTTTTATGGGAAGATATTTACTTTTGCACCGTAGGCATCAAAGCGCTCCAAATGTCCACATCCAGATACTCCAGAACGAGTGTTTCAAACCTGCTCTATGAAAGGGAATCTTCAACTCTATGAGTTGAATGCAGACATCAGAAAGAAATTTCTGAGAATGCTGCTGTCTACCTTTTATTTGAATTCCCGCTTCCAACGAAATCCTCCAAGCTATCCAAATATCCACTTGCAGATTCCACAAAAAGACTGTTTCAAAACTGCTCTCTATCAATGGCAAAGTTCAACTCTGTTAGTTGAGGACACATATCACCAACAAGTTTCTGAGAATGCTTCTGTCTATTTTTTATGGGAAGATATTTCCTTTTTCACCGTAGGCATCAAGGCGATTGAAATGTCCACTTCCACAAACTACAAAAAGAGTGTTTCAAACCTGCTGTATGAAAGGCCATGTTCACCTCTATGAGTTGAATGGAAATATCCGAAAGAAATTTCTGGGAATGCTGCTGTCTAGTGTTTATACGAATTCCCGCTTCCAACGAAATCCTCAAAGCAATCCAAATATCCACTTGCAGAATCCACAAAAAGAGTGTTTCAAAACTGCTCTATCAATAGAAAGGTTCAACTCTTTTAGTTGAGTACACACATCACGAACAAGCTTCTGAGAAGGCTTCTGTCTGGCTTTTATTGGAAGACGTTTCCTTTTCACCAAAGGCATCAAAGCGTTCCAAATGTCCACTTCCAGATTCTTCCAAAAGAGTGTTTCAAACGTGCTCAAAGTAAGGGAATGTTCAACTCTTTGACTTGAATGCAGATATCACCAAGTAGTTTCTAGATCTGTCTACATTTTAGATGATGATATTCCCGTTTCCAACGAAATCGTTAGAGCTATCCAAATATCCAGTTACAGTTTCTACCAAAAGGGTGTTTCCAAATTGCTGCATCAAAAGAAAGGTTCAACTACTGTTAGTTGAGGACACACATCACAAAGAAGTTTGTGAGAATGCTTCTGTCTAGATTTTGTATGAGGATATTCCCTTTTCCAACGATATCGTTAAAGCAATCTAAATATCAATTTGCAGAATCCACAAAAATAGAGTTTGAAAGCTGCTCTGTAAAAAGAAAGGTTCCACTCTGTTAGCTGAGTACACACATCACAAACTTGTTTCTCAGAATCCTGCTGTCTACCTTTTATTTGAATTCCCGCTTCCAACGAAATCCTCCAAGCTATCCAAATATCCTCCTGCATTTTCCACAACAAGAGTGTTTCAAAACTGCTCTATCAATAGAAATGTTCAACTCCTTTGGCTGGGTACACACATCACAAACAAGTTTCCTGAGAATGCTTCTGTCTAGTTTTTATGGGAAGACATTTCCTTTTTCACCAAAGGCATCAAAGAGCTCCAAATGTCCACTTCTAGATACTACAAAAAGAGTGTTTCAAAAGTGCTCTAAGAAAGCGAATGTTCAACTCTGTGACTTGAATGCAGATATCAACAAGTAGTTTCTGAGAGTGCTTCTGTCTAGATTTTAGATGATGATATTCCCGTTTCCAACGAAATCATTAGAGCTATCCAAATAAACACTTACAGTTTCTACAAAAAGAGTGTTTCCAAACTGCTGCATCAAAAGAGAGGTTCCACTCTGTTAGCTGAGTACACACATCACAAACTTGTTTCTCAGAATCCTTCTGTCTCGTTTTTATGGGAAGATATTTACTTTCTCACCGTAGGCATCAAAGCGCTCCAAATGTCCACATCCAGATACTCCAGAAAGAGTGTTTCAAACCTGCTCTATGAAAGGGAATCTTCAACTCTATGAGTTGAATGCAGACATCAGAAAGAAATTTCTGAGAATGCTGCTGTCTACCTTTTATTTGAATTCCCGCTTCCAACGAAATCCTCCAAGCTATCCAAATATCCACTTGCAGATTCCACAAAAAGAGTGTTTCAAAACTGCTCTCTATCAATGGCAAAGTTCAATTCTGTTAGTTGAGGACACATATCACCAACAAGTTTCTGAGAATGCTTCTGTCTATTTTTTATGGGAAGATATTTCCTTTTTCACCGCAGGCGTCAAGGTGATCGAAATGTCTACTTCCACAAACTACAAAAAGAGTGTTTCAATATGAAAGGCCATGTTCATCTCTATGAGTTGAATGGAAATATCCGAAAGAAATTTCTGGGAATGCTGCTGTCTAGTGTTTATACGAATTCCCGCTTCCAACGAAATCCTCAAAGCAATCCAAATATCCACTTGCAGAATCCACAAAAAGAGTGTTTCAAAACTGCTCTATCAATAGAAAGGTTCAACTCTTTTAGTTGAGTACACACATCACGAACAAGTTTCTGAGAATGCTTCTGTCTGGCTTTTATTGGAAGACGTTTCCTTTTCACCAAAGGCATCAAAGCGCTCCAAATGTCCACTTCCAGATTCTTCCAAAAGAGTGTTTCAAACGTGCTCAAAGTAAGCGAATGTTCAACTCTGTGACTTGAATGCAGATATCACCAAGTAGTTTCTAATAGTGCTTCTGTCTATATTTTAGATGATGATATTCCCGTTTCCAACGAAATCGTTAGAGCTATCCAAATATCCAGTTACAGTTTCTACCAAAAGGGTGTTTCCAAATTGCTGCATCAAAAGAAAGGTTCAACTCTGTTAGTTGAGGACACACATCACAAAGAAGTTTGTGAGAATGCTTCTGTCTAGATTTTGTATGACGATATTCCGTTTTCCAACGATATCGTTAAAGCAATCTAAATATCAATTTGCAGAATCCACAAAAATAGAGTTTCAAAGCTGCTCTGTAAAAAGAAAGGTTCCACTCTGTTAGCTGAGTACACACATCACAAACTTGTTTCTGAGAATCCTTCTGTCTCGTTTTTATGGGAAGATATTTACTTTTCCACCGTAGGCATCAAAGCGCTCCAAATGTCCACATCCAGATACTCCAGAACGAGTGTTTCAAACCTGCTCTATGAAAGGGAATCTTCAACTGTATGAGTTGAATGCAGACATCAGAAAGAAATTTCTGAGAATGCTTGCTGTCTACCTTTTATTTGAATTCCCGCTTCCAACGAAAACCTACAAGCTATCCAAATATCCACTTGCAGATTCCACAAAAAGAGTGTTTCAAAACTGCTCTATCAATAGAAATGTTCAACTCCTTTCGCTGGGTACACACATCACAAACAAGTTTCTGAGAAAGCTTCTGTCTAGTTTTTATGGGAAGATATTCCCTTTTTCACCAAAGGCATCAAAGCGCTCCAAATTTCCACTTCCAGACACTACAAAAAGAGTGTTTCAAACGTGCTCTAAGAAAGCGAATGTTCAACTCTGTGACTTGAATGCAGATATCACAAAGTAGTTTTTGAGAGGGCTTCTGTCTAGATTTTAGATGATGATATTCCCGTTTCCAACGAAATCATTAGAGCTATCCAAATATCCACTTACAGTTTCTACAAAAAGAGTGTTTCCACACTGCTGCATCAAAAGAGAGGTTCCACTCTGTTAGCTGAGTACACACATCACAAACTTGTTTCTCAGAATCCTTCTGTCTCGTTTTTATGGGAAGATATTTACTTTTTCACCGTAGGCATCAAAGCGCTCCAAATGTCCACATCCAGATACTCCAGAAAGAGTGTTTCAAACCTGCTCTATGAAAGGGAATGTTCAACTCTATGAGTTGAATGCGGACATCAGAAAGAAATTTCTGAGAATGCTGCTGTCTACCTTTAATTTGAATTCCCGCTTCCAACGACATCCTCCAAGCTATCCAAATATCCACTTGCAGATTCCACAAAAAGAGTGTTTCAAAACTGCTCTCTATCAATGGCAAAGTTCAACTCTGTTAGTTGAGGACACATATCACCAACAAGTTTCTGAGAATGCTTCTGTCTATTTTTTATGGGAAGATATTTCCTTTTTCACCGTAGGCGTCAAGGCGATCGAAATGTCCACTTCCACAAACTACAAAAAGAGTGTTTCAAACCTGCTCTATGAAAGGCCATGTTCATCTCTATGAGTTGAATGGAAATATCCGAAAGAAATTTCTGGGAATGCTGCTGTCTAGTGTTTATACGAATTCCCGCTTCCAACGAAATCCTCAAAGCAATCCAAATATCCACTTGCAGAATCCACAAAAAGAGCGTTTCAAAACTGCTCTATCAATAGAAAGGTTCAACTCTTTTAGTTGAGTACACACATCACGAACAAGTTTCTGAGAATGCTTCTGTCTGGCTTTTATTGGAAGACGTTTCCTTTTCACCAAAGGCATCAAAGGGCTCCAAATGTCCACTTCCAGATTCTTCCAAAAGAGTGTTTCAAACGTGCTCGAAGTAAGGGAATGTTCAACTCTGTGACTTGAATGCAGATATCACCAAGTAGTTTCTAATAGTGCTTCTGTCTAGATTTTAGATGATGATATTCCCGTTTCCAACGAAATCGTTAGAGCTATCCAAATATCCAGTTACAGTTTCTACCAAAAGGGTGATTCCAAACTGCTGCATCAAAAGAAAGGTTCAACTCTGTTAGTTGAGGACACACATCACAAAGAAGTTTGTGAGAATGCTTCTGTCTAGATTTTGTATGACCATATTCCCTTTTCCAGCGATATCGTTAAAGCAATCTAAATATCCATTTGCAGAATCCACAAAAATAGAGTTTCAAAGCTGCTCTGTAAAAAGAGAGGTTCCACTCTGTTAGCTGAGTACACACATCACAAACTTGTTTCTCAGAATCCTGCTGTCTAACTTTTATTTGAAATTCCCGCTTCCAACGAAATCCTCCAAGCTATCCAAATATCCACCTGCATTTTCCACAAAAAGAGTGTTTCAAAACTGCTCTATCAATAGAAATGTTCAACTCCTTTGGCTGGGTACACACATCACAAACAAGTTTCTGAGAATGCTTCTGTCTAGTTTTTATGGGAAGACATTCCCTGTTTCACCAAAGGCATCAAAGCGCTCCAAATGTCCACTTCCAGACACTACAAAAAGAGTGTTTCAAACGTGCTCTAAGAAAGCGAATGTTCAACTCTCTGACTTGAATGCAGATATCACAAAGTAGTTTCTGAGAGGGCTTCTGTCTAGATTTTAGATGATGATATTCCCGTTTCCAACGAAATCATTAGAGCTATCCAAATATCCACTTACGGTTTCTACAAAAAGAGTGTTTCCAAACTGCTGCATCAAAAGAGAGGTTCCACTCTGTTAGCTGAGTACACACATCACAAACTTATTTCTCAGAATCCTTCTTCAATTTTTTATGGGAAGACATTTCCTTTTTCACCGTAGGCGTCAAAGCGCTCCAATTATCCACATCCAGATACTACAGAAAGAGTGTTTCAAACCTGCTCTATTAAAGGGAATGTTCAACTCTATGAGTTGAATGCAAACATCAGAAAGAAATTTCTGAGAATGCTGCTGTCTACCTTTTATTTGAATTCCCGCTTCCAACGAAAACCTACAAGCTATCCAAATATCCACTTGCAGATTCCACAAAAAGAGTGTTTCAAAAATGCTCTATCAATAGAAATGTTCAACTCCTTTCGCTGGGTACACACATCACAAACAAGTTTCTGAGAAAGCTTCTGTCTAGTTTTTATGGGAAGACATCTCCTTTTTCACCAAAGGCATCAAAGAGCTCCAAATGTCCACTTCCAGATACGACAAAAAGAGTGTTTCAAAAGTGCTCTAAGAAAGCGAATGTTCAACTCTGTGACTTGAATGCAGATATCACAAAGTAGTTTCTGAGAGTGCTTCTGTCTAGATTTTAGATGATGATATTCCCGTTTCCAACGAAATCATTAGAGCTATCCAAATATCCACTTACAGTTTCTACAAAAAGAGTGTTTCCAAACTGCTGCTTCAAAAGAGAGGTTCCACTCTGTTAGCTGAGTACACACATCACAAACTTGTTTCTGAGAATCCTTCTGTCTCGTTTTTATGGGAAGATATTTACTTTTTCACCGTAGGCATCCAAGCGCTCCAAATGTCCACATCCAGATACTCCAGAAAGAGTGTTTCAAACCTGCTCTAGGAAAGGGAATCTTCAACTCTATGAGTTGAATGCAGACATCAGAAAGAAATTTCTGAGAATGCTGCTGTCTACCTTTTATTTGAATTCCTGCTTCCAACGAAAACCTCCAAGCTATCCAAATATCCACTTGCAGATTCCACAAAAAGAGTGTTTCAAAACTGCTCTATCAATAGAAATGTTCAACTCCTTTCGCTGGGTACACACATCACAAACAAGTTTCTGAGAATGCTTCTGCCTAGTTTTTATGGGAAGACATTTCCTTTTTCACCAAAGGCATCAAAGAGCTCCAAATGTCCACTTCCAGATACTACAAAAAGAGTGTTTCAAAAGTGCTCTAAGAAAGCGAATGTTCAACTCTGTGACTTGAATGCAGATATCACAAAGTAGTTTCTGAGAGTGCTTCTGTCTAGATTTTAGATGATGATATTCCCTTTTCCAACGAAATCATTAGAGCTATCCAAATATCCACTTACAGTTTCTACAAAAAGAGTGTTTCCAAACTGCTGAATCAAAACAGAGGTTCCACTCTGTTAGCTGAGTACACACATCACAAACTTGTTTCTCAGAATCCTTGCTGTCTACCTTTAATTTGAATTCCCGCTTCCAACGAAATCCTCCAAGCTATCCAAATATCCACTTGCAGATTCCACAAAAAGAGTGTTTCAAAACTGCTCTCTATCAATGGCAAAGTTCAACTCTGTTAGTTGAGGACACATATCACCAACAAGTTTCTGAGAATGCTTCTGTCTATTTTTTATGGGAAGATATTTCCTTTTTCACCGTTGGCGTCAAGGCGATCGAAATGTCCACTTCCACAAACTACAAAAAGAGTGTTTCAAACCTGCTCTATGAAAGGCCATGTTCATCTCTATGAGTTGAATGGAAATATCCGAAAGAAATTTCTGGGAATGCTGCTGTCCAGTTTTTATACGAATTCCCGCTTCCAACGAAATCCTCAATGCAATCCAAATATCCACTTGCAGAATCCACAAAAAGAGTGTTTCAAAACTGCTCTATCAATAGAAAGGTTCAAATCTTTTAGTTGAGTACACACATCACGAACAAGTTTCTGAGAATGCTTCTGTCTGGCTTTTATTGGAAGACGATTCCTTTTCACCAAAGGCATCATCAAAGCGCTCCAAATGTCCACTTCCAGATTCTTCCAAAAGAGTGTTTGAAACGTGCTCAAAGTAAGGGAATGTTCAACTCTGTGACTTGAATGCAGATATCACCAAGTAGTTTCTAATAGTGCTTCTGTCTAGATTTTAGATGATGATATTCCCGTTTCCAACGAAATCGTTAGAGCTATCCAAATATCCAGTTACAGTTCCTACCAAAAGGGTGTTTCCAAACTGCTGCATCAAAAGAAAGGTTCAACTCTATTAGTTGAGGACACACATCACAAAGAAGTTTGTGAGAATGCTTCTGTCTAGATTTTGTATGACGATATTCCCTTTTCCAACGATATCGTTAAAGCAATCTAAATATCCATTTGCAGAATCCACAAAAATAGAGTTTCAAAGCTGCTCTGTAAAAAGAAAGGTTCCACTCTGTTAGCTGAGTACACACATCACATACTTGTTTCTCAGAATCCTTCTTCAATTTTTTATGGGAAGACATTTCCTTTTTCACCGTAGGCGTCAAAGCGCTCCAAATGTCCACATCCACATAGTACAGAAAGAGTGTTTCAAACCTGCTCTATTAAAGGGAATGTTCAACTCTATGAGTTGAATGCAAACATCACAAAGAAATTTCTGAGAATGCTGCTGTCTACCTTTTATTTGAATTCCCGCTTCCAAAGAAATCCTCCAAGCTATCCAAATATCCACTTGCAGATTCCACAAAAAGAGTGTTTCAAAACTGCTCTCTATCAATGGCAAAGTTCAACTCTGTTAGTTGAGGACACATATCACCAACAAGTTTCTGAGAATGCTTCTGTCTATTTTTTATGGGAAGATATTTCCTTTTTCACCGTAGGCGTCAAGGCGATCAAAATGTCCACTTCCACAAACTACCAAAAGAGTGTTTCAAACCTGCTCTATGAAAGGCCATGTTCATCTCTATGAGTTGAATGGAAATATCCGAAAGAAATTTCTGGGAATGCTGCTGTCTAGTTTTTATACGAATTCCCGCTTCCACGAAATCCTCAAAGCAATCCAAATATCCACTTGCAGAATCCACAAAAAGAGTGTTTCAAAACTGCTCTATCAATAGAAAGGTTCAACTCTTTTAGTTGAGTACACACATCACAAACAAGTTTCTGAGAATGCTTCTGTCTGGCTTTTATTGGAAGACGTTTCCTTTTCACCAAAGGCATCAAAGCGCTCCAAATGTCCACTTCCAGATTCTTCCAAAAGAGTGTTTCAAACGTGCTCAAAGTAAGGGAATGTTCAACTCTGTGACTTGAATGCAGATATCACCAAGCAGTGTCTAATAGTGCTTCTGTGTATACTTTAGATGAAGATATTCCCGTTTCCAACGATATCGTTAGACCTACCCAAATATCCACTTACAGTTTCTACAGAAAGTGTGTTTCCAAACTAGTGCATCAAAAGAAAGGTTCAACTCTGTTAGTTGAGGACACACATCACAAAGAAGTTTCTGAGAAAGCTTCTGTCTGTATTTTGTATGAAGATATTCCCTTTTCCAACGATGTCGTTAAATCAACCCAAATATCAATTTGCAGAATCCACAGAAATAGAGTTTCAAAGCTGCTCTGTAAAAAGAAAGGATCCACTCTGTTAGCTGAGTACACACATCACAAACTTGTTTCTGAGAATCCTTCTGTCTAGTTTTTATGGGAAGATATTTACTTTTTCACCGTAGGTATCAAAGCGCTCCAAATGTCCACATCCAGATACTACAGAAAGAGGGTTTCAAACCTGCTCTATGAAAGGGAATCCTCAACTCTATGAGTTGAATGCAGACATCAGAAAGTAATTTCTGAGAATGCTGCTGTCTACCTTTCATTTGAATTCCCGCTTCCAACGAAATCCTCCAAGCTATCCAAATATTCACTTGCAGATTCCACAAAAAGAGTGTTTCAGAACTACTCTATCAATAGAAAGGTACAACTCTGTCAGTTGAGGACACACATCACAAACAAGTTTCTGAGAATTCTGTCTAGTTTTTATGGGAAGACATTCACTTTTTCACCAAAGGCATCAAAGCGCTCCAAATGTCCACTTCCAGACACTACAAAAAGAGTGTTTCAAACGTGCTCTAAGAAAGCGAATGTTCAACTCTGTGACTTGAATGCAGATATCACAAAGTAGTTTATGAGAGGGCTTCTGTCTAGATTTTAGATGATGATATTCCCGTTTCCAACGAAATCATTAGAGCTATCCAAATATCCACTTACAGTTTCTACAAAAAGAGTGTTTCCAAACTGCTGCATCAAAAGAGAGGTTCCACTCTGTTAGCTGAGTACACACATCACAAGCTTGTTTCTCAGAATCCTTCTGTCTAGCTTTTATGGGAAGATATTTACTTTTTCACCGTAGGCATCAAAGCGTTCCAAATGTCCACATCCAGATAGTACAGAAAGATTGTTTCAAACCTGCTCTATGAAAGGGAATGTTCAACTCTATGAGTTGAATGCAAACATCACAAAGAAATTTCTGAGAATGCTGCTGTCTACCTTTTATTTGAATTCCCGCTTCCAACGAAATCCTCCAAGCTATCCAAATATCAACTTGCAGATTCCACAAAAAGAGTGTTTCAAAACTGCTCTCTATCAATGGCAAAGTTCAACTCTGTTAGTTGAGGACACATATCACCAACAAGTTTCTGAGAATGCTTCTGTCTATTTTTTATGGGAAGATATTTCCTTTTCCACCGTAGGCGTCAAGGCGATCGAAATGTCCACTTCCAGAAACTACAAAATGAGTGTTTCAAACCTGCTCTATGAAAGGCCATGTTCATCTCTATGAGTTGAATGGAAATATCCGAAAGAAATTTCTGGGAATGCTGCTGTCTAGTGTTTATACGAATTCCCGCTTCCAACGAAATCCTCAAAGCAATCCAAATATCCACTTGCAGAATCCACAAAAAGAGTGTTTCAAAACTGCTCTATCAATAGAAAGGTTCAACTCTTTTAGTTGAGTACACACATCACGAACAAGTTTCTGAGAATGCTTCTGTCTGGCTTGTATTGGAAGACGTTTCCTTTTCACCAAAGGCATCAAAGCGCTCCAAATGTCCACTTCCAGATTCTTCCAAAAGAGTGTTTCAAACGTGCTCAAAGTAAGGGAATGTTCAACTCTGTGACTTGAATGCAGATATCACCAAGTAGTTTCTAATAGTGCTTCTGTCTAGATTTTAGATGATGATATTCCCGTTTCCAACGAAATCGTTAGAGCTATCCAAATATCCACTTACAGTTTCTACAAAAAGAGTGTTTCCAAACTGCTGCATCAAAAGAAAGGTTCAACTCTGTTAGTTGAAGACACACGTCACAAAGTAGTTTGTGAGAATGCTTCTGTCTAGATTTTGTATGACCATATTCCCTTTTCCAACGATATCGTTAAAGCAATCTAAATATCAATTTGCAGAATCCACAAAAATAGAGTTTCATAGCTGCTCTGTAAAAAGAAAGGTTCCACTCTGTTAGCTGAGTACACACATCACAAACTTGTTTCTGAGAATCCTTCTGTCTAGTTTTTATGGGAAGATATTTACTTTTTCACTGTAGGTATCAAAGCGCTCCAAATGTCCACATCCAGATACTACAGAAAGAGTGTTTCAAACCTGCTCTATGAAAGGGAATCTTCAACTCTATGAGTTGAATGCAGACATCAGAAAGTAATTTCTGAGAATGCTGCTGTCTAACTTTTATTTGAATTCCCGCTTCCAACGAAATCCTCCAAGCTATCCAAATATCCACCTGCATTTTCCACAAAAAGAGTGTTTCAAAACTGCTCTATTAATAGAAATGTTCAACTCCTTTGGCTGGGTACACACATCACAAACAAGTTTCTGAGAATGCTTCTGTCTAGTTTTTATGGGAAGACATTCCCTTTTTCACCAAAGGCATCAAAGCGCTCCAAATGTCCACTTCCAGACACTACAAAAAGAGTGTTTCAAACGTGCTCTAAGAAAGCGAATGTTCAACTCTGTGACTTGAATGCAGATATCACAAAGTAGTTTCTGGAGAGTGCTTCTCTCTAGATTTTATATGATGATATTCCCGTTTCCAACGAAATCATTAGAGCTATCCAAATATCCACTTACAGTTTCTACAAAAAGAGTGTTTCCAAACTGCTGCATCAAAAGAGAGGTTCCACTCTGTTAGCTGAGTACACACATCACAAACTTGTTTCTGAGAATCCTTCTGTCTCGTTTTTATGGGAAGATATTTACTTTTTCACCGTAGGCATCAAAGCGCTCCAAATGTCCACATCCAGATACTTCAGAAAGAGTGTTTCAAACCTGCTCTATGAAAGGGAATCTTCAACTCTATGAGTTGAATGCAGACATCAGAAAGAAATTTCTGAGAATGCTGCTTTCTACCTTTCATTTGAATTCCCGCTTCCAACGAAATCCTCCAAGCTATCCAAATATTCACTTGCAGATTCCACAAAAAGAGTGTTTCAAAACTACTCTATCAATAGAAAGGTACAACTCTGTCAGTTGAGGACACACATCACAAACAAGTTTCTGAGAATTCTGTCTATTTTTTATGGGAAGATATTTCCTTTTTCACCGTAGGCGTCAAGGCGATCGAAATGTCCACTTCCACAAACTACAAAAAGAGTGTTTCAAACCTGCTCTATGAAAGGCGATGTTCATCTCTATGAGTTGAATGGAAATATCCGAAAGAAATTTCTGGGAATGCTGCTGTCTAGATTTTATATGAATTCCCGCTTCCAACGAAATCCTCAAAGCAATCCAAATATCCACTTGCAGAATCCACAAAAAGAGTGTTTCAAAACTGCTCTATCAATAGAAAGGTTCAACTCTTTTAGTTGAGTACACACATCACAAACAAGTTTCTGAGAATGCTTCTGTCTGGCTTTTATTGGAAGACGTTTCCTTTTCACCAAAGGCATCAAAGCGCTCCAAATGTCCACTTCCAGATTCTTCCAAAAGAGTGTTTCAAACGTGCTCGAAGTAAGGGAATGTTCTACTCTGTGACTTGAATGCAGATATCACCAAGTAGTTTCTAATAGTGCTTCTGTCTAGATTTTAGATGATGATATTCCCGTTTCCAACGAAATCGCTAGCAGCTATCCAAATATCCAGTTACAGTTTCTACCAAAAGGGTGTTTCCAAATTGCTGCATCAAAAGAAAGGTTCAACTCTGTTAGTTGAGGACACACGTCACAAAGAAGTTTGTGAGAATGCTTCTGTCTAGATTTTGTATGAAGATATTCCCTTTTCCAACGATGTCGTTAAATCAACCCAAATATCAATTTGCAGAATCCACAGAAATAGAGTTTCAAAGCTGCTCTGTAAAAAGAAAGGATCCACTCTGTTAGCTGAGTTCACACATCCCAAACTTGTTTCTGAGAATCTTTCTGTCTCGTTTTTATGGGAAGATATTTACTTTTTCACCGTAGGCATCAAAGCGCTCCAAATGTCCACATCCAGATACTCCAGAAAGACTGTTTCAAACCTGCTCTATGAAAGGGAATCTTCAACTCTATGAGTTGAATGCAGACATCACAAAGAAATTTCTGAGAATGCTGCTGTCTACCTTTTATTTGAATTCCCGCTTCCAACGAAATCCTCCAAGCTATCCAAATATCCCCTTGCATTTTCCACAAAAAGAGTGTTTCAAAACTGCTCTATCAATAGAAATGTTCAACTCCTTTAGCTGGGTATACACATCACAAACAAGTTTCTGAGAATGCTTCTGTCTAGTTTTTATGGGTAGACATTCCCTTTTTCACCAAAGGAATCAAAGCGCTCCAAATGTCCACTTCCAGAAACTACAAAAAGAGTGTTTCAAACGTGCTCTAAGAAAGCGAATGTTCAACTCTGTGACTTGAATGCAGATATCACAAAGTAGTTTCTGAGAGGGCTTCTGTCTAGATTTTAGATGATGATATTCCCGTTTCCAACGAAATCATTAGAGCTATCCAAATATCCACTTACAGTTTCTACAAAAAGAGTGTTTCCAAACTGCTGCATCAAAAGAGAGGTTCCACTTTGTTAGCTGAGTACACACATCACAAACTTGTTTCTCAGAATCCTTCTGTCTCTTTTTTATGGGAAGATATTTACTTTTTCACCGTAGGCGTCAAAGCGCTCCAAATGTCCACATCCAGATAGTACAGAAAGAGTGTTTCAAACCTGCTCTATGAAAGGGAATCTTCAACTCTATGAGTTGAATGCAGACATCAGAAAGAAATTTCTGAGAATGCTCTGTCTACCTTTTATTTGAATTCCCGCTTCCAACGAAATCCTCCAAGCTATCCAAATATCCACTTGCAGATTCCACAAAAAGAGTGTTTCAAAACTGCTCTCTATCAATGGCAAAGTTCAACTCTGTTAGTTGAGGACACATATCACCAACAAGTTTCTGAGAATGCTTTCTGTCTATTTTTTATGGGAAGATATTTCCTTTTTCACCGTAGGCGTGAAGGCGATCGAAATGTCCACTTCCACAAACTACAAAAAGAGTGTTTCAAACCTGCTCTATGAAAGGCCATGTTCATCTCTATGAGTTGAATGGAAATATCCGAAAGTAATTTCTGGGAATGCTGCTGTCTAGTGTTTATATGAATTCCCGCTTCCAACGAAATCCTCAAAGCAATCCAAATATCCACTTGCAGAATCCACAAAAAGAGTGTTTCAAAACTGCTATATCAATAGAAAGGTTCAACTCTTTTAGTTGAGTACACACATCACGAACAAGTTTCTCAGAATGCTTCTGTCTGGCTTTTATTGGAAGACGTTTCCTTTTCACCAAAGGCATCAAAGCGCTCCAAATGTCCACTTCCAGATTCTTCCAAAAGAGTGTTTCAAACGTGCTCGAAGTAAGGGAATGTTCTACTCTGTGACTTGAATGCAGATATCACCATGTAGTTTCTAATAGTGCTTCTGTCTAGATTTTAGATGATGATATTCCCGTTTCCAACGAAATCGTTAGAGCTATCCAAATATCCAGTTACAGTTCCTACCAAAAGGGTGTTTCCAAATTGCTGCATCAAAAGAAAGGTTCAACTCTGTTAGTTGAGGACACACATCACAAAGAAGTTTGTGAGAATGCTTCTGTCTAGATTTTGTATGACGATATTCCCTTTTCCAACGATATCGTTAAAGCAATCTAAATACCAATTTGCAGAATCTACAAAAATAGAGTTTCAAAGCTGCTCTGTAAAAAGAAAGGTTCCACTCTGTTAGCTGAGTACACACATCACAAACTTGTTTCTCAGAATCCTTCTGTCTAGTTTTTATGGGAAGATATTTACTTTTTCACCGTAGGTATCAAAGCGCTCCAAATGTCCACATCCAGATTCTACAGAAAGAGTGTTTCAAACCTGCTCTATGAAAGGGAATCTTCAACTCTATGAGTTGAATGCAGACATCAGAAAGTAGTTTCTGAGAATGCTGCTGTCTACCTTTTATTTGAATTCCCGCTTCCAACGAAATCCTCCAAGCTATCCAAATATCCACCTGCATTTTCCACAACAAGAGTGTTTCAAAACTGCTCTATCAATAGAAATGTTCAACTCCTTTGGCTGGGTACACACATCACAAACAAGTCTCTGAGAATGCTTCTGTCTAGTTTTTATGGGAAGACATTCCCTTTTTCACCAAAGACATCAAAGCGCTCCAAATGTCCACTTCCAGACACTACAAAAAGAGTGTTTCAAACGTGCTCTAAGAAAGCGAATGTTCAAGTCTGTGACTTGAATGCAGATATCACAAAGTAGTTTCTGAGAGTGCTTCTGTCTAGATTTTAGATGATGATATTCCCGTTTCCAACGAAATCATTAGAGCTATCCAAATATCCACTTACAGTTTCTACAAAAAGAGTGTTTCCAAACTGCTGCATCAAAACAGAGGTTCCACTCTGTTAGCTGAGTACACACATCACAAACTTGTTTCTCAGAATCCTTGCTGTCTACCTTTTATTTGAATTCCCGCTTGCAACGAAATCCTCCAAGCTATCCAAATATCCACTTGCAGATTCCACAAAAAGAGTGTTTCAAAACTGCTCTCTATCAATGGCAAAGTTCAACTCTGTTAGTTGAGGACACATATCACCAACAAGTTTCTGAGAATGCTTCTGTCTATTTTTTATGGGAAGATATTTCCTTTTTCACCGTAGGCGTCAAGGCGATCGAAATGTCCACTTCCACAAACTACAAAAAGAGTGTTTCAAACCTGCCCTATGAAAGGCCATGTTCATCTCTATGAGTTGAATGGAAATATCCGAAAGAAATTTCTGTGAATGCTGCTGTCTAGTTTTTATACGAATTCCCGCTTCCAATGAAATCCTCAAAGCAATCCAAATATCCACTTGCAGAATCCACAAAAAGAGTGTTTCAAAACTGCTCTATCAATAGAAAGGTTCAAATCTTTTAGTTGAGTACACACATCACGAACAAGTTTCTGAGAATGCTTCTGTCTGGCTTTTGTTGGAAGAGGTTTGCTTTTCACCAAAGGCATCAAAGCGCTCCAAATGTCCACTTCCAGATTCTTCCAAAAGAGTGTTTCAAACGTGCTCAAAGTAAGGGAATGTTCAACTCCGTGACTTGAATGCAGATATCACCAAGTAGTTTCTAATAGTGCTTCTGTCTAGATTTTAGATGATGATATTCCCGTTTCCAACGAAATCGTTAGAGCTATCCAAATATCCACTTACAGTTTCTACAAAAAGAGTGTTTCCAAACTGCTGCATCAAAAGAAAAGTTCAACTCTGTTAGTTGAGGACACACATCACAAAGAAGTTTGTGAGAATGCTTTCTGTCTAGATTTTGTATGACGATATTCCCTTTTCCAACGATATCGTTAAAGCAATCTAAATATCAATTTGCAGAATCCACAAAAATAGAGTTTCAAAACTGCTCTGTAAAAAGAAAGGTTCCACTCTGTTAGCTGAGTACACACATCACAAACTTGTTTCTCAGAATCCTTCTGTCTCGTTTTTATGGGAAGATATTTACTTTCTCACCGTAGGCATCAAAGCGCTCCAAATGTCCACATCCAGATACTCCAGAAAGAGTGTTTCAAACCTGCTCTATGAAAGGGAATCTTCAACTCTATGAGTTGAATGCAGACATCAGAAAGAAATTTCTGAGAATGCTGCTGTCTAACTTTTATTTGAATTCCCGCTTCCAACGAAATCCTCCAAGCTATCCAAATATCCACTTGCAGATTCCACAAAAAGAGTGTTTCAAAACTGCTCTCTATCAATGGCACAGTTCAACTCTGTTAGTTGAGGACACATATCACCAACAAGTTTCTGAGAATGCTTCTGTCTATTTTTTATGGGAAGATATTTCCTTTTTCACCATAGGCATCAGGGCGATCGAAATGTCCACTTCCACAAACTACAAAAAGAGTGTTTCAAACCTGCTCTATGAAAGGCAATGTTCATCTCTATGAGTTGAATGGAAATATCCGAAAGAAATTTCTGGGAATGCTGCTGTCTACTTTTTTATGAATTCCCGCTTCCAACGAAATCCTCAAAGCAATCCAAATATCCACTTGCAGATTCCACAAAAAGAGTGTTTCAAAACTGCTCTATCAATAGAAAGGTTCAACTCTTTTAGTTGAGTACACACATCACATACAAGTTTCTGAGAATGCTTCTGTCTGGCTTTTATTGGAAGACGTTTCCTTTTCACCAAAGGCATCAAAGCGCTCCAAATGTCCACTTCCAGATTCTTCTAAAAGAGTGTTTCAAACGTGCTCAAAGTAAGGGAATGTTCAACTCTTTGACTTGAATGCAGATATCACCAAGTAGTTTCTAATAGTGCTTCTGTCTAGATTTTAGATGATGATATTCCCGTTTCCAACGAAATCGTTAGAGCTATCCAAATATCCACTTACAGTTTCTACAAAAAGAGTGTTTCCAAACTGCTGCATCAAAAGAAAGGTTCAACTCTGTTAGTTGAGGACACACATCACAAAGAAGTTTGTGGGAATGCTTCTGTCCAGATTTTGTATGACGATATTCCCTTTTCCAACGATATCGTTAAAGCAATCTAAATATCAGTTTGCAGAATCCACAAAAATAGAGTTTCAAAGCTGCTCTGTAAAAAGAAAGGTTCCACTCTGTTAGCTGAGTACACACATCACAAACTTGTTTCTGAGAATCCTTCTGTCTCGTTTTTATGGGAGGATATTTACTTTTTCACCGTAGGCATCAAAGCGCTCCAAATGTCCACATCCAGATACTCCAGAAAGAGTGTTTCAAACCTGCTCTATGAAAGGGAATCTTCAACTCTATGAGTTGAATGCAGACATCAGAAAGAAATTTCTGAGAATGCTGCTGTCTACCTTTTATTTGAATTCAAGCTTCCAACGAAATCCTCCAAGCTATCCAAATATCCACTTGCATTTTCCACAAAAAGAGTGTTTCAAAACTGCTCTATCAATAGAAATGTTCAACTCCTTTAGCTGGGTACACACATCACAAACAAGTTTCTGAGAATGCTTCTGTCTAGTTTTTATGGGAAGACATTTCCTTTTTCGCCAAAGGCATCAAAGAGCTCCAAATGTCCACTTCCAGATACTACAAAAAGAGTGTTTCAAAAGTGCTGTAAGAAAGCGAATGTTCAACTCTGTGACTTGAATGCAGATATCACAAAGTAGTTTCTGAGAGTGCTTCTGTCTAGATTTTAGATGATGATATTCCCGTTTCCAAAGAAATCATTAGAGCTATCCAAATATCCACTTACAGTTTCTACAAAAAGAGTGTTTCCAAACTGCTGCGTCAAAAGAGAGGTTCCACTCTGTTAGCTGAGTACACACATCACAAACTTGTTTCTGAGAATCCTTCTGTCTAGTTTTTATGGGAAGATATTTACTTTTTCACCGTAGGCATCAAAGCGTTCCAAATGTCCACATCCAGATAGTACAGAAAGAGTGTTTCAAACCTGCTCTGTGAAAGGGAATGTTCAACTCTATGAGTTGAATGCAAACATCACAAAGAAATTTCTGAGAATGCTGCTGTCTACCTTTTATTTGAATTCCCGCTTCCAACGAAATCCTCCAGGCTTTCCAAATATCTACTTGCAGATTCCACAAAAAGAGGGTTTCAAAACTGCTCTATCAATGGCAAGGTTCAACTCTGTCAGTTGAGGATACACATCACAAACAAGTTTCTGAGATTTCTGCTGTCTACCTTTCATTTGAATTCCCGCTTCCAACGAAATCCTCCAGGCTATCCAAATATCCACTTGCAGATTCCACAAAAAGAGTGTTTCAAAACTGCTCTATCAATGGCAAGGTTCAACTCTGTCAGTTGAGGATACACATCACAAACAAGTTTCTGAGAATTCTGCTGTCTACTTTTTTATGAATTCCCGCTTCCAACGAAATCCTCAAAGCAATCCAAATATCCACTTGCAGATTCCACAAAAAGAGTGTTTCAAAACTGCTCTATCAATAGAAAGGTTCAACTCTTTTAGTTGAGTACACACATCACAAACAAGTTTCTGAGAAAGCTTCTGTCTGGCTTTTATTGGAAGACGTTTCCTTTTCACCAAAGGCATCAAAGCGCTCCAAATGTCCACTTCCAGATTCTTCCAAAAGAGTGTTTCAAACGTGCTCAAAGTAAGGGAATGTTCAATTCTGTGAGTTGAATGCAGATATCACCAAGCAGTTTCTAATAGTGTTTCTCTCTAGATTTTAGATGATGATATTCCCGTTTCCAACGAAATCGTTAGAGCTATCCAAATATCCAGTTACAGTTTCTACCAAAAGGGTGTTTCCAAACTGCTGCATCAAAAGAATGGTTCAACTCTGTTAGTTGAGGACACACATCACAAAGAAGTTTGTGAGAATGCTTCTGTCTAGATTTTGTATGACGATATTCCCTTTTCCAACGATATCGTTAAAGCAATCTAAATATCAATTTGAAGAATCCACAAAAATAGAGTTTCAAAGCTGCTCTGTAAAAAGAAAGGTTCCACTCTGTTAGCTGAGTACACACATCACAAACTTGTTTCTGAGAATCCTTCTGTCTAGTTTTTATGGGAAGATATTTACTTTTTCACCGTAGGCATCAAAGCGTTCCAAATGTCCATTTCCAGATAGTACAGAAAGAGTGTTTCAAACCTGCTCTATGAAAGGGAATGTTCAACTCTATATGTTGAATGCAAACATCACAAAGAAATTTCTGAGAATGCTGCTGTCTACCTTTTATTTGAATTCCCGCTTCCAACGAAATCCTCCAGGCTATCCAAATATCCACTTGCAGAATCCACAAAAAGAGTGTTTCAAAGCTGTTCTATCAATGGCAAGGTTCAACTCTGTCAGTTGAGGATACACATCACAAACAAGTTTCTGAGAATTCTTCTGTTTAGTTTTTATGGGTAGACATTCCCTTTTTCACCAAAGGAATCAAAGCGCTCCAAATGTCCACTTCCAGACACTACAAAAAGAGTGTTTCAAACGTGCTCTAAGAAAGCGAATGTTCAACTCTGTGACTTGAATGCAGATATCACAAAGTAGTTTCTGAGAGTGCTTCTGTCTAGATTTTAGATGATGATATTCCCGTTTCCAACGAAATCATTAGAGCTATCCAAATATCCACTTACAGTTTCTACAAAAAGAGTGTTTCTAAACTGCTGCATCCAAAGAGAGGTTCCACTCTGTTAGCTGAGTACACACATCACAAACTTGTTTCTCAGAATCCTTCTGTCTCGTTTTTATGGGAAGATATTTACTTTCTCACCGTAGGCATCAAAGCGCTCCAAATGTCCACATCCAGATACTCCAGAAAGAGTGTTTCAAACCTGCTCTATGAAAGGGAATCTTCAACTCTATGAGTTGAATGCAGACATCAGAAAGAAATTTCTGAGAATGCTGCTGTCTACCTTTCATTTGAATTCCCGCTTCCAACGAAATCGTCCAAGCTATCCAAATATTCACTTGCAGATTCCACAAAAAGAGTGTTTCAAAACTACTCTATCAATAGAAAGGTACAACTCTGTCAGTTGAGGACACACATCACAAACAAGTTTCTGAGAATTCTGTCTATTTTTTATGGGAAGATATTTCCTTTTTCACCATAGGCGTCAAGGCGATCGAAATGTCCACTTCCACAAACTACAAAAAGAGTGTTTCAAACCTGCTCTATGAAAGGCCATGTTCATCTCTATGAGTTGAATGGAAATATCCGAAAGAAATTTCTGGGAATGCTGCTGTCTAGTGTTTATACGAATTCCCGCTTCCAACGAAATCTTCAAAGCAATCCAAATATCCACTTGCAGAATCCACAAAAAGAGTGTTTCAAAACTGCTCTATCAATAGAAATGTTCAACTCCTTTGGCTGGGTACACACATCACAAACAAGTTTCTGAGAATGCTTCTGTCTGGCTTTTATTGGAAGACGTTTCCTTTTCACCAAAGGCATCAAAGCGCTCCAAATGTCCACTTCCAGATTCTTCCAAAAGAGTGTTTCAAACGTGCTTAAAGTAAGGGAATGTTCAACTCTTTGACTTGAATGCAGATATCACCAAGTAGTTTCTAATAGTGCTTCTGTCTAGATTTTAGATGATGATATTCCCGTTTCCAACGAAATCGTTAGAGCTATCCAAATATCCACTTACAGTTTCTGCAAAAAGAGTGTTTCCAAACTGCTGCATCAAAAGAAAGGTTCAACTCTGTTAGTTGAGGACACACATCACAAAGAAGTTTGTGAGAATGCTTTCTGTCTAGTATTTTGTATGACCATATTCCCTTTTCCAGCGATATCGTTAAAGCAATCTAAATATCCATTTGCAGAATCCACAAAAATAGAGTTTCAAAGCTGCTCTGTAAAAAGAAAGGTTCCACTCTGTTAGCTGAGTACACACATCACAAACTTGTTTCTCAGAATCCTGCTGTCTACCTTTTATTTGAATTCCCGCTTCCAACGAAATCCTCCAAGCTATCCAAATATCCACTTGCAGTTTCCACAAAAAGAGTGTATCAAAACTGCTCTATCAATAGAAATGTTCAACTCCTTTAGCTGGGTACACACATCACAAACAAGTTTCTGAGAATGCTTATCTGTCTAGTTTTTATGGGAAGACATTCCCTTTTTCACCAAAGGCATCAAAGTGCGCCAAATGTCCACTTCCAGACACTACAAAAAGAGTGTTTCAAACGTGCTCTAAGAAAGCGAATGTTCAACTCTGTGACTTGAATGCAGATATCACAAAGTAGTTTCTGAGAGGGCTTCTGTGTAGATTTTAGATGATGATATTCCCGTTTCCAACGAAATCATTAGAGCTATCCAAATATCCACTTACAGTTTCTACAAAAAGAGTGTTTCCAAACTGCTGCATCAAAAGAGAGGTTCCACTCTGTTAGCTGAGTACACACATCACAAACTTGTTTCTCAGAATCCTTCTGTCTCGTTTTTATGGGAAGATATTTACTTTTTCACCGTAGGCATCAAAGCGCTCCAAATGTCCACATCCAGATACTCCAGAAAGAGTGTTTCAAACCTGCTCTCTGAAAGGGAATGTTCAACTCTATGAGTTGAATGCAGACATCAGAAAGAAATTTCTGAGAATGCTGCTGTCTACCTTTCATTTGAATTCCCGCTTCCAACGAAATCCTCCAGGCTATCCAAATATCCACTTGCAGAGTCCACAAACAGAGGGTTTCTAAACTGCTCTATCAATGGCAAGGTTCAACTCTGTCAGTTGAGGATACACATCACAAATAAGTTTCTGAGAAATCTTCTGTCTATTTTTTATGGGAAGATATTTCCTTTTTCACCGTAGGCGTCAAGGCGATCGAAATGTCCACTTCCACAAACTACAAAAAGAGTGTTTCAAACCTGCTGTATGAAAGGCCATGTTCATCTCTATGAGTCGAATGGAAATATCCGAAAGAAATTTCTGGGAATGCTGCTGTCTAGTTTTTATACGAATTCCCGCTTCCAACGAAATCCTCAAAGCAATCCAAATATCCACTTGCAGAATCCACAAAAAGAGTGTTTTAAAACTGCTCTATCAATAGAAAGGTTCAACTCTTTTAGTTGAGTACACACATCACAAACAAGTTTCTGAGAATGCTTCTGTCTGGCTTTTATTGGAAGACGTTTCCTTTTCACCAAAGGCATCAAAGCTCTCCAAATGTCCACTTCCAGATTCTTCCAAAAGAGTGTTTCAAACGTGCTCAAAGTAAGGGAATGTTCAACTCTGTGACTTGAATGCAGATATCACCAAGTAGTTTCTAATAGTGCTTCTCTCTAGATTTTAGATGATGATATTCCCGTTTCCAACGAAATCGTTAGAGCTATCCAAATATCCAGTTACAGTTTCTACAAAAAGGGTGTTTCCAAACTGCTGCATCAAAAGAAAGGTTCAACTCTGTTAGTTGAGGACACACATCACAAAGAAGTTTGTGAGAATGCTTCTGTCTAGATTTTGTATGACGATATTCCCTTTTCCAACGATATCGGTTAAAGCAATCTAAATACCAATTTGCAGAATCCACAAAAATAGAGTTTCAAAGCTGCTCTGTAAAAAGAAAGGTTCCACTCTGTTAGCTGAGTACACACATCACAAACTTGTTTCTGAGAATCCTTCTGTCTCGTTTTTATGGGAAGATATTTACTTTTTCACCGCAGGCATCAAAGCGCGCCAAATGTCCACATCCAGATACTCCAGAAAGAGTGTTTCAAACCTGCTCTATGAAAGGGAATCTTCAACTCTATGAGTTGAATGCAGACATCAGAAAGAAATTTCTGAGAATGCTGCTGTCTACCTTTTATTTGAATTCCCGCTTCCAACAAAAACCTCCAAGCTACCCAAATATCCACTTGCAGATTCCACAAAAAGAGTGTTTCAAAACTGCTCTATCAATAGAAATGTTCAACTCCTTTCGCTGGGTACACACATCACAAACAAGTTTCTGAGAAAGCTTCTGTCTAGTTTTTATGGGAAGACATTCCCTTTTTCACCAAAGGCATCAAAGCGCTCCAAATGTCCACTTCCAGACACTACAAAAAGATTGTTTCAAACGTGCTCTAAGAAACCGAATGTTCAACTCTGTGACTTCAATGCAGATATCACAAAGTAGTTTCTGAGAGGGCTTCTGTCTAGATTTTAGATGATGATATTCCCATTTCCAACGAAATCATTAGAGCTATCCAAATATCCACTTACAGTTTCTACAAAAAGAGTGTTTCCAAACTGCTGCATCAAAAGAGAGGTTCCACTCTGTTAGCTGAGTACACACATCACAAACTTGTTTCTGAGAATCCTTCTGTCTAGTTTTTATGGGAAGATATTTACTTTTTCACTGTAGGTATCAAAGCGCTCCAAATGTCCACATCCAGATACTACAGAAAGAGTGTTTCAAACCTGCTCTATGAAAGGGAATCTTCAACTCTATGAGTTGAATGCAGACATCAGAAAGTAATTTCTGAGAATGCTGCTGTCAACCTTTCATTTGAATTCCCGCATCCAACGAAATCCTCCAAGCTATCCAAATATCCACTTGCAGATTCCACAAAAAGAGTGTTTCTAAACTGCTCTATCAATGGCAAGGTTCAACTCTGTCAGTTGAGGATACACATCACAAACAAGTTTCTGAGAATTCTTCTGTCTATTTTTTATGGGAAGATATTTCCTTTTTCACCGTAGACGTCAAGGCGATCGAAATGTCCACTTCCACAAACTACAAAAAGAGTGTTTCAAACCTGCTCTATGAAAGGCAATGTTCATCTCTATGAGTTGAATGGAAATATCCGAAAGAAATTTCTGGGAATGCTGCTGTCTAGTGTTTATACGAATTCCCGCTTCCAACGAAATCCTCAAAGCAATCCAAATATCCACTTGCAGAATCCACAAAAAGAGTGTTTCAAAACTGCTCTATCAATAGAAAGGTTCAACTCTTTTAGTTGAGTGCTCACATCACAAACAAGTTTCTGAGAATGCTTCTGTCTGGCTTTTATTGGAAGACGTTTCCTTTTCACCAAAGGCATCAAAGCGTTACAAATGTCCACTTCCAGATTCTTCCAAAAGAGTGTTTCAAACGTGCTCAAAGTAAGGGAATGTTCAACTCTGTGACTTGAATGCAGATATCACCAAGTAGTTTCTAATGGTGCTTCTGTCTAGATTTTAGATGATGATATTCCCGTTTCCAAAGAAATCGTTAGAGCTATCCAAATATCCAGTTACAGTTTCTACCAAAAGGTTGTTTCCAAACTGCTGCATCAAAAGAAAGGTTCAACTCTATTAGTTGAGGACACACATCACAAAGAAGTTTGTGAGAATGCTTCTGTCTAGATTTTGTATGACGATATTCCCTTTTCCAACGATATCGTTAAAGCAATCTAAATACCAATTTGCAGAATCCACAAAAATAGAGTTTCAAAGCTGCTCTGTAAAAAGAAAGGTTCCACTCTGTTAGCTGAGTACACACATCACAAACTTGTTTCTGAGAATCCTTCTGTCTCGTTTTTCTGGGAAGATATTTACTTTTTCACCGTAGGCATCAAAGCGCTCCAAATGTCCACATCCAGATACTCCAGAAAGAGTGTTTCAAACCTGCTCTATGAAAGGGAATCTTCAACTCTATGAGTTGAATTCAAGACATCAGAAAGAAATTTCTGAGAATGCTGCTGTCTTCCTTTCATTTGAATTCCCGCTTCCAACGAAATCCTCCAAGCTATCCAAATATTCACTTGCAGATTCCACAAAAAGAGTGTTTCAAAACTACTCTATCAATAGAAAGGTACAACTCTGTCAGTTGAGGACACACATCACAAACAAGTTTCTGAGAATTCTGTCTATTTTTTATGGGAAGATATTTCTTTTCACCGTAGGCGTCAAGGCGATCGAAATGTCCACTTCCACAAACTACAAAAAGAGTGTTTCAAACCTGCTCTATGAAAGGCCATGTTCATCTCTATGAGTTGAATGGAAATATGAGAAAGAAATTTCTGGGAATGCTGCTGTCTAGTTTTTATATGAATTCCCGCTTCCAACGAAATCCTCAAATCAATCCAAATATCCACTTGCAGAATCCACAAAAAGAGTGTTTCAAAACTGCTCTATCAATAGAAAGGTTCAACTCTTTTAGTTGAGTACACACATCACGAACAGGTTTCTGAGAATGCTTCTGTCTGGCTTTTATTGGAAGGCGTTTCCTTTTCACCAAAGGCATCAAAGCGCTCCAAATGTCCACTTAAAGATTCTTCCAAAAGAGTGTTTGAAACGTGCTCAAAGTAAGGGAATGTTCAACTCTGTGACTTGAATGCAGATATCACCAAGTAGTTTCTAATAGTGCTTCTGTGTATACTTTAGATGAAGATATTCCCGTTTCCAACGATATCGTTAGACCTATCCAAATATCCACTTACAGTTTCTACAAAAAGAGTGTTTCCAAACTGCTGCATCAAAAGAAAGTTTCAACTCTGTTAGTTGTGGACACACATCACAAAGAAGTTTCTGAGAAAGCTTCTGTCTAGATTTTGTATGAAGATATTCCCTTTTCCAACGATGTCGTTAAATCAACCCAAATATCAATTTGCAGAATCCACAGAAATAGAGTTTCAAAGCTGCTCTGTAAAAAGAAAGGATCCACTCTGTTAGCTGAGTTCACACATCACAAACTTGTTTCTGAGAATCCTTCTGTCTCGTTTTTATGGGAAGATATTTACATTTTCACCGTAGGCATCAAAGCGCTCCAAATGTCCACATCCAGATACTCCAGAAAGAGTGTTTCAAACCTGCTCTATGAAAGGGAATCTTCAACTCTATGAGTTGAATGCAGACATCAGAAAGAAATTTCTGAGAATGCTGCTGTCTACCTTTTATTTGAATTCCCGCTTCCAACGAAAACCTCCAAGCTATCCAAATATCCACTTGCAGATTCCACAAAAAGAGTGTTTCAAAACTGCTCTATCAATAGAAATGTTCAACTCTTTTCGCTGGGTACACACATCAAAAACAAGTTTCTGAGAATGCTTCTGTCTAGTTTTTATGGGAAGACATTCCCTTTTTCACCAAAGGCATCAAAGCGCTCCAAATGTCCACTTCCAGACACTACAAAAAGAGTGTTTCAAACGTGCTCTAAGAAAGCGAATGTTCAACTCTGTGACTTGAAGGCAGATATCACAAAGTAGTTTCTGAAAGGGCTTCTGTCTAGATTTTAGATGATGATATTCCCGTTTCCAAAAAAATCGTTAGAGCTATCCAAATATCCACTTACAGTTTCTACAAAAAGAGTGTTTCCAAACTGCTGCATCAAAACAGAGGTTCCACTCTGTTAGCTGAGTACACACATCACAAACTTGTTTCTCAGAATCCTTCTGTCTCGTTTTTATGGGAAGATATTTACTTTTTCACCGTAGGCATCAAAGCGCTCCAAATGTCCACATCCAGATACTCCAGAAAGAGTGTTTCAAATCTGCTCTATGAAAGGGAATGTTCAACTCTATGAGTTGAATGCAGACATCAGAAAGAAATTTCTGAGAATGCTGCTGTCTACCTTTCATTTGAATTCCCGCTTCCAACGAAATCCTCCAAGCTATCCAAATATTCACTTGCAGATTCCACAAAAAGAGTGTTTCAAAACTACTCTATCAATAGAAAGGTACAACTCTGTCAGTTGAGGATACACATCACAAACAAGTTTCTGAGAATTCTGTCTATTTTTTATGGGAAGATAATTCCTTTTTCAGCGTAGGCGTAAAGGCGATCGAAATGTCCACTTCCACAAACTACAAAAAGAGTGTTTCAAACCTGCTCTATGAAAGGCCATGTTCATCTCTATGAGTTGAAAGGAAATATCCGAAAGTAATTTCTGGGAATGCTGCTGTCTAGTTTTTATACGAATTCCCGCTTCCAACGAAATCCTCAAAGCAATCCAAATATCCACTTGCAGAATCCACATAAGAGAGTTTCAAAACTGCTCTATCAATACAAAGGTTCAACTCTTTTAGTTGAGTACACACATCACAAACAAGTTTCTGAGAATGCTTCTGTCTGGCTTTTATTGGAAGACGTTTCCTTTTCACCAAAGGCATCAAAGCGCTCCAAATGTCCACTTCCAGATTCTTCCAAAAGAGTGTTTCAAACGTGCTCAAAGTAAGGGAATGTTCAACTCTTTGACTTGAATGCAGATATCACCAAGTAGTTTCTAATAGTGCTTCTGTCTAGATTTTAGATGATGATATTCCCGTTTCCAACGAAATCGTTAGAGCTATCCAAATATCCACTTACAGTTTCTACAAAAAGAGTGTTTCCAAACTGCTGCATCAAAAGAAAGGTTCAACCCTGTTAGTTGAGGACACACATCACAAAGAAGTTTGTGAGAATGCTTCTGTCCAGATTTTGTATGACGATATTCCCTTTTCCAACGATATCATTAAAGCAATCTAAATATCCATTTGCAGAATCCACAAAAATAGAGTTTCAAAGCTGCTCTGTAAAAAGAAAGGTTCCACTCTGTTAGCTGAGTACACACATCACAAACTTGTCTCTCAGAATCCTTCTGTCTAGTTTTTATGGGAAGATATTTACTTTCTCACCGTAGGTATCAAAGCGCTCCAAATGTCCACATCCAGATACTACAGAAAGAGTGTTTCAAACCTGCTCTATGAAAGGGAATCTTCAACTCTATGAGTTGAATGCAGACATCAGAAAGTAATTTCTGAGAATGCTGCTGTCTACCTTTTATTTGAATTCCCGCTTCCAACGAAATCCTCCAAGCTATTCAAATATCCACTTGCATTTTCCACAAAAAGAGTGTTTCAAAACTGCTCTATCAATAGAAACGTTCAACTCCTTTAGCTGGGTACACACATCACAAAGAAGTTTCTGAGAATGCTTCTGTCTAGTTTTTATGGGAAGACATTCCCTTTTTCACCAAAGGCATCGAAGCGCTCCAAATGTCCACTTCCAGACACTACAAAAAGAGTGTTTCAAACGTGCTCTAAGAAAGCGAATGTTCAACTCTGTGACTTGAATGCAGATATCACAAAGTAGTTTCTGAGAGGGCTTCTGTCTAGATTTTAGATGATGATATTCCCGTTTCCAACGAAATCATTAGAGCTATCCAAATATCCACTTACAGTTTCTACAAAAAGAGTGTTTCCAAACTGCTGCATCGAAAGAGAGGTTCCACTCTGTTAGCTGAGTACACACATCACAAACTTGTTTCTGAGAATCCTTCTGTGTCGTTTTTATGGGAAGATATTTACTTTTTCACCGTAGGCATCAAAGCGCTCCAAATGTCCACATCCAGATACTCCAGAAAGAGTGTTTCAAACCTGCTCTATGAAAGGGAATCTTCAACTCTATGAGTTGAATGCAGACATCAGAAAGAAATTTGCTGAGAATGCTGCTGTCTACCTTTTATTTGAATTCCCGCTTCCAACGAAATCCTTCAAGCTATCCAAATATCCACTTGCTGATTCCACAAAAAGAGTGTTTCAAAACTGCTCTCTATCAATGGCAAAGTTCAACTCTGTTAGTTGAGGACACATATCACCAACAAGTTTCTGAGAATGCTTCTGTCTATTTTTTATGGGAAGATATTTCCTTTTTCACCGTAGGCGTCAAGGCGATCGAAATGTCCACTTCCACAAACTACAAAAAGAGTGTTTCAAACGTGCTCTATGAAAGGCGATGTTCATCTCTATGAGTTGAATGGAAATATCCGAAAGAAATTTACTGGGAATGCTGCTGTCTAGTTTTTATACGAATTCCCGCTTCCAACGAAATCCTCAAAGCAATCCAAATATCCTCTTGCAGAATCCACAAAAAGAGTGTTTCAAAACTGCTCTATCAATAGAAAGGTTCAACTCTTTTAGTTGAGTACACACATCACAAACAAGTTTCTGAGAATGCCTCTGTCTGGCTTTTATTGGAAGACGTTTCCTTTTCACCAAAGGCATCAAAGCGCTCCAAATGTCCACTTCCAGATTCTTCCAAAAGAGTGTTTCAAACGTGCTCGAAGTAAGGGAATGTTCTACTCTGTGACTTGAATGCAGATATCACCAAGTAGTTTACTAATAGTGCTTTCTGTCTAGATTTTAGATGATGATATTCCCGTTTCCAACGAAATCGTTAGAGCTATTCAATAATGCACTTACAGTTTCTACAAAAAGAGTGTTTCCAAACTGCTGCATCAAAAGAAAGGTTCAACTCTGTTAGTTGAGGACACACATCACAAAGAAGTTTGTGAGAATGCTTCTGTCCAGATTTTGTATGACGATATTCCCTTTTCCAACGATATCGTTAAAGCAATCTAAATATCAATTTCCAGAATCCAGAAAAATAGAGTTTCAAAGCTGCTCTGTAAAAAGAAAGGTTCCACTCTGTTAGCTGAGTACACACATCACAAACTTGTTTCTGAGAATCCTTCTGTCTCGTTTTTATGGGAAGATATTTACTTTTTCACCGTAGGCATCAAAGCGCTCCAAATGTCCACATCCAGATACTCCAGAAAGAGTGTTTCAAACCTCCTCTATGAAAGGGAATCTTCAACTCTATGAGTTGAATGCAGACATCAGACAGAAATTTCTGAGAATGCTGCTGTCTACCTTTTATTTGAATTCCTGCTTCCAACGAAATCCTCCAAGCTATCCAAATATCCACTTGCATTTTCCACAAAAAGAGTGTTTCAAAACTGCTCTATCAATACAAATGTTCAACTCCTTTAGCTGGGTACACACATCACAAACAAGTTTCTGAGAATGCTTCTGTCTATTTTTTATGGGAAGATATTTCCTTTTTCACCGTAGGCATCAAGGCGATCGAAATGTCCACTTCCACAAACTACAAAAAGAGTGTTTCAATATGAAAGGCCATGTTCATCTCTATGTGTTGAATGGAAATATCCAAAAGAAATTTCTGGGAATGCTGCTGTCTAGTGTTTATACGAATTCCCGCTTCCAACGAAATCCTCAAAGCAATCCAAATATCCACTTGCAGAATCCACAAAAAGAGTGTTTCAAAACTGCTCTATCAATAGAAAGGTTCAACTCTTTTAGTTGAGTACACACATCACGAACAAGTTTCTGCGAATGCTTCTGTCTGGCTTTTATTGGAAGACGTTTCCTTTTCACCAAAGGCATCAAAGCGCTGCAAATGTCCACTTCCAGATTCTTCCAAAAGAGTGTTTCAAACGTGCTCAAAGTAAGGGAATGCTCAACTCTGTGACTTGAATGCAGATATCACCAAGTAGTTTCTAATAGTGCTTCTGTCTACATTTTAGATGATGATATTCCCGTTTCCAACGAAATCGCTAGAGCTATCCAAATATCCAGTTACAGTTTCTACCAAAAGGGTGTTTCCAAATTGCTGCATCAAAAGAAAGGTTCAACTCTGTTAGTTGAGGACACACATCACAAAGAAGTTTGTGAGAATGCTTTCTGTCTAGATTTTGTATGACGATATTCCCTTTTCCAACGATATCGTTAAAGCAATCTAAATATCAATTTGCATAATCCACAAAAATAGAGTTTCCAAGCTGCTCTGTAAAAAGAAAGGTTCCACTCTGTTAGCTGAGTACACACATCACAAACTTGTTTCTGAGAATCCTTCTGTCTCGTTTTTATGGGAACATATTTAGTTTTTCACCGTAGGCATCAAAGCGGTCCAAATGTCCACATCCAGATACTCCAGAAAGAGTGTTTCAAACCTGCTCTATGAAAGGGAATCTTCAACTCTATGAGTTGAATGCACACATCAGAAAGAAATTTCTGAGAATGTTTCTTCAATTTTTTATGGGAAGACATTTCCTTTTTCACCGTAGGCGTCAAAGCGCTCCAAATGTCCACATCCAGATAGTACAGAAAGAGTGTTTCAAACCTGCTCTATTAAAGGGAATGTTCAACTCTATGAGTTGAATGCAAACATCAGAAATAAATTTCTGAGAATGCTTCTGTCTATTTTTTATGGGAAGATATTTCCTTTTTCAGCGTAGGCGTCAAGGCGATCGAAATGTCCACTTCCACAAACTACAAAAAGAGTGTTTCAAACCTGCTCTATGAAAGGCCATGTTCATCTCTATGAGTTGAATGGAAATATCCGAAAGAAATTTCTGGGAATGCTGCTGTCTAGTGTTTATACGAATTCCCGCTTCCAACGAAATCCTCAAAGCAATCCAAATATCCACTTGCAGAATCCACAAAAAGAGTGTTTCAAAACTGCTCTATCAATAGAAAGGTTCAACTCTTTTAGTTGAGTACACACATCAGGAACAAGTTTCTGAGAATGCTTCTGTCTGGCTTTTATTGGAAGACGTTTCCTTTTCACCAAAGGCATCAAAGCGCTCCAAATGTCCACTTCGAGATTCTTCCAAAAGAGTGTTTCAAACGTGCTCAAAGTAAGGGAATGTTCAACTCTGTGACTTGAATGCAGATATCACCAAGTAGTTTCTAATAGTGCTTCTGTCTACATTTTAGATGATGATATTCCCTTTTCCAAGGAAATCGTTAGAGCTATCCAAATATCCAGTTACAGTTTCTACCAAAAGGGTGTTTCCAAATTGCTGCATCAAAAGAAAGGTTCAACTCTGTTAGTTGAGGACACACATCACAAAGAAGTTTGTGAGAATGCTTCTGTCTAGATTTTGTATGACGATATTCCCTTTTCCAACGATATCGTTAAAGCAATCTAAATATCAATTTGCAGAATCCACAAAAATAGAGTTTCAAAGCTGCTCTGTAAAAAGAAAGGTTCCACTCTGTTAGCTGAGTACACACATCACAAACTTGTTTCTGAGAATCCTTTCTGTCTCGTTTTTATGGGAAGATATTTACTTTTCCACCGTAGGCATCAAAGCGCTCCAAATGTCCACATCCGGATACTCCAGAACGAGTGTTTCAAACCTGCTCTATGAAAGGGAATCTTCAACTCTATGAGTTGAATGCAGACATCAGAAAGAAATTTCTGAGAATGCTGCTGTCTACCTTTTATTTGAATTCCCGCTTCCAACGAAATCCTCCAAGCTATCCAAATATCCACCTGCATTTTCCACAAAAAGAGTGTTTCAAAACTGCTCTATCAATAGAAATGTTCAACTCCTTTGGCTGGGTACACACATCACAAACAAGTTCTGAGCATGCTTCTGTCTAGTTTTTATGGGAAGACGTTCCCTTTTTCACCAAAGGCATCAAAGCGCTCCAAATGTCCACTTCCAGACACTACAAAAAGAGTGTTTCCAACGTGCTCTAAGAAAGCGAATGTTCAACTCTGTGACTTGAATGCAGATATCACAAAGTAGTTTCTGAGAGGGCTTCTATCTAGATTTTAGATGATGATATTCCCGTTTCCAACGAAATCATTAGAGCTATCCAAATATCCACTTACAGTTTCTACAAAAAGAGTGTTTCCAAACTGCTGCATCCAAAGAGAGGTTCCACTCTGTTAGCTGAGTACACACATCACAAACTTGTTTCTCAGAATCCTTCTGTCTCGTTTTTATGGGAAGATATTTACTTTTTCACCGTAGGCATCAAAGCGCTCCAAATGTCCACATCCAGATACTCCAGAAAGAGTGTTTCAAACCTGCTCTATGAAAGGGAAACTTCAACTCTATGAGTTGAATGCAGACATCAGAAAGAAATTTCTGAGAATGCTGCTGTCTACCTTTTATTTGAATTCCCGCTTCCAACGAAATCCTCCAAGCTATGCAAATATCCACTTGCAGATTCCACAAAAAGAGTGTTTCAAAACTGCTCTCTATCAATGGCAAAGTTCAACTCTGTTAGTTAAGGACACATATCACCAACAAGTTTCTGAGAATGCTTCTGTCTATTTTTTATGGGAAGATATTTCCTTTTTCACCGTAGGCGTCAAGGCGATCGAAATGTCCACTTCCACAAACTACAAAAAGAGTGTTTCAAACCTGCTCTATGAAAGGCCATGTTCATCTCTATGAGTTGAATGGAAATATCCGAAAGAAATTTCTGGGAATGCTGCTGTCTAGTGTTTATACGAATTCCCGCTTCCAACGTAATCCTCAAAGCAATCCAAATATCCACTTGCAGAATCCACAAAAAGAGTGTTTCAAAACTGCTCTATCAATAGAAAGGTTCAACTCTTTTAGTTGAGTACACACATCACGAACAAGTTTCTGAGAATGCTTCTGTCTGGCTTTTATTGGAAGACGTTTCCTTTTCACCAAAGGCATCAAAGCGCTCCAAATGTCCACTTCCAGATTCTTCCAAAAGAGTGTTTGAAACGTGCTCAAAGTAAGAGAATGTTCAACTCTGTGACTTGAATGCAGATATCACCAAGTAGTTTCTAATAGTGCTTCTGTCTAGATTTTAGATGATGATATTCCCGTTTCCAACGAAATCGTTAGAAGCTATCCAAATATCCACTTACAGTTGCTACAAAAACAGTGTTTCCAAACTGCTGCATCAAAAGAAAGGTTCAACTCTGTTAGTTGAGGACACACGTCACAAAGAAGTTTGTGAGAATGCTTCTGTCTAGATTTTGTATGACGATATTCCCTTTTCCAACGATATCGTTAAAGCAATCTAAATATCAATTTGCAGAATCCACAAAAATAGAGTTTCAAAGCTGCTCTGTAAAAAGAAAGGTTTCACTCTGTTAGCTGAGTACACACATCACAAACTTGTTTCTGAGAATCCTTCTGTCTCGTTTTTATGGGAAGATATTTACTTTTTCACCGTAGGCATCAAAGCGCTCCAAATGTCCACATCCAGATACTCCAGAAAGAGTGTTTCAAACCTGCTCTATGAAAGGGAACCTTCAAGTCTATGAGTTGAATGCAGACATCAGAAAGAAATTTCTGAGAATGCTGCTGTCTACCTTTTATTTGAATTCCCGCTTCCAACGAAATCCTCCAAGGTATCCAAATATCCACTTGCATTTTCCACAACAAGAGTGTTTCAAAACTGCTCTATCAATAGAAATGTTCAACTCCTTTGGCTGGGTACACACATCACAAACAAGTTTCTGAGAATGCTTCTGTCTAGTTTTTATGGGTAGACATTCCCTTTTTCACCAAAGGAATCAAAGCGCTCCAAATGTCCACTTCCAGACACTACAAAAAGAGTGTTTCAAACGTGCTCTAAGAAAGCGAATGTTCAACTCTGTGACTTGAATGCAGATATCACACAGTAGTTTTTGAGAGTGCTTCTGTCTAGATTTTAGATGATGATATTCCCGTTTCCAACGAAATCATTAGAGCTATCCAAATATCCACTTACAGTTTCTACAAAAAGAGTGTTTCCAAACTGCTGCATCAAAAGAGAGGTTCCACTCTGTTAGGTGAGTACACACATCACAAACTTGTTTCTGAGAATCCTTCTGTCTCGTTTTTATGGGAAGATATTTACTTTTTCACCGTAGGCATCAAAGCACTCCAAATGTCCACATCCAGATACTACAGAAAGAGTATTTCAAACCTGCTCTATGAAAGGGAATGTTCAACTCTATGAGTTGAATGCAGATCTCAGAAAGAAATTTCTGAGAATGCTGCTGTCTACCTTTTATTTGAATTCCCGCTTCCAACGAAATCCTCCAAGCTATCCAAATATCCACTTGCAGATTCAGGAAAAAGAGTGTTTCAAAACTGCTCTCTATCAATGACAAAGTTCAACTCTGTTAGTTGAGGACACATATCACCAACAAGTTTCTGAGAATGCTTCTGTCTATTTTTTATGGGAAGATATTTCCTTTTTCACCATAGGCGTCAAGGCGATCGAAATATCCACTTCCACAAACTACAAAAAGAGTGTTTCAAACCTGCTCTATGAAAGGCGATGTTCATCTCTATGAGTTGAATGGAATTATCCGAAAGAAATTTCTGGGAATGCTGCTGTCTAGTTTTTATACGAATTCCCGCTTCCAACGAAATCCTCAAAGCAATCCAAATATCCACTTGCAGAATCCACAAAAAGAGTGTTTCAAAACTGCTCTATCAATAGAAAGGTTCAACTCTTTTAGTTGAGTACACACATCACGAACAAGTTTCTCAGAATGCTTCTGTCTGGCTTTTATTGGAAGACGTTTCCTTTTCACCAAAGGCATCAAAGCGCTCCAAATGTCCACTTCCAGATTCTTCCAAAAGAGTGTTTCAAACGTGCTCAAAGTAAGGGAATGTTCAACTCTGTGACTTGAATGCAGATATCACCAAGTAGTTTCTAATAGTGCTTCTGTCTAGATTTTAGATGATGATATTCCCGTTTCCAACGAAATCGTTAGAGCTATCCAAATATCCACTTACAGTTTCTACAAAAAGGGTGTTTCCAAACTGCTGCATCAAAAGAAAGGTTCAACTCTGTTAGTTGAGGACACACATCACAAAGAAGTTTGTGAGAATGCTTCTGTCTAGATTTTGTATGACGATATTCCCTTTTCCAACGATATCGTTAAAGCAATCTAAATATCAATTTGCAGAATCCACAAAAATAGAGTTTCAAAGCTGCTCTGTAAAAAGAAAGGTTCCACTCTGTTAGCTGAGTACACACATCAAAAACTTGTTTCTGAGAATCCTTCTGTCTCGTTTTTATGGGAAGATGTTTACTTTTCCACCGTAGGCATCAAAGCGCTCCAAATGTCCACATCCAGATACTCCAGAACGAGTGTTTCAAACCTGCTCTATGAAAGGGAATCTTCAACTCTATGAGTTGAATGCAGACATCAGAAAGAAATTTCTGAGAATGCTGCTGTCTACCTTTTATTTGAATTCCCGCTTCCAACGAAATCCTCCAAGCTATCCAAATATCCACCTGCATTTTCCACAAAAGGAGCGTTTCAAAACTGCTCTATCAATAGAAATGTTCAACTCCTTTGGCTGGGTACACACATCACAAACAAGTTTCTGAGAATGCTTCTGTCTAGTTTTTATGGGAAGACATTCCCTTTTTCACCGTAGGCGTCAAGGCGATCGAAATGTCCACTTCCACAAACTACAAAAAGAGTGTTTCAAACCTGCTCTATGAAAGGCCATGTTCATCTCTATGAGTCGAATGGAAATATCCGAAAGAAATTTCTGGGAATGCTTCTGTCTAGATTTTAGATGATGATATTCCCGTTTCCAACGAAATCATTAGAGCTATCCAAATATCCACTTACAGTTTCTACAAAAAGAGTGTTTCCAAACTGCTGCGTCAAAAGAGAGGTTCCACTCTGTTAGCTGAGTACACACATCACAAACTTGTTTCTGAGAATACTTCAGTTTTTTATGGGAAGACATTTCCTTTTTCACCGTAGGCGTCAAAGCGCTCCAAATGTCCACATCCGGACAGTACAGAAAGAGTGTTTCAAACCTGCTCTATTAAAGGGAATGTTCAACTCTATGAGTTGAATGCAAACATCAGAAAGAAATTTCTGAGAATGCTGCTGTCTACCTTTTATTTGAATTCCCGCTTCCAACGAAATCCTCCTATCTATCCAAACATCCACCTGCATTTTCCACAAAAAGAGTGTTTCAAAACTGCTCTATCAATAGAAACGTTCAACTCCTTTAGCTGGGTACACACATTACAAACAAGTTTCTGAGAATGCTTCTGCCTAGTTTTTATGGGAAGACATTCCCTTTTTCACCAAAGGCATCAAAGCGCTCCAAATGTCCACTTCCAGACACTACAAAAAGAGTGTTTCAAACGTGCTCTAAGAAAGCGAATGTTCAACTCTGTGACTTGAATGCAGATATCACAAAGTAGTTTCTGAGAGTGCTTCTGTCTAGATTTTAGGTGATGATATTCCCGATTCCAACGAAATCATTAGAGCTATCCAAATATCCACTTACAGTTTCTACAAAAAGAGTGTTTCCAAACTGCTGCATCAAAAGAGAGGTTCCACTCTGTTAGCTGAGTACACACATCACAAACTTGTTTCTCAGAATCCTGCTGTCTACCTTTTATTTGAATTCCCGCTTCCAACGAAATCCTCCAAGCTATCCATATATCCACTTGCAGATTCAGGAAAAAGAGTGTTTCAAAACTGCTCTCTATCAATGGCAAAGTTCAACTCTGTTAGTTGAGGACACATATCACCAACAAGTTTCTGAGAATGCTTCTGTCTTTTTTTTATGGGAAGATATTTCCTTTTTCACCGTAGGCGTCAAGGCGATCGAAATGTCCACTTCCACAAACTACAAAAAGAGTGTTTCAAACCTGCTCTATGAAAGGCCATGTTCTTCTCTATGAGTTGAATGGAAATATCCGAAAGAAATTTCTGGGAATGCTGCTGTCTAGTTGTTATACGAATTCCCGCTTCCAACGAAATCCTCAAAGCAATCCAAATATCCACTTGCAGAATCCACAAAAAGAGTGTTTCAAAACTGCTCTATCAATAGAAAGGTTCAACTCCTTTTAGTTGAGTACACACATCACAAACAAGTTTCTGAGAATGCTTCTGTCTGGCTTTTATTGGAAGACGTTTCCTTTTCACCAAAGGCATCAAAGCGCTCCAAATGTCCACTTCCAGATTCTTCCAAAAGAGTGTTTCAAACGTGCTCAAAGTAAGGGAATGTTCAACTCTGTGACTTGAATGCAGATATCACCAAGTAGTTTGCTAATAGTGCTTCTGTCTACATTTTAGATGATGATATTCCCGTTTCCAACGAAATCGTTAGAGTTATCCAAATATCCAGTTACAGTTTCTACCAAAAGGGTGTTTCCAAATTGCTGCATCAAAAGAAAGGTTCAACTCTGTTAGTTGAGGACACACATCACAAAGAAGTTTGTGAGAATGCTTCTGTCTAGATTTTGTATGAAGATATTCCCTTTTCCAACGATATTGTTAAATCAACCCAAATATCAATTTGCAGAATCCACAGAAATAGAGTTTCAAAGCTGCTCTGTAAAAAGAAAGGATCCACTCTGTTAGCTGAGTACACACATCACAAACTTGTTTCTGAGAATCCTTCTTCAATTTTTTATGGGAAGACATTTCCTTTTTCACCGTAGGCGTCAAAGCGCTCCAAATGTCCACATCCAGATAGTACAGAAAGAGTGTTTCAAACCTGCTCTATTAAAGGGAATGTTCAACACTATGAGTTGAATGCAAACATCAGAAAGAAATTTCTGAGAATGCTGCTGTCTACCTTTTATTTGAATTCCCTCTTCCAACGAAAACCTCCAAGCTATCCAAATATCCACTTGCAGATTCCACAAAAAGAGTGTTTCAAAACTGCTCTATCAATAGAAATGTTCAACTCCTTTCGCTGGGTACACACATCACAAACAAGTTTCTGAGAATGCTTCTGTCTAGTTTTTATGGAAAGACATTCCCTTTTTCACCAAAGGCATCAAAGCGCTCCAAATGTCCACTTCCAGACACTACAAAAAGAGTGTTTCAAACGTGCTCTAAGAAAGCGAATGTTCAACTCTGTGACTTGAATGCAGATATCACAAAGAAGTTTCTGAGAGTGCTTCTGTCTAGATTTTAGATGATGATATTCCCGTTTCCAACGAAATCATTAGAGCTATCCAAATATACACTTACAGTTTCTACAAAAAGAGTGTTTCCAAACTGCTGCATCAAAAGAGAGGTTCCACTCTGTTAGCTGAGTACACACATCACAAACTTGTTTCTCAGAATCCTTCTGTCTCGTTTTTATGGGAAGATATTTACTTTTCCACCGTAGGCATCAAAGCGCTCCAAATGTCCACATCCAGATACTCCAGAAAGAGTGTTTCAAACCTGCTCTATGAAAGGGAATCTTCAACTCTATGAGTTGAATGCAGACATCAGAAAGAAATTTCTGAGAATGCTGCTGTCTACCTTTTATTTGAATTCCCGCTTCCAACGAAATCCTCCAAGCTATCCAAATATCCACTTGCAGATTCCACAAAAAGAGTGTTTCCAAACTGCTCTCTATCAATGGCAAAGTTCAACTCTGTTAGTTGAGGACACATATCACCAACAAGTTTCTGAGAATGCTTCTGTCTATTTTTTATGGGAAGATATTTCCTTTTTCACCGTAGGCATCAAAGCGATCGAAATGTCCACTTCCACAAACTACAAAAAGAGTGTTTCAAACCTGCTCTATGAAAGGCGATGTTCATCTCTATGAGTTGAATGGAAATATCCGAAAGAAATTTCTGGGAATGCTGCTGTCTAGTTTTTATATGAATTCCCGCTTCCAACGAAATCCTCAAAGCAATCCAAATATCCACTTGCAGAATCCACAAAAAGAGTGTTTCAAAACTGCTCTATCAATAGAAAGGTTCAACTCTTTTAGTTGAGTACACACATCACAAACAAGTTTCTGAGAATGCTTCTGTCTGGCTTTTATTGGAAGACGTTTCCTTTTCACCAAAGGCATCAAAGCGCTCCAAATGTCCACTTCCAGATTCTTCCAAAAGAGTGTTTCAAACGTGCTCGAAGTAAGGGAATGCTCTACTCTGTGACTTGAATGCAGATATCACCAAGTAGTTTCTAATAGTGCTTCTGTCTAGATTTTAGATGATGATATTCCCGATTCCAACGAAATCGTTAGAGCTATCCAAATATCCAGTTACAGTTTCTACCAAAAGGGTGTTTCCAAATTGCTGCATCAAAAGAAAGGTTCAACTCTGTTAGTTGAGGACACACATCACAAAGAAGTTTGTGAGAATGCTTCTGTCTAGATTTTGTATGACCATATTCCCTTTTCCAACGATATCGTTAAAGCAATCTAAATATCAATTTGCAGAATCCACAAAAATAGAGATTCAAAGCTGCTCTGTAAAAAGAAAGGTTCCACTCTGTTAGCTGAGTACACACATCACAAACTTGTTTCTGAGAATCCTGCTGTCTACCTTTTATTTGAATTCCCGCTTCCAACGAAATCCTCCAAGCTATCCAAATATCCACTTGCATTTTCCATAAAAAGAGTGTTTCAAAACTGCTCTATCAATAGAAATGTTCAACTCCTTTGGCTGGGTACACACATCACAAACAAGTTTCTGAGAATGCTTCTGTCTAGTTTTTATGGGAAGACGTTCCCTTTTTCACCAAAGGCATCAAAGCGCTCCAAATGTCCACTTCCAGACACTACAAAAAGAGTGTTTCCAACGTGCCCTAAGAAAGCGAATGTTCAACTCTGTGACTTGAATGCAGATATCACAAAGTAGTTTCTGAGAGGGCTTCTGTCTAGATTTTAGATGATGATATTCCCATTTCCAACGAAATCATTAGAGCTATCCAAATATCCACTTACAGTTTCTACAAAAAGAGTGTTTCCAAACTGCTGCATCAGAAGAGAGGTTCCACTCTGTTAGCTGTGTACACACATCACAAACTTGTTTCTGAGAATCCTTCTGTCTCGTTTTTATGGGAAGATATATACTTTTTCACCGTAGGCATCAAAGCGCTCCAAATGTCCACATCCAGATACTCCAGAAAGAGTGTTTCAAACCTGCTCTATGAAAGGGAATCTTCAACTCTACGAGTTGAATGCAGACATCAGAAAGAAATTTCTGAGAATGCTGCTGTCTACCTTTCATTTGAATTCCCGCTTCCAACGAAATCCTCCAGTCTATCCAAATATCCACTTGCAGATTCCACAAAAAGAGTGTTTCTAAACTGCTCTATCAATGGCAAGGTTCAACTCTGTCAGTTGAGGATACACATCACAAACAAGTTTCTGAGAATTCTTCTGTCTATTTTTTATGGGAAGATATTTCCTTTTTCACTGTAGGCGTCAAGGCGATCGAAATGTCCACTTCCACAAACTACAAAAAGAGTGTTTCAAACCAGCTCTATGAAAGGCGATGTTCATCTCAATGAGTTGAATGGAAATATCCGAAAGAAATTTCTGGGAATGCTGCTGTCTAGTGTTTATACGAATTCCCGATTCCAACGAAATCCTCAAAGCAATCCAAATATCCACTTGCAGAATCCACAAAAAGAGTGTTTCAAAACTGCTCTATCAATAGAAATGTTCAACTCTTTTAGTTGAGTACACACATCACGAACAAGTTTCTGAGAATGCTTCTGTCTGGCTTTTATTGGAAGACGTTTCCTTTTCACCAAAGGCATCAAAGCGCTCCATATGTCCACTTCCAGATTCTTCCAAAAGACTGTTTCAAACGTGCTCAAAGTAAGGGAATGTTCAACTCTGTGACTTGAATGCAGATATCACCAAGTAGTTTCTAATAGTGCTTCTGTCTAGATTTTAGATGATGATATTCCCGTTTCCAACGAAATCGTTAGAGCTATCCAAATATCCACTTACAGTTGCTACAAAAACAGTGTTTCCAAACTGCTGCATCAAAAGAAAGGTTCAACTCTGTTAGTTGAGGACACACATCACAAAGAAGTTTGTGAGAATGCTTCTGTGTAGATTTTCTATGACGATATTCTCATTTCCAACGATATCGTTAAAGCAATCTAAATATCAATTTGCAGAATCCACAAAAATAGAGTTTCAAAGCTGCTCTGTAAAAAGAAAGGTTCTACTCTTTTAGCTGAGTACACACATCACAAACTTGTTTCTGAGAATCCTTCTGTCTCGTTTTTATGGGAAGATATTTACTTTTTCACCGTAGGCATCAAAGCGCTTCAAATGTCCACATCCAGATACTCCAGAAAGACTGTTTCAAACCTGCTCTATGAAAGGGAATCTTCAACTCTATGAGTTGAATGCAGACATCAGAAAGAAATTTCTGAGAATGCTGCTGTCTACCTTTTATTTGAATTCCCGCTTCCAACGAAATCCTCCAAGCTATCCAAATATCCACTTGCAGATTCCACAAAAAGAGTGTTTCAAAACTGCTCTCTATCAATGGCAAAGTTCAACTCTGTTAGTTGAGGACCCATATCACCAACAAGTTTCTGAGAATGCTTCTGTCTATTTTTTATGGGAAGATATTTCCTTTTTCACCGTATGCGTCGAGGCGATCGAAATGTCCACTTCCACAAACTACAAAAAGAGTGTTTCAAACCTGCTCTATGAAAGGCCATGTTCATCTCTATGAGTTGAATGGAAATATCCGAAAGAAATTTCTGGGAATGCTGCTGTCTAGGTTTTATACGAATTCCCGCTTCCAACGAAATCCTCAAAGCAATCCAAATATCCACTTGCAGAATCCACAAAAAGAGTGTTTCAAAACTGCTCTATCAATAGTAAGGTTCAACTCTTTTAGTTGAGTACACACATCACAAACAAGTTTCTGAGAATGCTTCTCTCTGGCTTTTATTGGAAGACGTTTCCTTTTCACCAAAGGCATCAAAGTGCTCCAAATGTCCACTTCCAGATTCTTCCAAAAGAGTGTTTCAAACGTGCTCAAAGTAAGGGAATGTTCAACTCTGTGACTTGAATACAGATATCACCAAGTAGTTTCTAATAGTGCTTCTGTCTAGATTTTAGATGATGATATTCCCGTTTCCAACGAAATCGTTAGAGCTATCCAAATATCCAGTTACAGTTTCTACCAAAAGGGTGTTTCCAAATTGCTGCATCAAAAGAAAGGTTCAACTCTGTTAGTTGAGGACACACATCATAAAGAAGTTTGTGAGAATGCTTCTGTCCAGATTTTGTATGACGATATTCCCTTTTCCAACGATATCGTTAAAGCAATCTAAATATCCATTTGCAGAATCCACAAAAATAGAGTTTCAAAGCTGCTCTGTCAAAAGAAAGGTTCCACTCTGTTAGCTGAGTACACACATCACAAACTTGTTTCTGAGAATCCTTCTTCAATTTTTTATGGGAAGACATTTCCTTTTTCACCGTAGGCGTCAAAGCGCTCCAAATGTCCACATCCAGATAGTAAAGAAAGAATGTTTCAAACCTGCTCTATTAAAGGGAATGTTCAACTCTATGAGTTGAATGCAAACATCAGAAAGAAATTTCTGAGAATGCTGCTGTCTACCTTTTATTTGAATTCCCGCTTCCAACGAAATCCTCCAAGCTATCCAAATATCCACTTGCAGATTCCACAAAAAGAGTGTTTCAAAACTGCTCTCTATCAATGGCAAAGTTCAACTCTGTTAGTTGAGGACACATATCACCAACAAGTTTTTGAGAATGCTTCTGTCTATTTTTTATGGGAAGATATTTCCTTTTTCACCGTAGGCGTCAAGGCGATCGAAATGTCCACTTCCACAAACTACAAAAAGAGTGTTTCAAACCTGCTCTATGAAAGGCCATGTTCATCTCTATGAGTTGAATGGAAATATCCGAGAGAAATTTCTGGGAATGCTGCTGTCTAGTGTTTATACGAATTCCCGCTTCCAACGAAATCCTCAAAGTAATCCAAATATCCACTTGCAGAATCCACAAAAAGAGTGTTTCAAAACTGCTCTATCAATAGAAAGGTTCAACTCTTTTAGTTGAGTACACACATCACAAACAAGTTTCTGAGAATGCTTCTGTCTGGCTTTTATTGGAAGACGTTTCCTTTTCACCAAAGGCATCAAAGCGCTGCAAATGTCCACTTCCAGATTCTTCCAAAAGAGTGTTTCAAACGTGCTCAAAGTAAGGGAATGTTCAACTCTGTGACTTGAATGCAGATATCACCAAGTAGTTTGCTAATAGTGCTTCTGTCTAGATTTTACATGATGATATTCCCGTTTCCAACGAAATCATTAGAGCTATCCAAATATCCAGTTACAGTTTCTACAAAAAGAGTGTTTCCAAACTGCTGCATCAAAAGAAAGGTTCAACTCTGTTAGTTGAGGACACACATCACAAAGAAGTTTGTGAGAATCCTTCTGTCTAGATTTTGTATGACGATATTCCCTTTTCCAACGATATCGTTAAAGCAATCTAAATATCAATTTGCAGAATCCACAAAAATAGAGTTTCAAAGCTGCTCTGTAAAAAGAAAGGTTACACTCTGTTAGCTGAGTACACACATCACAAACATGTTTCTCAGAATCCTTCTGTCTCGTTTTTATGGGAAGATATTTACTTTTTCACCGTAGGCATCTAAGCGCTCCAAATGTCCACATCCAGATACTCCAGAAAGACTGTTTCAAACCTGCTCTATGAAAGGGAATCTTCAACTCTATGAGTTGAATGCAGACATCAGAAAGAAATTTCTGAGAATGCTGCTGTCTACCTTTTATTTGAATTCCCGCTTCCAACGAAATCCTCCAAGCTATCCAAATATCCACCTGCATTTTCCACAACAAGAGTGTTTCAAAACTGCTCTATCAATAGAAATGTTCAACTCCTTTGGCTGGGTACACACATCACAAACAAGTTTCTGAGAATACTTCTGTCTACTTTTTAAGGGAAGACATTTCCTTTTTCACCAAAGGCATCAAAGTGCTCCAAATGTCCACTTCCAGATTCTACAAAAAGAGTGTTTCAAACCTGCTCTAAGTAAGGGAGTTTTCAACTCTGTGACTGGAATGCAGATATCACAAAGTAGTTTCTGAGACTGCTTCTGTCTAGATTTTACATGATGATATTCCCGTTTCCAACGAAATCATTAGAGCTATCCAAATATCCAGTTACAGTTTCTACAAAAAGAGTGTTTCCAAACTGCTGCATCAAAAGAGAGGTTCCACTCTGTTAGCTGAGTACACACATCACAAACTTCTTTCTGAGAATCCTTCTGTCTAGGTTTTATGGGAAGATATTTACTTTTTCACCGTAGGCATCAAAGCGTTCCAAATGTCCACATCCAGATAGTACAGAAAGAGTGTTTCAAACCTGCTCTATGAAAGGGAATGTTCAACTCTATGAGTTGAATGCAAACATCACAAAGAAATTTCTGAGAATGCTGCTGTCTACCTTTTATTTGAATTCCCGCTTCCAACGAAATCCTCCAAGCTATCCAAATATCCACTTGCAGATTCCACAAAAAGAGTGTTTCAAAACTGCTCTCTATCAATGGCAAAGTTCAACTCTGTTAGTTGAGGACACATATCACCAGCAAGTTTCTGAGAATGCTTCTGTCTATTTTTTATGGGAAGATATTTCCTTTTTCACCGTAGGCGTCAAGGCGATCGAAATGTCCACTTCCACAAACTACAAAAAGAGTGTTTCAAACCTGCTCTATGAAAGGCCATGTTCATCTCTATGAGTTGAATGGAAATATCCGAAAGAAATTTCTGGAAATGCTGCTGTCTAGTTTTTATACGAATTCCCGCTTCCAACGAAATCCTCAAAGCAATCCAAATATCCACTTGCAGAATCCACAAAAAGAGTGTTTCAAAACTGCTCTATCAATAGAAAGGTTCAAATCTTTTGGTTGAGTACACACATCATGAACAAGTTTCTGAGAATGCTTCTGTCTGGCTTTTATTGGAAGACGTTTCCTTTTCACCAAAGGCATCAAAGCGCTGCAAATGTCCACTTCCAGATTCTTCCAAAAGAGTGTTTCAAACGTGCTCAAAGTAAGGGAATGTTCAACTCTGTGACTTGAATGCAGATATCACCAAGTAGTTTCTAATAGTGCTTTCTGTCTAGATTTTAGATGATGATATTCCCGTTTCCAACGAAATCGTTAGAGCTATCCAAATATCCACTTACAGTTTCTACCAAAAGTGTGTTTCCAAACTGCTGCATCAAAAGAAAGGTTCAACTCTGTTAGTTGAGGACACACATCACATACAAGTTTCTGAGAAAGCTTTTGTCTAGATTTTGTGTGACCATATTCCCTTTTCCAACGATATCGTTAAAGCAATCTAAATATCAATTTGCAGAATCCACAAAAATAGAGTTTCAAAGCTGCTCTTTAAAAAGAAGGGTTCCACTCTGTTAGCTGAGTACACACATCACAAACTTGTTTCTGAGAAACCTTCTTCAATTTTTTATGGGAAGACATTTCCTTTTTCACCGTAGGCGTCAAAGCGCTCCAAATGTCCACATCCACATAGTACAGAAAGAGTGTTTCAAACCTGCTCTATTAAAGGGAATGTTCAACTCTATGAGTTGAATGCAAACATCACAAAGAAATTTCTGAGAATGCTCCTGTCTACCTTTTATTTGAATTCCCGCTTCCAACGAAATCCTCCAAGCTATCCAAATATCCACTTGCATTTTCCACAAAAAGAGTGTTTCAAAACTGCTCTATCAATGGAAATGTTCAACTCCTTTAGCTGGGTACACACATCACAAACAAGTTTGCTGAGAATGCTTATCTGTCTAGTTTTTATGGGAAGACGTTCCCTTTTTCACCAAAGGCATCAAAGCGCTCCAAATGTCCACTTCCAGACACTATAAAAAGAGTGTTTCAAACGTGCTCTAAGAAAACGAATGTTCAACTCTGTGACTTGAATGCAGATATCACAAAGTAGTTTCTGAGAGGGCTTCTGTCTAGATTTTAGATGATGATATTCCCGTTTCCAACGAAATCATTAGAGCTATCCAAATATCCACTTACAGTTTCTACAAAAAGAGTGTTTCGAAACTGCTGCATCAAAAGAGAGGTTCCACTCTGTTAGCTGAGTACACACATCACAAACTTGTTTCTCAGAATCCTTCTGTGTCGTTTTTATGGGAAGATATTTACTTTTTCACCGTAGGCATCAAAGCGCTCCAAATGTCCACATCCAGATACTCCAGAAAGAGTGTTTCAAACCTGCTCTATGAAAGGGAATCTTCAACTCTATGAGTTGAATGCAGACATCAGAAAGAAATTTCTGAGAATGCTGCTGTCTACCTTTTATTTGAATTCCCGCTTCCAATGAAATCCCCCAGGCTATCCAAATATCCACTCGCAGATTCCACAAAAAGCGTGTTTCAAAACTGCTCTATCAATGGAAAGGTTCAACTCTGTCAGTTGAGGATACACATCACAAACAAGTTTCTGAGAATTCTTCTGTCTATTTTTTATGGGAAGATATTTCCTTTTTCACCGTAGGCATCAAGGCGATCGAAATGTCCACTTCCACAAACTACAAAAAGAGTGTTTCAAACCTGCTCTATGAAAGGCAATGTTCATCTCTATGAGTTGAATGGAAATATCCGAAAGAAATTTCTGGGAATGCTGCTGTCTAGTTTTTATACGAATTCCCGCTTCCAACGAAATCCACAAAGCAATCCAAATATCCACTTGCAGAATCCACATAAGAGAGTTTCAAAACTGCTCTATCAATACAAAGGTTCAACTCTTTTAGTTGAGTACACACATCACAAACAAGTTTCTGAGAATGCTTCTGTCTGGCTTTTATTGGAAGACATTTCCTTTTCACCAAAGGCATCAAAGCGCTCCAAATGTCCACTTCCAGATTCTTCCAAAAGAGTGTTTGAAACGTGCTCAAAGTAAGGGAATGTTCAACTCTGTGACTTGAATGCAGATATCACCAAGTAGTTTCTAATAGTGCTTCTGTCTAGATTTTAGATGATGATATTCCCGTTTCCAACGAAATCGTTAGAGCTATCCAAATATCCAGTTACAGTTTCAACCAAAAGGGTGTTTCCAAACTGCTGCATCAAAAGAAAGGTTCAACTCTGTTAGTTGAGGACACACATCACAAAGATGTTTGTGAGAATGCTTCTGTCTAGATTTTGTATGACGATATTCCCTTTTCCAACGATATCGTTAAAGCAATCTAAATATCAATTTGCAGAATCCACAAAAATAGAGTTTCCAAGCTGCTGTGTAAAAAGAAAGGTTCCACTCTGTTAGCTGAGTACACGCATCACAAACTTGTTTCTGAGAATCCTTCTGTCTCGTTTTTATGGGAAGATATTTACTTTCTCACCGTAGGCATCAAAGCGCTCCAAATGTCCACATCCAGATACTCCAGAAAGAGTGTTTCAAACTTGCTCTATGAAAGGGAATCTTCAACTCTATGAGTTGAATGCAGACATCAGAAAGAAATTTCTGAGAATGCTGCTGTCTACCTTTTATTTGAATTCCCGCTTCCAACGAAATCCTCGAAGCTATCCAAATATCCACTTGCATTTTCCACAACAAGAGTGTTTCAAAACTGCTCTATCAATAGAAATGTTCAACTCCTTTGGCTGGGTACACACATCACAAACAAGTTTCTGAGAATGCTTCTGTCTAGTTTTTATGGGAAGACATTCCCTTTTTCACCAAAGGCATCAAAGCGCTCCAAATGTCCACTTCCAGACACTACAAAAAGAGTGTTTCAAACGTGCTCTAAGAAAGCGAATGTTCAACTCTGTGACTTGAATGCAGATATCAAAAAGTAGTTTCTGAGAGGGCTTCTGTCTAGATTTTAGATGATGATATTCCCGTTTCCAACGAAATCATTAGAGCTATCCAAATATCCAGTTACAGTTTCTACAAAAAGAGTGTTTCCAAACTGCTGCATCAAAAGAGAGGTTCCACTCTGTTAGCTGAGTACACACATCACAAACTTGTTTCTCAGAATCCTGCTGTCTACCTTTTATTTGAATTCCCGCTTCCAACGAAATCCTCCAAGCTATCCAAATATCCACCTGCATTTTCCACAACAAGAGTGTTTCAAAACTGCTCTATCAATAGAAGTGTTCAACTCCTTTGGCTGGGTACACACATCACAAACAAGTTTCTGAGAATGCTTCTGTCTAGTTTTTATGGGAAGACGTTCCCTTTTTCACCAAAGGCATCAAAGCGCTCCAAATGTCCACTTCCATACACTACAAAAAGAGTGTTTCAAACGTGCTCTAAGAAAGCGAATGATCAACCCTGTGACTTGAATGCAGATATCACAAAGTAGTTTCTGAGAGGGCTTCTGTCTAGATTTTAGATGATGATATTCCCGTTTCCAACGAAATCATTAGAGCTATCCAAATATCCACTTACAGTTTCTACAAAAAGAGTGTTTCCAAACTGCTGCATCAAAAGAGAGGTTCCACTCTGTTAGCTGAGTACACACATCACAAACTTGTTTCTGAGAATCCTTCTGTCTAGCTTTTATGGGAAGATATTTACTTTTTCACCATAGGCATCAAAGCGTTCCAAATGTCCACATCCACATAGTACAGAAAGAGTGTTTCAAACCTGCTCTATGAAAGGGAATGTTCAACTCTATGAGTTGAATGCAAACATCACAAAGAAATTTCTGAGAATGCTGCTGTCTACCTTTCATTTGAATTCCCGCTTCCAACGAAATCCTCCAGGCTATCCAAATATCCACTTGCAGATTCCACAAAAAGTGTGTTTCTAAACTGCTCTATCAATGGCAAGGTTCAACTCTGTCAGTTGAGGATACACATCACAAACAAGTTTCTGAGAATTCTTCTGTCTATTTTTTATGGGAAGATATTTCCTTTTTCACCGTAGGCGTCAAGGCGATCGAAATGTCCACTTCCACAAACTACAAAAAGAGTGTTTCAAACCTGCTCTATGAAAGGCCATATTCATCTCTATGAGTTGAATGGAAATATCCGAAAGAAATTTCTGGGAATGCTGCTGTCTAGTGTTTATACGAATTCCCGCTTCCAACGAAATCCTCAAAGCAATCCAAATATCCACTTGCAGAATCCACAAAAAGAGTGTTTCAAAACTGCTCTATCAATAGAAAGGTTCAACTCTTTTAGTTGAGTACACACATCACGAACAAGTTTCTGAGAATGCTTCTGTCTGGCTTTTATTGGAAGACGTTTCCTTTTCACCAAAGGCATCAAAGCGCTCCAAATGTCCACTTCCAGATTCTTCCAAAAGAGTGTTTCAAACGTGTTCAAAGTAAGGGAATGTTCAACTCTGTGACTTGAATGCAGATATCACCAAGTAGTTTCTAATAGTGCTTCTGTCTAGATTTTAGATGATGATATTCCCGTTTCCAACGAAATCGTTAGAGCTATCCAAATATCCACTTACAGTTTCTACAAAAACAGTGTTTCCAAACTGCTGCATCAAAAGAAAAGTTCAACTGTGTTAGTTGAGGACACACATCACAAAGAAGTTTGTGAGAATGCTTCTCTCTAGATTTTGTATGACAATATTCCCTTTTCCAACGATATCGTTAAAGCAATCTAAATATCAATTTGCAGAATCCACAAAAATAGAGTTTCAAAGCTGCTCTGTAAAAAGAAAGGTTCCACTCTGTTAGCTGAGTACACACATCACAAACTTGTTTCTGAGTATCCTTCTGTCTCGTTTTTATGGGAAGATATTTACTTTTTCACCGTAGGCATCAAAGCGCTCCAAATGTCCACATCCAGATATTCCAGAAAGAGTGTTTCAAACCTGCTCTATGAAAGGGAATCTTCAACTCTATGAGTTGAATGCAGACATCAGAAACTAATTTCTGAGAATGCTGCTGTCTACCATTTATTTGAATTCCCGCTTCCAACGAAATCTTCCAACCTATCCAAATATCCACCTGCATTTTCCACAAAAAGAGTGTTTCAAAACTGCTCTATCAATAGAAATGTTCAACTCCTTTAGCTAGGTATACACATCACAAACAAGTTTCTGAGAATGCTTCTGTCTACTTTTTAAGGGAAGACATTTCCTTTTTCACCAAAGGCATCAAAGCGCTCCAAATGTCCACTTCCAGATTCTACAAAAAGAGTGTTTCAAACCTGCTCTAAGTAAGGGAGTTTTCAACTCTGTGACTGGAATGCAGATATCACAAAGTAGATTCTGAGACTGCTTCTGTCTAGATTTTAGATGATGATATTCCCGTTTCCAACGAAATCATTAGAGCTATCCAAATATCCACTTACAGTTTCTACAAACAGAGTGTTTCCAAACTGCTGCATCAGAAGAGAGGTTCCACTCTGTTAGCTGAGTACGCACATCACAAACTTGTTTCTGAGAATCCTTCTGTCTCGTTTTTATGGGAAGATATTTACCTTTTCACCGTAGGCATCAAAGCGCTCCATATGTCCACATCCAGATACTCCACAAAGAGTGTTTCAAACCTGCTCTATGAAAGGGAATCTTCAACTCTATGAGTTGAATGCAGACATCAGAAAGAAATTTCTGAGAATGCTGCTGTCTACCTTTCATTTGAATTCCCGCTTCCAACAAAATCCTCCAGGCTATCCAAATATCCACTTGCAGATTCCACAAAAACAGTGTTTCTAAACTGCTCTATCAATGGCAAGGTTCAACTCTGTCAGTTGAGGATACACATCACAAACAAGTTTCTGAGAGTTCTTCTGTCTATTTTTTATGGGAAGATATTTCCTTTTTCACTGTAGGCGTCAAGGCGATCGAAATGTCCACTTCCACAAACTACAAAAAGAGTGTTTCAAACCTGCTCTATGAAACGCGATGTTCATCTCAATGAGTTGAATGGAAATATCCGAAAGAAATTTCTGGGAATGCTGCTGTCTAGTTTTTATATGAATTCCCGCTTCCAACGAAATCCTCAAAGCAATCCAAATATCCACTTGCAGAATCCACAAAAAGAGTGTTTCAAAACTGCTCTATCAATAGAAAGGTTCAACTCTTTTAGTTGAGTACACACATCACAAACAAGTTTCTGAGAATGCTTCTGTCTGGCTTTTATTGGAAGACGTTTCCTTTTCACCAAAGGCATCAAAGCGCTCCAAATGTCCACTTCCAGATTCTTCCAAAAGAGTGTTTCAAACGTGCTCAAAGTAAGGGTATGTTCAACTCTGTGACTTGAATGCAGATATCACCAAGTAGTTTCTAATAGTGCTTCTGTCTAGATTTTAGATGATGATATTCCCGTTTCCAAGGAAATCGTTAGAGCTATCCAAATATCCAGTTACAGTTTCTACCAAAAGGGTGTTTCCAAATTGCTGCATCAAAAGAAAGGTTCAACTCTGTTAGTTGAGGACACACATCACAAAGAAGTTTGTGAGAATGCTTCTGTCTAGAGTTTGTATGACGATATTCCCTTTTCCAACGATATCGTTAAAGCAATCTAAATATCAATTTGCAGAATCCACAAAAATAGAGTTTCAAAGCTGCTCTGTAAAAAGAAAGGTTCCACTCTGTTAGCTGAGTACACACATCACAAACTTGTTTCTGAGAATCCTTCTGTCTCGTTTTTATCAGAAGATATTTACTTTTCCACCGTAGGCATCAAAGCGCTCCAATTGTCCACATCCAGATACTCCAGAAAGAGTGTTTCAAACCTGCTCTATGAAAGGGAATCTTCAACTCTATGAGTTGAATGCAGACATCAGAAAGAAATTTCTGAGAATGCTGCTGTCTACTTTTTATTTGAATTCCCGCTTCCAACGAAATCCTCCAAGCTATCCAAATATCCACCTGCATTTTCCACAAAAAGAGTGTTTCAAAACTGCTCTATCAATAGAAATGTTCAACTCCTTTAGCTGGGTAGACACATCACAAACAAGTTTCTGAGAATGCTTCTGTCTAGTTTTTATGGGAAGACGTTCCCTTTTTCACCAAAGGCATCAAAGCGCTCCAAATGTCCACTTCCAGATACTACAAAAAGAGTGTTTCAAACGTGCTCTAAGAAAGCGAATGTTCAACTCTCTGACTTGAATGCAGATATCACAAAGTAGTTTCTGAGAGGGCTTCTGTCTAGATTTTAGATGATGATATTCCCGTTTCCAACGAAATCATTAGAGCTATCTAAATATCCACTTACAGTTTCTACAAAAAGAGTGTTTCCAAACTGCTGCATCAAAAGAGAGGTTCCACTCTGTTAGCTGAGTACACACATCACAAACTTGATTCTGAGAATCCTTCTGTCTCGTTTTTATGGGAAGATATTTACTTTTTCACCGTAGGAATCAAAGCGCTCCAAATGTCCACATCCAGATACTCCAGAAAGAGTGTTTCAAACCTGCTCTATGAAAGGGAATCTTCAACTCTATGAGTTGAATGCAGACATCAGAAAGAAATTTCTGAGAATGCTGCTGTCTACCTTTTATTTGAATTCCCGCTTCCAACGAAATCCTCCAAGCTATCCAAATATCCACTTGCAGATTCCACAAAAAGAGTGTTTCAAAACTGCTCTGTATCAATGGCAAAGTTCAACTCTGTTAGTTGAGGACACATATCACCAACAAGTTTCTCAGAATGCTTCTGTCTATTTTTTATGGGAAGATATTTCCTTTTTCAGCGTAGGCGTCAAGGCGATCGAAATGTCCACTTCCACAAACTACAAAAAGAGTGTTTCAAACCTGCTCTATGAAAGGCCATGTTCAACTCTATGAGTTGAATGGAAATATCCGAAAGAAAATTCTGGGAATGCTGCTGTCTAGTGTTTATACGAATTCCCGCTTCCAACGAAATCCTCAAAGCAATCCAAATATCCACTTGCAGAATCCACAAAAAGAGTGTTTCAAAACTGCTCTATCAATAGAAAGGTTCAACTCTTTTAGTTGAGTACACACATCACCAACAAGTTTCTGAGAATGCTTCTGTCTGGCTTTTATTGGAAGACGTTTCCTTTTCACCAAAGGCATCAAAGCGCTCCAAATGTCCACTTCCAGATTCTTCCAAAAGAGTGTTTCAAACGTGCTCGAAGTAAGGGAATGTTCTACTCTGTGACTTGAATGCAGATATCACCAAGTAGTTTCTAATAGTGCTTCTGTCTACATTTTAGATGATGATATTCCCGTTTCCCACGAAATCGTTAGAGCTATCCAAATATCCAGTTACAGTTTCTACCAAAAGGGTGTTTCCAAATTGCTGCATCAAAAGAAAGGTTCAACTCTGTTAGTTGAGGACACACATCACAAAGAAGTTTGTGAGAATGCTTCTGTCTAGATTTTCTATGACGGTATTCCCTTTTCCAACGATATCGTTAAAGCAATCTAAATATCAATTTGCAGAATCCACAACAATAGAGTTTCAAAGCTGCTCTGTAAAAAGAAAGGTTCCACTCTGTTAGCTGAGTACACACATCACAAACTTGTTTCTGAGAATCCTTCTGTCTAGTTTTTATGGGAAGATATTTACTTTTTCACCGTAGGTATCAAAGCGCTCCAAGTGTCCACATCCAGATACTACAGAAAGAGTGTTTCAAACCTGCTCTATGAAAGGGAATCTTCAACTCTATGAGTTGAATGCAGACATCAGAAAGTAATTTCTGAGAATGCTGCTGTCTACCTTTCATTTCAATTCCCGCTTCCAACGAAATCCTCCAAGCTATCCAAATATTCACTTGCAGATTCCACAAAAAGAGTGTTTCAAAACTACTCTATCAATAGAAAGGTACAACTCTGTCAGTTGAGGACACACATCACAAACAAGTTTCTGAGAATTCT